>NC_000008.11:74677265-75302265 GCF_000001405.40 Homo sapiens
CCTTTCAAAGGTCAGACAAAAGACAGTAAATTATAAAAAACTTGAACATCATAATTAATATGCTTAAATAAATAGATATGCATGAAATCATCCATTATTATAAAACATATCTTGTTCTCAAACACATAAAGAATATCTAAAAAAATTAATTATGTATGTATTATTAATCCATAAAGCAACTCTCAAACTTCCAGAAACTGATGTCATGCAAACAACATCACACTGGTATCACATAGTCTACCTCAGGGAAATTAGATTAGAAGTAAATTGCAACAAAAATTAACATATCAAAAACTGAAATTAAAAATCATATGTCTAAATAATTCATAGGTCAAAAACCAGAAGTAATAAATATAAGGTACTATGAAGAACTGGATGATGATGAAGTTACCATATATCAAGACTTATAGTATAGTATGCAGTGAAAGCAGTATTTTAGGAGCAACATAGTGTGAATTTGCCAGTATTTGAAAAGAAGGCAAAAATGGAATGAGTCAGATATCTAAATTAGCAAATAAAGAAGAATAATAGAATAAACCCCAAAAGAATAATGGCTATAGTAAAAAAAATTTATAAACTAGCAAGGGCAAAAGTGGTTTCTCTAAAAGACAATTTGAACAAAACTCTGATGAGACTGATTGAGGAAAAAAGGAAAGAAGTTACAAATATTATTACAGCTTGAAAAAGCTCATAACTACAAAGAGCGGAAATTGAAAAGATAGATTTTTTTCCAGGCAAATTTATAGAAAATGTTTGAGAGTATTAACAAAATAGATGAATTCCTAGAAAATATACAATATCAAAACTGACAGAAGAGGAAATAAAAAGTTGGCTGAAGAGATAATAATTTGAATTGCCCTAAAATCAGTAATTAATTGAATACCTAGTAAAAAATATTTTCACAGAGAAAACAACTGCCTCAGATGACTTTACATACCAGTTATACTAAGTATTCAATTAAGATACAATAATTCTCACAAACTTTTCCAGAGAATAGAAAGAATGATAACAGGCTGGACGTGGTGGCTCAGGCCTGTAATTCTAGCACTTTGGGAGGCCAAGGCCGGCAGATCGCCTGAGGTCAGGAGTTCGAGACCAGCCTAGCCAACATGGTGAAACCCCGTCTCTACTAAAAATAAATACAAAAATTAGCCGGGTGTAGTGGCAGGCGCCTGTAATCCCAGCTACTTGGGAGGCGGAGACAGGAGAATCGCTTGAACTTGGGAGGTGGAGGTTGCGGTGAGCTGAGATTGTGCCATTGCACTCCAGCCTGGGCGATAAGATCTAGAGTTTGTCTCAAAAAAAAAAAAAAAAAAAAAAAAAGGAAAGAATGATAACAATTCCCAAGTCATTTAATAAGGTCTATATAACCTTGATTCTAAAGGTAAAGAAAAGGAGAGCATGAGAAAGGGAAAAAAGTGGTTATAGAATGGTTATAGAAGACAGAAATATAACACAAGGACAATAATATAACAAACATTAATATAATAGAAATGACAGTAATATAATAAAAAAGAACTGTATGGGAATGAAGAATACATTCCAATCTCATAGTTGAAAGTCTGATCATTTATGTATTAAAAACATATAATTCATAGTGAACAAGTTAGGTTTATCCCAGGAAAAACATGTGCTTTAAAACAATAATAATTATATAAATTTCATTCACCATGAAAGAGAAAAAATATGATTACCTCAATCAATGCATGAAGATATTTCATAAAGTTCAACATTCCATCCATGATAAAAATTTTTATCAGAATTGGAATAGAAGAGAATATCTTTATCAAAACCTACCAATGATGGATGTCAAATACAAATCTTTTTCAAAATTGTATTTTATTTCAATAGTTTTTGGGGAACAGGTGGTTTTTTGTTCATGGATAAGTTATTTAGTGATGGTTTCCGAGATTTTTGTGCACCTGTCCCCTGAGCAGTGTATACTGTACCCAGTGAGTAGTCTTTTATCTCTCACCTCTATCCTACCTTTCCCCTTGAGTCCCTGAAGTCCATTATATCACTCTTATGCCTTTGAGTCCTCATAGCTTAGCTCCCACTTATAAGTGACAACACATGATATTTGGTTTTCCATTCCTGAGTTATTTCTTTTACAGTAATGGTCTCCAACTCCATCCAGGTGGCTACGAGTGCCATTATTTCATTCCTTTTTATGGCTAAGTAGTAGTCCATGGTGTATATGTACCACATTTTCTTTATCCACTCACTCATTGGTTGATAGGCATTTGGCTTGTTTACTATTATTATTATTATTATTATTATTATTATTATTATTATTATTGCCCAGGCTTGAGTGCAGTGTCACGATCTCGGCTTACTGCAACCTCTACCTCCTGGGTTCAAGCAATTCTACCTCAGCCTCCCAAGTAGCTGGGATTACACTCATCTGCCACCACACCCGGCTAAATTTTTTGTTTTGTTTTGTTTTGTTTTGTTTTAGTAGAGATGGGGTTTCACCATGTTCGCCAGGCTGGTTTTGAACTCCTGACCTCAAGTGATCCACCCATCTTGGCCTCCCAAAGTGCTAGGATTACAGGCATGAGCCACCGTGCCCAGCTGCCTGGTTACAATTCTTAACAGCTAAATAGTAGAAGTGTTCCCTGTGGAATTAGGAACAAGACAAAAGTATTCACCATCACCTCTTCTATTTAGTGTTTTAATGTAGGTTCTACTAGCAAGACAAGAGGTAAACGTAAAATATATGGATACTGGAAGAAAGAAGGATAATTCATTATTCACGGATCATATTATTGTCAACTTGGAAAACCCAAATGAATCTGCAGACAACCTATAAGAATTAGTAACGGAGTTAAAAATGCTGTTTAGATATGGTAAAATCTATATAGAAAAGTAAATTACATTTTACCAGAGTCTATTTATAAAAACATGTTATTTATCATAAAGCTCATAAAACTAACAAATGCATCTAGGAATAAACCTAAAAATGAATGCCTAAGGCTTTTGTGGAGACAGTTATAAACTTTTAAGACAGATATTAAAGACATCTAAACCAAAGAAGAAATAAAATCATGTTCATTGATAGAAAGACACAATGTCACAATGAACTCAAACAAATTTACAAGAAAAAAACAAACAACCCCATCAAAAAGTGGGTGAAGGACATGAACAGACACTTCTCAAAAGAAGACATTTATGCAGCCAAAAAACACATGAAAAAATGCTCACCATCACTGGCCATCAGAGAAATGCAAATCAAAACCACAATGAGACACCATCTCACACCAGTTAGAATGGCAATCATTAAAAAGTCAGGAAACAACAGGTGCTGGAGAGGATGTGGAGAAACAGGAACACTTTTACACTGTTGGTGGGACTGTAAACTAGTTCAACCATTGTGGAAGTCAGTGTGGCAATTCCTCAGGGATCTAGAACTAGAAATACCATTTGATCCAGCCATCCCATTACTGGGTATATACTCAAAGGACTATAAATCATGCTGTTATACAGACACATGCACACGTATGTTTATTGCGGCATTATTCACAATAGCAAAGACTTGGAACCAACCCAAATGTCCAACAATGATAGACTGGATTAAGAAAATGTGGCACATATACACCATGGAATACTATGCAGCCAGAAAAAATGATGAGTTCATGTCCTTTGTAGGGACATGGATGAAATTGGAAATCATCATTCTCAGTAAACTATCGCAAGAACAAAAAACCAAACACCGCATATTCTCACTCACAGGTGGGAATTGAACAATGAGAACACATGGACACAGGAAGGGGAACATCACACTCTGGGGACTGTTGTGGGGTGGGGGGAGGGGGGAGGGATAGCATTGGGAGATATACCTAATACTAGATGACGAGTTAGTGGGCGCAGCGCACCAGCATGGCACATGTATACATATGTAACTAACCTGCACATTGTGCACATGTACCCTAAAACTTAAAGTATAATAATAATAAAAAAAAGACACAATGTCACCAAGGCATAAATTTTCTGCAAATTGATCTTTAAATACAATGCAATTCCAGCAAAAAATTAAGATTTTTAAGAAACTTGATGTATTTATTGGAAAATATATATATAGATGAAGAGGGTCTACAGGTGAGCCAAAACCTTTCTAATAAAGTATAACAAAAGGTAGATTTACTCTGTCAGAAAGTAAGGTATTTTTAAAGCAATAAATAATCAAGAGAGCCTGGTATTAAAGCAGGGATAGTAATACCAAGAAATGCAACTACCATGGTTTCAATTTCTCCTGCAAAACTCGTGTTGAAATTTAATTGCCAATGTAATGGTATTGGGAGGTGGGGTTTTTGAGAGGTGATTAAGGCTCTGCCCTAATTCATGAATTCATGCTATTACCTCTTGGGAATGGGTTAGTTATCCTGGGATTGGGCTCCTGATAAAAGGACAAGTTTGGCCCCCGTTTGCTCTCTGTCTTATGTTCTCACATAATATTCTGCCATGGGATAACTCATCATGTTCTTGGATTTCCTAGGCTCCAGAACCATGAGTCAAATAAACTTCTGTTCTATTTATAAGTTACTTAGCTTGTGGTATTCTGTTATAGCAGAAGAAAACAGGCTAATATAGGAACAGTATAGAGAGACCAGAAACAGACCCATAAGTACATGATAATTTGATATATGATAGAGATGTAATTACAGATCACTGGGGAAATGTATGACTATTCAATAAATGGTGCTGAGATATTTGGTTACCTATGTAGGGGGATTGACTATACTATACACATAGCATCATTTCCAAAGATATTAAAATGAGCAGGTGGGTGTTTGTGAAATGATGGATATGTTAATTTGCTTGACTGTGGTGATCATTTATTGTACATATCAAAACATCATGTTGTACACCTGAAATACATACAATATATAAAAAATGCAGTTGAAAAATTTAAATGGGAAAGGCAAATTTTAAAGTATTTAGAGGATAGTATAAGGGTGACTACCTTAATGAGTTCAGGATATAGAAAAGTTTTTAATGAGGCATAAAATCACTAAATACAAGAAGAAAGATTGATTTACTGCTTTGAAATTATTAACTCTTTTTATCAGATGACATCACAAAGACTAAAACGTTAAAACCTGAAAAGTATATTTCTGAGATATATAACTGAAAAAGAATTTGTATCAATAACATATAAAGAAATATTACAGATTACTAAAAATTAACAAAATACTAATAATAAAATGGTCAAAAGATATGAACAGACATTTCAACAAAGGGAAAACATAAACAGAAAAACATATACAACAGAAAAACTTACCTGTGAAAAGATGCTGGATCTTATTATAAATCAGGAAAATGCAAATAAAAGCTGCATGAGATACAGCTTAACACACACAAGTTGCCAAAAACGAAGAAACTGGAGAATGCCAAGTGTTTTGAGTGCTCCAATGTTGCTGTGGGAAACTATATGGTGCAACCACTAGGAACATGCTTTTCTGCATGAGCTACAACCCTGCAAATCCACTTCTTGATATATACACCCGAGAAACTCTTGTTCATGTTCACCAAGAGATGTATACAAGATTTTTTAGTAGAAGGATTGTTACAGAAAAAAACTGGAAACAAACCAATTATTTATACACAGAAGAATACATTTTGAAATTATGGTTCATTCACACAGTAAAATAACAATGAAAATGAATGAACCACAAACACAGAATATGATTGAATCTGAGAAATAAAAGGGAGTTTTAGAAGTCTGTATACAGTATGATATCACTTTTATAAAGTTCAAAGCCATGCAATATTGTGTTCAGATATACATATGCACATGCAATAAAAGTGTAAATAATAAGGCATGATAAATAACAAAACCAGAACAGTGGTTACATAGAAGGCTTGAGAGTGAGTTGCCAGGTGTTTTGCTATTATGCATCACAATATGTATGTATGTTATATACATATTTTATGTAGATATCTAATGTTGCAAAATAAAACTGAAAAATTGTATTTGTTTTTCAGGATAATAGTTCTTTAAGAAAGAATTGGGAATGAAGAATTTAGCAAAATAATGATTTTGAGGATGACTGATATTTTCATTAAGTCACTCTGTATCCCTGAATTTCAGAAATATTAGTTGGAAATGGAAGTCACTAACATAACCTGAACACAAGCTGTAAACTATATAATACAGATGTGAGGTTCTTGAAATAAAACACCATCTGCTTACTTGTAAGTAGCAACAGGAGAATTACACTGCATATTCAGATGACTAGGTTCTTAATCTACCTTTGCTGTTGGCATCCTGGGCATATTTGGACAACTTGCCTACTTTCCTTGATTCATTTTAACCATCCATGGAAGTAGAATATGAATCTGTAATGTTCCTTTTGATTTAAAGATAATACTGGTGCCATTCTTTGTATCTTAACGTTTATTTTTATGTTCTGTTTTTATTCCTTCTCTCCCCAGAGAAAACACCTAAGGGCTGTGTTACAATCACAGTGATAATCAATTTTATCTTTACCTAGATAATTATAGGACTCCGATTGTGGCTGGTATAAGCTATTTCTAGCATAACTTGTGGCTGGTTCTAGCTCTCCTCTTAGAGAGATCTTAGGTGGCCCTTGTTTTATTTTGATGACCCTGCTATGACCACGGAACTTCAGTATGTGACAATTCACTCCTACCTCAAGATGTCCTGGTGGTACCTTCTAAACTAGCACCTCCCATTCCTTTATGGAAATGTGCAGGCCTTCATTTCTCTTGCTTTGTCTGGCACCAGAAAATCAGTTATTCCCAAATCCCTTAAAATTTTTATTCCACAAGTCCTTATGGAAATGGGACTACTGGTAGCTTGTTCAGAGGTCCCGGTGTCCTTGAGCTATGTAAGCAGTTAGACCACACCATGAATACATTAGTTAAGCACTGCCTCAATAATGCTGTGTAAAAGCATTCAAACTCAGTGGCTTACAATGGCAAGCATTTGGTTTTGTCACTGATTTGTGTGTAGATCTGCTGGTCTGGGCTCTACAAGCCTCCATATTCTTCTGGGATCAGAGGCTACCTTGGGCATATCGTTTTTTTGGAATATCATAGGCATGCAAAAAGCCAAACCAAACTACGCAAACATATGTATGGCCTTTACTTTAGTCATATCTACTAACGTTCCGTTCGCTAAATCAAGTCATATAGCAAATGTCAACATTTAGAGGGGGAGGAGAAGAGGAGAGGGAAGGGGAAGAAAACAATATATATGTGTAAAGTATATTCTTTTCCCATTCTAACACATTGCAAGATCACATGAGTAAGTGAATAAATGAGAACAATAATCGAATCCACCAAAAAGTCCCCCTGAATATTATATGTTATAAAGTCAAAATAGAAAGTCAAAAAGAAGCACTTAGAGTAAATAGAAAAGACTTTCATTGTTTTTTGTTGACTTGCAACCTTCAACCTGGTTTCACATTATTAGTTTGGGTTAAGAACCATCACTAAGGTGGTAGAAATCAATAGATTTCCTTGATTTACATATACTTTAGAGTAAAGGTGTGTTCAAGTGAGATTAAGTCAGCAGATAATCTAGACAGTGACAAATAAAACAAAACATTTTCTCCAGCTATGCTGACAATGGATTGGAGGGAATAATCTAAAATGTGCATGATGAATTTGTGGTCTAATGAATGACAATGGAGGTGTGGTGGGAAGAGCTCAGACTTTACAGCGAGACAAATCTGATTCTGAACTCTAGCCCCAATGATTGTCAGCTTTCAGCAACTTGCTTAGATTATCTGAGACTCATAATCTTTGCCTGTAAAATGAGGATTATGTCATCTCTGAGATACTGTTGTGATGATCTTTAAACAGTTATGTGAAAGTTTTAATATAATATCTGATATTTGACATGCAAGAAGTTGCAACTATCATTCTGGAAGCATTTATAAGATACACTAAAGAGCAGTTTAGACATTTCTGGATGTCTTTTAAAATAATTTCTTTCTTCTAATATGGCTAAGATATAATTTCACTTGAAAAAAGATGATATCCTCCTAGAAACTCTTCAAAATCTTGATTCAATGATTCCAAAAAGAATATTATTTATTCATTTGAGAAAACCATTTGCCACACTGCTACATACTTTCAGATGTGAAAATAAAGGGATCGCAGCTGGTTGCTTTATTTTCAAACAACTACAAAGGAAACAGTAGAATTTTGGCTTCTTGTAATTTTCCTTTGAAAATGTTCACAACCATGTGTGGTTGGAATCTGGCATTTATCTTTTGCTTCCATTCTGGAAATTTATACACTTCTGTAGCGTTTGGTTTGGGTCACATAACTTTTCAATTCTTTGTCATAGTCTTCCACTTGTATAATTTCCGTCCAGTGTGAAAAACATATACCATAAGGTGTTTACACAGAAAGACTTTAGGCATAATAATTGCCTATGGATCAGAAGAGCTAGCACAGAAAAATTAGTCATGCATAATAAGGAAACAAAAAATGTATCACATTATTTTATGTGAATGACCAAGACTGAGTGTACAGGATGTAATCAAAGTCAAACAAACTTTGTAACCATTGACTTTAGAAGAATAATAAAAATACATTATCCAGCTCCCATACATAAAATATACTAGTTTCCAAGTGGACAGATGAGTCCTGCCAAATTTTAAATCGTTTAAAAATTTATTTTTTAGAGACTTTCAAAAGCAGCTTTTTAAGATCATCTAGGTGATGAGAGTTGATGTCAGACACCTATTTCCTTGCTCTCTCAGTTCTTTATTATATCCATGATAACTGCTCTGCTTATACTTTGAGGAGAAAAATGATTCTCGACAGAAGTTTATAAGGAAATTAAATCTCTGGAGATTTTTTTTTTTTCTTCAAAAAAAATTCAACTTCTACTGTCCTTACTGGAACTTTTTCCTGGTTCTGTTGCCCATATTTTGACTACAGCTTTCTCAAAGCTGAATTTTATATTTCCATCTCCTTGTAGATCCCTTTAACTTTTTATTTCATGGTCTCCCTAGTCTAATTCTGATCCTCACTACCTTATTCTTGACATCGACTCTTTCTCTGCCTAGGGAAACAGGACCTGCCTCTGACTGACTTACAATTTTTTTGAGTCAAAATAATATTATTATGAGTCAAAAGTCTTATTTTGTTCAACTTGATTGATAGAGAGCTTGATTTGTAGAACCTTCTAGCATCAGTATTGGTCATCCATCTATTCTGCATTTACTGAGTGCCAGCTATATGCCAGACATTCTACCATGCCCCAAAATACAGAAAAAGAGATTAGAAAACCAGCAATTGCAGCCTGTCAGCACTTGAATGAGATCTGCTGCTTACTAGTTGTGTCACCTTGGGTAAGTTTCTTGAATCTATTCTTCAGTTTGTTATCTGTAAAATGATATTAGTGCCCTATGTCATCAAGCCGTTTTGAAGGTTAAGTAAGGCATATATGTATATTGCTTCGAGAGTCCATAGATTATTCTGTAAACAAGGCAAGTCCTGTGGCCTCAGACCTGTCTAATCACCACTCCTGTCCTGGTCTTTTGCCTTCACTGGACTTACCATTTATGTCAATTAAACAGGAGAGGCAGTTGATATTGAAAAGTAGGTGCAAACATTGCAAAACCCATTAAAAGATAGGTTTTTGATAATCTGTTTGTTCTCATTTGCAGAATCCCTTTTAAAAGACTTTGAAGTTCAGAGACAGATACTATAGTTCTGACTTGTAAGGGGCCATACATATCCTGTATCACAGCTAAAAATGGTATAGGCTCATCTGGCTTTTAAAAAGAAGAACTTGAGCAGATATTAATCCAAAGAAGACATACAAATGGCCAGCAAGTGTATGAAAAGATGTTCAACATCATTAATTGTCAGGGCAATGCAATCAAAACTATGAGAATTTATCACCTCACACCTGTTAGAATGGCTAATATCAAAAATCCAAAATATAAGTGTTGGTGGGGACTTCGAAGAATTAGAACACTTGTACACCATTGGTGGGAATGTAAAATGGTCTAGCAGTTATGGAAAACAGTATGGAGGTTACTCAAAAAAATTTAAAAGGAACTACCATATGATCCAGCAATTCCAAATCTGGGCATATATCCAAAATAATTAAAATGAGGATCTCAGAGAGACATTTGCACACTGATGCTCATTGCAGCATTATTCACAGTAGCCAAGATATGTAAACAACCCAAGTGTCCAGTGACAGATGAATAGATAAAGAAAATGTGGTATATACATACAATGGAATTATTTAGCCATAAAAGAAGGGAATCCTGCCATCTGTGACAACTGGAGAACATTATACTAAGTAGAATAAGCCAGGCGCAGAGGGGTGAATATACTGCCTGATTCTGCTTACATGAGATATCTATAATAGTAAAACTTACAGAGGCAGAGAATACAATGCAGTTGCCAGGGGTTGGGGGTGAGGGAAATAGGGACTTGTTCAATGGATGTAAAGCTTTACTTGCGCTAGATAAAGAAGTTATAGAGATCTGCTGTATAACATAATACTTATAGTTAATAATAATGCATTGTACAGTTCAAAATTTATTAACTGGGTAGATTTTATGTTAAGTATTCTTATCACAAAAATGGGACACAAAGAAACTTTGGGAGTGTTGGGTATGTTTATTACCTTGATTGTGGTGGTGTTATCACTGGTGTTTGCATATGTCTAAACTCATCAAATTATACACATCAAATGTGTGCAGGTCTTTGTATATCAATTGTGCCTCATTAAAGCTGTTAAAAATTTTGGCTTCATTTGATAATGAGGGCTCTTCAAAAAGGCTGATCACTGCTTACAAGAGAGAACATACTTTGGGCTGCGTACTGTCTTTATGTGAGTAGTCCTCATATGTTTACACTTCTTTGCCTTATGTTTATGCAATCTTATAACAGAATGAGATAGCATTTTAACACTGGTAAATTAATATGTGGCCTGGGAGTGTTTAGATTTAGTAGAATTAAAATGGTTTAAATTGCTAAACAAGAACAGTATTCATGATCCAAATATATTACTTTTGTATATATTGTACAACAAACCATTATTTCATTACTTAACTTATTAAGCTGACAGTTATTACCACAGACTAGGCACTTAGGATACAGATATAGAAGACAGTTTCTGTCTTAAAGAACTAATCATTTAATGTAAAAGATATATCTGAAAATAAATGTTTATAAGCACAATGATAACACTAGTATACACGAGCTATACATGGATATTAAAGAACTGAAGAGGGACCAAGAGAATGTGTACTTATTGCAGTGATTTATGGTCATTGGTTTTTCTTCTTTAACTTATTAGATGCTGCACAAATATGGACAACATTCTGTAGCAAAGCTAAGTACACGTTTGGAACTTGCTTTTTTCTAACATGAAATTTTATTTTTATTTGTTTTTAATTTTTTGTTACCATAGGTTTTTGGGGAACAGGTGGTATTTGGTTACATGATAAGTTCTTTAGTGGTGACTGGTGAGATTTTGGTGCACCCATTACCTGGGCAGTATACACTGAACCCAATTTGTCGCCTTTTATCCCTCGCCCCCATCCCACCCTTTCCCCACAAGTCCCCAAAGTTCATTATATCATTTTTATGCCTTTGCATTTTCATAGCTTATCTCCCACTTATGAGTGAGAACATAAGATGTTTGGTCTTCCACTCTGAGGAACTTCCTTTTTAAAATGAAGGAGCTAATAAAATTGGCTTCTCACATTGTAAAAAAAAGTCATGAGAAAAACAATACATTATGAATTGATTGTTATCTCTATTTTGTAGTAAGTGAGAGTTTTGCTTTTCCTTGAATTACTGATTTTTTGGCTGGTTGTTTTGTTCTTTCTGTGCTGTGCAGATACAACCATACGTGGTTGTATTTTGTAGTCTGAAGAAGTTTGAGGTGATATGTGCTTGGGATGTCTCATTAGAAAAACGTTTGGGACAATAGAGAGAAAAAGACCACTAAAATGGGAAGACTCATCTCTTCTTTGCAGTTTTACCAGAAATTGGAGCTCTTAAGTAATAAACAACCATCAAGTAATTAAAGAATGAAAAATGTGATTTTCATTATAGCATGAATTGTGTGATTCTTCTCTATTTTTCTTTTCTTGCCAATTCCATTTGGTATGATTGTGAAACGCCATTAATAAGCATTGTAAGTCCTTTCATTTCAGAAGTTCATTTTGGTTACCAATAAATGTTTTGTGTAGGACTAAGTGGTATAGTTTAAAATTTTTTTTCTCTTCTCAAAACAATTAGTTTGCTGAAGTCAGAAAATATGTTACCTGAGTTTAATTCTTTCTGTTGAAGACTATTCTGTAACCATTTGGACATTTATTTACTTCATATGGTCAACCACCTCTCTTCATTTGATCACTTCTACATTAAAAGTCTATAACATGGTATTTGGGGCAGAAAATGTAAAGAAGGATAAGTCACAATCCCTGAATATCAGTAGCTTTCCACCTAGTAGAAGAAACTGAATGCAATGATATCTATAATACAGATAATATTTGACAAACGCTATGATTTATTCATTCATTGAACAAAAATGTTTTATGCATCTCTCATATTCTGAACACTATGGGAGATTCTGGGGATAGAGACATGAAGAAGGCAGAGACATTTTGTGACCTCACAGCTTGGTGGGAATGACAGACATTTACCAAGAATTAAAGAGCCTTCACTATGGGCCAGACATGTAAGAACCAGAGATAGAAAACCCTGAGTAAAGGTGCTGATAACTTAATGAAGAAGAGCACCAGAAAATAAGCAATGACTAAGTATTATGATAAACTCACAAAAAAGGTGTAGGTAGGACATTACAAAAGGACATAAAAAATGAAGCCATCATCCTATTTTCTAATCATGTATTTCCATACGTTGTTTTATTACATGCTATATAAATATGGGCAACATTTTACAAATGCTTGGTGAGTGACTTATTATATGTTATGTTGAATGTCACAGAGTGATATGAGAATGTAGAGGAAAAATTACTCTCTTTGGTATTTTCAGAGATAGTTTTCTGAAAGACCTGTCATCTGAGGTCAGTTCTTCATGAAGGACTGGTAGTATTCAGGAGAGGAGGATTCCAGATTGAGGAAACAGTGTGAGCTAATGTACAGAGGCAGGAATTTAGCACATATAGAATCGTCCTACGTGGATAGATTGATTGTAGGATTAAAGAGTGTTAAGCCAGAGGTGAAACCCCGTCTCTACTAAAAATACAAAAAATTAGTCGTGCGTGGTGGTGGCGGGCGCCTGTAGTCCCAGCTATTCTGGAGGCTGAGGCAGGAGAATGGCATGAACCCAGGAGGCGGAGTTTGCAGATCCGAGCCGAGATCGCACCACTGCACTCCAGCCTGGGCGACAGAGGGAGACTCCATCTCAAAAAATAAAATAAAAATAAAAATAAAAATTAAAAAATTAAAAAGTGTTAAGCCAGGAAAAGCATTTTCTAAGGCTTTTCCAGGTCTTGAGGAGCCTTCTATACCTTGTAAGAAGTTTAGGCGGTATCTTGAGAGTAAACTTCAACATCGAAGGCAATAAATGGAACCAGGAAGACATCCGGTACCCACAAGGAGGTGTAAGAGACAACCAGAAAGAGGCAAAAAGGACAAAGCACGGGGAATCTGGGGTAACATTTACTTCTAGCAGTTTTAAAAATTTTCTTAAAGTTATGTATGACGTTTATTCACTGAGTCCCATAATTTTTGTTGAGAGATGAAGTATCATATACTTTACTAAGTATTATTGGGTCGAGAACGTAAAAAATTCAAAATAGGGTATAACCACAAGGCAGGAAGATACATTACCAACTCACAGTAATGTAAGTGAGATAAATACATGCTAAAACAAAAGGAGCACAATGTGTACAAAAGAAGCAGTTAATTCTGAACAAAGTGATTGAGAAAGGATTTGTGGACAGGCAGTCTGACTCTAGAGCCTGATGGCCATGATGTGTGTTGGGTGTAATCACTGGCTCTTTGCATCTTGGATGGAGTTCCTTGGGACCAGATTCTGATAAGAAAAGTTGATGCAGAAGATTTATAGGATAAGACTTTTGAAAGAAAGAGAAATTGACCTGTGGCACAGGTGCTCTGAGGAGTTGGTCAATCCTCAGAAGCTCTTGAGCTAGGAAGACCTTTCAGAGGTGCACTGAATTGAGGTAATTTGGCCGTGTCTTTATATCTGTGCATCTGTTAGTCATTGGCAATGGGAAATTCCTTGGAAAGGTTATAACCTTGGGGAAGACAGTTTTCTGCAACTAGGGGCAATTCCCAGTGATAAATAGAGCTGGGAGCTGCGAACAATGTTTAAACTTAGATGAGCCCAATATGGTAGGTGGAAACCCAATTCCATGCTGTGCACTTTCCTTTTAATTTTTGCATTGAAGGCTATAGAAAGATGTAAAAAGATTTGAGAATATGAGGTGGCATATATGGATTTTAGTTTTAGAAAGTTATTTCTGGTAGTACTATAATGTATAATTTGGTGAGGTGATATATGCTGACAAGTGAAACCCATTTGTAGACTATTGTAATAGGTAAGTTCCAATTCAAACCTGTGTGAAGTTTTCCCATATCTCAGCCAGAATAGTCTTCTCTCTACCATTCTCCCATTAGTTATATTTTTATTTTAGCCCCAACCAAACCCAATTTATGCCATCAGTAGTTGTATCTGTGTATGTCTTGTTGTAGTCTGTGAATTTCTTTAAAGCAATAGCCATACAGACATATTCTTGTCTGTATCTCTCAAAGGACCACCATTGAGCCATGAATAAAATGGGCATTGGTAAAAATATTTTGAATTAAATGTTTCTTTCTTTTCTTTTCTTTTGATACAGAGTCTCACTCTGTCATAAAGGCTCCCAGGCTGGAGTACACTGGTGCAATCTCAGCTCAATGCAACCTCTGCTTTCTGGGTTCAAATGATTCTCATGCCTCAGCTCCCCAAGTAGCTGGAATTACAGGAGTGCATCACTGCACCTGACTAATTTTTATATTTTTAGTAGAGATGAGGGTTTCACTATGTTGCCTAGGCTGGTCTCAAATTCTTGGCTTCAAGTGATCTGCCTACCTCGGCCTCCCAAAGTGCCCAGCCTGAATTGAACATTTCAATTGCATTCAGGGAAGAAATAATAAGCTTCTAAAACTGGGTTAATAGTAGTAAGAACAAAGAGAATGTCACTGGTGAGGAACACTAAGGAGGTAGAAAGTGAAAAAGGACTTTTGGGCGTGATGACGTAACTTCTGTAATATATAAATTATTTGTATATCAAATACACTGAAACACACTACTAGAATTCATTTATGTTTATATATTTATTTGGTACATTTTCCCAGGCCATTTCTTAAAACACTTCCCC
Source organism: Homo sapiens (assembly GCF_000001405.40). Classification (NCBI taxonomy): domain Eukaryota; kingdom Metazoa; phylum Chordata; class Mammalia; order Primates; family Hominidae; genus Homo; species Homo sapiens. Next base: position 74,692,630 of record NC_000008.11, read on the forward strand.
TCTTTACATAAGTTTCTCAAAGTTTGTTTTTCCAATTTATACTTCAAAGAGAAAACATAATTTGAAAGTTGTTTCTACCCTTTGATGTTGTTTTATAACGCTTGCCTAAGGCATTAAAGTTCAGGTTAACAGTTCTGTCTTAGTAAAACTGATTTTGTAAGATGCTTTTCTGCCCATATTTCAAATGAATGCTTTGAATTCCTTTGCCAACTCTGTCAAGGTTATATGACTCCAGAAGGCCATCAAAACTTCCAGAAAGTCAAGAATAAAAGTATTTTTCTTTCTCGGGGTATGATTTGGTCAAGAAAAGACATGACCTATGAAAATTAAAATATATCTTGGAAGCATGAAAATGGCTTTGATTCAAGTGTGTAAAGTTTTCCAAAGCTGAGAGGGAGCACATTTAATCTGTGAACAAAGACATTATAATCTGGTGGCAGACACATGGTATGTGGCGTCAGAAAACACAGACTGACAAGTTATATGATCATGGGCAACTCAATGTTTCTATGTTTTATTCTTCTCTTCTTAAGAATGAGATAACATTATTTCTTGTTGTAACCAACTTGTCAGAATGATGTGAGGATACAATTAGCCAAGTGAAATACATGGCTAGAAGAAGCAGTGGGAAGAGCCCTGTGGGCACTCTGGGTCCAAAGGGAAGCCATTTTTGACTTTGTCTCACAGGGGTCCTTGGAGAGAGCTGCCAGTGGTTTGGGGAAAGACCACAGGGAGAAGGAAACTTCCATCTGAACTTTGTAATAATTTCGATCTAATGTGAAGTTTCCTGGATAGAATCTAGGGGAGGGGGTGAAAGGGGAGTGCAGATATGAGCACAGAAGCCACAGCAGGTGGTGGGCAGGATTCCTGAAAGCCCTGCTTGCTTTCTCAGTGGGGAGGCTTAGAGCCTAGGGCAAGTTCTCAGCTTCTCAGCCCTGCTCATCTGCTGCCTGGAAATAAAATCAGTGCTATTGCGGGGGCGGGGGGGGAGGGGTGGGAATGGTGGGAATGAGACCAGCCTTTTGGCTGTGTGGGAGCTGGGTGAGGCCTATCACTGCCAGCTTTTCCCCACTTCCCTGGCAACCTGTATGACACAGCGAGGGTGTCATAATCCCCCTGAAAACATAACTCCATAGGTCTGAGAGCCATACCTCCATCCCCTACAGCAGCCACAGCAAGCCCCACCCAAGGAAAGTCTGAGCTCAGACACCTCTAAACCTGCCCCCACCTTAGGGTCTTTCCCTATCTACCTTGGTAGCCAAAGACAAAGGACGTAATCTCTTGGGGGCTCTATGGCCCTGCCCACCAACTGAGAAACCCAAATATTTATCCAGGCAACCCTAGGGCAATCTTGTGTCCTCCCTATACTATTGCAGCTGATGCTCTCCTGAAAGTGCCACCTCCTAGCTGGAGGCCAAACAACACAAAACCAACACACTAAACAAAACTATAACCAAGGACCCTCACAAAGTCCAATTCACTCCTCTGCTACCTCTACTGGAGCAGGTGCTAGTATCCATGGCTGAGAGACATGAAGACAGATCACATCACAGGACTCTTTGCAGACACTCCCCAGTACCAGCCGAGAGCCTGGTAGCTCTACTGGCTGGTGAAACTCAGCAGAGAAATAACAATCACTGCAGTTTGGCTCTCAGGAAGCCCCATTCCTAGGGGAAGGGGAGAGCACCACATGAAGGGAGCAACCCATGGAACAAAATAATCTGAACAGTAGCCTTTAAGCCCCAAATCTTCCCTCTCACATAGGTCTACCCAAGTGAGAAGGAACCAGAAAAACAATTCTGGTAATACGACGAAACTAGGTTCTTTAACATCCCTGAAAGACCACATAGCTCACCAGCAATGGATCCAAACCAAGAAGTAATCTCTGAATTGCCAGAAAAAGAATTCAGAAGGTTGATTATTAAACTGCTGAAAGGTGAATATCAACTTAAATTAAAAAATGTTACAGGATATGGATGGAAAAATCTCCAGAGAAATAGATAGCATAAATAAAAATCAAACACAACTTCTGGAAATGAAGGACACACTTAGAGAAATGCAATATACACTGGAAAGTCTCAACAATAGAATCAAAGAAGTAGAAGAAAGAATTTCAGAGCTTGAAGACAAGTCTTTTGAATTAACCCAATCTGACAAAGGCAAAGAAAAAAATGAACAAAGCCTCCAGGAAGTTTGGGATTATGTTAAATGACCAAACCTAAGAATGATTGGTGTTCCTGAGGAAGAAGAGAAATGTAAATGTTTGGAAAACATATTTGAGGGAATAATAAAAGTTCTCCAGCCTTGCTAGAGACCTGGACATCCAAATAGAAGAAGCTCAAAGAACACCTGGGAAGTTCATTGCAAAAAGTTAATAACCTATGCACGTAGTCATCAGGTTATCTAAAGTCAAGATGAAGGAAAAAATCTGCATCAGGTAACATATAAAGGAAAACCTATCAGATTAACAGCAGACTTCTCAGCAGAAACCTTACAAGCTGGAAAGGATTTGTGCCCTATCTTTAGCTTCCTTAAACAACAAAACGATAAACAGCCATGAATTTTGTATCCAGTGAAACTAAGCTTCATAAATGAAGGAAAGATACAATGTTTTTCAGACAAGCAAATGCTGAGAGAATTTGACACTACCACCCCAGCACTATAAGAACTGTTAAAAGGAGCTCTAAATCTTGAAATAAATCCTTGAAATACACCAAAATAGAATCTCCTTAAAGCATAAATCTCACAGGACCTATAAAACAAAAACACAATGAAAACCAAGGTATTTGGGCAAAAAATAGCACAATGAATAGAATAGTACGTCACATCTCAATACTAATGTTGAATATAAATGGCCTAAATGCTCCACTTAAAGGATGCAGAATGGCAGAATAGATACAAATTCACTAACCAAGTATCTTCTTTCTTCAAGAGACTCACCTAACACATAAGGACTTACATAAATTTAAGGTAAAGGGGCGGAAAATGTTATTCCATGCAAATGGACACCAAAAGTGAGCAGGAGTAGCTATTCTTACATCAGAAAAAAAAAACTTTAAAGCAATAACAGTTAAAAAAGACAAAGAAAGATATTATGTACTGATAAAAGTCATTATATAATCACTAGTCTAACAGGAAAATATCACAATCCTAAATATGTATGCACTTAACACTGGAGCTCCCAAATTTATGAAACAATTACTACTATACCTAACAAATGAGATAGACAGCAACACAATAATAGTGGGGGACTTCAGTACTCCACTGACAGCACTAGAGAGGTCATCAAGACAGAAAGTCAACAAAAAACAATGGACTTAAACTATACCCTAGAACAAATTAACTTAACAGATATTTACAGAATGTTCTACTTAACAACTGCAGAACATACAGTCTTTTCATCAGCATATGGAACATTCTCCAAGATAAACCATATAATAGGCCACAAAACAGGTCTCAACAAATTAAAGAAAATCAAAATTATATCAAATACTTTCTCAGACCACAGTGGAAAAAATTTGAAATCAACTCCAAAAGGAACCCTCAAAACCATGCAAATACATGAAAATTAAATAACCTGCTCCTGAATAATCGTTGGATCAATAATAAATTCAAGATCAAAATTAAAAAATTATTTGAACTGAACGATAATAGTGACACAACCTCTCAAAACCTCTGGGATACAGCAAAGGCAGTACTAAGAGAAAAGTTCATGGCATTAAATGGCTACATGAAAATGTCTGAAACAGCACAAATAAACAATCTAAGGTCACACCTCGAGGAGCTAGAGGAACAAGAACAAACTAAAACCCAAACCCAGCAGAAGAAAAGAAATAACCAAGATCAAAGCAGAAGTAAATGAAATTGAAACAAAAAAACACAAAAATTAAATTAAACAAAAGATGTTTTTTGAAAAGATAAATAAAATGGGTAGAACATTAGTGAAATTAATCAAGAATAGAAGAGACAAGATCCAAATAAGCTGCATTAGAAAAGAAATGGAAGATATTACAAACAATACCACAAAAATACAAAACATCATTCAAGCCTACTATGGACACCTCTAATTGCACAAACTAGGAAACCTAGGGGAGATACATAAATTCCTGGAAATATACAGCCCTCCTAGATTAAACCAGGAAGAAATAAAAACTCTGAACAGACCAGTAGCAAGCAGCAAGATTAAAATGGTAATTTAAAAAATGCCACAAAAAAAAAAGTCCAGGACCAGATGGTTTCACAGCTGAATTCTATCAGACATTCAAAGAAGAATTTGCACCAGTCCTTTTGACACTATTCCACGAGATAGAGAAAGAGGGAATCCTCCCTAAATCATTCTATAATAATGATAAATCATTATCACCGTAACACCAAAACCAGGAAAGGACATAACAGAAAAGAAAACTACAGACTAATATCCCTGATGAACATACATACAAGAATCCTCAACAAAATACTAGTTAACTGAATCCAATAACATACAAAAAAGATAATCCACCATGATCAAGTGGGTTTCATACCAGAGATGGACAGATGGTTTAACATATGCAAGTCAATAAATATGATACACCACATAAACAGAATTAAAAACAAAAATCACATGAACATCTTAATAGACTCAGAAAAAGCATTTGACAAAATCCAACATCCCTTTATGATTAAAACCCTCAGTAAAACTGGCCTAGAAGGGACATATCTTAAGGTAATAAAAGCCATCTATGACAAATCCACCGCCAACATTATATTGAACGGGGAAAGTTGAAAGCATTCCCCTGAGAACTGGAACAAGACAAGGATGCCCACTTTTACCACTTACATTCAACATAGTACTGGAAGTCCTACGCAAAGCAATCAGACAAGAGAAAGAAAGAAAGAGCATCCAAATCAGCAAAGAGGGAGTCAAACTGTTGCTGTTCACTGATGATATCATCCTATTCTTATAAAACCCTAAAGACGCATCTAAAAAGCTCCTGGAACTGATAAATGAATTCAGTAAAGTTTCAAAATACAAAATTAATGTACACAAATCAGTAGTCCTGCTATACACCAACAGCGACCAAGCTGAGAATCAAATCAAGAACACAACCTCTTTAACAACAGCTGCAGAAAATAAAAACAAAAACAGAAAACAAAACAAAACAAAAAACCTTAAGACTATACCTAATCAAGGAGGTGAAAGACCTCTACAAGGAAAGCTACAAAACACATTGATGAAAGAAATCATAGACAACACAAACAAATTAAAATGCATCCCATGCTCATGGATGGGTAGAATCAATATTGTGAAAATGATCATGCTGCCAAAAGCAATCTACAAATTCAATGCAATTCCAATCAAAATACCACGATCATTCTTCACAGAACTAGAAAAAATAATCCTAAAATTTATATGGAACCAAAAAAGAGCTCATGTAGCCAATGCAAAACTAAGCAAAAAGAACAAATCTGGAGGCATCACATTACCTGACTTCAAACCATACTGTAAGGCCATAGTCACCAAAGCAGCATTGTACTGGTACTAAAAATAGGCACACAAACCAATGGAACAGAATAGAGAACCAGAAATAAAGCCAGATACTTAACAGCCAACTTATCTTTAACAATACAAACAAAAACAAAGTCGGGGAAAGGACAGCTTATTTAACAAATGGTGCTGGGATAATTGGCTAGCCGCATGTAGGAGAATGAAACTGGATCCTCATCTTTCACCTTATACAACAATCAACTCAACATGGATCAAAGGCTGAAATCTGAAACCTAAAACCATAAAAATTCTAGAAGATAACATTGGAAAAACCCTTCTAGACATTGGCTTAGGCAAAGACTTCATGAACAAGAACCCAAAGGCAAATGCAACAAAAACAAAGATAAATAGATGGGACTTAATTAAACTAAAAAGCTTCTGCACAAGAAAAGAAATAATCAGCAAAGTAAACAGATAACCCACAGACTGGGAGATAATCTTCACAAACTATGGATCTGAGAAAGGACTAATATACAGAATATACAAGGAACTCAAACAAATCAGCAAGAACAAACCAAACAATCCCATGAAAAGGTGGTTTAACATATGTTTTCACTCATAAGTGAGAGCTGAACAATGAGAACACATGGACACAGGGAGGGGAACAACACACACCAGTGCCTCTTAGGGGGTGGGAGGCAAGGGGAGGAAACTTAGAGGATGGGTCAATAGGTGCGGCAAAGCACCACGGCACATGTACACCTGTGTAACAAACCTGCATGTTCTGCACAAGTATCCTGGAACTTAAAGTAAAATAAAATGAAACATAAAACAAGAAAAGAAAGAAAAGGGTTAAGAACATGAATAGACAATTATAAGAAGATACACAAATGGCCAACAAACATATGAAAGAATGGTCAACTTCACTAATGAGCAGGGAAATGCAAATCAAAACCACAATGTGATACCACCTTACTCCTGCAAGAATGGCCATAATCAAAAAAGCAAAAAATAATAGATGTTGGCATGGATGTAGTGAAAAGGGAATACTTTTACACTGTTGGTGGGAATGTAAACTAGTATAGCCGCTATGGAAAACAGCATGGAGATTCCCTGAAGAACTAAAAGTAGATCTACCATTTGATCCAGCAATCTCAATACTGGGTATCTACTCAGAGAAAAAGAAGTCATCATACGAAAAAGATACTTGCACACGCATGTTTATAGCAGCACAATTTGCAACTGCAAAAACATGGAACCATCCCAAATGCGATCAATGAGTGGATAAAGAAAATGTAGTATGTGTATGTGTGTGTGTGTGTGTATATATATATATATATATACACCATGGAATCATACTCAGTCATAAAAAGGAACAAAATAATGGCATTCGCAGCAACCTGGATGGAATTGGAGATCAATATTCTAAGTGAAGTAACTCAGGAATAAAAACAACATCGTATGTCCTCACTCACAAGTGGGAGCTAAGCTATGAGGATGCAAAGGTGTAAGAATGATACAAAGGACTTTGGGGACTTGGGGAAAGGCTGGGAGGTGGGGCGAGGGATAAAAGACGACATATTGGGTACAGTGCACACTGTTCGGGTCACGGGTGCATGATAATCTCACGATAATCTCAGAAATCACCATCGCTGTAACCTAACATCAACTTTTCCCCAAAAACCTGTTGAAATTTAAAAAATACAATTAAGTGGAAATGGTTTCTATATGGTAAAATGCCGTGTAAGTCTTTGTTTGTATAACATTTCTTTTCCAAGTGTTTTCGATTTTAAACAACCCATACTTAGAATAATACTTGATTTAACTAACTATAGTTGTGGAATATATTGTGTTTGGTCTTTGGTTAGCTATGGTAACTAAAATTCATTAAGTGCTAACCCGTTTATCAACCATTTTGCTAAGAATAATCTCATTTAATTCTTCTAACAATGCTATGATGAAGGTAAAATCATTTTACCAATGAGAGAACCGAAGTATACATAGGGATATGAGATGGTTTTTAAACTGCCAGTATACTACATTATTACATGTATATAGATAGACAATGGTGGAGCTTAATGTATGAGCACATGCTGTGCTGTGTATATGTATGTGTGTGCATACGTATTATACATACAGAAATACATAAATATCTACAACAGGGAAACCTGCTTATCAGCAAAGTATGCTGCTACAGACATATAAGGTATACATAACTAAATATAAATTTGGAGTAGTTAATTTTGGAAATCATCTACGATGTGTGAAACGCCATGTTCAATGCTCTAAACCAGTGTTGCCTTGTAGAAGTTTAACATGAGCCGTATATGTCATGTAAACTTTTCTGATAGCCACATTAAAAGAGTAATAAAACAGGTGAAGTTAATTTAATAACAATACTAGCTATATCAAATGATTTCAATCCCTATTTCCCTTACAAACACAAGAAAAAATAATTGATAGAAAAATTAAATCACTATTTTATATTACAAAATCAAGGCTAACTTTTCAGTTTTAAAAGTTTCTGCTTTTGATATTGATGGGCTGCTGTGGGCAGTCTACACTTATAGATCACTAGCCTTGTGATGGAGGGCTCTCATTTCTGAGACAGCTGATTGTATTTTTTGTGCAATCCTTGATGAAAAAATAATGGATGTTTTTTCAGTTTTTTTCTGAACTATATTTGTAACCAACCCATGACTGTATCCTCTCTAGGTATATGTTCTATCCCACTAAATTCCAAAGCAAAGTGATTATTAATTATTTAAATTCCACAAATATGTATTGATGTTTTCTTCTATGCTAAGTACAGATATAATTCTGAAATAGCTTTTTCACTGGTGGAGCTAATAGTCTATACTAAAGGAAAGATAAATAAATATATAATAAAATGCAGTAAGTGATTTGTTTCTAAGATATCACACAGAAATACAGTATAAGAGCACTTTTCTCCTGTACCTTTACTTCTTTCAAACCTACTACATGAGATAGTAAGACACAGTTGCTTAGAGAATAAAGAAAACTGTGGCCATTGCCTGAAAGGAGTGAAGTTTGATGCTTTGGTGAATGAGAATTTGATAAATATTTAGAATCTTCTGTACACTTCTTATCTGAGGATGTTCTTAGTTTAAAAAACATTTAAAACTCAAGGTAATGCATGCAGTGTGAAATTATCAAATTTTGTTTTATTATCAACTTTTAAACTTATTATTGAATAGATGGATATTAGAACATTTTTTAAAATGTAGTAAGCATTTGGTTAGTTTTGCTAGCCACCGTTCAAGCACTGTTTCTACTTGGAGAGAATGCTTCATTGTGCGGGGGTTGGAAGTCAATTGTATATTCCTTCTCCATACTCCGGGGCAGTCAGGGCTTGGACATATGACCTATGCTCAGCCAAGGTAGAGTCCAGTGGCTCCATAGAGGGTGTTTAGTTGGGGTGGCACCAATGGTGGCATCCTAACTAGACTGTTCCTAGGTTATGACATTGGCTCTTTTCTTGACTGCCATGTCTCTTTTGCTTCTTGTCATTTTCTGAGCCATTCTTTTCATTTTCTGAGCTATTTTCCAGCATTCCTGTTGATTCTGTGAACTACTAATAGTCTACTAAATAATTTGATTTTGAAATCAATTAGCCAAAGTCAGTTTTATGCATTTACAATCAAGGATTTAACTTCTATGGTGCTTGGCACCAGAAAGTCAATGGTCTCAAAACCCCAGGGAGAGAAGAACCTTATCTCTGGTTAACCTGGAATTGCAGGCAGTGAAAAATCCAGTTAATGTCCGGTGAGTTTCTGGTAGCTTATGGCATGCAATGACAAAACAACTAATTACCACTTGTGGTTACCAATAATGAGGTTTCAATGAAAGGTAAATCTTTGAGGCATTGCATTGATATAATACTAGAGAAAAATTAAGGTCATACAATTTCCAGGATGCCAGAACGGGTGTTTGCTTCTAATGGAAATAAGTAAAAATAGAGAGGGCACAGGTTAAAGTTCAAAATTTTTGACTCAAGGTATAAAACTTAGGAACTTTCCATCATTACACTAAAATAATTTATTTTCTGCTGCAGCTACAGTGTTGAAAATCAAATGCAAAAGATTGAAAATGCAGATTGTCAAATGCCTTTATAGGAGTTCACAGAAATGCCAGGTCTTCCATGTGAAAGCGATTTTGATTAAGAAGGGATAAAAGAATATGCATAGTTATATTGGATGATATCAAAAGATACAATGACCTTGATGTACTTTGTACCCTAACTCTCACTAGCTTCCTTTGCCAGCTGAAGCTATGCCATCTTTTATGTCTGATGAGGCAGTTTCATCTGATTTGAAGATGATGAAGAAAAGTTCTTTGCAAGGTAAGTCAGTTCTTCTGAAGACTTGCCTGTACCTCAATGTCTGCACACATCCTACTAGAATTGGGGAATGGAATATACATGTAAGCCAGATTCAAAGCTTTAAGCCTAAGAGGAGGAGATTTCACCACATTCAAAGTTAAAACCTAAAAAGGGAAGATTTCACCCCAAAGAAATAAAAAGAACTGGACAATTATTTTAACAAAACTTTGGGAGATATGTGTGAGAAGATATTCTGAAGTACCAAGAAAGGAAGAGCACTACATTAGACTGAATTTAATAATCAATTCAATCAAAGTGTTTTCTTGGCCAAATGGCTAAAATCTGGATTAAAACATGGCCCATGCTAAAGTTTAGATGCCCAAAATTCCTTGGCATGATGTATAAGGAAATAACCCAAAGGTAATGAGCAATAGAATTGATTGTGATCGACTCACCTATCCTAACCATGTTTGTTAAGAGGGTTCAGAAGATATCCTCTTCACCAAGGCCTTGATAAATATATTGGTGAGAGGGGTGTTACGTTCTCTGAAAAGTTCTGCAACGTTTTGGATGTTGAAGGGGGTCCTGCAATTGAAAATGAGTTCCCTAATGTCAATGGGGTGGAAAGATCCTAGAGTAGCAGAAGTCACATAAGAATATTCAACAATCAGAAAAAAAGTGGACGTGGCTACTATGATAGGTAATCAGAAGGGCCTTGCCCTTGGGGATTGTTGGTAGCGTAAGAGTACATAGGACTGATGGTGACCAAATCTTGTGATGCCTAAGACTCAGGTAGGTCCTGAGAATGGAATTCCAAAATCTAAATCAGTTCACAGGATCAGAGCTCTTATAATAAATATAGACTTAAGGAAGGATGCATCAGTACCATAATAAGTACATACTGTGAATCTTTATTTTAATCTTCCTCAAAGAAACCTATGGTCTTTTACCAAATGATTATGCACTAGGGAATGGGAAATACCTAAAGTTTTCAGAGCCTATTGCATGCTGGCTCCAAGCTAACAATAATTCCTAGGCACCCAAACGATGACTGTACTCCATGGATAACAGCAGGATTTAGGGCAATCAGGAGATAAATGGAATTGTGACCCATCCCCCTTCATGATGGGATTACTGTTATCTCAGCTATATTCTGCTATTGTTTTTCAGGTTGCTTATTGAATATTACTGGGAAAACAGGAAAATTAGGAGGAATGTTCTGGAGTGATTTATCTTTTTCATCAGGGGTGAGTAGAATTTCTGCTATGCTGTGGGATCTGGAAGTCATGTGGATGAAAGTCAAGTGATCTCTTTTGGTCCCCTTTCATACCACCATGAGTCTAGTCAAAGCTGATAGCGGGTTAATACAGCCTTATAAATTGTGGATAGCTGAGGATTAAGCATCCTTAGGAATACAAATGTGTATTTCCAATGATACCCATCAGGTAGCACTGATAAGCACCGGTGCTACCATATTACAATAAGTGGAGATCCTGTACTTGGAGGAATTTAGTAATTTATCAGACTATGGATTGCCTACTTTTGGAGAGGAGTAGTTATATTTTGGGTTGTAAAAGGGATATTTGAGTAGGGTGGTAACTCTTTTGAGGGAAAGGTAAGAATAGGAGGAAGGGAACATCTGGCTAATGGGAAACATATATCTATATGGGAATAGATCTGTGATTTTTTTTCTATTAATTTTCTAAAATTTATTTCTTTTCGTGGGTATCTGCAATGTGTGGAAGTTACTGGAAAGCAGAGGTCCTTTCCCCACTAAAGAAGGCCTTAAGAGACAAATATTTTCTTTCTATACTTCTTGGCAATGAGAGCATTGGCATGTGATCAATGCTTGGTTGTTCCTTCGGGACAGTGCATCTTGAGGAAGTGACCAAGGGACACATGCAATAGTTTTATGCTTCTTGCCTCACTAACATCCATGTGTGCCAAAGATAGATGGAGTCTTTCCAGGCACTAACTACAGAGAATAAAACTATGATCTCCTGGGAGGTGTCAGGAGGGTAGTAGTCATCTGGCCATAGGAGATCCAGCAATTTCTTTTTCATATAGACTTCCATTCCTCCTATCCTCAGCCCTCAGACTTTCCCCTTTTTCTTTTTACTAAATCTGATGCCTACAGGCCTCTCTGGGATTTCTTCAGGGTGAATCAACTTTATTCTCCTCAGGATCCCAAAGTGGGGATAACTGCACTTAGAATTACAGTGCTGTCACTCAGCTACCTCAGTAATCTCTCTCCTACACTTCTCATCTTCCAAAACTTGGTTGAAATGTTTCATCTACTGAGATCTCCCAAATGGTTTATCTTTTTTGACTTGATAAACATTTCATTTAAGGAAATTTTGGAAGAACTTCAGGAGGCAGAGGAGAAAAATACATATTGGCAACATATCAAGTTTAACATTGCAATCTTCACAAACTATCCTCTTTCAATGGTTAGGATAAGCATGGCAGGATAATTGTATTGTTAAAACATGTCCAGAAGTTAACTGTGAATAATATCACTGTGCTCTAAAGCATAGGGCCACATCATTATTGAAAGTTGCACTGGTCATGATGGTATAGCAGCTCAGCTGAACTTCCTTTACTTTTATTCTTTCTTTTTTTTTTTTCCAGTGGAAGATGTCAGGATGTCAGGATCTTCCACTAAATGGGGCAACTTTTGCATCAGAGTTTGATTGACTACTGTTAATGTCTGTCTCAATTTTGATTTCTAATTCAGACAATATTACAAGAAAACCCAGTTTAGGGACATGCCAAAAGTTTCATAGGAAAAAATTATTTAATTGAGTTTTTATGTTTGCCAAAACCCACTCAGTTAAAATACTTTGCAGACATTTTTTTTTCTAGTAAAATTAAAAGTATTTAACGTTCTTCCATATGTTTCAGGTTGAAAGTTGATGTACTAACCCTTTCTCTTCAGCCTCTCTAAAAAGTAAATAACCTCAAAAATTGAACTGGATGTAAAAGTCATATATTTTCATTCTAAGATTGATACTTAAGGTCGTTTCCAAATACCACTACTCTGGCTGAATTTATGGCCTTTTGATGCCCCAGACTGTTTCCTTTTGAGGACTCTGACCAAGAGTCTGATCTTTCTATAGTTGGCCTGTGAGATTTGAAAGGGAAAAGCCTTCAGTAAAACATAGAGATGGTGCTTGTAGTCAAGGGATACGACCTTAGGCAGAAAGAAGGGGGAAAAAAAGACCATGTCAGTTTCTACTTCCAAGAAAAGCTGGTTGCTGTTTTGATAACAGTAATGTCCCTTTAGTTCAAAGTTACCAGCTATCAAAACAAGTTGCAGTCCATAGCAGACTAACTCCTTTCCCTTACAGAGAAGCAGATTCTAGTGTAACTGACTCCAAATAAAAATATATTTACGATAAAACTAGGCCCATGGATAGCAAGCAGAAATCAGAAAAAAACTAAACTTCTGAAATGTTCGGGAAAAAAAATATCATATGCTGTTTATATCCCTACAACTAAGATATCATTAGAAAAATTGTGTTAGAAGGAAATAAAATTCTAAAAGACGACACATCAAGGAGACAGGGTAATAGAAATTAAGTATCTATTAAAGTAAAATACAGAATCACTCCATCACATGTGTTAACTGTTCAGCAAAGCAGTTCTGCTCTGCAGTTGGTATGAGGTTTGAGCAGGAAGTATTATTGTCTGGCGTCAGAGCCAGGGCAGGATCCAGCTTGAACCTCCAAGTCATTTCACAAGGAAATATGAAATTGCAGAACAGTGTGGGTGGGCAATGGACATGACCTGACTTTCATTTATTAAATAAACACAGACTTGAGTAGTTGTACTTCTGAGAACATTAGCAGTGGCATTGCCAAGGTATAGCACTTGGGGAAGAGGGAGTTTTGTCCCTTCATAAATCTCCATGAGCAACCCCCTCTAAGTCATCCCTCATAAATTTACAATCTAAGTAATCTAAGTAAAATCAAGTGTGCTTGCTCTGTAATGTAGCTTCCAGGCAAATTAATTAGCGTTCACTTCCAAAAACCTTCTCACTCCTAAGTCCTTTCTATAGCGAAATTCAGGAGCTGCCAGTGTTAGTCCAACTCCCAAGATTATGTGCAATGTTGGTTCTTGCACGAACCAGAGCACGAGGGGCCTCCTTGGTCTCCAGTTCTCTTGTATCATTGTTTCATTTGCTGGCAACGAGAGCAGGTAAAGAAAACCATAGTGTTTGTGTAGTATAAAAGATGACTTCTTAAAGATGTGCAGACAGCAAAATCCATGCTTAACCAATTGTAAAAATAAGAAAACCTGAAAACAATTACTAATCTATTTATACATGTAAAAACTGGAAAATGAATTCTTAGTATATGGACTGGACAGCTCTCAGAAAATTTTTTTTCACAAGCTTCTTGGCGGGGAAGGGCATATTCTGCTTCTAGGCAGAAATGAAGTCGTTGGGGAGGATTTGCAAGTGCGTGAAGTGGATGCACACGGGTGAGGCGTGCCCATTTTAGGTCAAATGCACTTTTCTAAAATGTATTGGTTAAGAAATAAAAAGAGTACCACAGAATTTCATCACATCCCACTATTGCATTTTCTAATTATGGTGTTTGTCAATGTGACTAGTGAAAATTCAATATTTATAAAATAACTACATTCTAAGCCTGTGATGCACAGTCAGTGTTTGAATCAGAGAATTTGTGAGTTAAAATTCCCTCCCATGTAGATATCTGTCGTCACCTGAAAGCTCTTACCATCTGATCTAAATATGTGAGGCACTGCTGGGTGCTATATTGTTACATTGAGTGTTTGAGGTTGGAAATAATTTTAAAACCGATTGAGTCTAATGGCCACATCTGCCCAGGAGAGGCTGAAAGTCTTCTTCAGAATACACCCATGCTGACAGAGTGATAGCCACTGTTATAAATACAAAGTCTGTGAAATAAAAATAAAATACATACAAGCAATTAGGATAGTATCGATATGGTAGAGTCTGAAAGGTATCAAGAAAGCTACAAAGTCAGACAGGTTAAGCAACCAGAATTCATTTTCTTGTTTAGTCACTCAAAATATTCTTTTTCTAGCCACAATGTTGCAACCAGTTTTATGGATTTGTGCCCTGATAGTATGCAACTCTTTGTAGTCTTTGGACTTTTTTTTTAACTGCAACTGGGGCTATTGGGCTATTTTCATAAACTGTCACTTAACTGGGCAAAATTCCAGTCCAGATGCTCCTGGAGTGTTTTTATGTATGAGACATTGTCTGCTTATTAAGGCTTGTCTGTAATTTCAGTTAAACTGTTGAGTGGACATTGTTGCTTACAGAAGTTAGAAGATACCAGAGAAAGAATGGACAATTTTTGTGAGAAACAAGCAATTCTCTGATGTTTGAGATAATATTAAATAAATCAACCGGAGATGATGATGGATTAACTAATTAAGGGATCCACGTAGTCTTTACAAAGGCACCCAGGAGGTGCTTATAATATCCTTGAGGATGGATGTCTTTATGATGCAAACAGTGAAAAGAACTCTCCTTGGAAGAAGACAAGATGAAAGAACTTTGTCTAAGTTCCAAATGGAAATGGAACTCCCCCATTAAAAGTTAAAAAAAGTAAAGAGGAAGACCTAGAGGAAGTTCTTCAATAGAGAGTCTTCGGCTTTCTCTATCTGTGAGCCATTTTGCTCCAGGGAATATGTTTCCTCATAAATTTTATGAAGAGACCCCGTGATCTGGCATCTTGAGTTGGCATATAATTGAACCCACTCACAGGATCTTAATATCCTCTGCCAAAGGAGTCATCATCTGAATGGGAAAACCTTTGCAAAATTTTCCCTTCATCTTACAAGAATGACTAATTTTAGTTGTATCACAAGGAAGCATTTTGTTCCAAACACAGTTCCTAGAAATAGCGGGGCATTCCAGTCCAACAGATGCAAACCTTCCTCATGAGAACCAAACCAGCATGCTTGGGCAACTTGTCAATGAAGCCAAATTCCCTGCTTTCAAGAAGATTGGAAGAAGATGGGGCTTCTAAAAGAAGAGATAGTTCCCACAACTCTGTGTGGGTTATCTGGATTGTAGAATATTGACAGCAAAATTTAAATCCCAGGAGGTCTCTTCCTCATCTCTCTTGGACCCCCTCCTTTGTTACTCTTCTCACTCGTTAAATGAAAGCATATTTCATCATGAAGCTAAACAAAACTTAGTTGAACATTTAAATTTATTATATAATTGTGACAAAGTAAAATATAATGTATAAATTACACAGTTATGTATATGCAATGTGTTAGTAAATTCTGAAAATGTAAAATAAAATTTTAAAATTAAACTTTAAAATAAAAATTTTAAATTAGAATTTAAATTTAAAAAAAATTTAAATATTTTAAAATTAAAATTAAAAATTTAAATAAAATTTTAAAATCTAAATTTAAATTTTAAAAGTGCATGGCATATTGGGAACTTCACTGAACTGTAAGATAGAAAATGAGTCCCGCTTATGGCTTTTCTAGTAACTAATTTAGATTAGTAGCTTCATCTTTGTATTTAGTCATCCGTATAATGATAGAATGGACCTAATTAATCTGTAACTTATTTGTAGACCTAAAATTCTTTGATTCTGAATATAACATGTTCCTCTGCCTTGTATCAGAAATAATCATCAATATCAGATGGTGTTTGCTAAGTGTTGAGTGAGCTAATTAGACAAGGGAAAAGAGGTCAGTTCCAGACAGCATGGCAAGATAGTTTCAGGGAACTACTGGGACTTGAGAAGTGAACAGGAATGTAGTAAGTGAATTGCAGAGCACTCAAGGCATTAGGATGTGGCATAAGTTAATGTATGGAGGAAGTAAACTCCAGATGTGTTGAGCATCAGGAAGTAGATTAACTGGCATCATGGAGAATTAAGACAGGCTAGCATGAAGTTAGAGACCAAATTATGGAGAGTATTCAGTGCCTGGATATTCAGAATTTATGCTAACAAATAGACAACATCAGACCTTTTTTTTTGATTGGGGGAGGAGTTGGGTAAATGGGGGAATTACATGGGCATAAGTTTTTGAAAAAGAGGAAAATGTTACTCCTTTTCATTATCTATCTGTTTCAGAATTTTTTTTCAAAAGCATGGACAGCTAAGAGTTGATTTCTTCATTGGGGCAATATCTTGGAATCTCTTAGATTTCTATATTAGCTCAAATTTTCTTATTTTATTGCTTAACCCAATTTATCTGATTAATTAGAAGTTCATTAGGGAATTTTTTGTGTGTGTCACACATTACTTAGCAGTTATTAATTTATTCCTCAAGTATTTCATGTGTGCTGTGCTTATGGGGTTGGGCTGAGTTCTGGCAATAAGACAGACACATTCTTCACTTTCTGAAGCTTCTAGTCTGTCCATTTACTTTTTTGAGTGAGTGATATTTCAGAACTTGTATTTTTGTATGGATTTTGCATATTTTATTGGCAGTGGTAAATAATGATAATTTTTAAAATTGGCAGTGGTAAATAATGATAATTTTTAAAATTTCTGCAATATGCATCTAGTTTAACAGTTATCAGAAATTCTTGTTTCCTCTGAGGAATAGTTTGCAGCCACCCCATTCCATATCATTTGTGTTACCAAATCCTCTATGTTCATAATGATAAATTCCAAGTATGCCCATCTAAGTAGCGATTTTTAAACTTAAACCATTTGATTTGCATTATTCTTCCTGGAATAAGCAGATTTGAACTTTAGAAAATCCTCTGGTTCCTTTGGGGGAAAGAAGGAGTAAGCAGGCATAACAGAGGAAATAAAATAATCAGTGGGTCAGGGATGTTCAGTGGAGAAAGTGAAAATGGATCCACCAATTTTGATTATATTTTCAAGACTCATAATTTACCCTCAGGAAAGTTAAAAATGCTTTATTAGTCCTTTTGTGATCTCATTTCTCTTGCAAATTTCATTTTCAACTAATTTCCCTTGTATAAAATGTGAGGCAACTTGGGGATTTTGCAATGTGATGTGATTGTGCTTAGGGATGGTCTGGGTACCACGTTTTTAAGTAGACCGTAAGAGAAGGGTGACACTTGTCTTAATTTAGAGATTTTTAACATTTTAAGGTACTTAAAAACCATTATAAAATTTAGTATGGCGTTTATAGCAGAGTAATGTGGTGGAAACTTTTTGCACTGAGAGTCCCTGAACTATATAAGTATTCACAATTCCAGGCCTAGAAGTCGTTATGAAATGAAGTTTTACATAGTGGAGACTATCCTGGGTTTTAAAGGATACTTTGGAATCTATCTACTTATGGGGTTCATACAAAGTCCTGGGAGATGATCCAGCATATCTGTAATCAGTGCTTTTAACCAGATTTCATTTACTTAGGAGATTTGTTTACTTTATCTGATTATGAGGGAACTGTATGAGTCACAATTCAAATTACCAATAATATCAGACAGTTAGATTGAGCATAGCTGGGTCAAGTTATTGTTAGTGCTGGGTGACTCTCTGATGTGAGCAAACTGTGCCCCACGTTTTGACTCAACCTGCTCCGTACCTCTATGCTGTCATGGACTGCCATCATGGACAACACTATGCCTTGACAGGGCTCAGTAGTGGTCCCTACTTTTGACATTTTTCTCCTTTCTCTTCTTCAATACAAGTCTATCACTTTTGTGAACTATGCATTGTTCATTATCCAAGTCCACTGGAAAACTGAAACATGAACACAAACTTTGCCTCCTCTGGAAGCTTTCCCTGGCCCACTAGCTAGGTCATATTCTAGCTGTCACACATTCTCCTGGCTCTCTGTGCATCTGCACTGCCCTTTTCCCAGGTATAATTAGATATTCATGTAAGTACTTCTTTAATGTACATTTTCCCACTGTACTGTATGCTCTAAGAATGAAGGGACACTATATTGTTTACTGTTCTATACCCATTCCCTAACTCAATGCCTTGTGTATGTAGGAGGATCTTAATCATTTTACTGAATGAATGAATAGAATTTCAGCTAGATTTTATATAATAGTAGGCACTCCATACATGTTGAGTTGAATACTGCCTCAATTCCATGTATAAGACCTTTTCTCAAATGGGATTTTGTGGAACAGTGGTTGGAATTTCAGTCACAGTGACAGTTCCATGGGAGATATAATGCCTGCTCGGCATTTGATTAGAGCTGTTCCTAGTTTCCAATAACAATACAATGCCTTCCTCCCAAATGTAGTATCCAGTCAATGAGAGCTCATGGGATTTGCTTTATTCCAAACCATGTTAATTTCCCTTTACATTTGTACATTTGCTAACCTGATGTAGTAATGGCTGGATGTTATATGAAATTAAAAGGATTAAATAAATCTCCTTGCTTCAAATTCAGAATGCTTTTGGTTAAATTAAAGGGAAAATTATAACCGCAGATGTAAGCCAGTTTGGGTGTGGAGCAACCATGTGATGGAAATAGACTGAACTCCTGTGGATGCTTCCTGGGATGGTGCTGAATGCACTGCAACATGGCTGCGGCTGGAAGAAGCAGATGGGAGGCTTCTGGAGAGTTCCTTCCATGCCTCACCGTTTGCCATATTGGTTAGTCCTCCACCCTGAGAAAAAGAAGATGGTGGCATTTAAGGTTATACTCTGCAACCAGATCACATGAATTCAGAGCTCACATCTATCTTTTGTTATTTGGGTTTTTCTGGGCAAGTTACTTAAACTCTCTGTGCCTCATTCTCTTTACCTTCAAAACCAGAATAGTGGTAATACCCACTGTGTAGAGTTATTGTGAAGATTAAATTAAATTTACATGTAAACACATGTAAAGTATGTAGAAGAGTTTGCTAGGGTAAATGCTTAGGAGGTATTATTTTTATTATGACTAGATAGAGCATGGAACTTGAGCAATGGTGAAGGCTGACACTAGGCAAATGAAATAAGCCTGGTTTTCAAATGCCCATCATTCTGGCTAAAGAAACTTAAAAATGGGAGGAAACTCAGCTTAATATATGTCTCTCAACTACTTACATGAAATCATAACATTTGGAATATCTTATATTTAGTTTTAATATCTCTCTTGAGTAGGCAGGGGAAGTATTGATATGTGTCCTCAGCAGACCAGGGAATTAAAGATAGGGAAGTTAAATGTTTTGTCCAAGATCAAATAGCCTATAAGCAGTGGATCAGGGATTAGAATTCAGTTCACTTGAAATTGTAGTCCAGGACTTTTGTATTACAACTTGGCTACTGCTCAAAGGTTGGCCTCAGATTCAAGACTCTTTAGCTTTTTCTGCCTTTTTTTTTTTTTTATAAATCTATTCACCTTGATCATTCAAATGTACTTAAGACTACCCATTGTGTGGATAGCACTATTGATTGAGATAATGTTCTATATGACATTGATTTTTTTCTGTCCATATTTAATAAATAGTTACTAAGTTTGGGGCAGTAGGGATGTAGAAATAAAAAAGACCTTGTTCTTGACCTCAAAGAACTTGTGTTACAGCGGGGAATGCAGATAGGAAATGAAATAAAATACAGCATGATGTGTGTTGATAATAAAGGAAAGCACATACGCCAAGAGGATAGAGTGTAGTATACAGGCAAGAACCCAGCTAGGAAGGCAGAGGAGGCCGTGGTTAAAGAAAGACATCTGAGCTGAGTCCATGTTGAGGTTAGATGTTAGTCAATGTTAATACTAAAGAGCTCACATGAATGGACACTTTTTTATATGGGAGGCACTGTTCTAAGTCCTGTGCATGTGTTAATAAGTAACAAAGAAATACAGCACTATTAAAATGGTGTTATAATTTGAAATGCAAAGCTTCAAAAATATATCTTGAATTTGTTCACTCTCTCAATCTTCAGTGTAATCATCACCTCTTTTGAACAATTTATGTGGCCCCTTCCACTCTTATCCAAGTCTAAGCCACTTCCTACAGAGCAGCCAGAATTCATTTCTTAAATGACAAAATGGATGTAACTCTCCTACTTGAAGCCTTCACTGACTCTTATTTTATTCAAAATCCGCACCTTTTTTTCATGACCTATAAGCACTTACATTATATAGCCTCTGACCTGTTTGCTTATCTTCAGTTTTTTTTCATTTCTTTCCTTTTCATTTGTGATTCCTTAATTTTTTACTTCTCCCATCTCTTCTCTCATCTCCTACTGATGCCATTTCACAAGTCACTGTAGACAGTGCATAGAACACTGATACCATAGGATGCTAATATATGATTTAAAAAAATGGATTCATGGTTAGATAGGTTTGGAAAATATACAGTCAAATGAGGACAGATTTTTTTGGTTTACTTTGCATAACGTTACCTATCTAAATTTGCATTATAAATTTTGCATTATTCTCTAACTTACTCATTAACAAAAAAACAAAATTTAAGATGATTCTTATATGAACACACTTTCAGAAGATACTTTGGGAAATGTCCCACCCTAAAGAAAAACCATATTAAAGAGATCAATCTTAAGTTGGATTCAGAAGGTCAGCAAATGTATTACCCCAAAAATCTTATATCTGGGAGAAAAGATGGGGGGAACAGAGTTAAGAAAAGTTCATGAAATCCTAAGAGAGTCTCCTAAGAGACTCTCTCTTAGGAGATTCCGCAAGTGGAATACCTTGTGTATTCAACAACTAGGGTTTCTATCATGTTCTCAAATTAGGTTCCAAGGATTGAAATTGAGTCATTCTTTTGAGTTAATTAATTCCAATCAGGGTTTATTAAGGATCTACTAGGATGAGTCTTTGACTGGAAAGCTTCCTTGGCAGAGAGCACCACGAGGATGAGAGAATTGTTCCTTTCCTGTTTTCCAATCAGATAGGGTGGCACTGTATTGATATGAGCTTGGGTGGTCCTTAACACATTTCCATGAATCAGAAATTATATTTGCCAAATGCTAATCTGTTGTAAAATTAATAGCAACATATGTGTGTGATGAGTATCATTTCATGGGTTTTATCTGTTTACAAAAGACGGGGAAAGGAAATTATAAAACCATATAGCATAAGTTCATAAAGTAAATGAAAGTTATATAGATTTAGTCAGTGTATCCAACTCTATATTAAATGATTTTAGAAGACTGAGAGAACACTTCCAGAGGGCTACAATGGTTTAATGCTAGTGTGGTTTTGTTCTGTTTTTGTGTTTTACTATTCTTTGTTAAACTTTTTGCAATTGTGTGTGCTAGAATTTCAGGGTGTGAGGAGTAGGTTGGTTATCCTAGAATAATTTCTCAGTAATGAAAGCCTTCTTTGGGAGACCTCCTTTTTCCTTCTTTTTTTTTTTTTTTTTTTGTTTTTTTGAGACAGAGTCTCACTCCACCCAGGCTGGAGTGCAGTGGTGCAATCTCGGCTCGCTGCAACCTCTCCCTCCTGGGTTCAAGCAATTCTCCTGCCTCAGCCTCCTGAGTAGCTGGGATTACAGGCGCTGCTGCCATGCCCAGCTAATTTTCATATTTTTTGGTAGAGATGGGGTCAAACTCCTGACCTCAAGTGATCCACCCGCCTTGGCCTCCCAAAGTGCTGGGATTACAGGCGTGAGCCACAGTGCCCGGTCCTACTTTTTCCTTTTCTATTGTTTTTTTATTGCTACCAAACACATCTTTGCCAGGCATAAAACAATAAATATGGATTTTAAAAAGGGATGAACATTTTTGAAAACATATATTCAAAGAGAATATATTCTTAGAATATTTCTATTACTATTAGTAAGGAAAGAATATGACCTTCACAATGAAACATGGATGAACTGTGTGTGTATGAAAAAAACTGATGACTAAAACTGATAACTAAAAGTTAAAGGCCTGCAGCTACTTAAAAGACAATCCTAGCACAAGTTACGAGTACTTTTGACTTGCAGGATTCATAAAATAACTAAAGGAAGACATTGATTAGATTGGCAACAGAATCCTAGGAAATTTGGTTGAGTTCATGCTGCCTGGATATACAGGCATAGAACAGGGACAAAAGTACCTTCTGCCTAATTGTCCATGGCGATTCACAATTCAGAATTAACTTTACACAAAAAAGATATAAACCTTTATGTTGCCATTGTGATCTTACCATGAACTCAAAGGTGTTTGACTAGAAAAATCCCATTCTGTTTGTGACTTGTGAACTGAATACGTTTTGGACATTTAAATGGACATCTTGGTCATTGGGTTTCTCTCCCATGCACAGACAAATAGATTAAAAAAAAATTCAGAGAAA
This sequence comes from Homo sapiens, assembly GCF_000001405.40. NCBI lineage: Eukaryota > Metazoa > Chordata > Mammalia > Primates > Hominidae > Homo > Homo sapiens. Next base: position 74,715,633 of record NC_000008.11, read on the forward strand.
GAAAGACCTGTACTTATTTGTGTTTGCTCAATCTCTTACTTTACAAATGGAGGGTGTAACTTGTCCCAGGCAAGGATATTGCTTGCCAGGAACAAATAGAGCCCCATAAAAGCAATTTGCAAAAAAGTAATGTGTTGGTCCAGGGAGGCAATCTTTATACTTGCCAAGAAAATTATGGGAAGGATTGTAAGTAACAATTAAAGCCTCTGGGCCTCATCTGTGAAATCATGTCATCTACTTCTTCCACTAAGTTTCTGTGGGGTTCAAATTAGAAAATGTATGCAAAATTAATTTTTCAACTCTAAATAATTTCTAAATGCTGCTGTCTTAGCCTACGTCCCTCCAGAAATAGACCCTGAATGAAAGAATCAAATGCAAATGGTCGTTTGCAAAGAAGATCCCAGAAAGCTCTGGTAGGAGGACGGGGAAGCAAGACCAACAGAGACTAGGTTATTAAGTTGATTACTGCTATGGACAACTGGGGGCCCACTCCCACTAGTGTACAACACACCTTGGATGAGTGCCACCTGAACAGTGAGGAAGCTGGTGTAGTCTCCTCTCGCACTTATCTCTGGGCCATGCAGCCCAGAGAAATCTCTAACGTAGGGAGAAATGGGTGCTTGTAGTAGGCAGTTCTGAGGGTTCCCAGAATGGTGAAGAGTATCCCTTGCATCTGCTACAATTGGTTAACATCATGAAACAGAAGTTGGCTTGAAAGCAAGCTTTAATATAGCTCTAGGGTATGTCTACAGCTGGGCCTTTTATAGAATATTATTCCAGTGTAAAGAATGAATCCAGGGCCGGTCACAGTGGCTCATGCCTGTAATTCCAGCACTTTGGGAGGCTGAGGTGGGTGAATCACAAGGTCAGGAGTTTGAGATCAGCCTGACCAACATGGTGAAATCCATCTCTACTGAAAATACAAAAATTAGCTGGGTGTGGTGGTGCGCACCTGTAATCCCAGCTACTCAGGAGGCTGAGGCAGGAGAATTGCTTGAACCTGGGAGGTGGAGGTTGCAGTGAGCCAAGATCATGCCACTGTACTCCAGCCCAGGCAACAGAACAAGACTCTGTCTCAAAAAAAAAGAGAATGAATCCATATTTGGGGTGAATTTAGATGATTATTTTATGATGGGTAAATCATTGTGTTGTGCCTCTGTACGTGGATATGTGCATGCATGCCTTATCTTGTAAGAACTTATTTTGGATTATTTTATTAGGTTGGTGCAAATGTAATTGCAGTTTTTGCCACTGCTTTTTTTATATATATACTGGCTATGAATATTATTTATTCTATTACTATTTATATACAGGTGAAAGAAAATAACTTTCTCAAGCATACACATTCTTTATTTTTTTAATTTAATTTAAGTTTTAAAATTGTACTTTAAGTTCCAGGATACATGTTCAGGTTTGTTACATTTGGTATACATGTGCCATGGTGTTCTGCTGCACCTATCAACCCGTCATCTAGGCTTTAATTCCCACATGCTTTAGGTATTTGTCCTAATGCTCTCCCTCCCCTCACCCCCGACCCCCTGAAAGACCCTTCCTTGTTGTTCCACTCCCTGTGTCCATGTGTTCTTATTGTTCACCTCCCACTTATGAGTGAGAACATGTGGTGTGTGGTTTTCTGTTCCTGTGTTAGCTCGCTGAGGATGATGGTTTCCAGCTTCATCCATGTCCCTGCAAAGGACATGAACTCATTCTTTTTTATGGCTGCATAGTATTCCATGGTATATATGTACCACATTTTCTTTATCCAGTCTCTCATTGATGGGCATTTGGGTTGGTTCCATGTCTTTGCTATTGTAAACAGTGCTTTTGCCATTACTTTAAATGGCAAAAATCACAATTAAGTTTGCATCAACCTAATATTTGAGAGATAATTAAAAGTAATGCTAGCCCGGTGTTGTGGCTCTTGCCCGTAATCCCAGCATTTTGGGAGGTTGAGGTGGGAGGATCCCATAATGCCAGGAATTCAAGACCAGCCTGGGCAAGATGGCAAAACCTCATGTCTACAAAAAAATTAAAAAAATATAGTAAGGCATCGTGGTGTCTGCTATTCAGGAGGCTGGGGCAGGAGGATTGCCTGAGCCCAGGAGTTCAAGGTGGGAATGAGCTACAATCACACCACTGCACTCTAGTCTGGGTGGCAGAGTGAGACCCTGTCTCAAAAAAAGAAAAAAAAAAAAGTAATGCTAAACTATTTTATTTTATTTAAGGTGATTATTCTTAAATTACAAAAATAAATAAAAATACACTGCATGCCAATGACATTCATGATTATTTTTACAGTTTGATAATATATAAAAGTGTCTTATAAATATATCATCTTAAAATGTTTTCTGCTTCTTAGTATGGTTTTATATTATAAACATGTTTAAGGTAAACATTTTTGTTAAGTGTAGCAATATATGTTATTGGTACAATGTTACGTTGATTACTGTATTTTAAACTATATTGCATATTACTACAACAGGTTTTGAATTTATTGGAATTGTTGGGGCAATGGAGACATTTAACTTTAAAACTATCTTTTAATATGAACATTTTTATAATGTGTCAGCATGAACTCAATTAAAAATCTATGATGACACGAATTTAAGGAAACATATTAGTAAGGACACAGATTTTGGTAAGAATGGCTCAAAAGAGCAGTTTAGACCAGATGACAGGGGCCTTTTCTTTTATATTCTCATCTCAATGTAAGCAGCCCAGGGCTCATATGGCAGCTGTGTGTGTCGGGGGTCAGGCTCTTATGTCTTGTTGCTCCTCCAATCTATAGGCAGTTTTCCTCACCTGTATGGTTTGAGATGGCTCACCACTTTGTTTTTGTCCAGCCAGTGAGTAGGAGGAAAGAAAAGGAGAGGGCATACTTCTTCCTTTTAAAGGAATAAACCAGAAGTTGCATGTATCAGCCGTACTCACAAACTGATGTGCAGAACTTAGTCCCTGAGGTCACACCTAGGAACAAAGGAAGCTGGGAAATTGTGTTAGTCAGTTTGGGCTGCTATAACAAAGTACCACAGACATAGTTCTGGAGGCTGCAAGTCCAAGATCAGGGTGTCAGCAAGGATGGGTAATGGTGAGGACTGTCTTCTGGGTTGCGACTGTCAACTTCTTGTTGTATCCTTACATGGTGGAAGAAGTGATGGAGCTCTCTGGGATCACTTTAATTAGGGAACTAATCCTATTCATGAGGGATCCACCCTTATGATCTAATTACTTCTCAAAGGCCCCATCTCCTAATACCATCACTCTGGGGGTCTGAATTTTAACGTATTAATTTTGGAGGGACACAACCAGCCCATTGCAGAAATGTAGTCTTTCTTGCTGTGTCAGGAGTTTGGCTAAAAATTAGGAGGTTTATTATGATGAGAAAATTGACAACTAGAATTTGTCAGGGTCTTCCTATGAGTCAGACAAATATCCGTGTACATCTTTTTTTTTTTTTTTCTGTGCACGTAGAAAATACTCACCTATTCCTCAAGAGAGGAGAAACCCATCCAATTGTTTCAGGTTCAAAATCCTGGAATTTTGAGTGCTGCTCCATCCTATCTGCTATGTTCAGGGTGACTCTAGCAATTTATGGGACAATGACCCACAAATTAAAATACAAGTCATCTGCATCCCCTCCAACACCCACCAAATACTCAATATTAAATGGTAATGATGAACTGAATAACTGCAGCAAAAGGGAATAATGGAGATTGCATAGCGAGCACTGGTCTGCAGTGATTATCCAATCTTGCTGGCAGGAGTGAAGCAGACTTCCTGCCCTAGCTGTGGCCTTCTCTCCCTGGTTTGCTGGTGACCCGGACAGGTTGGAGGTCTGGGTGTTGCTTTAGGCATTACAATTCCCATAAAAGCCAAACCGACTTCTAGACTTTTCCTTCTGACTGGTATCATGTATTAGCAAGCACAGCCAATTATGGCTTCTAGATATCAGTTTTAAGTCTGAAATCACTGATCTTTTATTTATTTGGCTCTAGGCGCCCTCCACTTAATAGTAACTACTTGGAGGTCATCATGGAAAAAAAAATAGACTTGTGTGTTAAAGTCATATTCTTCATCTCCTTTTGGTCTCTGGGCTGGTTCTCCTCATCTGTTAGACAGCCTTAGCAGGAGGTGCTTGAGAAAAACTTCACAATGCAGTCAGAATTTCTTTGAAGATTGCTTCTTCAGTGCTCCTTCTTTTTTTTTTTTCTTTTTTCTTTTTTTTTTTTTTTTTGAGAGGGAGTCTTGCTCTGTCGCCAGGCTGGAGTGCAGTGGCATGATCTCGGCTCACTGCAGCCTCCGCCTCACAGGTTCAAGCAGTTCTCCTTGCCTCAACCTCCCGAGTAGCTGGGACTACACGTGTGTGCTGCCATGCCCGGCTAATTTGTTTTGCATTTTTAATAGAGACGGGGTTTCACCATGTTGGCCAGGAAGGTCTTGATCTCCTGACCTCATGATCCCCCGCCTCGGCCTCCCAAAGTGTTGGGATTACAGGCGTGAGCCACCACGCCCAGGCTTCAGTGCCCCTTCTTACATTTTCTTACATTTGTGAGTGTAGAAATCATTTTTATCATTATTTCTTTTAACCCTATGATGTTTCAAATTACCGAACTCTCAGTCAACTTAGATTTCTGATTCAGGCCCCAACAAAGTGAGTCTCTCTCAGCAGATCTGTGTTCTCTGCAATATCTGCTTGTAGACTGGTTAGATCTAGCCTAGGTCTATCTCTCTTGTGACACTTTGTTGAAGTGGTAAATATGTAGTCAATGCATAGCAAGATTCTAAATTTTCTTAATTGTTTTTTTCAACTGTAAGTTTTGTTAATATAGTGGTAAATATACCATGGAATCACAAGTGACATATTTGTCAAATGATCTGCCATAAATACACAATTATCTCTAGCTTTTCAGCTTGCATTACTTGTGCCATGGTTGTTTTCTACCTGATTGCTAATCCAATGCTTGAGTGTTCACTTTTGTAGAAATATTCCACTTTTGGAACAAAATGTATATGTTATGCTAGAGCCTTGCCTTGAATAGTGGTATATTAATCCATTTTCATACTGCTATAAAGAGCTACCTGAGCCTGGGTAATTTGGGGGGCGGTGTGTGTGTATGTATATATATGTACACATATATATGTTTAATTGACTCACAGTTCCACAGGCCTTTTACCATCATGGCGGAAAGCAAGGCACATCTTACATGGTGGTAGGAGAGAGAGAGAGTGAAGAGGGAACTGCCAAACACTTTTAAACCATCAGATCTTATGAGAACTTACTCACCATCATGAGAACAGCATGGAGGAAACTGCTCCCATGATCCAGTCATCTCCCACAAGGTCTCTCCCTTGACATGTGGGATTACAATTCAATATGAGATTCAGGTGAGGACACAGAGCCAAACCATATCAAGTAGAGACCAAATATAAGGTGGCTTAATTAAGAGAGGACTCTGTTGAACAGTCTAGGGCTGTGCCTTTGTGCTCTGCTATCCCGAAGTTAGTAGCTCTTGCCTGGATGGAGTGAGATGACTGACCCTGACACCTGTGTTCCAGTGGATGGGCTGGGGGTTGCAGGAAGGGAAAGGTAGCCCCAGAAGATGAGCACTTCATTTCTTTGGCCACTCTTTGTCATATGACCACTCCTAGCTGCAAGGAAAGCTATATAAAGTAGTTTTTATTCTGTGTTTCACTTATCTATTGCTGCATGACAAATGACTCCAAGACTTAATGTGCTCAAATAAGAATGATTTATTTGCTCATGTTTTTATGAGTCAACTGGGCATTTTTTCAGTCCCATATGGTACTGACTTGGTCAATGGTGCAGCTGCTTTTACCTGCCAGTTGGGCTAGACTAGAAGGGACAAAAGGCCTCTTATCTGTTGGAGGTTTTGGTGCTTTTAGCTTGGTTCTCATCCACGAAGTTTCTCTCTCCACATGGCTTTCATCTGTCAGGGACTCTCTATGAGGCCTCTTTCTCCAGAAGAATAGCCTTCTTACAGCCTGAAAGCTGCATTCCAAGAGGGTGAAAGGAAAGCTGCCAGGCCTTTGAAGGGCGAGGCCTAGAACTGGCATAGTGTCATCTCTGCCATGTATTTTGATCAGAGCAAGTCACAAATCACAACTGCAGCCCAGATTTTAGGGGAGGGAATTAGACTTCACTTCTTAATGGGAATAGTGACACAGACAAACATGAAGGGGAGGAATTGTAGGAGACTATCTTTGGAGACTACCTACCATATTCCAGATGGTTATGCAGTGATAAAAACCAGGGCATTGGACAGGCATAGTGGCTCATGCCTCAAATCCCAGCACTTCAGGAGGATGAGGCAGGAGGACTGCTTGAGCCCAGGAGTTCAAGAAAACTCTGGGCAACATAGCAAGACCCGTTTCTACAAAGTTAAAAAATTAGCTGGACATGTGGTCATGCACCTGTAGTCCTAGCTACTTGGGAGGATCGCTTGATCCTGGGAGGTTGAGGCTGCAGTGAGCCATGATCATGCCACTGCACTCCAGCCTGGGCAACAGACAGAGTAAAGCCCTGTCCCTTCCACCCCCTCAAAAAAATCAAGGCTCTATGTTTATGAAAGAAAGAGGAAGAATAGATAGTAGGAGAAATGGAGCAGCCTCTGCAGAAGGCTCTTGCATTTTATTTAAGTAATTGTTCCTAAAATATTTCTACATTTTCAGAAATCACATATTATAATAGGTTCTATATTTTAAAAAATCTTTACAAATACAGATTTGAGAATTAATGAAAATTAGCATCCTATTGATTTCCAGCTTACCTGAAAGATATTTATGACTATGTATTTTTGTAGAAATCATTCTTGGCAGAATATATCACTGACTATTGTTTTTTAAACCTATTTCTACATTATACATAATAAAATGTCTCTTCTGATATAACCTTGCTTTCTCTTTTTCATAGAAATATTTTTGGGTTATTTTTATATCAACAGGATTTCTTTGGTATACAAGTCTCTACTTTTAATGTTTATAGACTTATGGACTCTTGAGATTGGGATGGAATTTACATTTATTTCAATATCTTAATTACGACCATAACAACAGTGGTAATTAGTATTTGTTAAGAATTCATGCTGGTCAATGGTTATCTCATTTAATTTTCACCAGAACTTTTGTGGATTAATTACCATTGTTACCTTCATATTATAGTGGAAGGAAGGGAGATTTCTGAGGGTTAAGCATCTTGCCCAAGATTACACGGCTAGTATGTAGCAAAGGTAGAAATTCAACTCTGGCCAACTGACCACGCTCTTAACTTCATGCTCTGGAGATCTTTCTCTAGTCTAACTCATCTGCTGAGAGGTTGTCCAGCTTGTGTGTTAACACCTGATGGGGAACTCTCTTCTTCATCAGGGTAATGAATTTCAGCTCTTGAATTTCATGATAGAAATAAATGACCCTGTCTCTCTGCAGTCATGCATTGGTTTTAGCCAAACTATTTGGGCTCATGAAGAAAATGTCTTGCCTGTGTTTTCCATGACAGACCTCCAAATATTTGACAATAATTATCACTCTGGAATCTCACATTCTTTCATCCCGCACTCAAGTCATCTCCTCTCTAATTCTATCAGCAGATTCTTATATGATAGTCATTTCACTCTTAACCATCATTCTTCTTCAAATACACAGCATTTATCAGTGATGCTTTTTTGGCAAGCCAAATTGATGGAATCCACCAGGAATGGGCCAGCTGGTAAAGATTACAACACATAAACACCTTCCTCCTTGTATAGGCTGCCTAATAGGTGATAGTGTGTGATGGAAAGAGCCAAGGCTTTGGAGTCAGACAGACCTGAATTTGGCTGGTGTTTCACTATTTCTACTCCTTCCTAGCTCTGTGCCTTAGGGAATAGGCTTCATCCTTATTTTTTTTTTTCCATGAGGAAGGTAGGGATGGGAAATATCCACCTTAGAAGGTGTATTAAAGATGTAAGGTGGGCATCTGGCTCTATGCTCGGACTCCAGGAAAATATGCTGTTTTATTATTGTAATTTTTAGTTGGCCATCTTGCACATTTCTCTAAGTAAAAGGCATATGCAGACAAGTCAAGAATGTGCTCAGCCATTTCAGGATACTGTTGCTAGGAGAGTTTGTTTGTTGTGAAGGTAAAGTACACTTACAGTTCTTCATGTAAGTCAAAACTGGGGTCAGATCAGCCTAATTTCTGCACAATGTTCAGGAAGACTATCGTCTTGAATTTGGCTCATGAGAAATCTTATTTCTAGACAAAAATTTGAAGCAAGATTTTTCTTTTTGTTGGAAGTTCAATAGACTAGCATTTTGCATTCAGCATCCTGTTGATTCTAAGACTCCCCAGCATTTAAACTTTCAGGGATATTTTATCATCCAGCAATTAAATTTTGATGAATTTGTGTTCTTTACAGTCTGTTCTCATTCATTGTTTTAATTATGCCTGTTTGTGTTTAAATCTGTTCATGTTTAATCAAAAGGATGGCCTCGTTTCATTTCAAAAGTTATTATCAACCTCAAAATTGTCTAATAAACTGTGAAGTAAAACAAATTTGTCATTTTTCATATTTATGGAAAAGACATGATTTAGCAATAGTATTAAAGGCAGAAACTTTAAAAAAAAAACCATGTGCAGAATATGACATTTGCTTAATGCTTTCCTTCTACTGGCAATGTTTTTCAGGAGATAACAGCACAGACCATCCAGAAGGAACTTAAAGTAATTTAAAGTGATACCTGTGACCCTCTAAGTGCCTCCTGCTATGGTATTTCTGCTTCTGCTTTGCCAGGGGGATTCATACACAGAAATCTGAATTAAATGAGAGAAATTAGGCACCCATTAAATTTGCTTTTCAGAGAGAATAACAGCACCATAAAAAGTGCTGTCACAGAAAAAAATGACATAGCCTATTCTGTATTGATATGATGATATAGATTAACTCCTTTGAGCATGTTGCATTTGTTATTTTGACAACTTTTCTAACTATGCTATAGAATTTAATTTGTAAAAAGATGTGAATTTCAGATACTCCCAACCCCCATGCTGACATTTTTGGTTCTAACAGGTGAATTTCTCAATTTCTGCCTTTGTGAGTTCTTGCCTTCAAAGTGACTTCATTATTCTTTATTTTGATTAGTCAAGCTGTCAAGATCCCAAATTAAAACAAAAATGGATTCAGAATTCTAGCATCATGCCCACCATCTCAACACTGTATTATGGACTTTTTTTTTTCTCCAACTTTACCTGGCATTTGTATTGTCCTGGCCTTCCCAATTCTGCTGGTAAGCACTAAAACCATAGCTCCAGATGAGAAAATGCATGCCTCACTGAGGTATGCCTGTCTCCCCGTGAGAATACTACCTAGATCATGATCTGAGTTCTTGTGCAGATAACTTTTATGGCAAGTCCGTATTAAATCCCCTGGTGCAAGAACAAAAGAAGAATAGAAGAATATAGAATGGAGAAGCTTGCTCAAACTCCAGAGAGTAGGGAAAAAAAGGTATTAAAAAGTAACACAATAAAACAAGCACATTGGCATATGAATTTGCAAACAGTAATTTTCCTACCTGTGGCTGCAGAGCTGCACTGTCCTATCACATTCATTACATGCCCATGGGACTTTTGTCCTGTGTTCACAGTTGGCTGATAGCAGTATAAAGAAGGATGGAGGACAGACTCACTCACTTAGCGTCTAGGAGTCAGGTGGGCTCGTTCCTGCTCTTCCTTTCTGTAACCTGCAACCTTGTATGATTCTCACAGAACTGGTATTGGGTTCACCACGTATAAAATGGGAGATTGGTCCCATACTCTTTCCTTGCCATGTTGACTTGGAATGAATAATGGCAACGGGGTGGCTACTTGACAGAGTTAGAACCTCTTCAACTCAGGTGCTTCTCATAGATGCCAGGCACTGGAATTCTGATGTTGTTATATATTCCTGACCTAATGGATGCTGGGCTATCTCCTGCTCTCCTTAACTCCTTATGCCTCTTAAATTTACTTGATCATCCCAGGGTTCCCACATTTGAATTTACTAATCTGGTAAACATTTTTTATGCTAAAGCCCGGAAGGTCATTGAAGGTTCTTCTGCTGCTGTCTCCGATAGCCCTACACTGAACAAAGTGCATTTTAATTGCTCTTCTCTAGATAATATACCTGCCTTTGTAGTCTAATTTATCAGGAATGCTAGTTTAACTCAGAGTCGGGGTAAGTATTACTCGCTGTTATCATGGGAGACTTTTGGGGCTGTTATGAGGAGTGGGAAAAAAAACAGTCAGCTACTGTCTAACTCCACATATAGAATTAATGATACACTTTGGGAGGCTGAGGCGGGCAGATCATGAGGTCAGGAGTTTGAGACCAGTCTGGCCAACATGGTGAAACCCCATCTCTACTAAAGATACAAAAAATTAGCCAGGTGTGGTCGTGGGCACCTGTAATCTCAGCTACTCGGGAGGCTGAGGCAGGAGAAATGCTTGAATCCGGGAGGCGGAGGTTGCAGTGAGCCAAAATCGCGCCATTGCACTCCAGCCTGGGCGACAGGGTGAGACTCCATCTCAAAAGAAAAAAAGAATTAATCTTGATAGTCATACTCAGTGTATAAAACCATGACCACAGTTTGTTTTGAAAAACAGACTCTAAAAGAGAGTACATGCTTTCCTTGTGTGCATCAAAAGCTTGCTCACTATTGTTAAAACCAAAAATAGACTTGGTGTGATTACCAGTTATTTTATTTTCATTATTTTGAGATCTAAAACATTGTTTCTAAATATCTACTTGTGTAAGTACCAAGCGATTGGTAAGAGTTCTCAAAAAGTTCCCTTTCCTCAGATTCTTGAAATCTCTCCTTTCCAAGAGAGGTCTAAAAAACATACAGGTTTAAGATTTCCATCTAATAGTTTTAATTTAAACATGTCTGGAGTGGGAAGGTGTCACACAAAGTAAATCAGATTAACTTGGAGTAACTTGTGTTGTTATACAGAACAGGGTTGATTCTCAAAAGCATCCTTGTACTAGGATGGTTTAGAATGAACTGTGGAGCATGTCTTGTCTTCAGTTATGGACCAGGGACAGGATATGTGGGCGTTATATGGCATGGCTTTGGTGGATTATATGGCATGTGTTGAGACCTTCTGGATTTCATGCAAAATACACTTCGTGTAGATACAGAGTCTTGTTGAGGAGCAGGCACAGAGATCTGCCCTATGTTTATAGCACTAAGTGACTGTTCATGGGCTGCCCAATATATTTTAGAGGTATTTGGCACAACTCATATTTTTATTAGTTTTTGGAAGAAACTGGCTTTCCCTTTGTTATCTTTCCAATGCCAAGTTTGAATTGAAAATGAACATTACATCAGCTTGTTTCTTGGTCATTGGGAAAAAATCCCGTCTGTACAGACAAATTCAACCTGAGTACCAAGGGAAGAAGAGACATATGATGTCTGTTGAAAATTGTCGTATCAAGTTTTACACATTTTGTTTAGAATACAGTATTGTCCCTATCCAAATCTTGGACACACACACACACTTAAATTTTAAGTTAAAATCTGCTCTACATACACAAGAATAAAGATTTTTGTAAGCATATCCTTGTACTGTTTGCAAAATTTAATTATTCTGTGATAATCAGCTAACTAGTCATGTTTATAGTGACTGAGGAAATCTCACAAGGAAAGCACTAAAGCAGGGTCTGGAAGGTGGATTTACATGGATCCCTTATTACACCTATTCCCATGATTGCACATTAACTAATTTTGTATTACATATTTGTTTCAGTAAAATATAAAGAAATTATTATTTAATTGGCTCAGAGATTTAAAAAGTACTGAATAAGGTTACATTCTTAGTAGTGTAAGATAACCAAGAAGACGATGTTCAGATCTTCTGTGACATAAATTACCATTGTTTTGCTTTCCCACAACGTGAACATTTTTTAAATGCTGGTTTGAGAACCACCATCACAACAAAGGATGTTAATGTGTTAGGTTTTTTCTTTTAATATAAAACAGACCTACTTGCATATTTTTTTCTAGTTTAGCAGTTATTATGCATCTACTGACTTGGTTAGCTACTGAAATCAAGAATCCTTTAAACCAAGAGAAAAGGAGAAAATACTAAAAACAAAACAATAAATTAAAGAGCTCTGGGGTGTGTTTGGATTATTTTCTTGTCATGATTCTTGGGTGTGGTGACACTTGTTGGCTTTTCTATGTGGTTTTATTAAGGACTTTGTGTACATTTCCATGTTGTTCAGCTTATGGCGTCTTGCCTTTGTTGTACCCGGAGTTCATTGTGCATGTAGGATGAACTTTCTCACAGTCATGCCTATGTAAAGTGCCAACCAAATGGCTTGGCTGCTTCTTCTATATCTGCTGTACCTACATACTCTCAATTACAGTACTAGGCAAGAGCATAGGCAATGGAAAGTTGTCTTTATAGGATTTTCCTTGGGATGAGTTTTGTAGCAGAATAAATAGCAGATAAAATAGTGCACATCATACTTGGGCAATGTAATTACTGTTTATTTGTGAAGATAATTAAAAAACCAAACATTTGCTCAAGGTTTGAAAAACATTTGAGAGTGAATTGAGGCAGTCAGTTACTTTCTGTCCCTGAGGTAAGATCACTGAGCTTAGGTTAAGATACCTCACAAGCTGATTTGGTCTTCTTTCCTCGGCTTCACTTATGTGGCTATAGCTTCAGGAATCTGAGATTGTCAGAATAATTAGTTGTGGGTTTGTTTGCTTCTTTGTTTTCTGAAAGTAATTTTAGACCAGATGGCTAGTCATAAATTTATTCACTCATTCAAGAACTAGTCATTTAGCATCTATGTGGGTCAGTTCTGTGCTGAACAATTGATATACAATGGTGCACGATCTTCCTTGTCTTCAAAAAGGATGTAGTCTAGTGGGGAACATAGACCACTATATACACAATTGTAATTCAGCGTGCTAAGGATTAAGTATAGGGGCCAGGTAGTGTTAAATTGGGTGCACCTGACCTATTTGGGTATATTGAGAGAGGTTGCCCAGAAGAAATCATAGTAAAACTGAGACAAATGCTAGTAATTAACAAGCAAAAGAGGTAAAATAAAAAGAAGAAAATACGGAGTATTCAAAGCAGAGGGCTCACTTTTGCAAAAAGTCAGAGTTAGTAGTTAAGATTCAAAGTCTGCCATGCTGTCCTGGTGAAGTTCTAATAACAAACATACACTTCCTTCCCAGTTTTCCTTATTGCATGGCTCAGAATGAACTCTTATTTCATACTCATTCTTACTATATAGCATTGCCTTTGGTTATCACAAATAGTCACCAGGCTTTTCCCTGAAAGTAAATGGGTTTCATTAGGAGCAGATGTAATTCTAATCTGTAGAGTCTGTAAAACATTCAAGGGATTATTTGGATTAAAGAACTCTAAGTTTTAAGGGGAAAAATATTATCATTATTTTAATAATACTTTCCCAAGTCGCAAACGAATAACTGGCTCCAACAATCACATCACTGTAATTGTTCACACATTTCAGGCAGGCATTTTACAGCCACACAAAGAAACTTCAACAGCTAAGCTCCTCTGATTTGATTGCTAGAGAGACTCAAAATTTCTGTTTTAGTGCCAAAAATCGAATCACTAGAGCAAAAGTTAGACAGGAAAGGCTGAACTTGAACAAAAGTTCAGTGGTTTTATAAAGTGTGCTATTATTGAATCTCATCAAATTTAAGATGTATTAGTTGTAATGTGCACTATTTTATGTAACATTAACAATAAATACATAACACACTGCCATTTAAACTATGACATGCTATCAGCTGTAAGACCTTCTCCTGTTTAATTTCAGAGAGATTAACATGTGAAATGATGTCTATCTTAGAATCTGTGAATCATGGCTAACAACAATAAATATTTCTATGAAGTCTAATGGGTATTTCTTCTATATGATAAAAAAATCAAAATGAAAAATAGAAAATCAAGTCAGACATTTGAAGGCTTTGTGTTTGAGATTGGAAGTGTTGGAAGGAACATGATAGAAAATAGAAAATTAGACCTTAAAATAGGCATTCCAGTCTCTTGAGCACATTAAAAATCCCTATTACTTAAGGGAGATTTGCTATGCACTGAATCTGAAAAACAGAAGGGGTAGGAAAACATAAAGATATTGTCAGCTTCCTCTTACCTCCATCAAACAGAATCATAGTGTCATTAAATTAAATTCTTTTGATCTTCAGCACTTTTTGAAAGATTTTTGTGCTCTATGGTTGTAAATGTATACACATAAAACTAATAGTTATGGTAGAGTGACTATAGGAAAAGAAATAATTAGTGAGAAACTTTGGGAAAATGGTGGAAGAATAACCAAAAGATAGAAAATGTGAATAACTTTTACTTATCTGTTACTGGCTATTGAGCAATAGATGAAGATGAGCTGAGTAATTGTTCAAGCCTAATATACAACCCCTGCCTTTTAAAGTTTTGCTAGATCTCCTTTCAGTATTACTGAAGGAATCAAGTGGCAACTGACTCTAAGAAGATAAGGTTGTAGTCCCAAACAAAATAAAGCAAGGCTACAATTTATTCCTAAACCACTTTTCCTTACCTTCCACTGTTACCTTTTACATTTCCTTAATAATTTGATACTACTTTTCCAGGATCCAGCCACATGCCCTTCTGCCACTGTGACAAAAAGCTAAATTTTCTCTTTGCTATAACAACTTAAGTGTTACAAACCAGGTTTTCTCATGAGACAAAAGGTAAATATTTCTAATATGGAAAGAGTTTCTACTGTTCATAAGAAAAAGAACATAGTACGTAAATGCACACAGACATTGAACATGGAGTTGACAGATGAAGCAATATGAATTTCGAATAGTCATATGAAAATATCCTAGTGATCATCAAAGTATATTGTATACCTATAAGCAGCAAGACTCCAGTTTTTGCCTGTAAGATAAGCAAAAAGTTAAGATGATTGATAATATTCAATGTTAGTGTGTGGGTAGGAGTAGATATTGGCATAACTGTTTTGGAAGGCAACTTAATGTTTAATTTTGGAATTTCAAACTTCATATTGATCAGTAAATTCACTTTTAGGATTCTGCCTGTAGATAAACTCACATGAGTTTACATGAATATATATATTGATTAACTGTTGAAGCAATTTTTATGAAAACTAAAAAGAGGGGTCTGTAATCTAAATATTTGTTTACTTAAATAATTTTTATTGAAATAAAGGTGAGAATATATACAGGATCTTGGGCGGTGGCCAGTGGCCAGACCTTCTGCTCAGGTGCCTGAAAAGGAAAAGAAGGTCTGGTGTACAAATATGTGAATGGGGAAATAGAAATGGCACACAATGTGGGAACTTATGACTACCCATTGGTTCCCACTGGAAAGTCCCCAAAGTGTCCCCAAAGAAGAGACACTGATGAACCAAGCAGACAAGATGACTCAGCCAGTTGACATTATCCAGCCTCTGTCATTGACTACTCCAGAACTGGAATGAGAGACACATGAATGGAGTTGTCATGATGGTAGCGATAAAGGCCACATGTGAACCAAACAATATGACTTCCACTTCCCAAGTCTGCTCTGGCTGCCTCTGAAAGTTAGCAACAGGGACCAACACTGAGCCCAAGATATGGCACTATTACTTAAGGCCAACCAGATACTCTGTGGAAGTCAAATACATTGGGCCTCTTCTGTCTTGCAAGGGCCAGCAGTTTGTCATTGCAAGGATAGAAACTTATTCTGGGTATGGATTTGCCTTTCCTACCTATGGAGCCTCAACTAGCATTATTACCTAGGAACTTGTGGAATGTCGGATACACAGACATGGAATTCCACGCAGGATAGCATTCAACAAGAAGCCCTTTTTAACAGTGAAGGGGGTGCAGAGTGGACCTATGACCATTGATCCACTCATCATATGAGGTACTGCATTACCTAGAGACAACCAGCCTTGAAGAATGCTTAAATAGTCTTCTAGACTATTTAAATGCCAGCATGCAGGAAACTCTGAATGGATGGTGTGTCTATCATTCTACAAGACATAGTGTATTTATTAAGTTGGAGACCCCTATATGATGCTGTACCCTCAAAAGAAAGGTCTGGAAATTCAAGGGCTGAGCAGGAGTGACTTCACTTATAATCACAACAATGACTTACTGGGGGTCCTGTCTTTTTTGTCACTGTAACTCTGGGCATACTCCACATTCTATTGCCTTTCAGAAGCATATGGGCCAATACAGAAGAAGAATAATTATAGAAGTAGAACCCCATAAATTAGTTTTCTTTTTGCAAACACTCATATTACTTGGAAACTTATGTTTTCAGTGTAACTGATTCTGAGTTCATTTTAGCTGGCAATAAGTAGTTACAATTTTTTTAAAGCTGAATTACATGGTTTAAAGAGGGAAAGGAATGCCAAGGAGACTAATACAGTAGGCCCATGAGTTCTGCATCTGTAGCTTCAACCAACCATGAATGGAAAACATTGAAAATTAAAACCTAATAAAGAAAAACACTACAGCAAAACATAGCAAAAATTAAAAAATACAGTATAACAGCTATTTGCGTGACATCTACATAGTATTATGTATTATAAGTAATCTAGAGATGATTCAAAGTATACAAGAGGATGTGTGTAGGTTATAAGCAAATACTACACCATTTTATAGAAAGAATTTGAACATCCATGGATTTTGCTCTTTATGGGGGGTCCTGGAACCAATCCCCATGGATACCAAGGTACAACTATATTTATCTAGGGTTGGTCATGGTAGATATTATGCTGAACATATGTTAAAAATGCCTTTTATATCCATTCATTTATTTAATAAGTGGGGTAAAAAACTAGGGTGCTGGGGATTACTTATTAACAAGACAGACACATTCCTATCCTTACAGAGCTTACCTTTTATTGTAGGGGTATATATTATTAACATATACACAATAAGTAATATAATGCTCAGTAAAAATAAAGCTGGGAAAAGATGATAGCCAGTGAAAGGTAGCTTGGAAGAATGCTGTTATTTTCAATATAGAACTCTCTCTGAGTAGATGAAGTTTATGTAGAGACCTGAATAAGGTAAAGGACTGTGCCATGTGACTATCAAGGGAGGAGGGAATAGGTAGAGGGGACATCAGTCACAAAGATCTAAAGAAGGGAATAAACAGCCCATTCAAGGATACCTAAGAAAACCACTGATGAATGGGCAGAAGAGGCAGAAATGGGGTTGAGGAGGTGGGTGAAGGCTGACTTGTAGGCTTGGGTAGGGAGTCTGGATTTTATTCTAAATATGTTGGGAAGCCCTTAGAGAGCTGTGCACATAAGATGGATGTTATCTGGTTTAGGTTTTACAAATTCTACTCTGGTTGCTGTTGTGGAGAATAGAACCTAATCAGAGACCAATTAGGAGACATTTATTTATTTATTTATTTATTTATTTATTTATTTATTTTATTATTATACTTTAAGATTTAGGGTACATGTGCACAATGTGCAGGTTAGTTACATATGTATACATGTGCCATGCTGGTGCGCTGCACCCACTGACTCGTCATCTAGCATTAGGTATCTCTCCTAAAGCTATCCCTCCCCGCTCTCCCCACCCCACAACAGGCCCCAGAGTGTGATGTTCCCCTTCCTGTGTCCATGTGTTCTCATTATTCAATTCCCACCTATGAGTGAGTATATGCAGTGTTTGGTTTTTTGTTCTTGTGACAGTTTACTGAGAATGATGATTTCCAATTTCATCCATGTCCCTACAAAGGACATAAATTCATCATTTTTTATGGCTGCATAGTATTCCATGGTGTATATGTGCCACATTTTCTTAATCCAGTCTATCATTGTTGGACATTTGGGTTGGTTCCAAGTCTTTGCTATTGTGAATAGTGCTGCAATAAACATACGTGTGCATGTGTCTTTATAGCAGCATGATTTATAGTCCTTTGGGTATATACCCAGTAATGGGATGGCTGGGTCAAATGGTATTTCTAGTTCTAGATCCCTGAGGAATCGCCACACTGACTTCCACAATGGTTGAACTAGTTTACAGTCCCACCAACAGTGTAAAAGTGTTCCTATTTCTCCACATCCTCTCCAGCACCTGTTGTTTCCTGACTTTTTAATGATTGCCATTCTAACTGGTGTGAGATGGTATCTCATTGTGGTTTTGATTTGCATTTCTCTGATGGCCAGTGATGGTGAGCATTTTTTCATGTGTTTTTTGGCTGCATAAATGTCTTCTTTTGAGAAGTGTCTGTTCATGTCCTTCGCCCACTTTTTGATGGCAAGGACTTCATGTCTAAAACACCAAAAGCAATGGCAACAAAAGCCAAAACTGACAAATGGGATCTAATTAAACTAAAGAGCTTCTGCGCAGCAAAAGAAACTACCATCAGAGTGAACAGACAACCTACAAAATGGGAGAAAATTTTTGCAACCTACTCATCTGACAAAGGGCTAATATCCAGAATCTACAATGAACTCAAACAAATTTACAAGGAGACATTTAGTTGCTTGAGTCCTGGCTGAGAGATAATGGTCAGTGGCTTGGGGTTAGATTTTATGTTAAGGAGAAAATTCTAGGCTTAAATGTGACCTTTGTAAACAGCAACAAAAGCAACTTCTAGGATTGTTTTGGCAATATCTTAGGTCTGTTAAGGTATCAGTCTGCTAAAACTGATCTAACATATGCACAGTTTTGACACTATACACATATGGGCATTTTGTAGTATTTCTATAATTCTCAAATGAGTTTGTAATCCCACCAAAAATGTATAAAACACACTGTGAGGAGGCTGTAATATCCACTAAATGGTAATGATTTCTGAGATATCCAAGATCAGATTTGGAATCTTCTGATATCCAAGATCAGATCTGGCTCAGGACAAATTGCAGGGAGCATTTCAAAACAAAGCCCTGTAGGTCATTATCTCCACCTCCTCCTCTTTCTTCCCAACTGTAGGTCAAAGCTTATGAAACACAGTATGATTTGGGAACATATAAAGTTGCAAAAGAGATAAAGGGAACCCGTGCTGGCACGGTGACACCCAGAGCTACAACAGCAGCTCTGAGGCCACTGCAGAGCAGCCCTCGTTGTTGTGTGCCAGAAACAGGAGCCCCTGCTGACCCATGCAAGACCTTCAAAGGATGCCAGATGACTGATTTACTGTGGTTTCAGAGGGGATCCAACAGAGAGCAAAAGTTTAGCATACAGCTGAAAATCACATCGATTTTCTCAGCTCACTGTAGTTTATTCTTTCCAGTGGATGTGTTTATGTGTTTATCCCTCAAATGAAATACCCTGGAGCTACATATGTACAATGCTGAACATATCTGTCAGTGGCCTGGACAGTAAAGAGGACCATAAAGCCATTTGTATCATTATTCAAATCACATTTTGCTTTTTACTCTGTAGTCTCAGGTCATTTATTGGCCTCCCTCTGCCCAGTTTACCCAACTTGAAGTAGGTATAAGATCACAATCAAAAGAGAACAAACACAGGTTGTTGTGAGGATGAAACACAATGTAATGTTTATAATAAATGTGTAGCCAGTTCTTGGCCACAGACTTAGAAGGTACTTGATAAATGTTTCTGTTCTTCCTTCTCTCCTGTCCTCCTTTCAGCTGGCCATTGTAAGAGGCTGTTCTCAGTTCTGAGTAAGTCTTGTTGACAAGATGGAGCCTGCCCCTTGAAGTTTGGTCGCTTACTTGCAGGTTTTATGGTCTAATAGGGTTTTAAAACTGAAGGGGATCTTAGAAAGTATACAGTCCTCATATCTCATTTCCAAATGAGGAGACAGCAGTGCAGTGAGTGCAGGCGATTTGGCCAAAGTTCTGCAGATACTAGAAGGACATGTGCTCCCCGGGCTCCATGTATCACACACTCTTTCTGTTGGCACCATATTCTCTCATACCCTGCTGCTCAGTTGTGCTTGTGCAACAACAATGTGAGGCTGCCTGAACCCAATGGTGAAGTTTGACAGAAAGAATATATTTCCTTTGCTTCATGAGATTCACAATAAAGTGAGCCTATTTGTTGTGCTGGCCTTACACATAACTTTGTTGACTTATTTTACTAAAAGTTCCGGGTGATCCTTTCAAATTCTGGGAACTTAAAATTATTTGGCCAGGACTCAAATGACTGATGTTGTCTCTAAATTGTGCTTGTGAAATCAAAAAAGGACATTGGTAGTTTAGCACATCGCTTGTGTTTAGAATGAGGTTTATAACATCTCTCTTAGTGCAACACAGAAATTTGACACAATAGGCAATAGTCTTGCTCTTTAGATACAAAGTTAACTTCCTGTTTAAAATAAGTAGTAAGCAAATGCTAGCATAAAAATTTAATGATATCTTTGCTATAATTTTAAGTAATTGAAAGTATCCTCTACTTCTGTGCCCTGAGACAGAAGTTATGAAAAATGTGTGTTAGAGGGAACTTAAAATGTATATCTAGGTTCATAAACCCACAAGCAGATTAAAGTTTCTTGATCTGTGAAACATTTCCAGTTTTAGAGACACAGTCCCTGAGTCCCTTGACTCCCAAAATACTCCTTTGGTCTCTTTCTTTTTCCATTGCACTCTCACATTTACTTAAAATAGACTTAGTAGTACACACTCCTCTACTAACTGAAGACATTTTCTTTCTTTCTGAAAATATCTATGAATCTTTATGTGGTGGGTACATAATTTTTGAAAATACTATTGTAATGTGATATTTTACCTGGTCATTTTGAAAGAGCCATACAAAATTTATCTACAACATTTCTAAAAATATTTTCTTGGCAGTAAATATGGGGTAGGGAAAAAATTTGTGCAAAGCCTTGTAGCAATTTGCTAAGCAAATTAGAAGTCTTTGTAGATCTATTACATGGGGAAACTTTAGCTCTGAGTAAAGGGAGTACATTTCTCAGGGAAGGCCGTGGGAATTGTGAAATGTGTACTTGAGTCTCAGAATGGGGCTGGGAAATATTTTTGTCAAGAGGACAATTGCCCAAGAGTCCCATAGCTGACATTTGTTCTAAGTGTGAGTGTGTCTGCATGACATCAGACTATCTGGATTCATAGCAAAGAATTCCATCAGATGTCTGGACGTTTGGGGTTGGAAACCACTTTGCTCTCTGTTTGCTAAATCTGTTCTCCCATCCAGGGGTTCCTCATTTCCTATAAGTGGAGGCTCAGGCCTGACCACTGTCAGAGGCTGCATAGGGCCCTCCGGGACCATTTCTGAGCTACTGTAGGAGTTTTGCTCATAAGGGCACTTACACTGAGGCAGGAGAATAGGGTCTGCAGAGAGGGAACCTAAGGCTGTTTCACGCTGACTTCCTAGAACTAAATTGAAAGGAAAACCCTGACTTTCCACGCCTAAGTAACAAAAGGACCAGAGGCTACTCCCTTTGCAAATCCCCCACCTTTTCTGCGCGCAGTTGAGAAATTGGCAGTCCGCAACAAATCGGACTAATTGCGGGTGGAATCTTCATTTGCATAGAAGTATAACTTTGTAACTTCACCCTAGCCTCTGATTGGTTGCTTTTTGCAACCAATCAGATGTTTGCACAGGAGTGCGACCTCTGTAACCTCACTTCAGCCTCTGGTTGGCTGCTTTCTACAACCAATCAGACTGATTGTGGGCTACAACTTCATTTACATAAAGTGAGCGTGAAGTGGCCAATGGGAAACTTATGGGAGGTATTTTGGCCCAGGAAGATTCTGTATCCTGCCCTTGAGCTGCTGCTTGGGCCTGTTCCCACACTGTGGAGTATACTTCCATTTTCAATAAATCCCTGCTTTCGATCTTTTGTTGCTTCATTCTTTACTTGCTTTGTTGGGCGTTTTGTCCAATTCTTAGTTCAAAACGCCAAGAACCTGGACAGCTTGCAGTCACGACCCTCTACCAGTGACAACACCTCCTGCTATTTACTATTCACCACTCATGCTTCATACCTCAATTCTGATATCTTGTCACACTTTTTGGCCTAATGTCCTGATCATTCAGGGCTCAAATTCTTGTAGAGAGTCTAATCCTTCGTTCCCTTGGCCTGGATTCATGAGCCCACAACCTGACTGCTCAGATTTTGTGCTCACATTCTTAAGTCTGAATCAATATTTGTTTGTTCACTGCCATAAACAATGAAATCTTCAGACTTTTGTTTTTGTTTGTTTTTTCTTACATACATAGTTTTTCTACTTGTTGTTTTGGCCCTTCCTGTTTAGTTTTCTCCTATTTTATTCAATTCTAGTGAGACAGCTTTACCTACACAAAGCCAACCTGCTAAACATTTGAAAATATTTTGTTGGGTATAGTGAATAAATGACCAAGTGAATCTTTTATCTATTATCTATGTATGTATGTATGTATGTATGTATGTGTTATCTATGTATGTATATATCTGTTATGTATGCATGTATGTATGTATCTATCATTTATGTATGTATGTATGATCTATGTATGTATGTATGTATCTGTTATGTATGTATGTATGTATGTATGTATGTATCTATCTATCTATCCATCTACCTATCTATCTCATCTATCTTTTATAGTTTTCTGGCACTTGACATTCAAGGCCCTCAATCAACCTTCTTCCTACATGTACCGTATTTCCATTTCTCTTCTTTCCACCAACTCCTCTCTGGCAAGAATACTGTTCATCAATCTCAGTGTGCATGATACCCTTGTTTCCCCAAATGCTGGCTCACAAGGCTTCCAATGCCTTTCACCCAACTTATCTCCATAAGTTTTATTTCTAATATTCTTTCAAGGCAAAATGTAATTCTTCCTTTTTATACAAGGATTCCTGAAATTGTAATTTCTTCATGATCTGTCTTCCAAATACCTGGTGGCTCTTATTCTCTAAATTACTTATTTTACTAAGTGCCACCCAGTATAGTTACAGCTCTATATCAGAAGCCATTTTGGTAGAAGGAACTGTCTTCCCTACTTTGGGCTTATATTATTTATCTACTATGTTCTCATAACAGAGTTGGTGCTCAATGGGCTTTGTTAAAAAATCACATTAACAGTTTTTTTCTTTGTATACAGAGATTAATGCCACAAAAATGGTGAATATTTCTCAAACCTACCAATTTTCAAGATAACTCCACTTTAGACTCATGAGAAAGAGGGATCATTGATTGAAAGTAGCTTCCTACAGTGGGCATATAATCATTAAATTTCTGGAAGAAAGCTAAAACCACACAGAAAATCATCTTGAGGCTTACACGCATTCAGTCTGCCTCTGATCTAAGAGGATGTTGGCCATTAGGAGATGAAAATGTTTTGAGCTAGGAAGAAACAATGTAAAAGGCCAAGTGGCCTAGTTTAAAGTTTCTTTGTTTTTCTTTATAATAATGAATGCAATAGAAAAGTGTTGAGGTTATAAAGTTTTTAAAGTTCATTAAAGGGAGGGGATCAATAAATTAAAATGGCAAACAGTTGCTCTTAAACATGTCTTTATGGAAATTAGAGTAGTGTGTATTTATTTTGCTGTTACTAATAAGCAATCGATGTTGTGCTTGACTTCTTGAGCAGATGTAAAGTCATCATGAGATGTTTCCTTGTTTCTGTGTGGTTCTTGTGTTTAATAAAATGGTGACTTCCTTTTGTTGGCATCAGTTCTGTAATTCAGATGATCTTTTTACTGCTTTGTATCCATCCAAGTTGTGAAATCAACTATAAGCTGCTCCTTTCAGCTTGCCAGTGATGTGGAATTCTTACCATATGAACGTTCCCCAGGGTTTTTGTAAGCCTCTTTAACCTCTGGATGCACTCTATTGACAGCTTCCGAGTTGTGATAAGTATCTACCTTTTATTTCAACTTGGAGATTTCTTGAACTTATAAAATTACATTTGCTTTGGAACAAATACTTTAGAGTGCACTGAGATGGCAGGTTCATGAATTCCCCAGAACTTTCATAGGAAATGGAGAATGCAAAGGTCATGTAAATATAGTTGTAGTAATGTCTTCACTGATTGAAAAAAAATTAATATCAAACACATTTTAGTTTGGAAAGATTGCCATCAGAGTGGACAGCATAGAAGGAATACATATGTGGGTTATCTTGTGGGATGTGGTTCAAAATAAAACTATATTTTCAGATAGTTGATACTTCCTAAATCAGTATTTGGATCACATCATAAATATTTTTTTAAAAATCCAAAAAAACTCTGTGTGTGCATGTTTTGTTTGTACTATTCTCCTAGCTCTGGTTATATTTACCATCTATTTATCTAAAAATGTTCAGGGAGGGGAATAGTATGAGATCAGCAGGTTGGCAGATGGCTATACACTATTTCTAATGTTTATACACTATTCTAACGTCTAGATTTTCCACCACAATTATGCATCCATGTATTATTTATATAACTAAAATAATTTAACAAATGCACATAGTAGTATCATTCTGAATTACATTTCTGGGAAATTACAAGGAAATTTAATGTGAGCTTTGACCATGACTTAAAAAATTATTATTATTTCCTGAGATTATGGATTATATTTTTATTCTTTTTCATTAATTTCATTCAACAAAAAATTGTTTGGGCTAGGCGCAGTGGGTCACACCTGTAATCCCAGTACTTTGAGAGGCCGAGGCAGGTGGATCATCTGAGGTCAGGAGTTCGAGACCAGCCTGGCCAACATGGCAAAACCCTGTCTCTACTAAAAATACAAAAATTAGCCAGGTGTGGTGGCATGCTCCTATAATCCCAGCTACTTGGGAGGCTGAGGCAGGAGAATTGCTTGAACCCAGGAGGTGGAGGTTGCAGTGAGCTGAGATGGCGCCACTTCACTCCAGCCTGGGCAACAGAGTGAGACTTCATCTAAAAAAAAATTGTTTAACATTTGCTATGTACAATATGATATGTTAGGCATCATGGGTACTAAAATAGGTAATATATGGATCCTGCCCTTGAGTAGCTTATAGTTCATTATGAAAAACAGACATAAAGAATATAAGTAAAATAAAATTCCACAGCCACTAGGATAGAAACCTAAATAAAATACAGTTATTAAATAATCTAAATAGCTTATTAAGTACATGATATTGTTGGAATGAGACACAGTGGAGTGCCAGATACCAGATGCCAAGTTGAATACATGACCAATTCCTCTTAGAAAAATCGTCTTATTGCTTTGAACAAGTAGATAGCGTGGTCTCCAGCTACCTGGTAGTTAAGTGTTGAGGTTTGATTGTAACACTCAAATACGTTATTTCCATTTATTATTACAAAAACTCTTCTCTCTACCCCTGGGTTATGATAGTTCCAGATTAAATATCTGCATTACAGAACGTTCTCAATATTCCCAGTAGTTGTATTCTATAAAATTGCTGTAAATGCTGAATTAGCAAATACTAAATCATTGCTCCTAGTGGAAATACTGAGTTAGGCTCCTGCAAACCTTTGGTTATATTTTATCAATCTATCAACACATAATCTTGTTTCATGTGTGTTTCTGTTTAAAGGCAACTTTGTTAGTATATACATCTTACAAATAATTAATTTCATGGTCTTTGAATGATTTAAAGCCAAGAGCTTTGGAGGCTATTTGTATTATACAGGTATGTTTGCCAACATACTTGTAAAGCAAGCCAACTCAGTTTCATCAGTGTTGAAAATGTGCTCTTCCACATAACTCCTTTCCTGTATAACACTTAGCAGGTACTTTAAAAATTTTCCTGTACAGAACTTGCCTTGCCTGCATGTTTAGCATTTTTCATGCCTTATCACCTATTGAAAATGCAGAGCAGTTAGCACTAGCTAAAAAAGGTTTGACCTTTTCTAACCCTGGGAAATGTGACTGTAAATTTCTTTGGCTTTCAGCTTCAAAATAACTCTGTCTACTTCACTTTGTTGTTGTTGTTTGTTGTCATCTCATGAATCCACAAATTTAGCCCCTTCACACTGATTTTATACCTTTATAAGTACTATAGATGCTAACTTAGCATTTTCCAAGGCAGCCTTACATAAAAATTGGCAAATTTCTGCTTCCTTTTTCTGGATCTACCGTATTGTTTGTTCATTAATACTGAACTCACGGCCAACAGCAGTAGGACTCAAGCCTAAATGAATTTTAGGTAACATACATAATCTCTGTGTAAGGCACGTCACAGCCTCTTGCACTTAGGAACACTAAGCACTGCAGCACTAAGCGTGGGCGCCATTTTAAACAGTAAAATCACCAAGATAAAGCACAAAAATGTAAACAATGTGGCATGAAATGCACCACAAAAAGGACATTTGTTCACAGTATGGGCTGAAACAATAAGGCAGAGCATTGCCTTGTTCAGCCTCAGCCAGGAATGTGCTTAACAGGCAACTCAAACTTTTTGCTACTCTGTGTATACCTGTGAATGACTATGAGAGTGCTGTGAGTATCCATTTTGGGATTACAAATAGATTTTTTAAGTAAGTGAATTCACAAATACAGAAGCTCCAAGGGGTGAGGATCACTGTACGTAATTTAGAAACCCTGCCTCTTTTAGCCACCTCCTGTCCCCCCAGTTGCAGTACTAATTCCCAGGGCTCTGAACTATGAACTAAATACAAGATCACAAAAGATTGGTTTAAGGGGGAGTTCTACAAGGTCATCTTACGTGGTAACTATTCCTTTGTCAAGAATGCACTTATACTTTTTCTACCAGAGGCTTTAATGTTCCACGTAGATTGATGATAAGAATACAGATGTGATGCTCTTCACAATAGCTTACCTATGAGTAGTCAAATAATGCCATTCTTATATAAACAAACATGTTATAATCTGGCTAAAATTAAACAGGTTATCTACTTTTTTGTTCATATTTAAAAATAGAATCTATGAAGAATTATATCTGGTTAGTTGTTGCTTCATCTTTGTTGATCTTTGGATAAATGATGCCTATAATTAGGTGACAAATGTATCTCTGAGTGAGGCACCAACCACATTAAAAAAAAGAGTAAGCATTTTTGCATCTCACTCATTAGTAGTCATTGCTGGGAACTCCTTTTCTGATGGGAAAGTTGTTCCATGTCCTTTAATCTACTGTGGAAATGTTGACATCATTGCATGCTTCCCTGGAATTGCCACCCATTCTCCTTCCTCCCCAAACTCTACCAAGTTATTAGTTCTCTAGGTGTCTTTGCTGTGGTTCTTTCAATTTTATAGACATCTTGTTGGGATATGGGGTTATTATTGACTGAAGATGGTTGAACTCATGACATTTAACCAAGGGAGAAGAGATCTGTAAAAGGATTTGACTCAGAGTTTGAGCTACAATGAAGCCTATGTCTTATTCTGGGAATCCCTTGGATGTCATGGTATAAAATTTGGTTGTGGAAAAAAAATGAGACATGGTACAAAAGGCTGGACAAGGCTCAGATGGAGAGGGAGGAAGTTTCCCACTAACTATAACTAGCAGTTAGTAGGAAAGCCTATAGAATGTCAAAAAAACAAACAAAAAAAACCAACAAAAAAACACCAAAAAACAAAAAACAAAAAAACAGCAAGGAGGCTTTTGGACACACGGTAGAATAAGCAAATGTGAACAGACTAAAAACCACCTTAAAATATTAGATTAAATATAATGATTGATTTTAAAGCATAGATAAAATTAAAAGACAGGAAAATCCCCAGGTGTTATAAGAAAATAAACATAAAGAAGTAGATAAGCTGTTTAATGTTAGTGAGGTTATAGCATGTTTGTTTATATGAGAATAAAATTATTAGACTACTGAATCCCCAAGTGTTATAAGAAGTAGTAAGAAGGGAATCAAAATGAGAGGTCATGGAAAACTAATACCAAGGCATTTCACATGGGTTTCAGAAAGGACATATGACCTAGTTACTGGAGAAATGGTTACAAACACCTATAAAGAAGGGAAGTGTAATCTGAGAGTCTTTCATAAAACACAAAATCTCTAAGGATTTCCAGACCTCATAGCTTGGAAGACAATCCCAAACAATTAAGCCAAGAAAATGTAAACAAACTTACGATTTATCTGGGACTGTGTTGGAATAACCAAACATTCTGAGAAATTAAAGCTGTAGATCTGAATCACTTGCTGATGTAGGCTCTACATTTATACCACCTGGGTGGGATAGGTAACATGATCTGAAAAATCAACCTTACAACCCAGTCCCACATCACTGAAATTCCCCAGCAAAACCAAGCCCCAAACCATTATTTCATAACTCAGACCATTTTGGACTCCAACAGGATTTTATAAACCAAGGTGATCATGAGCCCACACTAATAGATTGCAAACCTCACAAGAAAATCACCATGAGCAAGAGTCAGCAGACACAGTACCAGATGAATTAATGCCACGAAACTTAAAATACTAGAACAATCTGAAAACTATTATAAGATAATTATGTTTCAAATAAATTATAAAAGTAAAAGCTGTAATTAATACAAACATCTCAAGTGCATTGTTGTGTTAATCTACAATGACTGTTTGCATTGAGTGCTTGCAAATAAGAAATAAATCCAAAGCTGATTTTTATGCAGAAGCTAAGAGAGAAAGTTGAGGAAGTCAGATTTGTTTGGGTATGTGATGAATCTTCGGGTTTGATTTTATGTCACCAGTGTCTATCCAAAAACTATAATGAAAATCTTTTTTTAAATTTTTTTATTTTTATTTTTTTATT
This sequence comes from Homo sapiens, assembly GCF_000001405.40. NCBI lineage: Eukaryota > Metazoa > Chordata > Mammalia > Primates > Hominidae > Homo > Homo sapiens. The sequence continues at coordinate 74,744,269 of NC_000008.11, forward strand.
TTTTAAACATTTATTTTTTCAATTTTTAGAGATGGGGTCTCACTATTTTTATTTATTTATTTATTTATTATTATACTTTAAGTTTTAGGGTACATGTGCACAATGTGCAGGTTAGTTACATACGTATACATGTGCCATGCTGGTGTGCTGCACCCACTAACTCGTCATCTAGCATTAGGTATATCTCCCAATGCTATCCGTCCCCCCTCCCCCTACCCCACAACAGTCCCCAGAGTGTGATGTTCCCCTTCCTGTGTCCATGTGATCTCATTGTTCAATTCCCACCTATGAGTGAGAATATGCGGTGTTTGGTTTTTTGTCCTTGCGATAGTTTACTGAGAATGATGATTTCCAATTTCATCCATGTCCCTACAAAGGACATGAACTCATCATTTTTTCTGGCTGCATAGTATTCCATGGTGTATATGTGCCACATTTTCTTAATCCAGTCTATCATTGTTGGACATTTGGGTTGGTTCCAAGTCTTTGCTATTGTGAATAATGCCGCAGTAAAATCTTACTTCATCAGGAAAATAAAACAATGGGGCCAGGAAATGAAAGAAAATTCAAAAAAGTTCTAACAAGCAAAAGTGAAGTGAGAAGGAGAACTGTGGGTAACTACTATCTGTGTCTAATAGAAATGTTTTGAAAATACAAGATGTGGAAACTACTTTTCTTCAGGAAAAGTTCAATAGTTTACGACCTCATTACAAGGTCCGGGTGTGGTGGATCATTCCTGTAATCTCAGCACTGTGAGAGTCTGAGAATTGCTTAAGGCCAGGAGTTCAAGACCAGTCTGGGTAACATAGGAAGAGTCCTGTCTCTACAAAAAAAAATGTGAAAAAATGAAAAATAGCCAGGTGTGGTCAGGAGCCTGTAGTTTCAGCTATAGGCTGAGGTGGGAGGATCCCTTGAGCCCAGAAAGTCGAGGCTGCAGTGAGCTATGATTGTTCCACTGCACTCCAGTCTGGGTGGCAGAGCTAGACCTCATCTCAAAAACAAAGCAATGCAGAAAAGATCTGATTACAAGGAAACAGTAATAATGATAAAAATGAAATATTACCACTCTAGAACATATTTTCATAATAAATGGTAAATAAGCATTGATTTATTAAATATGGCTCCATTAAACTTCTACCATTTGTCATTGTTTCTCATATATTTAAATCATTATCACATAGCATTTGATTTGGAGAAACAGAATATCTTTGTGTATGAGGCCTGATGAATCGATAGTAGCAGAATCTCCATGGCAGGCATATTATTGGAGATGATAGTCTTTATGTAAACATCACTGTGGGTTTTTTTTTCACTGTAAATAGGCATGCAAAACTACATAAAACAAAGAAAATAAAACGCATGGTCCAGGGACATTGAGGGGATTAGGGAATATATACCTGACACTTTGTTGAATCTTATGAAGGAAAAGCACTATGTGGATGGCTACAGCTATTCTGGCATTTCCTCATATGGGAAACCGTCATCAATTTCTTGAAAAGAGCCTTGCAGCAAACATCCGTGGGTACAGAGTAAGTATAGATAAAAATAGAATTCACACTGAGTAATAATCTTAGTTCAGCCTTTTGCCAGGATGACCATGTGCCAAGCAGGCTTTTAAGCACCACACATATCAACTCAGTTAGTTCTCCCAGCAATTCTATGAAGTCAACACTAATATTATTCTCATCCTACAGATGAGAAAAGTGAGGCACTGGCTTTACTTGCTCAAGGTCACACAGGTAGTTAGAGGGGGAAGAGACTGGCTCCAAATCCATGTGAACACCATGTGATGATGTCTTGAGGATGTTGTAATTAAGAAAGTGGTTTGATTCTTGACTCTTCCACAGACTTGAGGTCAATGAGATAGATTCTCTCAATCACTCGCAATGTATTAGACACGACCTTTATGTCAAACATTGCTAGGCACTGTGCAAGATGCAAAAAAATGAAACAGTTGAAATTAGCTTCTGGTAGAAATTGTTCAAGCATCAGAGATGTGCATAGTCTCTAATTCTCTCATGTGCCTGGAATAATATATGTTTAGTTCAATTAAATTCATTTCAGTTCGACTTAATGCAACTACATTGATTAAACATCTCATATATGAAGTACTTGGCGGTAGGTATAGAATGATAAATAGTCCAGCCCTAGACGTCATTGAGCACACCCTCAGTGAAGGGGACAGACACAAATAAGTAAATAACTCCAAGCAAAAGCAATATGTTATAAGAAAGGGAGAATTAAAGTGCCATGGGAATGCAGGCTGAAAGTTGTAAAAGTAATTGTAAGAGGAGAAGAAGTGTGTGTGTGTGTGTGTGTGTGTGTGTGTGTCAAAGAGTCGAGGAGGGAGGAAGAGAGAATATTTACATTTGGCCTTGCATGAGGTAGAATTTGCTAAGCAGAAAAAGGGGTAGAGGATAGAGTGGAGAGAAGAGAGAGAAGATGGAGGAGCTTAATTTAGGATCAAGGCTGTGAAGACACCATCACCCAAGCTAAATAGTTAAATTGTATTATGTTTGAAATGGAGAGCACTGGCAGGATTGAAAAAGGTAACAGTATGATCAAGAAATATCTGAAGTAGCCAACTCTGATATTAGTTGAAAGCTAAACTGAAGAAAAAAAGAGACTAGCAAAAAGAGAATTATTAAGTAGAGTTACCATGCTCTTTAAAATTTCTGTTTTACCACCCAAGCCCCCTTATATGAATTTGCTGTAATCATAGGAAAAAAGCTACCAAAGAATAAATTGATTTGAGGACACTGATCCATGCTAACTCCATTAAGAGTCACTTAATCTAGTTTTGGATATTTCTATACATATACTCTAGATGTGAACATCTAGATAATTAAGATTCTGGTCCTATATTGGTGAAAACAAAATTTCTCAGTGTGTTTGTGTACAAATCCTGGTTCCATCACTAATGAGTATGTGACATTTGGGAAGTTACTTGAACTATGTCTTAGGCTTCTCATTTGTTGACCTGGGAAAGCAACGTAACTGTTTCATAAGCTGTTATGAAGATTAAGCTGCTTAGGACAATGTTGGCACATGGTACCCATTTTATAAGCATTTACTAAAATTATCCCTAAGCATAATTCTATAAGATCCTCTAAATTTCTTTCTTACCAACAACTTTGAGAAATTGGAACTATATGTGCTTAAATAAATCAAGACAAAACAATGAGAGACTCAGAACAGTAACTCTTACATATTAGAATACATTTGCTAAAAATATGTAATAACTCCTTACATACCAAAAAACCTAAAAAGCTGCAAGCACATTTGTGAATCGTGTTATTCTCTGAGTAACATATTTTGGCCTATCATTTCTCTTTACTTACCTGACCAATGATCAGGTAGTATCAGAAGAAAAGAACAGTCACAAGAGTGACATTCTTGGTTAAGAACCTGTGTAACATCTACCTAAAGTATGTTTCACCAAGAAGGTAGATTTTGATTACATTTTACTTCTAATTTGGAAGACAATGTATTAGGAGAAAGAAAAACTTATCTAAACTGAGACAAATGAATTCCATTTAGTTCTATGTCCTTTTCAATCTATAATGTATCATCACAGTGCCTTGGGAAGTAGTCAAGTCCTACAAATTCATTCCCCCTAGAAAATTTTCCTCATGAAATGTGTTCTTATATAGTTACCACTTGAGATGATCCAAAGTATATGCATACATTTCAAATTTTTCATTCTCATGGTCTTTTTTTGCTGTTTGATTCCTTAATTTTGTTCTCATTGTCAAAGCCCACTTCTGTGATTCTTAACCAAATAAGTAAATAGGAGGCAATGGTTTCTGTTATGAATTTTATGGCCTTTGTTTTTTTAAAGAAAGTTAGTGTTCAGAGGTACTTTCTCCCATGTCTCTAACGCTGAAGGATTGGAATACAAGCCAAAATTCAAAGGCAGAAACTCAGTCAGAAGCTGGCACTTTGCCTATGACTTGATGGACCTGTTAAATAATCTTTGAGGTAAAACAGATTCCAACTACATCAAACACAGTGAAGGAGTAAGTTCAGAAAATAGTGTTCTTGGTCTAGTAAAAGTCCAGGAGTACCAGCTCTGTCCTTAAATAGGTTGAATACAATGAAAGACAGGAACTTTCACTAGTCCTATAAGCATTTTCAATCTCTCTTGTTGAACACCACTAGTGGAGACAATGAAAGAAGAAAAATGCAATATACGTGTCCAAGGATCTCTCAGGTTGCCTTACAGACAAATATTATAATTCATGGTTTTGTATAAGATATTTTTCTGCTGTTATTTTTATGTTAAGTATGGCTTTTTGGATTCTAAGAACCATATAACAAGGTGCTGCATTCCAGTCCAGCTTGAATTTTGTCTCATGGAGCTTATGAACAAGTGACAACATACCTTCTTGCACAGAAAATCAGTAACCTGCAGACTGCCCAGAGAGGGTTTCCCAGGCTTTTTCCTGTCTCTATTGTTTGGCTACTCCCAATTTCAGGGATAAAGGAAAAAATTCTTGCTGTGAAGAACTGCTGTGGAGATTCTGCAATGAGATATGTGTGAACAGATGTTTGCTTTCTACCACTTCCATGACTTTCCAAAGGCCAGATATTGATGTTTCTCTGTGGGGAGTGTAATTATGCTCTCATCATATTGACATGGAGAGAGAGAATCAGGCTTGTTGAGTTTTACAAAGTTACAAAGCTGGTGGGTCTGCTTTTCTGTTAATTGTGAAACCTGGGAAGATAATTTTTAAAACTTTGCATGCCTCTTGGATGCCATTTCAATGTATTTGCTTTTTTTGATAGCTATAATGATTATAGAATTTTTATAATAATCAATGTATCTGCAAAAGAGAAAGGAAAGGTGAGATTTGTCAAATCTACATAATATATTGAAAGGTGGTAACAGAATAAACATTGAACAAAATGATTTAAAATTGCAACATACTGTCAGCATCCTATCAGCAAACATATCTTTCTAATTATAAAAAATCCCAAATGACAAAACCATGATTGTTGATGCTGTAATTCATTTAGATTCTCTTTTATGGCTGAAAGCTCTGTAAGCTACAATATGGACATAAGAAATCTATCACTACTCTGGAATATCTCAGAGGGGAATGGATGATGCCACTTCCTATCACCAAGTTAAAAAAAAAAACAAAACTTGTAGTGCCTTTTTAGTTGAAGCAAAATTGTGATGAAAGCCAGCTGTTAAGTAATTTTCAAAATAAATGACTGCTAAACTAGTGAAAACGTCTCAACATAATTTCAAGTTCGACATCATAAAGTGAATGTGACATTAAATAAGCTTCGTAAGCCAGGCACAGTGGCTCACGTCTGTAATCCCAGCACTTTGGGAGGCTGAGGTGGGTGGATCTTGAGGTCAGGAGCACGAGACCAGCCTGACCAACATGGTGAAACCCTGCCTCCACTAAAAATACAAAAATTAGCTGGGTATGGTGTCGGGTGCCTGTAATCCCAGCTACTCAGGAGGCGGAGGCAGGAGAATCACTTGAACCTGGGAGGTGGAGGTTGCAGTGAGCCGAGATCGTGCCACTGCACTCCAGCCTGGAAGACAGAGTGAGACTCCATCTCAAAAAAAAAAAAAAAAAAGTATTGTAGGCTACATTTGGAGTAGCACTTTGACATACATTTTGAGACATTTTTGAACTAAGAGTCCATTCAAAACTCTTTCCAGTGCATATCCTTGCTCTCTTGCGTAGACCTTCTAATTAAAATGGAAGCCAGTTACATTTCTTTTCTCTGAGAGTCTCAAAGTCCAGTGGAGGGTCAGCCTGACATTTTACTTTGCTGAAACAAGCTTGTCAATGGTGACTATATTGAAATGAAAAGTAATTGTTTCATTTTGGGTGAAATAATATCATTTCAAAGCAATATCACAAATTACTGTCTGATCATTTTGAAGCGATATCTAGCAGTAATATTTTATACTGAGTGGTTTAGTCACATATGCCTTTGTAAGATATTAAACATCTAAGTGAAAAATCAAGACCATGGTTAGAATATTTTACTAGCAAATTATATTCACTGAAGAAGAGAGTGGTTCAGTTATGTAGGTGCAATTGAAAGAGGAAAGTGAAAGTCAAAGTGAAAAATCTAATTTTTTTCTCGCTGAAAAATTCAACATCTGAGATGTGTAGTAATCATAGATTTTACAATCATAAACTAATCTTACCTGTGTATATGATACTCTGCTAAAATATCATAGGAACAAGGCTTGCAAATATAATATTAAAGACAAATGTGTCAGCTTATAATGTCAAATATTAAACAAATAAGAGGTCATTTTGACAAGGAGTTGTGTTGTGTTTTGAAGGCTCTGAACTAATTGATCCTAGTCTTTCTCTTGAAAGGACAACTAATGTCAAATTTACTGTAAGAAAAGTTACTTTCCACAGTTTCAATGAAAACAGGACCATCATAACTCTTGCCTTATAACTTCATATTTCTTTAGAAACATTTAATAAGTGTAGTTTTAGCAGGTTAAGTAGATAAGGGTAACTAGGAGAGTCGATAATACATTTGTTATTAATGAGGCTTCTACATGCCATCATGTGAATATAGATATACTGGTCTTAGTATCAAAGATTTCATGAAAGAGCAAAAATTTATCTAGCACTATATTTACTATCTCTATAGAGGGGATGAAGGACAGATAATTTTTCTGTTCCAAATTATACACTGTTCACAACGTTATTAAATTTTTATTAAGAATGCTAGATAACCTAAACAGCTTTTAAAAATACAGCACATTCTCATTATTCATGGATTCTGTATTTGCAAATTTGCCCACTCATTAAAATGTATTTGTAAACACAAAATCAATGCTGGTGGCACTTACGGTCGTTTGCGGTCATGTGCAGAGTGGCAAAAAAGTTTCATTTGCCTGATGCATATGTCCTAGCTGGGCTTGAACGTGGTAACAGTCTTCTTTCAGCTCATACTATAAACAAACGTCCTTTTCATGGTGAATTTAGTGCAACATTTTCTCATTTTTGTGCTATTTCTTGCTGATTTTACTGTTTTCAATGGCCTCCAAGTATAGCGTTGCTATGCTGCCTAGTGTTTCTTAACATGAGAAGGCTATGGAAAGCCTTAAAAGAAAATATGTGTGTTAGATAAGTTGTTTTCAGGCATGACTTACAGTGTTGTTTGACTTTCAAAGTTAGATTCAACAGCATGTTAAATAAAGTGTCTCTAAAAGAAACACACATAAGACAAGTTTACGTATTAATTGGTTGATGAAAATGTTGTGACCAGAGGCTTATAGGGATCTAACTCTGTCTTTCCTGCAGAAACAGTGGTTCAGTATTTGCTACTTTGGTGTTGGCAGCATCTTTATAGAACAAAACTACTGTGAATAACAAGAATTGATAGTACCACAGTTTTTACCCCATATTATTCACAAACACAAGCAAAAAGACATCTTATGTCATGGTAAAATGAACTGTAAGAACTTGCTTGTGTGTAAACATTCCTAATTATGATGACAAATTAAATTTAGTGAAATACACAGGCCCATAATTGAGAAATGTGTAATCACTACTAGGTTAACATAGAAATACTGTATAAACAGATGACTGTAGGGATATCAAGAAGATGGTTGGTATATGGAGAGGTTTAATGATTAAATGTTCTGTAATTAATACCTTTGTTTAATCTTTTTAAGGCTCATGCAATCCAAATACATTGTCAGCAGACTTTTCAAAAACTGCTATTAAAAACAGTCTAGGCATAGTCATACATCTGTAATCCCAGCACTTTGGGAGGCTGAGACAAGAGGATCACTTGAGGCCAGGAGTTTGAGACTAGCCTGGGCAACATAGTGAAACCCCCATTTCTGCAAAAAATTTAAAAATTAGCTGGGCATGGTGGCCTCTGCCTATAGACCCAGCTAGGTGAGGGGCTGAGATGGGAGGATTTCCTCAGCCTGGGAGGTCGAGGCTACAGTGAGCCATCATCCCTCCACTTTATTCCAGCCTGGGTGACAGAGTGAGATCCTGTCTCAAAAAAAAAAAAAAAAAAAAAGTATAGGATTTTAAGAGATTAATTTTCAATTACTAATTTCAAAGGCATAGGTCTCAATTAAAAGAATTTGATAATCCTTAGCATTTGATCACATTTGGGAGCATTTTTCATTTTGTGTCTGTGAATTTCATGCACTAGGCCCGCGTTCAGTCCAGCCACCAGATCAACACATTCTCCAAACTCATTAACTTTGGAGAGGCTACCCAGAGTTCCTGAAGAGTTCATCTGAAAGTAAGTAGGAAAGATATTTTCTCTCTGACTTTTCAGCTCTTTTCAATATTTATGTACTGTGGTTAAACTGCCTTAGCCATTCAAGAAGCATTTGATTGTATCTTTGTTGAATTTTTAAAGATGTGAGTCTTGATTGCAGATGCCTAGAAAAATGCTAGATTGCTAGTAAATAAGCCTGGTAGTAACAGTCTCTCCTTGGCATTTACTAAAAACAGTGTAAAAAATGAGTCAATGATTAATTTTTCCCTTGGCTATGGACCAGAACTGAAGTTTAATAGAACACAAATTTCATAATATGTAGCAGCTGAAAAAACTTTCAGTTAAAACTGGTTCAATTTTATCTGGCTTTAAAGACTGTCCCTGAGAGCATCTCAGATTCACCTGCATGATTCCTTAAAACGGCAACTTTATGCAAGTGACTATTTAGCTCTGCAGACTGAAAGAGTTGCCATGTTGCACTGCAAAGCAAGTTAAATGGGGGAAATGTGTTTCCAGCTATGAATCTAATCAGAAGGTAGGTATTTTTTAAAACACGTAAGTTGCTGAAAGACGTTCAGAAATACGAGTTTACTAGGTTAGCTCTACTAGCTAATCTAAACTCAAAACAACATAAAGTCAAAGTAATTCTAATGAGCATTTGGTGCATGGGTCCCAGATAAATGGATTTCTAAGTAAAAGTCAAAGCTACATTAAGTCTTCGTTACACCAATCCAAACAACTTTGCCTTTGAGTGTAGATGTGGGCTGCCACACAGGCAAATGTATACATTATATAGTCTTTGTTGCTAATATGTTAAATTAGATTTTTATTTTTACTATAGCATAGGATGCGTAACAGTGACCTTCATTTGATTTACATTTATTACAAAATAAATTGCATCAATATTTTAGAAGTGGAAAATCATAGTGATTCTCCAATTCCATACTAAGACTGAGAAATGTTTCTAGAAAGAGCTGTGAGATGACACTAAACTGACTGTGTTCTGTTACATTCCTTCGCATCGTGGCCAGACTTTTCTTCTGTCTTTGAGATACTTTTATTTGCCTCTCACTGAATTTACATCTCTCTATATTTCCCACTGTACCCAAGCTATTTTTTGCATTCTTCTTACCCCCAGGACTACCTGAAAGCCATTATTGCAGGTGCTGATTAGGAAATGTTCCATGGCCTCTCTCCAGGACCTTCATTCAATCATCTCCCATGCCCCTTCACTTTTTCTAATCCTTGCTCCAATAATTATTCATAATCTCCTTGCAATTTTCACCTCTTGTCTATTGACATATCATGCTGCCTAAAAACTATGCTCTTCTCTTAATGTGTTGCCTTCCATTCACCAATAAATTTATTAACATGAGAATTGTTAGTATCCTACCTATTGTGCTCTGACAATCTGACTCACTTATGTGCTGTTGAATTCTTCTTTTTCTGGAAAAATAATGTTACCAATAATGGGCTGATATCAAAGGGAGAAGCATCATAGATTAGTAGTTAGGACATGAGCTCTGAATCAGCCTTTGCTTTACCTGTCTCACTTTTTGCAGTATCTCGAGCAAGTTTCTATGCGCTGCATTTCCTCGTCTGTAAAATGAAGAACATAATAGTACCTACCTCATAGGGTGGTTCTGAGGCTTAAATAAAACAATACTTGTAAAACACTAACAGAGCACTCAGCACATAGGAAGCATGATAAGTATATGTTAAATAAAATAAATGTAATACTTATTTCCTCTATTATCCTCTCCATTGACCTCTTAGCAGCATTTAATAGTATTGATTACCACTTTAGAAAACTTTCATGCTCGGTGAAATTTTGCAGCCTGGCAAGTGGACTGGTGGAAAGCACAGAAGATCCAGAGTGTTAGGCACATTTGGTGGCCAGCTAGTGTTTAATTGAAATGTCTGATTTGGGGGCTCAGCCTAAGTAGAGTGACATGTAAAATGAGACTTGGAGCTATGAGTGTAGAACGTGGAATTTTGAGAATTTAGGGATCATTATGAGAATAGGTTCTATGGAAATGAGAAAAATGGTAGTTTAGGTGGAGAAGAAATGAATTGTGGTTGAAGAGATCTACGGCTGTGAAGCTCTTGCTTTAGAGTGGTTTTCAGCCCCAGACTACAGCTAGTGATGAAGGCGAGAAAGAGAACTGTGGGTCAGGTGCCCTTAGGGCACCCCTGAAAGTTAGACGCAAGGGGAAAGGAAGAGCAGCTACTGAGTTAGGTACACTTTCAGTCATTTCAGAGCCAATGCTTCCTGGATGATTTGAAGTTATTTATTTTGTCCCATTGTACCTGCCTTTTGGCCACTGAAATTTTTATTATTTACAACTCTCACTACAAACTAGGCAAAAGAAATAAATATTAGGGTGATCTGTCAATTTTAACAACCATTGCTATCTTAGGGTTGGCTGTTCTTTATTCTCATAATGTCCCAGTACGACATGTTGTGATTACTTATTCCACTTTTGGAGACAACTAGAGAAATGAAGAAGTCTGAATTAGGTCGTCCAGGGGACCCACAGCTGAATCAGCATGAGAACTAACAGTTCCTAACTCCCACCCGAAACTTTACATCTTCTAAATCATAATAGCTCCTAAGGGAAAATAACTGTGAACAGGTTCTAGAGATTGCGATTGTCTTCCAAAATGGAACTGATATTTGGGTTTTTTAAAAAAATTCAACACAATTTTATTTTGGTCTTTACAGTGACGTTTATATATTTACAGTTCATCTGCTGCTGAAACAGCAGTAGAATAGAGTCTTTGAAGTGATGGGTATGTGTGTATTGGCAGAGTTGAAGATAAACAATGCCAAAAGACCTCTAAAAAGATTAGACTGTTAACCACAAATACGCGGTTTCAGTTGAGAAGATTTATTTGTTGCTGACCATATTAGCCATTGTAGTTAACATTGGTTCTGGGAAAGTCATACTTTGGTAATGAGCCAGCAGGCTGTATTTGTAGAACTACAGTTGAATTTATAGGATGGATGCAGTGACATTGCAGATTTTCTCAACATCAAACAGTTAATGAAGTTACAAAATGTTCTGCTGGCTCTTTTCCTTTAAGCTTCTTTTTGGCGCTTCTAAGAGTTTCAACTGTCAGATGCACGGTCTTCCAGCGTTCTATCCATCTGTTTCCCTGTCTTGGTTCATGCGCTAAAATGTGGTGCTCATAAAACATGGTCCTTATGGACATGATTATGTTTGTCTGAGAACTCTTCAAGCGGCCACTTGAGATAAAAGATAATGGAACTAGGGATAGAAGTGGGTGTAATGGAATTGGAGTGGTGTCATGAGGTAATTGGCAGGTACAAATGGCCAATCACGTGGCTGGGTACTGATCTGAGCCCCTAGTCCATTTCAAGCCCTACTGGATGTATTGCAATTCAGTCCTGGAACTAACCATCTGGAGTTGGTGGTACAGGCTCTATAGGTTAAAGGTATGGTCTCCGACAAGGCTGCTCTTACTTCAGACACCAGCAGCACTGAGGTGGGGGGTCTCCAGACCACCTGCACTCCTGAAAGACTGACTATACGTTTTGGGGTTTTCATGAGCGCTTCAGTTCAATAATTTGCTAGAATGGCTTACAAAACTCAGGAAAGTACTATAATTAGAATTATAGTTTCATTACAAAGAATACAAGTCAGGAGTGCTAGCTAAATATGGGACACACAGAATGAGGTCTGAAATGGAATGCAAATTTTCTGTCTCCAGCCCCACTCCACTCCCCTGGAGTCAGGTGGCTGAAAGCCCCAAACTTCTAATTGTGTGGTTAGTCTTTCAAGGTGACTGTCCCCATTCTAAAGTTATCTAGAGGCCTACCACGAGTCCCCTCATTAGGATAATGTGGATGATCACTCATTAGGATAATCACCGTGAACATTCTGAGAATTTTTGGAACTCTGTCCCGTGAATCTGGAACAAAGACCATACAGATTCTTTATGATACCACAGCCCTCTCCTGCACTCTCTTATTTAAGGTTTACAGAAATTCTGTGAAATAGGTATTTTTCATCCCTACTTTTTAACATGAGAAAACTAAAGATCAGAAATGTAACATTTATATGCCCCAGGTCACACAGCAAGAACACAGCAGAACAAAGATTAGATCCCAGCTTGGTCTTCTTCAATGGTCATGCTTTTCCAGATACCTTAAAGAAAACCAAATGGACAGTGATTCTACACTGACAGATAAGCATGCTTATAATTGCTTGTTTGATATCTGTTTTTTCCCTGGTAGTTTGTAAGATGTGAAAGAAAAAATATGTGTTGCCTTTTCTGACAGCCACTCCCCCAACCCCAGCACCTAGTATATATTATTTTCTATTAGCTGTTAAATAAATACTTACCATATGAACAAGTGAACCTGAATAAAGCAGTACTCATTGGTCCTGGAGTGGATGAAATAGACTAGGGACTGGCCAGCTAGAAGGATCAGGGACTCCCAAATATGTAGCATTTTTAGTTGGTACTGAATGTGTGAATGAGATGGGTAGCTATGGCATCCAGGCTAGGTGAAGTCAGTTATAGGCATGGATGTGGAGGACTCTGTGGGAGGGAAAGAGTGAGTGGTTCAGGGCACTGGAGGTCATGCAGAGATTTGATGCTATGAAAAGCAAGTTGCACCTGTGAGAGTGTCATTAGGTTAATAACACCCTCCTCTTCTGTCTGCCTCCCTCACAATCATGAGGCTTGGAAAAGTGAGGGATGGAAGTTATTATCTAGGAGCTTGTTCACTGCTGCCAAAAATAGTTAGCTTTATTATGAGCTCTTGTACTGGCTTCAGACAGAGCCTTTGGGCATCATGGGAGTTACTGCTGCTTCCCTTGGGAACTACTGTCACTGCCATGGGCATCTGCATCTGAGAAGCATTCCTTCTCTGTGACAATTATCATAGTAACTTTTGCCCAGCAAGTTGGCTTTTCTGGATGTGTTAATGATGGTAATAATGATAATTGCTAAGATTATGAATGTCTTGCATGAATTATTTCATTTAATCCTCACAATAACCGAATGAGGCAGAAACAATTTTGTGTCTTTTTTACAAATGGGGAACTGAGATTTGGGGAAGTTAAATCATTTGCCAAAGTCATTTGTTCAATGATGAGTAGTCTCAAAATTTTAACCCAAATCTAATCAACATATTGTAAGATTGTTACAGTAAGAATGTTATTAGAACATCCTGAGAAAGAGCTGATATACATATTAAAGAGTCCTTCATTTTCGTGATGCCTACTCCTTGCTTGGGTGCAAGGTTATTTCTGCTTGTTGATTCTGTCCCTTTGAAAATCAGATTTTAACCTCTAGCCTGCTAGTTCCTTTGTGGGGAAAAATGATTATTGCTGTTTTCCAAAATACCAAAAAATGTCAGCCCAACCGCCTGAGTTTAATCAGATGTTTAATCTGATATAGCATCTGCATAATGACACCACAAAGAATAAACAAGAAGATCGGGACTGTGTCATAAATATTGATTCTTCTATAGTCAGGGCCTGCTGACTTTCATATAAAACTTTTTATTTAATTAAATCTATTGCAAACAATGCAGCAAAACCTTATTCTAGTTTTATCTTTCAGAATGTTGAAATAGTCACAGCCCATGGAATCAATGTTTTGGGTAAGATTTTTTTTAATGGAATTCTGTCTCTATTGCTTTAATTTCTTTAATCTTTCACTGCATGAAAAATACTCTAATATCTTAAAATTTCATGTATTTCCAGCCTAAAAATAACATCTATTATAGATTTTCCTCATTTTATTGTGTAAATGTAGATAAGCATAAAGAAGAAAATAAAAATTGTCCAGAAAGAACCACAATTAAAATTGTCCTGCATATTCTTCCATTCTTTTTCCTATTCCTAAGTATGTGTGTGTGTGTGTGTGTGTGTATAGCATAGGTATGTATAGGTTTATATGCATATATATGCATATGTAACATCTATTAATATATTATAAAACATTACTTTTTTTTTTGAAACATGGTCTCACTTTGTCACCCAGGCTGGAGTGCAGTGGCGCGATCTCAACTCAATGCAGCCTCGACCTCCCGGGGTCAAGCTATCCTCCTGCCTCAGCCCCTCCAAGTAGCGGGACTACACGTACATGCCACCACATCCTGCTAATTTTTGTATTTTCTGTACAGATGGGGTTTCACCATGTTGCCCAGGCTGGTCTCAAGCTGCTGAGCTCAAGTGATCTTCCCACCTCAGTCTCCCAAATTGCTGGGATTACAGGCATGAGCCACTGCACTCATCCATAAAACACTACTCTGAATCTGCCTTTTTCTCTTTCCGTATTTTAAAATATCATTTAAAACACATTAATTCTATAGTAATTCAGCCACAGCACCCTTTTTGTCCAGTTATTTTCCACTGCAGTTTCCTGGTGGAAGATTGTGATTCACCAATCCCATTGCCTAGGAGACGCCCACTGGGATGGCTGAGATGGGAGGAAACTTCCAGGTAGTATGGCTTCTGTAGCCCAGCAATCTATATGTTGATCTCAGTAGAAGATTCTGTGGCTGGTGTCCTGCGCCAACATTGCTCTTTCTTTTTCCCTCACCATCTAGGTCACTGGGTCTCACTTGGGAGTGGCTTTCCTCCACAGGGGACATTTGGAAATGTCTGGATACATTTCGATTCCCATAACTGAGGGGTCTGCTACTGGCATCTAGTGGGTAGAGGCCAGTATGCTGAACATCCTATGACATCCAGGTTGAGAAACCTGGGCTAGGTGAATGGCACTATCACACTCCCAGGCTAGAAACACATTTAATTAGGCAGTAGATCCTGACAGTGCCTATGATAAAATTTTTATGTGCATTCTTGTAGTTTATTGGGTGCTTTCTAGGTGTAGACATTTTCTTTCTCCACTTCTTTCTCCTCTCAGCTTTTTTTTTGGACAAAGAATCGTAGCCTGGAGCTAAAAGTACATTGGTCTTAGCTGTTTTGTGCCTTAAGCCAAGAAGGAGGAATCCTGAGTTCTGTATGGCAGGTTCCTTCATGGGTACTCAACCTGGGAAATTTCCTGCTGATCTGTGGTGTAGGTATTGTTATTCTCAATTTCTAGATAGGCAGGATGGCCTAGATAACTAGCAGGGCCAGCATACAACAAAATGTGGGGACCCTTGTTCAAAATTATTAAGAATTTTAAGGTGGCAATGGCAAAGCATTAAACCAAGGCAAGTGCCCTTCAAAGCTCAGCATCCTATGCGATCGTGAAGATGTCAGGATCATGAAGCTGGCCCCAGATATAGGTAAAGTGTTGTTTAAATAAGTTGAGTGACTTGCCTAAGGTCACACATTCAGTGAAGGGCAGAGTAAATCTTGGAATCTGTGCTTTTCTGACTCCAAAGCCAATATTCTTTCTACTGGACCTCTTTGCCCCCTTCTAGTAGGAAAAACAATTGACAAACTTTCTTCTTTTGTTATCCTACAGCCTAAAAGCTTTTCAGATAAGTATATTGCTTATATTAGTTGGAACTTATTTTCTCATCAAGATCTGGTTATAATTGTCCTAATCCTAAACTGTATAGGATTTGCCAGATCTTTCCTGGTTTGTACAGTTCCCAAACTTGCTTCCTCATATTTCCTTCTGCCTCCAGGTGTCAGTGTCTATACAGGAAACCCAATATACCAATCTCCCACAAATCATGAATTTGTGAACCCAAACATTAAGAGTAGTTAGAGGAATTAAATGATTTAGAACATGTAGTGGACTTGGTGTAGTACCTGCCTGGCACATGGTAAATGCTTAACAGGTATTAGCTATTATTATTGGTAATTAATATCTAGCGATCAAATCTCAGGCTACTAGACTTCCACCATGTCTGCTTCTGTGAGCCCTTTTCCGTGGTCCCCTTCATTCTTGGGCTCAACAGAGCATCTTTCCTTTGACTAGTGCAGGGCAGGCTTATCCCATTTCACTCTTGCATCCATTAAATTATTTCTCCCAAGTAAACCTAGTTTCCTTGCTAAGAAAATTTCAGCTGAATAAAACACTTTTCATTTTATTACTCATGACACATCTCCCCTGTGCCCAGAAAATAAGTGGGAAAAAGATCCCAACAATACACAGATAATTTTTCTCCCTTGAAATTTTTTTTCCAGAGTAATCCTTTTTAATTTTTCTTGAGCTAACCTGCATTTACATCAGCTAAATTACCAAATGTCAAAAATTTAATTTACTATTATGTACATTTATAAGATGATACTACTGTACTGGCCACCCTCAGTAAAGCCTGAGTTTCCTTTTTCACTGAGTATGATTAATTTATATCATTTATTAACATTACATTAATTTACATCATTTCTTTTACAATTTCTCATTTGCTTTTTCTTTTGAAGAAATTTTGAAATCCATTGATAGCCATAGCCAATGCAGCAATAGCACTCAAATTTAATACATGCTTACTGTTGGCAATTTGAAAATCCAGAAAGTAAAAATTAAAACTGCACTTAACCATTTTACTAAAAGAATTTCACTGTTCACATTATTGAGTATGGCCTTTCCAGTGTTTTTTTTTTAATGTATTATATTGTACTGTATGTTGTAGAAAAAGGATATTTTAAAATCATGGTGAATTAGCTCTAGGAAGAATCTACCTAATCAGATTCCCGGTGGAAGTAGGTGAGATTTTTGTTTCCTTGTATCCTCAATTTACTTGCTTTTTAATACATCTTTTTAGTAGTTGTTAAATATTTTATTCAGATTTTAAATAAGTGTGTGTATAGTTAAACATTTAGTTGATAAATCAACTATTATCACATATTTAGATAAACGTTTCTCAAAATATGATTGGTTTATCAGAAAAACATATTTCTGATTAGTAGTTTAACATGGTCATATTCAACAATAGCATAAAATTGCAGAAGATTCATTAAAATGTTTATGTACTTTTAATACCCTCTAACTTTCCCTGCTTTTCCTATGTCAGCAGAATGGCTTCCTTCATGGTCCTGGAAAAATGCTCAGAATGTGTGACTTAACAGTGACTCAGGCATTTTAGTTCAGCTCAGATAGTATTCATTCCTTGATGGATAAAAACAAAAGAAAAAGCTATTCTTTGGCTAAATAACACAATCCTCTCTATTATTCCAGTCTCTACAGATTGCTTGAAAAGTGCAGCATATTTGGAATTGCTTTCCTAAGAATTAAGCATGAACAAACAAGCCCACACCATTCTACAAAAAAGTTCTGATGGTGTGTAGCAGGTCAAGAAGCAAAAGCAGAGGAGGCCAAGGGAAAGGTTAGAGAGGGAGAGAGGAGAGGATTCCTGGGGTCTCCTATGGGCATGTCCTGACTTCAGAAGCCCTTTCAGGACACAGACATAACTGTCTTTTCTAACTGAGTATCTTAAATAGGCCCCTCCTTTCTCTTTCCTTTGTTTCCCTAGGTCTATGACTTTTCTATGCCATCAATAGCAACATCACTATCATTACAATAATATGTATAACTATATCCACTATTTATTTAGCTATTTACAATCTCTAAATGTCATATATTTAAATTACCTTATAACTAACATTAGTATTGTTTAAGAAACATTTCTTGAGTATTTATTATGTGCCAGAAACATATTATTTCAGATTTATTATCTCATACAGTCCTTAGAATTATTTAATTAGGTGGTTAATCTTATTTTCCTCATTTTACAGGTAAAGAGACTGAGACTTAAAGAGGCAAATTATATTTTCCAAGATCATATGCCAAGTAATTGGCAGAACAGAGAACCAAACCAGAATTGCTTATTTGATTCTATGTTCTTAAATGTTTATGAAACTGAAAAAAAGTGTAAATTGTGTGATAATGGATTGCACAAATAAGTATGAACAGATGCATTCTAGATGCATTAACATCTATATGCATTAACAAACATTTACTGAAGGTTTCCGTCTGCTACCAAGCACTAAGCTACAAGGAGGGAAACACAAAGATTAAGAAAATATGTACTTTGGAGCTCTCTCTGTCAAAAAGATGGGGAAACTCTCCTCAATGATATGTTAAACTTCCTTCAAATCAGCCAACTTTTATTGAATATCCACAAAATACAAGATACTGTGCTAGACATTGTGAGAAATACAAAAATACGTAAGAAACAGTCTTTCCTCTAGGAAGCTTGCAGTAAGATGAGAACTGAATTCTCAAGGCTGCCTAGTATAAGTACCTAGACGAAGTACATGGTCCTATGAATTAAACACAGAGGGAAAGAAAACTTTTTTCTTGAAGAGTTCAGCCAGTGTGTAGCTGTGCTTCTACAGTGAATCACCAAAAATGTACAGGAAATAAGGCTGACAGTAATTCTTTCAATTTACCAAAGCCATAAATTATGAGTGATTTTAGTATAGTGCAAGCAATATAAGTCACTCTCCTTAAAGGATGAACTAAAACTACCAGAGTGGTCCAGGATCTGAGAAACACAAATAATCAAAGGGATATAGTTGTTTTTGGTACAATGACGGTTACTATTAGTGGAACATAAGGCCTTAAAGGAGAATACCAAGAAACCCAGCAGTGCATCCTTTGAAAGGTCCAAGGGGTATGATAAGGTGAAGCTTATTGTTCAGTAAGGTATATTGTATGCTAATCCTATTTGGGACTTTTAAAATAGAAGACAATGCTTTAAACTTGAAGAAGATAAACAGGATAAATAGAATAATAATGACTTGTATAGTATATGGTAAACATATAGATCTTGTTGTCCCAGAAATCTGTAATGTCAAGAAACTATGTAGAACAGTGGTTAAGAACCTGAGTCAGATAAAGCCTGGAGCCTGGGATGGTTTGTGTAACTTACTATGTGATTTGGGACAAACAACTATGTCTTTCGGAGACTCAGTTGTTGTTGTCGTTTAATCTGAAAAGTTTAGAAAATAACACTCAGCCTATGGGCTCACGATGAGGCAATGGAGGAAAATGGTTAAGTGCAGAGCTTCCCCTTTCCTTCTCCTTTTCTTGCCCTTCTTTAAATCCCAGCTCAGTGGGTTTTGTTACTTTGGGTAAACAATGATACTTTTATGTTCTTTGGTATCATCCACTATTAAATAGTAGAGTTGACCTCATACAGTTTGGAAGGGTGATGAGGCCACATCATCTTGATACCAAAATCAGGCAGAGACACTATATTAAAAAAAAGAAAACTAAAGGGCAATATCCTTGATGACCATAGATGCATAAATCCTCAACAAAATACTAGCAAACTGAACCCAGCAGCACATCAAAAAGTTAATCCACCAAGATCAAGTAGGCTTTATCCCTGGGATGCAAGGTTGGTTCAACATACGCAAATCAATAAATGTGATTCATCACGTAAACAAAACTGAAGACCCAAACCACATGATTATCTCAATAGATACCAAAAAGGCTTTCAATAAAATTCAACATCCTTTCATGTTAAAAACCCTCAATAAACTAGACACTGAAGGAACATACTTCAAAATAATAAGAGCCATCTATGACAAACCCACAGCCAACATCGTACTGAGTGGGTAAAAGCTGCAAGCATTCCCCTTGAAAACAGGAACAAGGCAAGGATGCCCTCTCTCACCACTCCTATTTAACATAGTATTGGAATTTCTGGCCAGAGCAGTTGGGCAAGAGAAAGAAATAAAAGGCATCCAAATAAGAAGAAAGGAACTCAAACTATCCTTGTTTGCAGATGACATGATTCTACACCGAGAAAACCCCACAGTCTCTACCCCAAAACTCCTTCAGCAACTTCAGCAAAGATTCAGGCAGGGTACAAAATCAATGTGCAAAAACAGTGGCATTCCTATACCCTAACATCATCCAAGCCAAGAACCAAATCAGGAGCACAATCCTATTCACAACTGCCACAAAAATAATAAAATACCTAGGAATACAGCTAAGCAGGGAGGTGAAAGATCTCTACAATGAGAATTACAAAGCACTGCTCAAAGAAATCAGAGATGATACAAACAAATGGAAGAACATTTTATGTTCATGAATAGGAAGAATCAATATCATTAAACTGGCCATACTGTCTGGGTGCAGTGTCTCACACCTGTAATCCTAGCACTTTGGGAGGCCAAGGCAGGCGGATCACTTGAAGCCAGGAGTTTAAGACCAGCCTGGCCAACATGGTGAAACCCTGTCTTTACTAAATATACAAAAATTAGCCATGCATGGTAGTGTGCGCATGTAATCCCAGCTACTCGGGAGGCTGAGGCATGAGAATCACTTGAGCCCAGGAGGTGGAGGTTAGTGAGCTGAGACCATGCCACTCCACTCCAGCCTAGGTGACAGAGGGAAACTGTGTTTCAAAAAAAAAAAAAAAAAAGGCCATGCTGCCCAAAGTAATGTATAGATTCAATGTTATTTCTATCAAGCTGCCAGTGACATTATTTACAGAACTAGAAAAAACTGTTCTAAAACTCATATGGAATCAAAAAAGAGCCTGAGTAGGCCAGTCAATCCTAAGCAAAATAACAAAGACAGAGGAATCAGATTGCCTGACTTTGAAGTGTACTATAAGGCTACAGTAACCAAAATAGCATGGTACTAGTATGAAAAAAGACACATAGACCAGAAATAAAGCCACACATCTACAACCATCCGATTTTTGACAAAGCTAACAAAAACAAGCAATGGGGAAAAACTCTCTATTCAATAAATGGTGCTAGGGTAACTGGCTAGCCATATACAGAATATTGAAACTGGACTCCTTCCTTACATCATATACAAAAATCAACTCAAGATGGATTAAAGACCTAGGAAGTACCATTTTGGACACAGGAACTGGCAAAGACTTCATGACAAAAATGCTAAAAGCAATTGCAACAAAAGGAACAATCGACAAATGAGACCTAATTCAAGAGCTTCTGTACAGCAAAAGAAACCACCAACAAGTAAACAGGCAACCTACAGAAAGGAAGAAAATATTTGCAAACTATACATCTGACAAACATCTCATATCCAGAATGTACAAGGACCTTAAACAAACATACAAACAAAAAATAACCCCACTAAAAAGTGGGCAGAGGACATGAACAGACACTTTTCAAAAGAAGACATGCATGCAGCCAATAAGTATGTAAAAAATCTCAATATCACTGATAATCAGAGAAATGCAAATCAAAACAACAATGTGATACCGTCTCACACCAGTCAGAATGGCTATTATTAAAAAGTAAAAACATAACAGGTGCTGGAGAAAAGGGAACAGTTACACACTGCTGGTGAGAATGTAAATTAGTTCAAATATCATGGAAAGTAGTCTGACAATTCCTTAAAAAGCTAAAAACAGAACTACCATTCGATCCACAATCCCATTACTGGACATATACCCAAAGGAATGTAAATCATTCTACCATAAAGACACATGAACATGTATGTTCATTACAGCACTATTCACAGTAGCAAAGACATGGAATCAACCTAAATGCCCATCAGTGGAAGATTGGATAGAGAAAATGTGGTACATATACACCATAGAATTCTATGAGGCCATAAAAAAGAATGAGATCATGTCCTTTGCAGGAACAGGATGGAGCTGGAGACCATTATCCTTGTGAACTAATGCAAGAACAGAAAACGAAATACCTCATGCTCTCACTTATAAGTGGAAGCTAAATAATGAGAACACATGGGCAGAAAGAGGGAAACAACAGACATTATGGCCTACTTGAGGAAGGAGGATGGGAGGAGAGAGAGGTTCAGAACAAACTCCACAAAACCGTTGAGTACTATACTTAGTATCCGGGTGACAAAATAATCTGTACATCAAACCCCCGAGTCATGAGTTTACCTATATAATCAAACATGCACATGTATTCCTGAACCTAAAATAAAAGTTAAAATATTAAAAAAAAGAATATGGGGGGATTACTTAATGAGCTAATGTGTACAATGTGCTTTCAGCAAGTGCTGGATATCACTTAGCTATTATCATCACAGGATTGCTGTGAAGATTAAAAAAAATAATTTTCAACAAAGTGCTTAACACATCGCTTGGTATAGAGTAACTACTAAATACATAAAAGTTATTATTGCTATTTTAAAATTCCATAAATAGACTCAAGTAGTGCTTTTATTAAAGTTAGAATACATTCCTGAGCAACTAACACTGATTGGCTTCTCTGTCTCTTTGACATACCCCTATTAATATAGAGGTTATTTTAATCACTGTTTTTCTCTTACCTCTGACATTACAAATCCATGGTTCTTTTTACCAGAGAAGGTATTAGAAATCAAGATTTGGGTGTTGGGTGTTTTGCATTAAATTTTAGTAAATTTTTTGAAAGTATTTTTCATTACCAATGTCATGTCTAAAACATAATATATGGTTGGATGATCAAACTAAGCATAGCATTTCTAATATTTTGCCCCTGCACTTTACACAATCTAATCTGGAATTATATCTACATCATCTTTCACGTGAGCATGGCTTCCTTTTCCTTTTTTTTTTTCTTAGTATTCTTGTTTTTTTGAGACAGTGTCTTGCTCTGTCACTCAGGGTTCAGTGCAGTGGCACGATCAAGGGTCACTGAAGCCTCAGCCTCCCCTGCTCAAGCAATCCTCCCACCTCAGCCTCCCGAGTAGCTGGGGCTGCAGGTGCACGCCACCATGCCAGGCTAATTTTTGTATTTTTAGTAGAGATGGTGTCTCGTCATGTTGCCCAAGCTGGTCTTGAACTCCTGGGCTTAAGAGGTCTGTCTGCCTTGGCCTCCCAAAGTGCTGGGATTACAGGCATGAGCCATTGTGCCTGTGGCTTCCCTTACTCCTGGAATTCACCTTAACAGATGATCAATGAACCATGTGTATTAAGTACCTGTTGTCTACCGAACACTACACATTCTGCTTTCCTGGAGCTTGTAGCCTTGTGAGAAAGGGTATTAAATAATTTCCTTATCCTCCTCCAACAAAAACATGCTATAAAAAAGAAGTAGAAGAGGCTGGGGACCAACCCTGGGAGACCTAACCTCATCTGAAGAGTCTGTGAAAGCTTCTCTGCAAATGTAAAGTTAAATTTGAAACCTGACCCATGAGATGGTTGAAAGTCCTGCAGACAGAGGGGAGAGTGCTGATGCAGGGAAAGGACCTGGCGTAAACTTCATTTTTATCAAAGTACAGACATTCTCCAGACCTGTCTCACACTCCTGGGGGAAACATCTCTGGGATTCATATTTTGTTGCAGATGCTTCCTTTATTTTCCAAATCCTCCTAGAGACAACTCCCGAAACACCACTTTTACTTGTCCTCTTCTTTCTCCACTTGATTTGCATTGAATTTTTAAACAGACTTTATTTTTTAGGTTTACATTTAGATTAGTTTTAGATTTGTAGAAAAATTGAGAAGATATCATAGTTTCCATATGTCCATATGTCCTACACCCAGTTTCTCCTATTACTAACAGCTTACATTATTAGTAGTATGGTACCCTTGTTACAATTAATGCATTGATATTGATAGATGATCATTAATTAAAATTCATACTATATTCAGATTTCCTTAGTTTTTACTCAGTGTCCTTCTTCTGTTCCAGGATGCCATCCAGGATTCCATAGCACATTTTAGTTGTCTTAAGCTCCTCTTGACCGGGACAGTTTCTGCAACCTTTTTTGCTTTCAATGACCTTAACGGTTTTGAAGAGAATTGGTCAGGTGCTTTGTGGAATGCCTTTCTTTGGAATTTATCTGTGTTTTTTCCTCAAGATAGAACTGGAGTTAATGTGTTTTGGGGAGAAACACTATAGAAGTAGCATTAGTCAGTGTTCTCCAGAGGGACAGAACTAATAGGATACATATATACATGAAAGGAGCTTATTAAAGAGAATTGATTCACGTGATCACAAGGTGAAGTACACAATAGGCCGCCTGCAAGCTGGGGAAGAAAGAAGCCAGTGGTGGATCAGTCTGAGTCCAAAAGCCTCAAAAGTAGGGAAGACAACAGTGCAGCCTTCAGTCTGTGGCCAAAGGCCCCAGAGTCCCGGAAAGCCACTGGTGTAAGTTCAAGAATCCAAAGGCTGAAAAACCTGGAGTTTGATGTCCAAGGGCTGAAAGCATCCAGCACCTGAGAAAGATGAAAGCCGGAAGACTCAGCAAGCCAACTTATCCCACCTTCTTCCTCCTGCTTTGTTCTAGCCCTACAGGCAGCTGATTGGATGGTGTCTACCCACATTGAGGGTGGGTTTTCCTCTCCCAGTCCACTGACTCAAATGTTAACCTTCTCTGGCAACACCCTCATAGACACACCCAGAAACAATGCTTTGCCAGCTACCAGCTGTCTAGGTATCCTTCAATCCAATCAAGTTGACACCTAATATTAACCATCACGGAGGTAAAGTGCCATTTTCACCACATCATATCAGAGGGTATGCTGATAGCATCAACATAACATCACTGTTGATAATGACTTTGATCCTGGCTATGATAGTATTTGCCAGTTTTCTCCATTGTAAAGTTACTAGATTTTGCCCTTTCCATAGTGTATTCTTTGGAAGGAAGTCACTGTGTGCAGCACAAACCAAGGTAGTGGAGAGTTATGTGCCCCCTTCTTGAGGGCAGAGTATCTATGTAAATTATTTGGAATTCTTCTGCATTTATTAATAGAGAGTTTATTTATATCAGTATGAATTCATGGATATTTATTTTACACTTTGGGTCATAATCCAGTAAAAATCTCTTTATTTCTTTTTTCAAATTATACATCTTGGCCATTAGAAACTTTCAGTTGGCTTCTCTGTCTTTTCGACATACCCCTATTAGTATAGGTTTTGGTTTTTTTTAATCACTGTTTTTTTCTTACCTCTGGCATTACAAATTCCTGGTTCCTTTTTATCAGAGAAGGTATTAGAAATCAAGATTTGGGTGTCGGGTGTTCTGCATTGAATTTTCATAAGCTCCAGCTAGCATCCTCATGAAAATAGTTGCAGGTCCAAGTGCAGAAAGCATAAAAGAAAGCAGAGCTGTCTTAATAGAAATCAGGCAAGGAGCCTAAAATAAATGTCATAAGCCTATCTACTCTTTTCCATTGTTGTTTGGTTGGTGTTAGTGGTGGAGCTTTGTGGACAGAAGCTTGTGTCCTTTTTACCCCAAATCAAGAGTTCCATGCCAAAGACCAGAGGGTGTGAAATTTCCATGGATATTCACTAGAGTGTTCAGATAGGATGAGAAACACAATCTAGGTAAGATAAAGCAGTTAGATGCAAAAATCAAGGGACCAATCCAGAGAACATGGGTCACAGAACTATGAAATTGAGGTCGAAAATGAAATTTTAAGGTATAAAAAGAGAAATACCAGAGCTGAAAATGCTACGTGTTATACTGAAATAAAGAGTGATCTGAAGAGGAAGAATGAATGAGAAAACAAAAGGATGAGATGTTAGAGTAAGTACAGAATGAGTCAAATAAGGACATTTTGAAAACCATGTAGGGGGAGAGAGTGGTGAAATTAGAACCCTCTCAGCAATGCAGGATCTGTTGTCTAGTTAGGTTAACCTATTGATATGGGGAATGAGTAAGAAAAATCCAGCTGGTAGATGGGAGGGAAGGAGGAGCCTAGAAAACTCATAGCGTGGGCAAGACTACTACAGGTTCATGGACAAATTATGTTTTTTGGACTAGTGATATTTGCACACAATCTTCAAAGCTAAAGTTAACGTTTTAATAGACGTCTGTCTCCGTTGAATTTAGATAATAATGCTGCAATTTCTTTTCTAACACATACTGTATTTATGGCTTTGTAGCACTTACCCAGTAGAGACATGGGATGTATTTACTGAGGTTGCTGAAGCTTTTCAGTAATGAACGAGCTCCATTAAATAATTATTTCTCAAACTTGAGTTTATAGAAGTACAGTCTTTGAGAATTTGCTGTCATCCCTATATTCTTAACTGTAAATGTTTTGTGTGAAAAGACATTTTTAATTGGTAGGTACTACATCACACACTTTTTTAAAATTCGGATTTCTGTGAACTCTCAGGGTTTGTGTTTTCTGTGCAGCAGCACAGTCATTATAAATGACTCTTCTTGCACTTGATGCACTGACAAATATCAGTTTTCAGCCCCCAGAGAAATTTAGCAGATTTGTATTTCCTAATTTGGAAGAAACAGCTTACAAGTTACGATAGCATGTATCTGTCAAGAAAAATTCCAGGCTCAGGTTTTCACTTTTCTTTTGCAGTGAACATTAGAAGTCAAGACACTGGCTCACCAAAGCAGGCCAAGTGACCTACAGCTGCCAGTGGTATACCTCTACATCCAGAGAGTTTAAGCATTTGGGCTGTGCCATCACTGGAGTCTTGCCGAGGATTTTTGGTTTGGTTTGCAGTTTGGACTGTTTTCACACAGACTCTGGCATAGAATATTGCTTTGTTGATGGCAGGGCATATAGAGCTAACTCTGGCTCCTGTTAATTTTTGTCATGTAGGAGACGACGCTAGCATGTAATTTTGATATGAAGAATATTGACTGGCAAACTTCCTCACTTGGCACCATACTGTTTACACTTGTAAATAATTAGAAAAAAATGTTAAGGTAACAAAGTTAGTACTGTATTGGGAATTGATGGGTTCTTGGTCTTGCTGACTTCAAGAATGAAGCTGCGGACCCTCATGGTGAGTGTTACAGTTCTTAAAGATGGTGTGTCTGGAGTTTGTTCCTTCAGATGTTCAGATGTGTCCGGAGTTTCTTCCTTCTGGTGGGTTCATGGTCTTGCTGACTTCAGGAGTGAAGCTGCAGACCTTCATGGTGATTGTTACAGCTCTTAAACGTGGCATGTATGGAGTTGTTCATTGCTTCTGGTGGGTTCATGGTCTCACTGGCTTCAGGAGTGAAGCTGCAGACCTTCACAGTGAGTGTTACAGCTCACAAAGGCAGCATGTCTGGAGTTGTTCCTTCCTTCCAGTGGGTTTGTGGTCTTGCTGGCCTCAGGAGTGAAGCTGCAGACCTTTGAGGTGAGTGTTACAGCCCTTAAAGGCGGTGCAGACTCAGAGTAAGCAGCACCAAGATTTATTGTGAAGGGCAAAACAACAAAGCTACCTTACTGCAGAAGGAGACCCGCCAAAGCTGCAGCTGCTGGCTTGGGTAGCCTGCTTTTATTGCCTTATTTGGTCCCACCCACATCCTATTGATTGGTCCATTTTACAGAGAGCTGATTGGTCTGTTTTACAGAGAGCTGATTGGTCCGTTTTGGCAGAGTGCTGATTGGTGCGTTTACAAACGTTTAGCTAGACAGAAAAGTTCACCAAGTCCCCACCCCACCCAGAAGCCCAGACAGCTTCACCTCTCACTGTGTTCGCCACGACGCTTTGCGGCACTTAGCCCGGGCACTCTGGCAGCCCAGAGGGAGCTGGTCCCCGGATCAAGCCCAGCAGGCGCCGTCGGGCCGCACCGAGTGGGCGGCCCGCGGAGCCCGCATCCACCTGGAGCCCGCACTGGCCCGTGAGCGCCGCATACAGCCCGGGCTCCCGCCCGCGCCTCTCCCTTCACACCTCCCCGGGAGCAGAGGGAGCCGGCTCCGGCCTCGGCCAGCCCCAGAGAGGGCCGCCCCCCACCAGCGCAGCAGCGGGCTGAAGGGCTCCTCGAGCTTGGCGAGAGCGGATGCCGAGGCCGAGGATGCGCCAGAGGGGATGCCGACGCCGAGAAGGTGCCGCGAGCCAGCGAGGGCTGCTAGCACGTTGTCACCTCTCAGTACCACTAGAAAAAAGGGTGACAATTTGGATGTGATTTTTACTTGCAAAGAGTGAGAAGATAAAGATTTAAGTGCTTAAATTTAAATTGAACCCTTCTTTATTATGTTAGATATTAGAAACTTGTATTTAATAATTGTGAGAAAATAAGTTCTACTGCTAGATTTGCTATAATAAAAAATGTTAATTTTAGAGCTACGGAAAGATAATTCAGTCCATTTTCCTGATTATGAGTAAGACAGCATGACTCCATTTTTGTATTCTTTCTTTCATTATTAGGAGAACCTTTGATAATAATAACCATAAAATAGTTAATATAGCAACAGCTGACCTTTATTGAAAATTTACTGGGTACAATGCATTGTGCTAAGCTCTAAACATGGATCATTTTACTTAATACTCTCAACAACATCTTGGTGTATATAATATTATTGTGCGGAGTTTTGGCATCTTGTCCAAGGTCTCCTAGCCACAAGGCCCTAACACCCCTTATGATTATGAAAATCTTTTAAAGTCTGAATTTAATCTCCTTCAATTCAATATACATGTGATTTTTTTTATGATAATAATAGATCGTAGAAATAGTGACCAAGATATTTTATACATTATATTAACTCTTTACATAAAAACAAATAGAAGCTGTCTCCCTGGTCTGTTAAACATAATATTGAGTAGTTTCTCATCTTTCATGAGGCAGATGAGAAAGCAAGAGAAAAACAGGACACTGGTCAGGAAATGTCTTGCCTAAGATCCAGGATACAAAACTAGTTTGCTTACTTGCAGGACATAAAGTGTATCCTGACTAACCACTTCTCCCACCATGCCAACCACCCCACACAACTTACCTTGAAACAGTTGACTTGTTTACCTTAACGGCACCAGGGAGTTTACTTAAGGGTTGACCCTTTGCTTTTGTAATTATTTGTTCCCATCAAAAGCGGAAGATAAGTCACTGTTATTAGAACAAACCCAATTTATTAGTTTTCCCTGTCCAGCCAAAATTGCCTTAATTATTAACCCATGGGGTAATAAGTAGAAACAAATAACAGATGTAGCAGTGCAAATTGCAGTGTAAACCTCAGCAGCCATTTTCTTTCTGAAAATTAAACCATAGACATTTTAAATCTTGTACTCTTCTGCCAACTATTTTATAAGCACTTAAACTAATCTCTGATGACGCTACCATTCCCCAAAGTCTACTGAAGTAGGATCACCAAGTAATCTGATTTTTCAGAACATAAGTGGGCCCACCCATCCATCTGTCATCAAAAATAATTTTAAGTCTCTTGAGAAGCTCCATGGTGACAGGAACTTTGTTTTGCTCACTTACCTACCTTTAACACCCAAAGAAGAGCTTTAAAAAAAATAAGGGAAGAAAATAGGCTGTGATCAATGCATTTTATTCTGTTCTCTGAGTTGGTGCTCTTTCAATGTGTTCACTTATTTATCAATTTAACAAATATTTGCAAAGTTTCTACTTGTGGTTAGGCTTTATGCAAAGCACTGAACATGTAACTGTGAATCAGATGAGTAATATTCCTTACCTCCTGCAGTTTGCAGCCTGATCCTATTTCCCGCTAAAGAAGGGTAAATGTATTGTTTAGCCCCTACACTATGCTGAATTTTTAAAAGCATTTAAAGGTCTTATTAGATACCTCCTGCGGAAAGTCACTAACCGTGCAATTCCCCTGGTTGAATGCCCAGTTATTTGCAGCCCATTGCCATACATGGAGATAGATTTTTTTGCTTTGTCCATTGCGGTAGGCTCAATGCCTACTACATTAGCTTTTCTTTCCTGGAATATAGTAGGTGCTTATATGAATAAAGGAAAAATATGAGAAGAGAACAAAATGTGTTAAGGATCAACTATACTAAACTCTTTGTAGACATAATCTTACTATAGACATAACCCCAATCTATTTTTGGATTATAATTTTCATTTTACAAGTGGGGAAATTGAGAGATGTAAATTAACTTTGCTCAAAACAATGCAATGGGCAAATTGCAAAGCCTGAGCTCAAAATGGGCTGACTTGTACCACCTGATCCATAAGTTCACTTTAGCAAGTACTCAATACTACCATAAATTACCTTTTGGTTTCCTGCTTTAGCCTGCTTACCAAGGGCTCATGCCAAACTCAAGTCTTTTGTATTTTGGGCTATGACATATACCAACTATGTTAAAAATCTGGAGGATGTTGTAGTGACAGACAGCACCATAATTTTTGTGGTGTACCGAAACAAAAATTTATTTCTTGTTCAGGTAGGTCTTGTCCAGGACCAGACAACTCTCCAGGTCAATGGTCTTCTACACAGCACACTGGAGACCTAGGCTGAGAGATGCTCTGCCAGCTGGGCTGTGACATGTGAAACCCATAGTCTCTCCAGTCAGAGGAGCAGGGCAAGAGAACCGCACATCACCTCTTATATACTTCTACCCCGAGGTGACATTCATTACCTTTGTTCATATTTCATTAATTAGAATAAATCATACCACCATACTCAAATTCAAAAAGGTGGAGAAGTTGTAATCCTTCCACATGTCTGGAAAAAGAGACGAGCGTAGATGTTGGCAAGTAGTTGCTATGTCTGCCATACCAGCTACCTTCTCTGTCTATCTATGTCTAACTTGTGTTAATGTTCTATATTTAAAAGATAGTCTCTATAGTCCCGTTTTTAACAATATAGTGAGTACCTTCTATTTCACAAGTGGGCCTCCTTCTAATGGCAGCCCTATTTAAAGGATGAAATGTCTTTGATTTTGTTTTTTAAATAAGTTATCCAGTTAGTAGTGAGAAAGTAGAAATTGTAGATAATCAAAAACAAAGTAATAAAAAAAAAACCTACAAACCTATCACCCTATTGTTCTTCAGCAGCAGCTTTCCTTAGCAAACACTGAGGAAAAATGCTATTGCCTAGCTTGTATTTGATTCCCTTCTCCCATGCTTTTAGCAGCTGATCTGGAAATGCTGGCTTGTCCTCATGATAAGAGGCTACTTTAAGATTTTAAAACTGAGAGTGTCTCCCAAAATTTCAGCCCAGAAAGAATAAATGCCTTTATAGCATAGTCTATTTCTAACATAGACAAATGACTATATTTGCTTATTTATGATGTGCTCTACCTGAAGTTGCACACTATTACTCTAGATGCATCATTTTAAAATTTAGGATGGAACTCGTTTTTAACTGAGCCATTAAATTATGATTGTATTTTTTACTTATTATTCTCATTCAATTGAGAACAAGAACAGACATGCAATTAGTTTGCTGAAAAGTTAGAACTCAAGCCTTCTGGCTTCAAGACTTTCCCTATTTTCTTTATATCAAAACATCAAATAAAATTTTAATTAAGCCCTCTAGAATTCAGATATCAATATAAAACAATATTGACAGTTAATTTAATGAATATGCATTTTGCATTATCTTTGAGGCGGATAACATGTTAAAACTACAAGCTTAAAGATGAATTAAACAAAACCTTTCTTTGGGAAACTTTTGAGAATTGTATTATCTAATGGAGGATTCGTATACCAAATACAATAAAGTGAAATGAAGAAATGTTGGTTTATAATACGGCATTGAGAACCATCACTCTTCAATACACATAATAATATTTTTCATTCCTCTGCTATTCTGTACTCTCCTGCAATATTAAAATTTGTAAAGATCTTTCTTCCTTGATGGTTTATCAAATAGTCACTCATTTGCCCTAATAAAAAACATTTCAGATATTTCTTACAGTTTTAATCAGGTAATGAATTTGTTCCACCATTCCTTTTTATTTTGTGTCATCTTCTAAAATCTTAACCCAGTTTCTGATTGTGTTTGATGTAGTCGTTGTCAAGTGCATTTGATCTGCCAATGCAAATAGGACTGAGGTGAGCCTGTTGAGTATATAAAATATTTTTTTCCAATGTCTTTGACCAATTAAGTAGTTAAACGCAGTGGTGCTATTTTGTTTCCTTAGCAACTTGGGAATACATTGTAAGTTTTAAAAAATTATATCTAAAGTATCTTGAAATTTATTTCTACAATTATTGTGAGTATTCTGGCTTTTTTTAGGCCACTTCAAATTATGACTAAAGAAGAAAGTAATAACCCCAAATGTGTTTCTTTTCTAGGAGCTGATCAGATTTTGCCAACTATAGGGGAATCCCTGGGTTCAGATGAAAGTTAAAGTCTCAGGATCAGGTCTTATTAGAAATAAGATTCATATTCTTACAAACTATCATTTAATTTGTTCACCCCATTTTAAGAGAGAACAGATTATTTGAAGAAACATTTTGAAGTTTAAAAACCAAATATGTTTATAAAATTGTGCTGCCTCAGATTAGCAAAAAGAAGGTTAAAAAGCTTTCTTTAATGAAGCTATTTTTCTATTACATGTTACTGGATGAATTAGTATTTGGTTTTTTAATTTCTTTAAACCTTTTGTCTCTCCAGGAAAATTGCCGCATGTCTGAGAAATGAGAATGAATACTTTCCCATTTAACTTCCCTTCCTTCTTGGATCTATGCTCTTACAGTGGGATTTGGGTACTTTATCATTTACAATTTTGATTTCATTTCAACCATTTAACTGCATTTTAAATTTCTCCTTTGCTTACACTTTCTGCCTCAGACTTCATTTTTAGGACCTCTTACAGTGGAACATTCAAGGTACACATTCAAGATAGCTATTGAATCCAGTGAAACACTTTGTGTTGATAAACCCTGACTTGCCTAGATAGGAAGGAGCTAATGGAGCCCACGCAATTGTGTAGTCAACCAATGATTGTGAAAGGGATGCCTTCTTTTAAAAATCCTATTATAACATGGAAGATATTTTCAAAAATAAGTATACCACAGTAGTGTATTGAATGCTACATTATTTAAATGCTAAGAAACAATTTTTTTATTATACTTAATAATGGTTAGAACCTTTAAATTATTATATCCAAGTTTGTCAACATGTAAAATTAAATGAGAATAGGCTATAATAAAAAAAGAATAAAATGATGTAAAATCAGGGAAAGTAATAAATGAAAGAGTTGAGTTGCTGAGCCTGGAAAAGAGGAAGAGATATGGCAACTTAGTGACAGTGTGAGGAAGGGGTGGGGGGAGGAGCACTCTGATGTACCGATTGCTATTTACGATTTCATCTGTGTAGATTTTTAAGCAAAAAAAAAAAAAAAAGTTAAAATTTTACCCATGGAAAGTTTAGATTGATATAAGAAATATATTCTTTGTAATCCAAGTGCATTATTAAGGAACAACACTGTAGATTTCCCACTAATTATAAAATATGATGAAGATGTTGGATGGTTGGAGAGTTAACTTGGCCATGGGGCATGAATCTATCATAAATAATCTCCAGATGTCTTGTTCAGCTGTATTTTCTGATAACCAATTATACTGTAAAAAAAAAAAAGAGTGGTATAATTAAATACTGGATATATTGCCTATCAAAATAATATTAATGATATTGGTAATTCAAAATAAAACTGATTATTATATTCCAAATAGTATACAATGGTTTATATGCATAATTTCCATTCTATTATATTTTTATACAAACCCACACGGTGGTTTCTTGCAAACATTTCAGGTAGAACATGGATTCTTGGGAAAAGGCCCTATACATTTCCATGGTAGGATTAGAATCTCCCTGTTTATTTTGCCAAGAACATAGAAACTTACTGGGAGTGAGGTTACCGCGTAAGGAAGGAATGCCTACCTTGGCTTGACTTTGCCATCAGCTCCCTAATGAGCGTGGAGCTTCTGGTGCTACCATTCAGGAGGACCCTAACTTAATGGATCTGAGGCAGCCAAATTTCATCTGTACCTTTGTCCTTTTATCTGGGTTTGGTCCAAGGGCGATGTTTACAAAATTATATTCCTAAAATACTATTGCCATATTGTTGCCATCTGCACTTTATATGTAACTCAATTCAGGTTTTGTAAGGGTAAATACCTTGGCCACAGTTGTCATATGGTGAGTAGTGAACCAGCACTCAGCTGTCTCACACACAGTGCAGCAAAATTCTATATGAGCACCGATAACTCATCTTACAAGCATGAGCTCATTATTAAACCACACTCAATCATTGTTTCCTTCCACCCCCGTTCAGTGGGGAGAATTCTTTCTCATTGCTGTATGAAAACTTTGGCAGGCCTATGACTTTTTCTAATGACTCTTAAGTAACATGTAGCTCTACAGACACATGAAATCACAAACATAATCTTGATTCAGAAATTAAAATGTCAATTCCATGCATGTAATAAACCAAATTACAAACTTGAGTTAAACCTATCCTCCATAGCTAGGTCTTGCGCTGGGCTGGATCCTGGGTTCAGATAACATTTCATCATGGCCCTGACTTTGGGAAACATCACAAACTCTCAGCTGGTCCTATGAGAGCTACTCTCTAGTCTTGGGAGGAGAAAAGTAAACCCTCGCTTCCCCTTCACCCTTGAGATGTGATGAGTACTCATAGTACAGTGACTCTTCAAATACAGAGTCTCATTATTTGCATTGGTTTTGTTCTGCAAAGTCGCTGGGAACCCTGAATTAGCAAATACTGAGCCATTGCTCCTAGCAGAATTACAGGGTTAGGTTCTTGCATCTCTGGTCACAACATTTTTACCAACCCATCAATACTTAGTCTTGTTTTCTCTGCGTGTCTGTTTGAAGACACTTTATTTAATAAACACTGATAATTCATTGCCATTGAACTCACAGCTAACAGCGCTATAACTCAGGCTGAAGGAAGCTTATCTAACACATGTCTTTTTTGTAAAGCACAACACTCACTGCCTTCTTATACTTAGAACATCAGAGAAATCACAAAAAGTGAGAAAACCTAGCACAAAATGTACTCAGAAAATGAGCTCTGTTTATAGCACGAGAGCTGAAATGAGAAGGCAGAGTGTTATCTTGTTCAACCTCAGCTGACGACATGAACATAGGATGACTCAAAATTTTCACTGCTCTGCATATGTCCTATACACGAAAGTGTGGCAAGTATTCATTTGGGGGTTACAAATAAATCTTAGTAAATAGGCAACTTTGCAAATATGAATGAATAATGAGGATTGTCTGTAAATATTTTCACAATATCCTTATCAGACTTTCTCCTGGATTTTTTGTTTGTTTTGTTTTGTTTTTGAGACAGAGTCTTGCTTTGTTGCCCAGGCTAGAGTACAGTGCGTGATCTTAGCTCACTGCAACCTCCGCCTCCTGAGTTCAGATGATTCTTGGGCCTTAGCCTCCCAAGTACTATTACAGCTGGGATTACAGGTGTGCACCACCACATGCAGCTAATTTTTGTATTTTTAGTAGAGATGGGGTTTCACCATGTTGGCCAGGCTGGTCTCGTTCTCCTGGGCTCAAGGAGCCTTAGCTTCCCAAAGTGCTGGGATTGCAGGCGAAAGCCACCATGCCTGGCCTCTCCTCTTTTTATGTCTATATTTTTTATCTGGTTTAAAGTCCACAGATTCAGGAAGGAAGCGTTGGAATCATTCCCTTTGTAAAACTGAGCATGGTGATTAGGAGTCTCACTTTGGAATTTGACATGTTGTCTTTCAGCACCTCTTAGAAACATAGATTTCAACATTAGGTGAAATACACATTTGAGACTGTACCAGTCAGGATTTGTTATTTTAAGGAGCAGAAACCAAATCTAAATGATTTAAGTTAAAAATACATTTATTAAAACGATATTGGGGAAAACAGAATCTTGGGAAAAGCTGAAGGACCTGGATTGGAAAACAGGCAGGAATAACGGAGGTTGGGCTGCTGCCAGGACCACGGTCAAAAAGGGGTGATGAATGCAAACCAAAAATAAAATTCTAAGCTCCCCCAACCAACTGATGCATGGCCTCCCTGTCTGCCAAGGGGATTCCAAAGTAAACGTGAAAATCTAATTCAGGCCATGATGGGAAGAAGGGGGTCAGACATGCCTCATGATACCCTTCTCCCTTTGAAATTCAGGCACAACTGACCCACACTAACATTAAAAGAGATCTTAAGACTGATGAAACAGACTCTGTAGCAATAAGGCACAAATTCCAACCTGATTCTATAGCTTCACATGACAGATAGCAGCAGGCCCTGAAAGAAATTGAAGTGTTTTACCTTAAAATATATTTCTTTGACATATTTTGAAATGGCCCTGCAAAGCTGTCTTATGTGGGAAAAAATCTGAATTCCATA
Source organism: Homo sapiens (assembly GCF_000001405.40). Classification (NCBI taxonomy): domain Eukaryota; kingdom Metazoa; phylum Chordata; class Mammalia; order Primates; family Hominidae; genus Homo; species Homo sapiens. The sequence goes on from NC_000008.11 coordinate 74,780,374, forward strand.
GAGAATCTCCTTCCCTTACCAGGTCTTTTTTTTTGATCCAGGAGAGAATTAACTGAGTCTGGCACTTTTTTAAGTCAGACAAGAAACACTTACAATCTGTTCTCTCTGAAATGGGCTACCTGGAGGCTTCCTCTGCATAATAAGAAATATAGTCTCCACACCCCTTATCTTAGCCATTCCCTTCAATTGATTCCAGGGCTTCAGATAAACTATTTCAACCAATTGCCCATCAGAAAATCTTTGAAGCCACCTATGACCTGAAAGTACCCTCATCCTCAGCTTTGAATTGTCCCAGTCTTTCCAGACCAAATCAATGTACACTTTACATGTATTGATTGATGTCTGCATCTTCCTGAAATATATAGCATGAAGCTGTAGCCTGAGACCACCTTGGGCACACGTTCTCAGGATATCCTAGGGCTGTGTCGTGAGCCATGGTAACTCATATTTGCCTCAAAGTAAATCTCTTCAAATATTTTACAGAGTTTGAATCTTTTCATTGGCACAAACAAGACCAGCATTGCTGATGCAGCCCATGGCTGAGCTGGGGCCACTGCCCATGGATATTGCTTCTGGATCTGATGGAGCCATCTGCTTCTTTCTGCTTTTGCCTTGTTAGCCCATGATACAAAGTTCCCAGCAGGTATCTCAGACTACTGAACTGAGATTATGGATTCTGTGTCCTCCATGCTAGGAAGGCTATAAAATGAGGGGGTGGCAATTTCAGTTTTTGTAGAAGAAGAAAGGCTCTGTCTCCCACCGAGACTTATAAAGTGAAAAACTTACCATGTGTAGAAAGAGAGTTCAGATATTTGACAGCCAGGAAAGCAAATGAAAATGGGGTTCATGCTTGTAGACTTTAATGACTTCCAGAATTGGAAGAAAATGCCAAACTCATCTATTTAGCTCTATCTCTCTTCCAATTGAGAGAGTCCCCTTCAGAGTGTCCTAGTAAACACTCTTAGCCTGTGCTTGAATTTATAAATGATGGAGAGCTTTTCACACTGTGAGATAGTATGTTTTAATCCTCAGCGACTCTTGTCTGAAAGATTTTTATTATGATTTCTAGTTCATAGACTCATTTCTCATGGTTTCCTTCACCATAGAGTTTGCCATTATCTAGATGTATTGTAGTTTCCAAATATCGTGCTTTTGATATGGTACTCAGACTGAGTACAATGTCATCCACATGGACTGGCAAATGCAAAGGCTATTTTTTTTTCATTAATTGAACCTGAGATTGTGTTGGCTCTTTTATGCAACCATAACATAATGACTCATATTAAGCTAAAACATTTAAATATTTTTACAAGAACAACTGCCAAAGCCAGTCCTACAACTGAACCTCTAAACTTAATTATTTAAAAGATGATATTGAGGTTTTTCCATTTATTCCTGCAGCTTTCACCTATTTAGTTTTAGCTCAGTGATCTGGTTTGTTGAAATAATTTTGGATTTTAAGATTTTGCTGTCTATCATAATATGTGATAGTAGGATTTCCTTTGAGGATTGTGCCATCTGCTAATTTGCTTGACACATCTTTTATATTTTCATCCAAGTCATTGATGAATTAGTAGACAGGAAATGACAACAACAGAACATTGTGCCATTGCACCAGTCTTTCTTCAAGGTTGACACTGGGTCTTGAGCAATCGGTTTTTAATCCCACTGCTCAAGCATCCTAAAATAAACCTAATCTTCTCATTACCTTGCCCAAAATTGTTGATAGCTTCCTCTTGGTCTTACTATAAAGATCGCAATTCTTAATATGGCTCACAGGCGTGACATTGTCTGGCCCATGCTTTCTTCAGCTCCGTATAGGGCAACTCCCCCTGTTCTCTGTGTTTTATCAACAGGGCTTTGCAAATATAATACACCTCCCCTACTCTTCACCAATTTGCCTCTGAGGACTCACCCATGGGAGCCTTCTCTAACACCACCGATTTTGTGTTTCCTTTGTTAATCTTCTCATAGAAACAAACAGCATTCCTTTAACGATCGCTGTTTGCAATTGAATATACATCCGTGTCATAATTTCATCTGACTCCACTAGACTTAAGCTCTATAAAGAACGAGCAAAGTCCATGCCTGCTAATCATTATATGATCAATGCCTGGAACATTGTAGGTTCACACAAAGATCTTGTAGAATGAATGATAGAAACTCAACAAATAATGTGCCCATTGATCCTACTGAGAATGTAAACTGCAAATGAGTGAAACTGCTTTAGTAAATAAGTCCTCTCCCACCAGTGACCTGTTTTGTGATTCCTCCGAGTTTTTCAGTCTCAGTATTATTGACATTTGGACTAGATATGTGAATAGTGTTGAGATTGAGAAGCTCAGAGAAATAATAAAACAGAGTGGGTGGTGGGAGATTTATTTTTATCCTGGGGGATGGGAGAGGCATGTCCTATGCATTGTAAGATAGTTAGCAACATCCCTGACCTCTACCCAGTAAATGCCAGAAACATCATTTTTCCCAGTTGTGAACAACCAAAAGTGTCTTCAGAAATTGCCAAATATCTTGATGTGAAGGTGGGGGCAATACTACACTCAGTTGAAAACCTCTGCTTTAACTATAAGAACTTTACCACATGAAGAGGGATATATGATTTGCTTCATTGTAATTACAGAAAAAGTGTATGCAAAAGACTTGGGCCGGGCATGGTGACTCATGCCTGTAATCCCAGCAGTTTGGGAGGCTGAGGAGGGCAGATTGCTTGAGTCCAGGAGTTCAAGACCAGCCTGGGCAACATGGCAAAACCCTGTCTCTACTAAAAATGCAAATAATTAGCTGGTGTGGTGTTGCATGCCTGTAGTCCCAGCTATCTGGGAGGCTGAGGTGAGAAGATCACCTGAGCCCAGGAGATAGAGGCTGCAGTGAGCCATGATCAAACCACTGCACTCCAGCCTGGGGCACAGAATTAGGCCCTGTCTCAAAAAAAAAAGATGCACAAGTTGTAAAAATTAAGTGATGCAAGTCATTATCAATAGAAGAGGATGTGGTCAGAAGTGTTCATTCATATCTTACTACAACCATGAAAATTTAATAACTACTCAAGTCCAAAATTATCTCTCATTTCAACCTCATTGGAAATCACTTAATTTGACAGTTAATAAAGAAGTGTTTTACTCAAATTTCCTGTATGTATCTCACCAAATAAGCAGTATTTCCTAGGATGTTATACGAATTCTAAAGCTCTGCTAGAAGGTTAGAAGACTGACAATTCGTTGAACACAGAGTTGTGATGGTAAGGTGTGGCAGGCAGTCTTCAAGATGTCTTCCAAGATCCCATGTTGACTTGGGAAACTAATCAGACTTCCATGAAGATGAGGAAACTCTTAATGTTCTTGGGACATCTCTCTCTCTCTCTTTTTTTTTTTTTTGTTGCTTGTAGGGAATGACATGGTAAATGAGTGACACAGGGCATAGAAATATCATCATCCTAAGCAGGATGCTACAGTTGTTAAAATATCCTCTCCCTTATCCTCACCACTAATGCAATCCTGATTATGACATGCATCTCTCTGGATATTTGTTATGATTGGGAGATATCAGATTTTAATAAAGAGATTGCCATCCCTTAATACTATCAGGGACAAAGTTTATTATATATTGAGCATTAAGAATGTATAGGTCTGAAAGTTTAGCCTATTTTGTGCCATCTATGATGACATATTAAATTGTTACAGAAAGGAAATGATTCATATACTACAGAAGAAGGACAAAAGAGTTACTGGTTGCCCAACTGACAGAACTAAAAACCAGGAGCATTTTAATTCTTTTTATTATTTTTGGCCATTCCTGGAAGTATTTCTCCTCAGGGGCAACATTTTCTCACTGAAATAACAAGAGTAACAATGCTGGCTTCTTGCTTAATTATGTCTAATACATTCAGCAAATTTATTCTTCCAAGAAAAAGTCAGGAAGGTAGAAACTTTAGTGCTACCATCAGAGCATGTCCAATTACACTGACAAGGAAAAAAAATGTTACATTTCAAGACTTAATCTTTGTGTTGATTGGCCACAGGCCACTAGAATAAACCAGAAAGGTATATGTAATTTCTAGGTACTAACTTTGCACTCATACGTTGAATTTAAAATGGAGAGATTACAAAAAGAACAAAAGCAATTGGCTCGAAAGTAATGAGACTTTTAGGTCTCCAAAGCATAGAAGGAATATGAAGTATTAGAAAAATGTATAAAGAGACCTGTAATACCAGTCAAGTACGGAGATATCAGTTGTCGTGGCAAATATTTTGCTTTGTTAATAGGCCAATTCTTATCAAACTGTTCCACAAGGCTAGAAAAACCTTGTACTAATGTCTTCCTCTCCAATTTGAAAAGTTGCATAAAACATTTAACCACTTATTATTACTAAAACATTTAACCACTTATTACTAAAATAAACTGGCAAGAGCTTTCACACTTCCTGAATGATGCAGTGTACTCTATAGCTGAAATAGATCAGACCAGGTTCCTGGCAGAAAGGATAATCCCTAAATGCCATTTGTATTGCTACTGGAAGGTGGGGATTAGTTCATAACCTTTACCTGAGACACACACTGGGGTGATGTTACCATAATAATTATGGAATTATGGCTTAAAATCAAATCACTATTGTGGACATTTAAGTCATGATTCTGTGTTACTAGGAAACCAAACTAGTGAAGAAAATAGTTCTTTTTACTTGCTAAAGAAAGAAAGAATACTGTTTTTGTTTTGACAGCCAATGGCAGAAAAATTCAATGTAATTGAGCCACACAGACTGTATTATTGTAACTTAATCGATTGGTCCAGTGGGAAAGAGAAAAAGCCAATTCTATAAAGCAACAGAATTGACAGTTTAAAAAATGGAATCGACTTGCTCATTAACTGGGTTGACTAAATGGACTTTTTTTTCCCATTGTGTGAGTAGTTTTTAAAATCAAAGACCATGATATAGGGAGCCATGAGAAACAATATTTTACAAAGGGATCATTTAAGCAGTGAAATAACGCTTATTCTCCTGGTATCCAGCTGACCAAACATCTTTTGCTTTGGAATCATACTGGTGGTGAGCTCACTTAAGTCATGGCAGGAGAAGGGAAAGAAACAAACAAAAATTAAATGGAAACCTACCAGGGAAGATTTTGTATGTTTTGGGCTGTTTAACTTCTCCAGTTATCTTCTAGGGTGAATCTTGGACATTTTACAAAGCAATAACAATAATAATTTTGAGCTCCTGCTATAAACCAAGTTATCTGCTAGGTGAAATATTTATGCATATTATTAAATGTTATTCTATCAACAACAGTTAGGTGAACATTATTATTCTGACTTTACAGATAAGGAACATGAGGCTCAGAAGGTTAGTTTGCCCAAGGTCAACAACCGGTAACAGAGCTGAGACTCAATACGAGATATATTTCATTGTACAAATGATACTGCCTTGACACAGCTGTTTTAATATATATCCATATGAATATATATGCACACATTTACATATATAGAGATATATGAATATATGTAAATATTTATATGTTTATGTATATATTTATTATCTACAGCTTTTTGGGCAGGTGAACATGTAGCTCTAATGCTAACTGTTCATATGATCTTTTTGTGTCTTTGGCTTTGATTTCTTCAGGTTTCAAAATTGGAACCACTTGTCACCAAATAATGTTTAAAACTATTTGAGATTATTGGCCTAGAGTAGCTGTCAAATCCTAGGACGTGGCAAGGTCAAGGGGAAATACACCCCAGGAGAGAGAACAAGTTCCAAAAGCTGAGAAAAGAGGTTGAGGAGGTTGTGCATACTTCTCCAGTCTCAGCAGAACCTTTTGAATAGTGAGAGAAAAGATAAGTAAGTACGTTCTTCTGCTTTGCTCTGCATTGCTTAGTAATAACAAAACAGAGTTTGATGACAAAAGATCTTTTTTGCTCCATCTTTCTTCCCTTTCTCTTCCAATTTTTTGAAGGCACCCGTATCTTGGAAACCAGTCAATGAAACTCAAGGGGCCCACTTGAAAATAAATGGCTACAGTCATGAATTGCATGCAAGGAGAGTCCGTGAATGTGTTTATTTACAATAATGCTTTCTAAAACATGAAGAATAAATTCTTTACACTGGAACCACAGAGGGACTCTGTTTTCTGAAAGCAAGCAGTCCTACTGCTTGTCTTTATTTCCCTATTCTCGGTTGAGATGAAATTCAGACACTTGGGGGCTTGGGAAAATCCAGCGTGTGGTTTGTTTCAATGCATTCTCTTATAGGATTCTGTTGCCAGCTTGTAGAACAGTCCCTTTTCTCCCCCTCCTGCACCCCCTTCCCATGCTTGCAACCTGTGGCCAGAGAGCCAAATACTATGAGTCAAGAGTATTTTCAATAGAAATACCAGGAAAATGCTGTTTCTAATGGCATAGAAAAAGCAAACAGAATGAAAGCCAACGTCATGGGAATCTTAAACCCAGACCTCTGAAGAAGGAAGGTATAAGCACAGTCGAGTACAGTAGGAAGAATGTTTCTGCTTTCCAACAGGGAAAATCAAAGGTAATGTTTCTTGTCACATTTTGTATTTTTCAAATGAATACCTCCAGAGGAACTTATCAGAAATTATATTGTAAGCACATTATGAGTAAGCACATGAATGTTTTAACTTCTTTGTTCAAAAAATAGTTACTAATTGCATGCTAATGTGTGAAGCACTTTTGAAGGTACACTCACTCCTTTCTGAGGAGAATTATATAGAATTATCACATCATATTGTCACTATCTGTGCATACATGCGACTCTTCCATCAGATAAGGCCTCTCTCCAGTCAAGGGAGGGCCCATTTCACTTTTCTGTAACTCCAGGCATGTTCAATGGTTTATAAGCCTCAGATTCCAGGGACTTACCATCATGTCGGAGAGTTGAACGTTTGTGCTCATAAGCATGCAACTAGTTATGAACTATTGAGCCTTGTCAATAGTGTGGCCAGTCTGTGTTATTACAGTTCAGAGATAGCTGCTGAGTTGGAAATGGGGTGTGGGGGAGGATCAGGAACTGTTCAGAAGGGAGTGATGCGCTGGGCACTCAAGAGACAAGTAAGATGTGAGTAGGTAGAGAAAATAATAATAAAAGCCTGAGATAAGATGGGGGTCTAGGAATGGAAAATTAATCTTGTACTGTGAGATGAACTTTCCTGAAGTTCAAATCTGAGCATGATTTAAAGTAGCATGTTATAGTGAAAACAATAAACAAATGATCATTTAGTTTTATTGTCAGATGGATACAGCTTCTATCTCTGCATTGACTCTTACCAGCAGGCTACTACCTTAGGTCTGCTGCTTAAAGTCAGTGAGACTGATGTCTCTGGATATAAAATGAGACTACTGTATGCTGTTGATTTATCTTATCCCTACTGCCTTGAATATTGCTTTTCATAGAGAAAGAGGTTAAAATACATATTTGGTGAATGAATGGCCATCAGAGAAGCAGAATTAAATGAAATAACACAGAAGTGCCAAGTACATAGTATACACTCAATGCATATTGGTTCTGTAGCGTCCTCTCTTTTTCTTCCTGTTTAGAAAACTTTATTGCCTTTGCACTGCATAATCTAGCTTCCATTTACATTTCCAAATACATTCCCCATTATTTTTCTCTAAACAACTTACACTCCTACCAAGTATGTTACTCACTGATACTTGTATATTATCCATAATCTATTTTAACTTAAACTATTGCCTTTTTTCCATATTATTCTTTACTTTCATTTTCATATATTTAAAAACCAGCCCATTCTGCAAGGTTCAGCTCAGATACTAGCTTTATAAAGAAATTCATGTATTCTCTTCTTTCCTTTCTCTAAAATTTCTTTGCTATATCTATACATTTTACTTTGTGGTATGTAATATTTACAATTTCATGTTATGTTTATTCATTCAACTATTTGTCTTTTCCTCCAGTAAACTTTATGATTTTTTTATTTTATAAATTTTATTGAGCATTTATCATATTCAAATCACTATGTTAAGTTGTGTATATGGAAAAGCAAATAAGACATGGTCATTATTCTAAGGGAATGCTCAGTGTATTACACTGGATATGCAAGTCAATAATTACATTCGAAAATATGAAGTCTACTTAATAATGTCAACTATTTCACTATACAGGATAAAGAGATGTCAAAAATGGCTTCAAGATGATATGTCATTTTAATTGAGATCCCAGGAAGGACTAGTAATTCGGTTTTTAAGTAATATTATAGATCTACCATCTGAGAAGAATGCATATCTTTGAATTAGACATGTCTTGTTGATACACAGCTACTTTCCATATCTTCAATAATGATTCTTCAACTGCTACAACATAGAATATTTCATAATCCTACAGCACAAGCAAAATGCTCTTTCCCTAATTATCTGCCTCAGATCTAATATTATGGCATAACATTTATGAATGGCCAGATACTTCCTTAAACAAACATTTTCCAATTATGCTATTTTCCTTTCCTTGATTCAATTACATTTTGTATAACACATCTAGTATTTCCATGTCTTTTTTTTTGAGACGGAGTCTCACTCTGTCGCCAGACTGGAGTGCAGTGGCGCAATCTCAGCTCACTGCAACCTCCACCTACCGGTTCCAAGTGATTCTGCTGCCTTAGCCTCCCAAGTAGCTGGGATTACAAGTGTATGCCACCATGTCCAGCTAATTTTTGTATTTTTAGTAGAGACTGGGTTTCATCATGTTGGCCAGGATGGCCTCGATCTCCTGACCTCATGATCCGCCCCCTTCGGCCTCCCAAAATGCTGGGATTACAGGCATGAGTCACTGTGCCTAGCCCCTGTCTTCTAATAGAAATCTGTTCCAACTGATTTAAAAATTCAGAAAACATGAGCAAGATAAGCTCTGACAACTTTTCTGACTCTCTTGTAGTTGTATAATGTTGTGGTATTGAGAGAGGTTTGAAGAGGTAAGAACTGACAGGCCATTGAAGTGTGTGAAATCTCAGTGAGAAATTGTCTCTTTGAGTCATGATGGACCCAGAGCCTTGTCTGGTCCCCATTGTGTTGTCTATAAAATCTCCTATGATGTGTTAAGATAGGTAGCCTGTCCTTCAGTCTCAGTGTATTTTGAAATATACTTAGAGGAAAAAAAATCCTACCATAGCTTTTTATTTTTCCTATACTGAAGAATAAACTTCCAATAGCTCTTTTCTTTCTTTAAAATCAATATTGCTTTTATTTATTTAAATTTTTGTTTATATTTTAATCAACAAATAATACTTGTGCATATTTATGGGGTACATAGTGATTTTTTTATTCATACAGTGCAAAGTTACCAGATTATGGTAGTTAGCATATCCATCATCTCAAACATATACTTTCTAAGAACAGTGTTCAGTTCATAATCATTTTACATGTCCCATTTGGTCAAAGCTAGTATTCTGCAGAGAGCAGAAACTGAGTATTATTTGAGGAAAAAGTTTCAAGTTCTGATGGAACTTTAGTTAAGTAGTTGGAAATTTTTTTGACACTTGAGATATACATTTGAGAATCTTTTTCAAATAGATAATAACTGTATTATAAGAGAGTGGCTGAATTGTCCAATGGGGAGTATTTTAAAAAACTAAAGAAAAATATGGCTGAATTGATATTTTGACGTAATAAACCAGCATGGTGCAGTCATTATTTCTTCTCTCCCATATTCCTACTGAGATATGCAATATGATATAGAATTAAAGGGAAATCTAAATCAGCGCCAGCACTAGAAAGTAGGGCAGCATGCTGCTACCTGTAAGAAATTGAAAATATTGCTGTTGTACTAGAATATTCCCATTATTCTTCAACCATTTTGTGTTCTTTAGGGGTCTCCAGATGAACAGAACCAATAGGATATTTATACATATATACACATATATGTATATATACATATATACACATATATGTATATATACATATATGTATGTACATCTGTACATGAGTACATGTATACACATGCATATGTGCATGTATATGTGTATGTGTATGTTTTTGTGTGTGTGTATATACACACATATACATATATGTGTATGTGTAGGTGTGTGTGTATACATGGTATATATATTATGTGTGTGTGTGTGTGTGTGTATATATATATATATATATATATATATATATATATATATATAGACAGAGAGAGAGAGAGAATGAGATTATGGGAATTGATTTGCATGATCAATTGCAGAGGCCAAAAAGTCCCACTATCTGCCATCTGCAAATGAGAGAAACAGAAATGCCAGTGCTGTAATATAGACTGAGTCTGAAGGCCTGAGAACCAAGTAAGGGGTGGGATGCTGTGGTACAGACTGAGTATCTCACCTTTATCCAAAATGCTTGGGACTGGAAATATTTTAGATTTCAATTTTTTTCAGAATTTGGGATATTTGCATTATACTTACCAATTCATCATCCCAAATCTGAAAATCCCAAAATGAAATGCTCCACTAAGCATTTCCTTTGAGGGTCACGTTAGCATTCAAAATATTTCACATTTTGGAGCAATTGGATTTGAAATTTCAGATGAGGGAAATTCAATCTGTATAAGTCAGAGTCTGAAGGGCCAAGAATCAGGAGTTTCGATGTCCAAAAGCAGAAGATGGATGTCTCAGCTCAGGAAGAGATAGAATTCACCCTTCCTCTGCCTTTTTGTTCTATTCTGCATATTGCCCACTCACATTTGGGAAGGGAAGATCTTCTTTACTCAATTTACTGATTTAAACGCTAATCTTTTCCAGAAACACAGTCACAGACACACTCAAAAATAATATTTTGCCAGCTATCTAGTAATTCCTTAGCCCATTCAAGTTGACACATAAAATTAACCATCAGAGAACGAGAGAGAAAAAAGATTGATTTATTTTAAAGAATTGGCTCATGCAATTGTACAGGCTGTCAAGTCCAAAATTTGTAGGGCATTCTGGCAGTTTGGAAATTCAGCTAAAAGTGGATGTTTCACTCTTGAGTCCAAAATATTCAGGGCATGCCAGCAGGCTCGAAACTCAGACACAATTTCTATGTTGCAGTTGTGAGGCAGAATGCCTTCATCTTTGGGGAACCTCAGTCTTTGCTCATTATGTCTGCAACTGATTCAATGAGATCCTCCTACTTTATGGAAGGTAATTTGCTTTACTTAAAGTCAACTGACTGTAGGTATTAATCATATCTAAAAAAGTACAACCACAGCAGCATCTAGACTGGTGTTTGTTCAAGCACCAGAGCCTTGCCATGTTGACCCATACAATTACCCATTACAAATAGTATTAGATTAATGGAAACCATCTGCCTGGAAGACTGATACATGACCCTGGCACATCTGCAAAAGAATGGGAGTTGAATTGAGCAATGCGCTGGGGATTCACTCTAGGTTAGAGGGCTAAATGTTAGAGATAAGAGTGTCCTGAGAGTCAGGCAGGAGACTCACTCCACATTCTCCATCTGCCCAGCATTGACTCGCAGACCTCGTGCCGCTCAGCAATGTACAAATGGCGTACAGTGGGCGATTGGCAATTGTGCCAACACTGAGCAGAGACTGATCACTACAAGAGGCCAGTTTGAAGCAATCCTAATGTATGAGAAGCATATATGGATGATTATGTTTTATTTAGTCATACTTGGAAAAGGAAGCTCATTTGTGAATCTTCAGCCTGTAAAGTTTCACAGGAAATATGCTGAGTCATGTTAAGGACTGCTGAAGATTCTAGCCAAAAATGTTCAAGAAGGTACTTCCAGGTTCAGTCCCAAAGAATAAATAATCCATGATGAGCTCCTCCTTGGCGATACAGCACTGGGGAAGGAGGGAGAGTACGGGTGAGAACTGTAGCACAGAGCTTTGACACTACGATGCTAATGGAGTGTCTGAAGGATTTGGCTTCTTATTTTAGAACATGGAAAGTGGATCACCTGTTAGAAATAGTCTTAGAAAACAAACAAAACAGTAACAAAATAATAGGACTTTCAACAAGAATATCAATAGAGTTAGATAAAAGGAAAGGTTAGGAGCCTGGACAAGAAATATGAAAAACACAGTTGCCAAAGGATATAAAACAACAATGAGTCAGGCTAGATGTCATGGAAAATAATACTGGTAAATTTCTTTTTCCGGAAAGAAGCACACAAATAAAATAGGATAATAGTGTTAAAGTGATAAGTATAGAGAATTCAAAGACCCAACACACGGATGAAAGAATAGAAATGATGAAACAAAAACAACGAGCTCAGGAATAGTAGAATATTTCTCTAATAATAAGGTGCACCAACTTAGATCCTAAATGCAAATTACACCATGTTTTCAGCTCTAAGGGAGAGAAAATGACACTGAAACCTGCCTTGAGGCTCTGTCACACCCATGGAAGGGGCAAGGTGACAATTGAGATGTCTTCTAAAATGTGTGCATATTCCCAGTGTCAACCTGGGGCAGGAGATGATGGGAGAGATGTGGATTTTAGATAGGATGAGAGGTATACCTCTTCGATTTCCCAAACCTAACCCCTAAGGCCTAGAGATGTTGGTATGTTTCTGGTGGTAGCAGATGAAAGACAAATCAAAGTAAGGAACTCAGGAATGAGATAATCATGATTAGACTCATTTGAGCATTGAAATAAGCACATAGAGGTAAGTAACGAAAAGACCCATTTTAAAAAAAGAAGTTAAATATTTTTAAAGAAGAAATTTGGTCATATTTACAACTTTAATTGAATTTGGGAAATCTGGTAAAGGAGAGGGGTAAAATGGAATATTGAAACTACACCTTTAATTTAAAATTATTTATATGTTATTGGCCTTGGCATTTAGTTAAACACAGATTTTTAAGAATGTCTTTCAGAAAATTATGCTGCTAGAATTGGATGTCTAATAGCACACACACATACGCTGAACTCAAAAAAATGACAAAAGAAAAAGAAAACATTGAAAAGAAGACCATAATACAAAATAACAGATGCAAGAATGAATATAAAAATATAATAGATGAAAGGATCAAAGTTTTAAAAGTAAAAGTGTTAATCCCAGCACTTTGGGAGGCTGAGGTGGGTGGGTCACGATGTCAGGAGATCAAGACCATCCTGGCTAACACTAACACAGTGAAACCCTGTCTCTACTAAAAATACAAAAAATTGGCCAGGCGTGGTGGTGGACACCTGTAGTCCCAGCTACTTGGGAGGCTGAGGCAGGAGAATGGCGTGAACCCAGGAGGCAGAGCTGGCAGTTAGCCAAGACCATACCACTGCACTCCAGCCAGGGTGACAGAGCGAGACTCTGTCTCAAAAAAAAAAAAAAAAAAAAAAGAGGAAAAGTGTTAGATTGTATTACGTTAATTTCAATGTTATGCTTGCTACTTGAACTAGTTAAATAAGCTTGAAATAAACAAAATTAAAACTTTAAGTTAAAAAAGAATAAATGAGCAAGGATATACAAAATAATAAGGAAAAACTAATGTTAGTGAAAATAGACATAAAATGCTTTTTATTTCTAAAGGGTAAAACTTCTAAGGAAGACTCAACAATCATGAGACTCAACATTCATGTACCTAGAAGAGCATAAACATGGACAAATCAAAAGTCATCTGAAATATGAGGAGAAACTAATTCTAATGAAGGATTTTAGAATGTATTTTTAATCTACTACTGATCAAGAAACCCAAAATAGATCCTTCTTCAGTATATTGCAGAAAAAGTAGATGCATGATAACATAGAAGATGAAACTTTTATTTGGTAAAGTTGATTAATTAATGGGTATAACACTTTTCTCAGCAAACTGCAAAATTAAAAAAAAATGCTTCTGTTGTCCATGGGACATTTACAAAAAGATTACAAAGAAAATCACAATAAACTCTACAAAGCAGTAATGGTACAGGCCACTTGCAGAGATTAGCAAGTGACAACACTGGGAACTTGAGAGAGTGACTTGGGTTTTCTCCCACAATGCTGATATGATTGTAAATCACGTGAAACTTTCTGGAAAGCAGTTTGCCAATATCTATCAAGAAGTTTAATTATGGTTTTATCTATTTAAGAGTAATTCCACTCTAAGAGTAATTCCACTTCTAAGAAACCATTATAAAGAAATGTTTTGAAGTATAGATACATACTTTTGCCAAAGTTTTTATCAACATTTTCAACAATAGAGAAATTATTAAGATATAATATCTCCATATGATGGCATATTATGCTGAAAGTAAAATAGTATTTACCAAGATGTATTAATGACATAGGAAAATAAAAATAATGTAACAAAGTGTGAAAAAACTAGAAATAAAATTATACTTAGTATTATCGGAGAGACAGAGAAAGAGAAAAGAGAGAAAGAGAGTAGCTGAAGAAAGTGCACCTAAAATATTCATCATTACACTTTTGATTGCTATAATCATAGTGACATCTAATTTCTTTTTTTGTAATTATCTGTATTTTCACTTTTTTCAAGATGTCTGTATTTAAAACTATGAAAAAGTAACATAATAATTATTTCTTTACAATGCATAAGCTGTCACTTGAAATTGAATACTTTCATCCCTGTCCTTCAATAGTCATAGGTCATTGGCTCCAGGAGCTTCCTGTGGATACCAAAATCTGCAGAAGCTCAAGTTCCTGATATAAAATGACATAGTATTTGCATATAACCTATACAATCCTCCCATATGCTTTAAATCATCTCGATTATTTATATCTAGTACAATGGAAATGCTATGTAAATAGTTGTCATTCTGTATTTTATTTGTATTATTTCCTATTGTGGTATTGCTATTTTTATTGGGGTTTAAAAAATGTTTTTGATGTGAAGTTGGTTGAATCCACGGATATGGAACCTACAGATATAAAAAGGGCTGTCTGCATTGTTGGGGCCTATAACCTAACATTGTTAGCCACACCATCTTTAAATGCTTCCTGTTTAACTCAGTTTTCCTATAAAGTGTGAAATCATATTGTCTTGTGGTCTTAGAATATTACCAGGTGGAAGCATAGCCATGGAGCAAGCATGTTGGTGGCAGTGGTAATTACCAAGAGACCCTCCGTGGAAAGGAGACAGTTTGGAGAGAGGGGTTGTGACCATGTTGTGAACTGATCATTCCTCCACAGACGCATTCGTGAAACGCAGATCAAATCATGCAGAAGTCTAAAACTCACTAATGGATTCCTTATTGCTCTTAGACCAGAAACAAAATTCCTATATTCATAAGTTGACCATACTTTCCAATTAGTCCTATATAGTGTCATTTTACATCACTGTCTTGGTGAAATTATTGATAGTGTTCCTTTTTACTCTGGAATAGGGTCCATTTGGATAACAAATTATACATCACTCCATTTCTATGAACTACAAAGATTAGGCTGTTTGGCTTCAGTATGCATCCCTAAGCTCAGTGCTAACTCCACGTTTCTCTTCAGCTGCAGCCACTCCGGCCTTCTTTGACACCTTTTCACTTATTAGACTCTGTTCATCAAGCTGTGATTTTTGGTGGGAGGTGGTTATATTGTGCATTGTTGGAGAGGGTGATGGGGAAACTGAGCACAATAAATGAGCAGGAGAGAATTATTTTTCTGCATTACCTTTGATGGGCTTTGGACACAAGATATGCTGTGCTGTTTGAGTTTGAGGCAAGAGGGGCAGAGCAGCAATGGAAAGCAGAGGGCTCTACATATTTCCTAAATATAGTTATGAAAATTGATAGAGTGTCACCAAGGGTCTAGGTGTGTAGATTATGTAGAGAGGAGTGAGCAGGAAGTAATGAAGAAGCCAGGCCCATGGGAAGTGGGAAAACCTACCTAAGAGGCTGGCCCTAATAAGAGCGGCAGAATAAGCAATTCCACAAAACACACTAAGTATGAAATATCAGACCTAGTTCAAGCTTCCATGAATATAGGAAACAATCAGCAGTGGTGGGAGATATATTTTTACAAGGCAGACTCATGGAGGCAGCATGCCATACTCAGGGTAATACCTGTGATTCACAGGAAAAGAAACAGGATACAGAATCCAGCCTGCTGGGGAAGGAGGCTGGCAGAACAAGAAACAGTCTGGGCTCAAGGCAAGTATTCACTCTGTTACCTTAAAGCGGTCTCAATCCAGACCCCAAGAGATGGTTCTTGGACCTCGCACAAGAAAGAATTTGGGGTGAGTCCATAGAGTAAAGTGAACGCAAATTTATTAAGAAAAAAGTAAAGGAATAAAAGAGTGGCTACCCCCTAGGCAGAACAGTGGCATGGGCTGCTCAACTGAGTATGCTTATAGTTATTTCTTGATTATATGCTAAACAAAGCATGAATTATTCAAGAGTTTTCTTGGAAAGGGCTGGGCAATTCCCAGAAATGAGGGCTCCTCCCCTTTTTAGACCATACAGAGTAACTTCTGGACATTTCCCTGGCATTTGTAAACTATCATGGTCCTGGTGGGTGTGTCTTTTAGCATACTAAATGCATAATAATTACTGTATAATGACCAGTGAGGGCGACCAGAGGTCACTTTTGTCACTGTCTTGGTTTTGGCCAGCTTCTTTACCACAATCTGTTTTATCATCAAGGTCTTTGTGACCTGCATCTTGTGCCAACCTCCTATCTCATCCTGTGACTAGGAGTGCCTAACCTCCTTGTAATGCAGCCCAGTAGGTCTCAGCCTTATTTTACCCAGCCCCTATTCAAGATGGAGTCGCTCTGGTTCAAACACCTGACAATCCCTTAAGGAGAATGAGCTTGTCAAGCAGGAGCGTGAGGTAGGAACTGTGCCCTAGGTCATAAGTGGATTGGAGAGAAATCATCCAGAATCCTGAGGCTGAAGAATAGAGTTGACATGGGCCACAAGATCTAACTTGAATACTCATTAGATACAGAATATGGGGCTTCTGATGTACTCAATGTCCTAGTCTGGAATGCATCTGGGCCCATAGGGAGAACTGAAAAGATCCTACTGAGGGAGCACGGCTGGGCAAAAGTAAAGGAAACAAGGTAGGGGCTGGCAGTAAGGAAAAGGAGAGAAAAGGGGAAAGAGTCCTAGGAAGCTTTTAGATAAGAGAAAGTGTTAACAGAGATTTCCCCTTACCTAAAACTAAAAGGTCATAACTTGTAGAAACTAAACAATGAAAAAACTGTTTTTGATCCTATATTCCTTTGCTTTATTATTTAAATTAAAGTTCAATTCTATGAATGCAAAACAGAAAGCCCAATCTTTTTCCCAGTATTGTCATAATCATTTTTAAGCACAATATTAGGAGATAGGATTAAGTAAACAGTGTTTTTTTGAACAGATTTTTTTTGCTACTCTGCCTGGGAACAGCTGATATATATGAGGGTCTAGTCTAAAACCCAGTTCAAAAATAATATTTTAGTTGGACCAGATACTCTTATGATTTACACCTAACATCGGCCTTAACTCTGACTAAAAGCCAAATTTTAGTAACAAAAAGAAACCTAGTGTAATTTCCTGGTTCTGAACAGCATTGAAAAGCTCACACAGAGACCAATCCAAAACCCAAGAGAGCTTTCCCATATGTCATCAGATATCTGTGGGTTGATAAATTCTAGTTCTAACTCTTGAGATCTGTATTTTCCCATGTATATTGCGAATCCACTGGTGATAAGTAAATGAGTTAAAAGAATGAATCATATATGTCTCTTCATTAATCTTTTGTGCATTTTCAGTAATGCTCAAAAGAAGTTGAGAAAGCTAGGTTTCAAAAATATTAAGCAATTCATAGCTTTTCTCATGAGTTCCCTATTTTTCTTGCTTCTTGAGATTTCATGTGGTCTCCTGAAATTCTGAATTCTTGTTACCTATACTTTCCATGTTATAGCTTCTCTTTGGTTTTCTCAGAATGTTTTTCCTAACGTCAGGACTTGCTCTTTGAGAGCTTCTGCAACCACCATTCCAATAATTTTTCACATTCAACTTATATACAAGAAGTTACTTGCTGGATGGACTTTCTGTGTGTGTGTGTCTGTGTGTGTGTGTGGGGGAAAATCTGAATTCTTTATTTGGACTGATCCAACTCAGGAGGAAAACATTAATTTTAATTACTTGCATAAACAAGAAATAAGAAAATAAGCCTTTTACATTAAAAAATACAAAAACAAATGTCAAGCTGAATGTAAATTATTTTTGTTTTTGTCATGATTTGGATTAGTTATACTACATCTTCTATTATGCAAATATTTCAGAATTAAATATACTGTATTATATCTCTGTTTTATCATTAAATTAATGAAATGTAAGTTTCTTCCTATTGGAAAAAATGATATTCATCTTAAATTCTGAGGAAATATTGAGGAAAATATTTCTTAGATGGATACAAATTCCTCATGTTGTTTAACTGACTTTGGAATAGGAAGAATTACGCTCTTCTTCCAAGCACTTTCAGAATGCAGTGTCGGGAGTCAGTTTAAAAAAAAATCACCTCAATTGAAGAAAAAAAGAGAGGGAAAAGAAATGGAGGGAAGGGTTTAAAGAGCCACTTACAGTGCAAACTTTAATGCTTAAACAATGTAATGGTGATATGATGTACGGGTCTACATTAGTAGAACATCAGTTTAAAAGTAGTGTTAGTCTTCTTTCCATATTTCAGTAGCTTTATTCTCCCCCTCAACCCTTATTATTTCCAATTATTTAGTCATTCAGGTGTGAAAGTGTTTTTGTTGTTGTTGTTGTTGTTGTTGTTGTTGTTGTTGTTTGAGATGGAGTTTCACTCCTGTTGCCCAAGCTGGAGTGCAATGGCGCCATCTCAGTTCACCGCAACCTCTGCCTCCTGGGTTCAAGCGATTCTCCTGCCTCAGCCTCCCGCGTAGCTGGGATTAGAGGCATATGCCCCCATGCCTGGCTAATTTTGTATTTTTAGTAAAGATAGGGTTTTACCACGTTGGTCAGGCTTGTCTCGAACTCCCGAACTCAGGTGATCCACCTGCCTTGGTCTCCCAAAGTTCTGGGATTACAGGCATGAGCCATCGTGCCTGGCTGAAAGAATGAAAACATTTATTGGTCAATCATTTATTTTCCTAAGTCATTTATTCCTATAGGCACTGATTGCATTTGTTTAAAAGTCAGTGTTATTTTCTTAATAGAATCTACATAAAAACAACTCACGAATTAATTTGACATATCTAAGTGGCTGCAGTAAGCTTGATTATGTTAATCTCTTGCTAGTGAACTTTTTTGAGGTACATTTGGTGTCCTGGCCATTGTGTTTGTCTTGTAGATACTCATCTTACTACTCTTTTCGCTTCTGTCAAACAGAATGACCAAATCTTGGAAAGACCTGAGGAGAAAATTTATAAGTTTTATATAGACTGTATTATAAAGTTAGTGCATTTTTCCCTGCAAATTCTAAGTGTTTTCCCTTAATATTTTGTTTGTTATCCCTAAGCCAAATAATCCTGTGAGAAATTTTAGGTCTAGAATAATTGTAAATGTTCCCAGTACTTTATTTATATTTTTTGAAAGCGAGCAACAATTACTTATCAAATGAATAATTGTCCTTCAACCTTTAGTTTTTCCAGGGGCAGCCAATATACTATTGCTTGGCTATTGCCTATGTCTGTGACCACAAGCAAAAAACCCAATTGGAAAATATAGCTTCCCAATAGTGGAGATTTAGGATTAGCAATGTGCAGAGCTCGATAGATGGTTTGGAATTATTTAGCAGGCAAGGTTCTCATAGTTATCCAAAACATATCAAACAATCTCTCATTTTGGTCTCAAAGAAGACCTAGCCATCTAAAAAGTTTTCAGTTGTACCCAATTCAGCAAAATATAATCTGAAAAACGACTGGACTTGGAGTCAAAAGAACGTGGCTGGAATCCCAGCTTCAAATTTATTAGCTTATTTAATATTTGACAAGTTAATTTACCTTTTGAAACCTTAGTACACTAGAGTGTAAATTTAGAATAACAAATTACTGAAAGGGTGATTTTCAGGATGGTCTAAGCACATATTAGATGTTCAGTATATGATAGTTCAATCTTAGTCTAATGCCAAGTTGACATAATGAAAATATCAAATGCAATTGAAAATAATCAATCTTATTTTTTGTGTATTATTATTACTAACTTTGGGTCATCTGAAATATTAAATTTCATTGACATAAACGTATTTGTTTCCAAAGTTAAAATTATTTATATTTGGTTTAAAGAATTAAGAATAGTGAACATTTGTTTTATCTATATCTAAATCCATGGGTTTTAGATAGATAATTATTACTATTGTTTTCAACCTTTCCATTACCATTTCCAGAATTTTAGAAGCTTTCAAGTAATTTTTGTTTCTTGCATCTATGTTGTCAGTAGAAAAAATGGACCAGTATCATTAAGATAATGATGTGATATTACAAAATAAGAATCATGATTTGTCATATTGCTAACACCGGATAGCATTAGGGCAATTCTGTTTACTATGATGGGAAGAAACTTCTCTCATTTTAAAAGAAGATCTTAGAGCCGAGCCTGGATATTAAGTAAATTAGAGAATGTTACTGACTTAATGTCTATATAAATATTGGAATTTTTCTTCTCACATTTTCTCTCCTCTTCATTCTTTTTCTCAAAAATTTCACTATCTCCCCTCCATAATAAAGAAAAAATAAGTGCAGAGAAACTAACAATCAACCCCCAAACATCACGCAACTCCATTCTTCTCTGGCCTAGTCTTTTTACTAATTTCCTATTTTCTTCAATTTTTCAGTAGTAAATACATAGAACTTTCTATAATGTAATGACTTTCACAGCATCCACTTTTTTTCATATTCTCTTTATTTCCATTTATATCTATGCCTTAGGACTTATTCAACTTCAGGTCTACATTTTTTTGACTCATTTTCCATAACTGAATGTTCATTTTCTATTGCTGCTAGGCAATGTCACAGACAAGATTAAGAATTCATTATTTATGTTATCTATGTGTTTGCAGTCTGATAGAAAAAATAAAGTACATCACCCAAGGAACCATGTGTATAAATCGGGATTCTACAGAGAAACAGAATCAATACAAGATAGATATAGATAGAGAGATAGATAGATAGATTGATTGATTGATTTGTTTTCAGTAATTGGCTCATGCAATTATAGAAGCTGAAAAGTCCCAAGATCTGTAACTGGCAAGCTGGAGACCCAGGAGAGCTTGTTGTGTAGTTCCAGTTTGCAAGCTGGTAGGCTCAAGACCAAGGAAGGGTAGATGTTTCAGTTTGAGTCCGAAGGCAGAATAAAGACCAAAGTCCCAGCTCAAGCAGTCAGGCAGGAGGAAGACCCTCTTAGTCATTTTATTCTATTTAGGTCTTCAGCTGGATGGATGAGGCCCATCTATAGTAGGGAGGACAATCTACTTTAATCAGTCTACTGATCTAAATATTAATCTAATTAAGAAACACTATCACAGATACACCCAGAATGTGTAACTGAATGTCTAGGCATCCTGTGGCCCAGTTGAGCTGATACATAAGTTAACCATGAGCCACCAGTGAGCTACGGAGTATAATCCATTTAATAGCTCTGAATAAATGATGCTCAAATCAACTTCAGCAGCCCTGACTTCTCATCTCTATTCCAGTCTTATATTCTTTACTTCCCACAAAACACCTCTATGTGGATATTCTTTGTTCACTCAAAATTCCTTATGTTTAAATAAAGATAATGTTGCAATTACTTTCTTATCTCTGTCAATATCTTGATTAGTGGCAATATTAATCTTTTTCTTTTCCTGGCTTTATAAACTCCTCTGGCAGTTTTTGCATTCATGTTCCCATGATCATAACTACTACCAGATTGTATTAAGTTTTACTTTTAAGTATCTCAGATTTACTCACTTATTCCCACTCCCATCATGTGAGGTCACAGTTTTATAATTCCACATCTAGATTATTACAACAGCATCCAGATCCAACCTTGTGTCATTAATTTCTTTTATTGGTAATCTGTTTAAATATCAGACCAGATTTCCTACAGCACAATTTCTTTCTTGTGATCCTTTAGCCCTAGGAAATGCTCAGGGCTTACTATGGCCAAACCTGTCATGCCTGCTCTTTTCATGAAATTTTTTAGTTTCTCAAAAATCTGACCTTAGTTATTGATATGGTTTTGCTCTGTCCCCACCCAAATCTCATCTTGAATTGTAGCTCCCATAATTCCCATGTGTCATGAAAGGGACCCAGTGGGAGGTAATTGAATCATGGGGGCAGGTCTTTCCTGTGTCGTTCTTGTGATAGTGAATAAGTCTCATGAAATCTGATGATTTCATAAAGGGGAGCTCCCCTGTACTCTCGCCTGTCACCACGTAAGATGTGACTTTGCTCCTCATTTGTCTTCCGCCATGATTGTCAGGCCTCCTAAGCCATGTGGAATTATGAGTCAATTAAGCCTCTTTCCTTTATAAATTACCCAGTCTTGAGTATGTCTTTATTAGCAGTGTGAGAACAGACTAATAGTTATTGATCTATTCTTCTCTCCAGCCTTACTAACTTAAGCCTTTGACATGGTCTTCACAATTGTTCTTAATTCCTCTTTCTACCCCTCCAATATAGACTTTCCTTCCTTATCATTGCTCATGATGCTCTTTGGCAATGCCCTTCCTCTTTAATCATGGATCAAATTGAATTCACTTTTTAAGGCCAAACATTAATTAAGCCAACCTCTCCGCCTCAATGAAAACTTTGACTATTTAGATTCTCGGTCATCTCTGAATTTTTATAGCATTTATAACCTGTCTCCCTTGGCACTTCATCATATATTTCTATGTATTACTACATTAATATTTCATGTTTGTTTGCTTTGCTCCTCCTGAATACAATGTCTATGTATTATACTTAATAGTAGATGTAAATATTTAATAAAAGTGTTGATTAACTGGTAAACGTGCTTTTACTTTCTCAAAGCAAAATATCACATAACTTTTCCAAAGATAATTTCATATATTTGGACTGTGGTACTTGTGTTATTTTAAACCTCTTAGTATTCTGCTCCCAAAATATAACACATGAGTGGGAAATGACCTACAGTATCTGTGTATATAGCTCATGAGTCAGGAAGATATGAGGTAATTTCCCAATGGAGGGAGAACAAGACTAAATACCAACATCTGGGATTTAGTTAGTAAATGAAAGAGAGAATGAAGGTGGGAAAAATACCTTTATATACCGTGTTTTTTCTCCAGATTCTCTGGATGAAATTGAATGGTATGTGATCTACATATTACTAACCAGCGGGACACATCTAAAGTATTTATAGTATGCTTTATATGCTAAAAATTTTCTAAATGAACAGTTAATGAGATGAATTAAAAATGTAAGCAACCTAGAAAAAAAAAGATCATGAAACACCACTACTGATTAGACTTGTGGGCTGAGGCAGAGGAATTCCCACTTAAATTGAAGGAGATCATTAACAAGTGGGCTATGAGTTGCTCAGATAATTATCACAACATGAAAACCACCTTTCCGGATAGGCTTGCTGAAAACCAAACTGAGCCTTTACACCCAAGCAATAACCTACTACATCATTTAGCAAAATTCAAACATAACCTTCATTTCTGTGTTAAATGTGTATGTGCCATGGTTTTATGTTTTTTGTTTTTTTTAGGATGTTCGTGTTTTAATTATAATTAAAGTTTTAGTTACCTCTACTATTATTATCTAGTTAAATAATTAAACAGAAGAAATATTGTTATTAGACACCCTTTAAAATATGTAAGAATAAGCTTCTATGATTCAGGAAATAGATAATTGGGTGAGAAGATTTTTCTTTTCCTATACGCTAATGAGGCGGCAATCTTGATTAGTTTAATTGCATTAGTAGATGGCACATTTCCACAAATATATATTATATAATCCATCTTTGTATTTATGCTGTGTGTGTGAGTTAGAACAGATTGGCACTCCCTAACAGTCAACAACAGGAGGAGCTAGATTTAGGCTTTAGTGGAATTAACAGTCTGCCAGGAATAAGTGGCTAGTCTATCCTCTGTATCAAGAACTCTCCAAGTTGCTTCCTCAAAGGCCATTATAACATTCCTGACATTTTTTGCACTTATTTCAAAGTAGGGATAGTTTCTGTTGTCCTTGCACCAGGTCTGGGCTTTTCCCATAGACTCTTGACAGTCACTCAAGTTAATCTTGCTACCCAAAATCACAAAAGAAAATGTCTCAGGTTTTTGAGATCTGCATAATGTATGAATTCTTTCCTGTGGTTGCTGGAATTCTGGAAGCTTTGGGTATCATCCACAGTAAAATTAAGAAGGCTGCAGTCAGATCCTCTGTAACACAGGTTCTTGGGCTTCTGAATTAATTTGCTCAGCTTTGTCCCAGTGTGTCTGGGAAAAAGATGCTCGTCTGCTTTTCAGTTTTTATTTTAAAAATTTGTACTTACTGGGTGAAACACCTGCATGTATCAGTTGTATTAATTACATATTTATTCATAAAAGAACTCTTCACAACTCCACTAACTCTGAGAAAAATTACTTTAAAATTTTTTTAAAAAAAACAATTGCTTGTCACAAAGTGACAAGAACCAAATTAAACATTTCCAGTACTTTTTATCCCTTCCTGTGAATTTGAGGTTCCATCAGGTATCATTTCCTTTTATCTTGAAGAACTTCCTTAATTATTACTTACAGAGCAGGTCTGCCAGGAGTAGATTTTTCTCAAGTTTTTTTTTTCTGAAAGTGTCCTTATTTCCACCTTATTTTTGAAGAGTGATTTTAATAGATACAGAATTTTGGATTGATAAGGTTTCTTTAAAGCACTTTAAGGATATCCTTTCATTGGCAACACCCAAAATGTGACACTGCAAATAGGAAGTTGTAGAATGCGAAATAAAAGTGAAAGCTGCTAAGATCAAGGAATAAATATACCAAATTATTAGGATGAGTTTTCTATGAAGATGAAAGACTCTCCTATTATGGTGCCAGAAATCTGAATGGAAAGAAAGACAATAAATCAAGTACTACTTTCTCAGTGACTAAGGGTGAGTTGTGAAAAGGTCAGAACATGACAGTAATGAAGAAGGGAGAAGCAAAATGTTCCTTGGTTTTTAAATCTAATACTCTTTCATTAATAGTTTTAAATATTTTTTTTTTTAATCCAAAGTATTTACTGGGAATCCTTTGAGAGCGGTCTGCTTTTCTGCTTTGGGCTCTTTCTCTAGACCATTTCCTTTTTAACTGTGATGATTTCCCTTGACATCTTCTAACTTAGCAGAGTTGCCCCATCAATTGGGTTTTATATTGAATACTATGGTTCTGCTGAAAATTTAGGGGTAACTTTCAAATCTAATTTTAACCCAATAATCTGCTTTGTAACTTTCTGTTTATTGACACTATATAGCAATAATCTTTTCTCATCTGATCTTATCCCATTCCACACTCTAAACTAGAACAAAGATTAGTAACTTATTGCTCACTATTTATCATTTGTTTTCCACCCATCTGGGTTATAAACATGTTATCTTTTCTATGCAGAGTGTCCCTTTAACCTATCACTAAATCTTCCCTAATTCATTAATCCCAACTCTATGTAAGTTAACACCCTTTGTGAAACATTTCTAGATTAAACTTCAATGCCATATGATATCAAACAAATTCTGGTTGCCCAAATTAGTCTCTCAGCACCTTGATTTGCCATTTTCTTTGTATCACATTGTTTTCTTTGAGGTTGTTGTTTCTTTGGAGTGCATGGCGTGAGATTGTATCTTAGATTTTCTCCTAGTCTCTTATCATATTGCATGTATCTGACTGCCTTATCATTCATAGCCTATCTACAGATAAAAATGGAAGAAACCTTCAGAAGCTTCTATGTTGTTTACTTTTTCCATTTACTTACATTATTAAGCGTGCATTATATGTAGTTTTTATAATATGAAGAGAAATTTAAATTGAATTGTGTAGAGATGTTTGCTTGCCTTCATTTTCTCAAGTAAAATGAGATGAAGTAATTCCTAAGATAATTTCCACCTGCCACATATAATTGTTTCAGATGAATGCAAAAGAGGTCTCCTGTCTTTCTCTAAAAGTACAATAATTTTCCATCTTTAATAGCATGCAAACAAACTCAATAGCTTTAGCTAATCAGTTATTGTTCTGCTATCACTGTCCGCCTAAACTCAGTGTCCAGACTA
This sequence comes from Homo sapiens, assembly GCF_000001405.40. Taxonomy (NCBI): domain Eukaryota; kingdom Metazoa; phylum Chordata; class Mammalia; order Primates; family Hominidae; genus Homo; species Homo sapiens. The sequence goes on from NC_000008.11 coordinate 74,806,460, forward strand.
ATTTTGTGTGTTACCTTCTTTTTGTGTAACTCCATAACTTCTTCTAATACTTTTTGGTCTTAACAGTCATACTCAAAATGCTCTTTAATATAAAAAATATATATTTGACAGGCAGGTCTAATAATGTATTACCAACCCAGTTAGCTGTACATATCTCAAAAGAAGCCTACATCTACCACCTTTTTGATCTCTTCATTCCTTGAGTGAACTCACTGAAATCTAGTTTTTGGCCCAATAATTTATTGTTGCTATTTCCAAAATATTATAAAAGAATTTGCTATTTCTAAGTACGACTGTCACTTTTCAAACTTGACCCAACATGACTAAAACTAAATTTTGACCCTCCTTCCCCAATCAGCTTTTCCTCCTGCATTTCATCTAAGAAGTCTTTTCACTCAGCTGTTGCTTGAAATATTCCCTTGCCTTTATTTCCTTTATTCAGATTTTTTTTATTAAATCAATTACCTTAAGCCAAGATTTTTAGAATTTCTCCTTCTGAACAGCATACTCTTACTGTCTTAGTTCAGTCATTCATGGTCTGTCACCTGTACTATTATAATAATTCTTTAAAATGCTTTCTTGCTTGTTTCCTTCTCTCTAGGCCCATCATTTATGTTGTCACAAGGCATCTTTCTTGAACACAATTATTTTCATGCCATTTACTTGATCAAAACCTTCAATGGCTCCTCACATAGAAGAAAATAAAATTCAAATTTCTTAGCATAATATTAAGGGGTTTCTGTAATTTGGACCTAATATTATTTTCCAGCCTCAATTCCCCATCCTCTCCTCCTCCATACAGTTCAGCTTCTAATCTCATTATTCTACTTTCTGTGCCATGAACACTTCAGCTCCTGTAAAGCCTCTTGCCTTTATTTCTGCTGTTGATCTTGTCAGAGGCATGTGGACCAGAGCAATTCCATCTTGAATAGGAGGAGCTAGGTAAAACGAGGCTGAGACCTACTGGGCTGCATTCCCAGATGGTTAAGGCATTCTAAGTCACAGGATGAGATAGGAAGTTGGCACAAGATACAGGTCATAAAGACCTTGCTGAGAAAACAGGCTGCAGTAAAGAAGCCAGCTAAAACCCACCAACATCAAGATGGCGACGAGAGTGACCTCTGGTAGTACTCATTGCTACATTCCCACCAGTGCCGTGACAGTTTACAAATGCCATGGCAATGTCAGGAAGTTACCCTACATGGTCTAAAAAGGGAGTCATGAATAATCCACCCATTGTTTAGCAAGTAATTCAGAAATAACCATAAAAGTGGGCAACCAGCAGCCCTCGGAGCTACTCTGTCTGTGGAGTAGACATTCTTTTGTTCCTTTACTTTCCTAATAAACTTGCTTTCACTTTACAGACTAGCCCTGAATTCTTTCTGGCGTAAGATCCAAGAATCCTCTCTGGGCATCTGGATCTGGACCCCTTTCCTGTAACAATCTGAAAAAACTGGCTTTGCAAAAATTATATCAGTGAGAAAATAATGACAGTGAAAGAGATCTGAGCTAACCCACCCAACAGGAGTCTTGCCTTTCCCCTAATCATTCCTGGGCTATTGGGCCAAGCTAACTTTGGAAGACATTTAGGCTATAGTTTCAATGATAATAGGCCTTGCCCAAAACTCAACTGCTTTTGTAAAGCTAATGGGAGGCCATCAGGCTGGGGAGAGGAGAGGAGCCTGAGTGTTGCTGGGGTGCAGACATAAATGATCGTCAGCCATTATTGCAGAGGTTATAAGATATGCAACTTCCCCAGTTACTCCTGCAAAAAACACCCACTATTGTAGATTGGCCTTTTGAGATACCTTCTCAGGTTTTTTGCATGCCTGACACCCATGGCTCTACCTGGACCCACCAACCTCATTCCTGTGGCCCCATTCAGAAACGATTCAGCCCACAGGAGGACAGCTTCCACTCCCCATGATTTCATCTCTGTCAGAACCAATCAGCAGCAAGTACCTGGCCACCCTAACCCCTTCTCCTAAACTGCCTTTGGGAAAATCCCTAACCTAACAGCTTTGGAGGAGATGATTTGAGTACAAACTCCATTTCCCATATGGCATGGTCAGCCTCACGTCCATTATATTCTTTCTCTATTTGCAATACCATGGTATGTCTTTATGTAACAGGCAAGGAGAACCCCTTGGGCGGTTAAAAATTACTCTCTCTCTACCACAATGCTGTGGTTTTTCTTTGTGCAGTGGGCAAGAATAACCCACATATCCATACCCCTCTCTGTTGAAATTCTATTTTTCTCTCATTATTCTGATGAAATGCTTTTTTTCTATGAAGTTTTCCCTATTGTGGTAGTTAGAAATGATCACTCACATACTTGATAATGCTATGTTTTTACTTTTAAAATTTTACTGATTAACCTTTCCTTGAGCTATGACTACTGTGTATATCTTTTGCCTTACTCAAGCATGAGTTGCTTGAAGGAAGGGACTGGGTCTATCCATGTGTGAATCTTCAGTGGCCAGCATTTATTTATAATTTATTTATATTTCATTCATATTTATAATTCAATAAACGTTTGCCAAAGGTTTTATACTGCTATTTAAATTATACTTTTCAAAGGTATCATATTCTGAAGTACATATAAAATATATTTGGCTAGAAATATATTAAAGGATAGCTATCTATTGAAAAACAGCTGCACTAATGATCTTGATTTTACCTAAATGATGTGTGAAGAACATGTTAGAGTAGGTAGCTAGCGGGCATGAGGAGGGCAGGAGAGGGCTGTCCCCCACCCCACTAGGAATGTGAGGCAACCATCAGGTGATGGTCAGGCAGTTTTCACAGTGGCTCTCTAAAATAATAACTGGTTGCAGCCTGCTGCAGGGAAAGGCAGTTTCGTAATAGATAGAAACACCTGTAACTGGTGATCAGCAACTTCCCAATAAGATCTCAGGAGCTGGGCGAGTAGGCTGAAGCTTGTTCACTAAGAGGCAAAATGGTGAGGTTTAACTGGTATGTGACCTTCTGGGGACATTCCACTGGTAAATGGAGGAACACCTCAAGTGAGCATGCATACAACTCCAATAAACACACTGTACATGCTCCCTTCCCAAGCGCTAGAAGGCCATTGCACATGCAGACAACCCCCGCCAAGGGAAGAATCAGGGAGAAGAGATGCAAGACTCCAGAAGTATGCCACCATATACAACCCAAGTCAAAATGTCAAATCCCGAACTTGTCCTCCAAGATGCCCGCTTGGCCCTCTTCGAAGTATACTTTACTTTCTTTTCATTCCTGCTCTAAAGCTTTTTAATAAACTTTTACTCTTGCTCTAAAACTTGCCTTGGTCTCTTCTCCTACCTTATGCCCCTCAGTTGTATTCTTTTTTCTGAAGAGGCAAGAATTGAGGTTGCTGCAGACCCATACAGGTTAACAGCTGGTAACTCAGATACCTGCCACCACTAACAAACCAACCAACATATAGTGCCCTCTTTACTGTAGATAAGACAAGGGCAGGCCCGTGATGTGGGTTTTGAGCCAGTTCTATGGGTTCATATTTAGTCTTTGCGCAAATATTAGTGGTGTTCAGGAGTGGTTAGAGACCACTGTTTTCTATATTGAAAGAGGGCATGATTATCATACACTATCATAATATCAAGAGAAAAATATGCCACTTCAGCTCCTTTCCCCCTTTATAATTTTGCTATTTTCTTACCTCAAAAATGGATCCTACTAATTTCTTCCCTTTGGTAGCATCACAGATAGAACAGAATATACAAGCCAAGAAAAAAAAAAAGGCAGCTGCCCTTTACAGTTTTCAGTGCTGACAAATTTATTTTGGTTGCATTTCCAAATGTGCAAAGCCATTAACACAACTCCATTTGGCTAAAATCTCATTAGAGATCACTTCTGACATGAGGTCCAACTTCAGCCAGAGAACTGATTTGGGACACTTCCAGGGATTATCTTGTCATTTGAATATCGAGGAAGGAGAGGCTGGGTGACCCAAGACTCTGGACCTCCTTTCTCTCCTAGAGCTCAGGATCTCAGAGCTTTTGGCTCAGAACCTCTGCCAGAGTGAAGTTGTGGTTCTCCGAGAGATGGGGTCATTGTTATTATTATTCCAGTCTCCAAGGCAAAATACATTGTGTGACCAGGGATGTAGGTAGTGCCAAAAACCACCTGGAAAAGACCCATAGCTGTCACAGGGCCACATTGAAATGTGAATCATTGAAACTGCTGAGCACTACAAAAACATGACAATTTTGTTTTTTACCCTCAGCCGGATGATAGTTAAATAAAAGGACCAAAGGTATTTAGAAGAATTCAACTTGCTAAAAGTGACATTTATTTTCTTCTGACTTACTATGGCCCACATGATGTTATTCTAACTGACCTATTTAGAAACATTTAAGAGTAATATAACAAGCAGTTGGTGGAGGATTGGCAATTTTCTTAAGCTGGTTCATGCGTCACTCTGCTTTTGTTTGTCCAGCTGCCAGTATAAATTATGATCTGTTGAAGTGGATCTTGCTTGGCCTTCTCTGAAGTTGGCCTGAACATTTGGACAATCACATGGACCTCTTTCTGAACAAGTGCATCATTTGATGGACTAATGTAGCTCAGATGATGCACAGATATTCTGTGAGCACAGAGGCAATCACTATTGGTGGGAAAATAAAGCAAGGAGAAAGACCAAAGGACACTTGTGTTTGTCCAGTTCTAAATGTTACTCAATGTGCTGGGACAGTGTGACACTGAGACCTCACTGATGTGTCTAGACATCTGGGATTTCACAGATGTTCCCACCGAATCTCTTGACTGCCTATTTACCCTACGCATGCCTTCTTCCCTTCTCCTTGTCAGTTTCTTCCTCCACTTTTCCAAGTATCCACCTTCTTCAGGAATTGGCATAGGCTCCTCTGGCAGCTGGTCTGACCACCTCACACTGAGGCTGACAATGGCATATGAACAGTGTGAGAGACTGTGACCCTTAGGTATAGAGTTGTTTCCTTTCAACCCATTTTTATTCTCTCTTTCACTACACTAAGTTCACTTTTGTCAAAAATGTAATTCTATTACTCCCTTTATGATGACCTTCCCAACCATGCACAATTTTTAAAGTTAGAAAATTGTCAGAACATGTTTCTTCTCCTCTTCCTTCAAAAATCTGGACATTCTCCTTCCTTTCATCCCTTGCCCTCCCACCTCCTCACTCTCACAATTTCCCCCCTCCCCTCAGGGTTCTTGGACACCAGCAGAAATGCCCTATATGTGCTATATCATATGTACATGTGTGTATAATTGTGTGCCAAGTGCTTTTTGTATGTTACTTCTTTTTAATTCTCACAACAACCCAGGGAGGTAGATTATTATCCCTTTTTTAAAGAGGAAAAAAAAATCAGGTTTAAGAAGGTTAGGTGACTTGCTGACAAGCCTGCAGCTGGGAAACAGTGGGGCTGGACATATGCTGGAGGTGGCTGTGTGTTTCCAGAGGATGTGCTCTCAACTGCCCTGCTAGGCTGCCTTTCACTTCCCTCCCCTAATATAGGAAAAGATTGTGGTAAATGTGAGGCTGACACTTGAATAAGCTGGAGATATCCTAGAGCTAGTAAAACAGAAGAAAGAATTCTTATGGCTTAATTGCCACCATCTCCTGGAAAAGAAAAATATATTTTTCTATGTTATAGGTTTTTTCAGCTTTTGGGTACCACTTGTTACTCTTCAGATCCTTGAAAAGTTGGCTTGAGGATGTGGTCTTTGGCCAAGTATACAAATATGGGGGAGTTAAGGGATTACACTGCTGACGTTACATTGTAGTGGGAGTATGTACACTTAAAAAACCCTCTGTTTAATAAATGACTGAAAATTACAAGAAAAGTGGGTAATATGGGATGATTTTTCCACCACAATGTTGGGAAATTGTACTCTTTGCTTTAGTTACTGTTAATCAGAGATAGATATTGCACATTGTGGTTTGTGAAGGACAATTTGACTTGAGATGTTAAAGGGGCACACATAAAAGGTACCTGTCATTTGAGTTTTCAAGAGTTTAGTTTAATCAGAATGCAAAGATTTTTGTATCATTTTCTTTCACTCATACTAAGGTCATTATTGTCTTTAACTTTCAGATGTGTAAATAACTGAACAACCAAAAACTATTTATTGAGTCTATATTATGTACAGATTACTTTTCTAGATACTATGGGGGCAGAGACGATTATAGTCTTTGTCCACCAAGAAAAAAATAATTGTGGTTGTGTGGTAGTTAGCAGATTGATCCACATAAAACAGAGAAGGAATAATAAAGTATTTAGTCAAATACAAAATAGAGTGGTGTCATCTATAGGATAATTCAGAGAAGTGAGATAAACATTGGTTTGCACTACTTCATGTTGTCCCCAAAAAGGTTTTGAAACAAAAGACATGAGACAACTTGTGGAAGTGTTTAGATAGCTTGTAGGAAAGATCTGCAGAGGTGAAGAGAAAATGAGTTTACACCACTGGGGAGACATACTGTGAAGGCTGGATGACAGCACATCAGTGTAAAACATGGCTGACTGAATATTTTAAGCCCACGATTGGGACCTACTGCTCAGAGAAAAAGATTTCCTTCAAAATATTACTGCTTATTGACAATGCACCTAGTTACCCAAGAACTCTGATGGAGATGCACAAGGGGATTCATGTTGCTTTCATGCCTGCTAACACAACATCCATTCTGCAGCCCACAGGTCAAGAAGTAATTTTTACTTTCACATCTTATTATTCAAGAAATACATTTTGTAAGGCTATAGCTGCTGTAGATAGTGAATCCTCTGATGGATCTGGGCAAACTAAATTAAAAACCGTCTGGAAAGGATTTATCATTCCAGATGCCATTAAGAACACTTATGATTCATGGGATGAGGTCAAAACAGTCACATTAACAGGAATTGGAATGAGTTGATTCTAACCCTTATGGGTGACTTTGAGGGAATCAAGATTTAAGTAGAGGAAGTAGCCGCAGATGTGGTAGAAAAAGCAAGAGAACTAGAATTGGAAGTGAAGCCAGAAGATGTAACTGAATTTCTTCCATCTCATGATCAAATTTGAACAGATGAGCTGCTTCTTATGAATAAGCAAAGAAACTGATTTCTTAAGATGAAATCTACTCATGGTAAAGATGTTGTGAATATTGTTGAAATGAAAACAAATAATTTATAATATTTCATAAACTTAGTTTATAAAGCAGCATCAGGATTTGAGATAATTGACATCAATTATAAAAGAATTTCTACCATGAGTAAAATGCTATCAAACAGTATTGCACACCACAGAGAAATATTTTGTGAAAGGAAGAGTCAACTGAGGGGACAAGCTTTATTGTTGTCTTATTTTAAGAAATTTCCACAGCAACTCCAAACTTCAGCAACCACCACCCTGATCAATCAGCAACTGTCAACATTGAGATGAGACCCTCCATCAGCAAAAAGATTACCATGTTGCTAAAGGCTCACATGATAGGGAGCATTTTTTAGCAATAAAGTATTTTTAAATTAAGGTATGCACATTTTTAGGCATAATGCTATTTGAGCATTTAATATAATATAGTATAGTGTAAACATAACTTTTTATATTCACTGGGAAAACAAAAAATTCATGTGACTCATTGATATCCACTTTATTGTGGTGATCTGAAACTGAATCTACAATATCTCAGAGGTATACCTGTAGTCTATTCTGGTATTATTGAGTTTGAAGTTATCTCTTAGAAGGTAGTGTGGAGTATGAGGTTGGAATTTGAGTGAAAAGTTTAGTCTGAAGATAAAGACCTATAGACAATTTTCTTAGAGAAGTACTATTAAGAGATAAGGGACTCAAGGCCTGAGATTTAAGGCAGTGGTCCCCAACCTTTTTGGCACCAGAGACTGGTTTCATGGAAGACAATTTTTCCACAGACGAGGGAGGGGGTTGATTCAAGTACATATTGTACACTTTATTTCTATTATTATTGCATTGTAGTATATAATGAAATAATTATACGATTTACTGTAATGTAGGATCAGTGGGAGCCCTGAGCTTGTTTTCTCACAGCTAGATGGTCCCATCTGGGGTTGATGGGAAACAGTGACAGATCATCAGGCATTGGATTCTCTTAAGGAGTGCACAACCTAGATCCCTTGCATGCACAGTTAACAATAGGGTTCATGCTCCTATGAGGATCTAATGCTGCTTTTGATCTGACAGGAGGCAGGGCTCAGGCAGTAATATAAGAGATGGGGAGCCCCTGTAAATACACACGAAGCTTTGCCGGCTCGCCTGCCGCTCATCTCCTGCTGTACTGCCCAGTTCCCAATGGGCCATGGACTGGAACCAGTGGGAGAACCCTGATTTAAGGGATACCAAAAGTTACAAGGTAAAAGTGAGGAGGGGCAAATTAAACTTATTCAAAAACTGTCCTGAAATAAGTAGAACTTGTGAAAAATTTGAGTCATGGAAAAGTAAAAATTGTAGAGAAAGTCTACTGAAAAGGCTGGGAAGGGAAGGAATACTTGTAGATGTGATATGCTTCATTGTGAGTGAGATGCCTCCCTTCCACATTTATTTCTTTCAGAAATGCAAGAAAACAAGGTTGCAAGTTTGAAGATTTAATTTTAAGAGAAAAAAAGATGTATTTCTCTAAGAATGGGGGTGAGGGATACTAAATTAGACATAGGCACACACACACACAAACAATGTTGTGAGATAGAAATGAGAGTAAATTTGTTCGTTTATTCATTAATTCAGCCCATGCTTACTATTGTGCTAGGTATGTGTCAGCCTAGGGGGAGTCCAGGGATAAATGAGACAGTCTTCTCCTTATCATATTACCTGGTGAAGGAGGTGAGTGTGAAATTAACTGGCGACTATAACTGTATATATTCTTCTAAGCCAGTTGTTCTTGTGGTCCCCAGACCAGCAGTGTCATCAACAACTGAGAATAAGTTAGAAGAATAAATTTTTGAGCCCACTCCAGTCCTACTAAATCAGAAACTCTAAACCAGTTAATGGTGTGTTAACAAGCCCTCCAGGTAATGCTGATAAATGCTCAAGTTTGAGAGCCTCTGCTCTAAGAGAATTGAAAAGGTAAGGCCAATTACAAGGTGCGGGTGGAGTGGGGATTGAGAGGTCCTCTGGGGACAAATCATCTATGACTTTCAAGGTATATGTTGGAAGAATTAACTTATGGTATCTGTGTATGGATGGGAAAAGAAGGTGGAAAGTATCATAAATGCATTTTAATATTGCCTTTTGTACACATTTGCTTTGCATTTCTTGACTGTGTCATGAGGGACTCTAAATTTGGGCATTTTCACTGGTGAAAGGGCAGGGAGGGAGGGGGTGAATAGTGGGGAGATTAGGTAGTAAGTAGAATCTTGAAATTTCTTCAAAACACATTACAAATAATCACTATATATCCATGGATCACCAGCCTAACACAATGACATCTTCACAATATTCAAGGCCATTATTTCTAGGATATTATATTATATAGCTTATTATACTATATTTATTTATTTTTATATATCTTTAAATGCAGATAAGGTAGAGTGAAACATGAGTATGATCATGGTTACAAAAATGCCAACATAGTTCCTTCTTCTTCTCTGTCATTCTTTCATTTATTTCCCTTGATTTTCTTTCTTTTACTTCCTAACTCCTTTCATTTTCCAAGGACTGTTCTCTGACCTATACATTTCTCTTTCTACCATCACTTCTTAAATGGCTAATACCTGTTCAAGAATTTTATGAGCCTTTAAATACTAGCTATTTTTATGTATAGTATTTTAAGAGTATTTTTGAGAGTCTATTGCTCTTTATAATAATCATAGCTTCTGAAATCTCATGGGATGCAGTCTTTGTTTGCTTCCAAATGTACACACTTTTATCTAATGACTCCTCTATAGTTAGCAACATATGACTAGGGCCTCAGAAGAGAGATTGTATATTCTGATTTTGCTTTTTTTCCCTTAAATTGATTTCCACTTCTTTCTCCCATCCATACAGACTTCTTACATTTTAAATCAGTTTCCATGCCTGAGCTAAGAAGATGCACTTACTTATTCACATATTCATTAATGCTCTGGTGTTGAGTGGTTTCTGGACAGAACCTGACCTTCAGTGTATTCTATGTGTTGGTCTCTTCTGTCCCAGTGTAATAAATCCTGACCATTACTCAATTCCCAGTACAATGTCTCCAGCTCTACAATTTGGTATTTCCAACCGGATATCATTTTAAACTGAACACATGCAAATTAAGCTTCTCATTTTATTCTTCAAATTTATTACCCAAATTCTTGGTCAAATTTTGTTTCCAAGCATCTAAGCTTAGAACTTTTGAAGCATTTAAACCTTATTATCAATCTACTTAATATATCCTGTTTCTTGGCTATGCCCAATCACTCTGCCCCTACAAAACACTGTCTTTTATTTTTGTCTCTGTGCTTAATTTCTAACTATTTCCTTTATGTAGAAGTCTCTGTCTTCACCTCCATCAATTTTGTTCTTAGCACCCTTCAGATTCAGCTTAATTTTCATTTCCTGAAAAGAAATGCCCAGTTGACTTAATATTTGCAGATTTCCTTTCATTTTAAAATTTCCAGATGACTTTCTTGTACTACTTAATACATGAACATATTTAGGTATAAATTCTCTTCTATAGTTTTTAACAGTTCATCATATATGTCTTATTTCCACAACTAATATATAAGACACTTAAGAACACAGGCAGATGGGTTATCATTATTATTATTACTACTATTGTTATATTTAGTGGTAAACAAATGACTGAAAATAATTAGGAATCTAATCATTGTTTAACAATTGATGATTTATTTAATCATCACTTAAAAGGATTTTTAAGTGATTCTGCTTTGCTCCAAATTAATGGTATATATAGCAATGAGGAAATCGGGTTTTTCTCTTAGATAGAGGTTTGCATCCCAGCTGAAGCATTTCCTATCTTTGTGAATTTGAGTTAATTGCATAATCTCACTAAACCACAGTATTTTTAGTAGTAAAATAGAAATCTATGGAAACTTTCTCAAAGGTTATGAGTTGTCATGAGGATGAAATTTTATCTTAGAAGAGTTTCTGTCATAGGAAGCCTCAATAGGCCATGGCAGCTATTATTTTTATCATTATTTGCTGTCATTAAAGAATATTGAGTAACATATAAAAATAAATCAGAACAATATTAAAAGGAAAAGCAATAATTTAAAATCAGGACTAGCAAGAACACAAATATATCAGGGACATGAAATCTGAAGGATACGTAGATATGCAATCCAAGAGTGGCAGCTAATGGGACTTTCCCATTAAGTTCATCCAGGCCTTCTTCATAGTGAAATGACTGGAGAGAATTGATGATTCTGGCGAGAGCGCACATGGCTTTTGGACAGCTTAAGTTTATCCTGGCTGTGTGCCCAGGTTTTGGATTAGAAAAAGGCCATGCTGATATAGCTTTTGTTTATTTATAAAATTTAACAAACATCTTTTGAATGCCTACTATAGGCAAAATCTGAAATGATGCCATGAATAAGTGTGTTAACATCTCTCAGTCTACTTGACCACTGAATATACATCCTATTGGGCTTTATTTTGACATATTCTTGGCCTGTGGAAAACAAATAACCAACCCCTGTGCCACTATTGTTTTTCTTTTCTAGCATCGACTTAAAACACTGGCCAGAGTAGAACTTTATGGCTTATCATTTCTGTAGGGCAACCACATAATTTCTGCATGATCCTAACATCCTACTCTTTTCCCCTCCACCGTATGACCAACACTCATACCCCAACTCCAACCATCTGCCCTTAACGTGCCTTTGGTTTATCATGGGTTTCACCAGATATAACCAATATTTCCTATCAGAATTGTCCACGGATACCATAACTCATCTGCTCACTATGAATGTGATTTTGCATATTTTCTAAGCCAGATGATTATAAATTCAATTATACAGTCTTTCAAATCTATTAAAGCCCAATGGTTCTACAATTCTTTTAGTGGAGAACAGCATAGCTCTCCAACTGGCTATTTTGCTGACAGCAACACAAATGCACTAGCTACTTGAAGAGTTCCTTCATGCTTATTCTTCTTCAGGGCTGGCAAAGTCCAGATTCACCAAATTTAGTTCAGCTTTGAGATTCTGCTTGACTCACCAGACACTTTGCTCTTTTTAGGAGCCTTCGGTTTATTGCCCAGGCTTTCTGAAGGATACCTAGCAAACAGAGAGAAAAAGATGTGTGCATTTTAAGTATTGATTAGAAAACTGAAGTGTGAAGGTTACCCCCTCTTTATCTGGGGCCATGCTACTGTACTGAGGAACAGCCATATACATGCTAATTCAGGGCCTCATTTCCTTCATTGAACTGGAAGATAAAAGGATAGTCTCAAACTCAGTAGAACAAGAAAGTTAGACAAGGATCATTTAAAACATTGAAGGGTTATTTTCAGAGTAAGGCGACTGAATTAAGATTAAAGCTCCAGCCAGTTAGAAACTTCTGTAACATAACCAAACCCAATGAGAGAGATACCAGGCAAACTCAAATGTGGTTTCAGTTTTATCTACATCTCAAGTTTTGTTATGTGTTTAGTAGTTCATTGAACATACTTTAATCTGCACTGTTTACCAAATTAATTTATATTAATTAGTAATTACCTTTTATGTTAAAGTTGCAAATGCATATAATTTTCGAAGTCAAATAGTTCTATAAAGTTAAAATAAAAAATACAATAATCCCATGTTGCTCACTCCCATCTATATTTCTGCTTTCAGGAAGCAACCACTTTTACCTTTTTAAAAAATTTCTTATTGGTGGTTAACTCCATATTTCCAAGTAATATAGATATTTCTTTATTTTTTAGATAGCTATTTTCATTAAAAATACTTTCAAATTTTATTTAGATTTGGGGGTACATGTGAGGGTTTTTTACACGGGTCTATTAAGTGATGTTGAGGTTTGGGGTATGGATGATCCCATCACCCAGGTAGTGAGCATGTACCCAATAGGTAATTTTTCAATCCATGGCTCTCTTTCTTCCTCCGTAGACTCCAGTGTCTATTATTCCTGTCTTCATGTTCATGTGAACTCAGTGCTTAGTTCCCACTATAAGTGAGAACATGTGGTATTTGGTCTTCTGTTCCTGTGTTAATTGGCTTAGGATAATGACCTGCAGCTGCACCCATGTTGCTGTAAAGGACATGATTTCATTCTTCTTATGCCTGGGTAGTATTTCATGGAGTATATAGACCACATTTTCTTTATCCAATCCACCATTGTTGGGCATCTAGGTTGATTCCATATCTTTGCTATTGTAGTAGTGCTGCAATGAACATATGAGTGCATGTGTCTTTTCTGTAGAATGTTATTTTTCCTTTGGGTGTATATCCAGTAATGGGATTGCTGGGTCTAATTGTAGTTCTGTTTCAGCTATTTTCCAAAATTTCCCTGTTGTAGCCAGCCTTCAAGATGACCCTCAATAATTCTCAATTACTGGTTCATGGCTTTGTGTAGTCCTCTCTCACATTGAATAGGTTCGAGTGACCCATGTTAACAATAAGATGTTGTGAAAATGCTGGTGTGTTACTTCTACAGGTAGGCCATACAACACATTGTATCTTCTATCTTGCTCCTGCTTGGATCATTCACCCTGGAGGAAGCCAGCTTCAATGCAGTGAGGACGATCAGACAGCTCAATGGAGAGGTCTGTGTGGTGGGGTCCATGTATGCTGGCCTCCTGCCAGAAGCACTCAGTTGCCAGTCGTGTGGATGAGCCACCCTGGAAGTTAATCCTCCAGCCCCATTTAAGCTGCATGCATAGGAATAGATTGTAATACATATATATTTTATAAAATTTCTCAAATATTTTGGTAATACAGTATTTTGGCATTTTATAATTATATATTTATTATATAAATGTATAATAGATATAATATGTAAATATGTAATGATATATATTTATATCCTAAAATATATAATGTGAATTACACAGAGCACTCAAATTTGAAAATATGCTTTGTGTGTTAATAGTCGAGGCTCTTGTAAGGCAGGTCAAGGCAGTTGAACTTGGCCCTGTGGACAATGGAGAGCCAGTAGAGAGTTATATGTAGATGAGTTAAATGATTCAGTTTCTTTTATAGGAAGGGAGCTGAAAGCAGTGTGAATAATGGATAGGAGGAGAGTCACTAGAGTAAGAAATATCAGCTAGAAGGTGATTCTTCTAATTCTAGAAAAAGATAATGGCATTAACTTTTAAGCAGTCACAATAACAATGATGATGATAAAAAGGGTAGATTGGCAAAACAGGTCAGAGATTAAAAATACACGTTTTCCAGAGTTATTGATTGTATGAAACAAGGTGAGAGAGTGAGGAACAAAGGATGATTTGGGCCTCTGTCTTAGGGAGACAGAATAAAATAATAGCTTTTTATTTATATGCCACATCACAGTTTATGAGCCCTTTCACATATAGTGCATTTTGTTGTTTCAGCAATCTTGTGATGAATTAATATGTATTAAATTAAAAATATGCTTTACATAGTAATCTTGCAAAGGTTCTCACCACTGCTAAATAACTTCTTTGTAAGATGCTGAGTGTTCTTTTCCCGTTTTTTTTGGTTTTTTTTTTTTTTTTTTTTTTTTGAGACTGAGTCTCCCTCTGTCACCCAGGCTGGAGTGCAGTGGTGTGATCTTGGCTTATTGCAAACTCCGCCTTCCAGGTTCAAGCAATTCTCCTTCCTCGGCCTCCTGAGTAGCTGGGACTACAGGCGCTGCCACCATACCTGGCTAATTTTTGTATTTTTAGTAGAGACGGCGTTTCACCATGTTGGTCAGGCTGGTCTTGAACTCCTGACCTCAGGTGATCCGCCAGCCTCGGCCTCCCAAAGTATTTGGATTACAGGAGTGAGCCACCGTGCCCAGCCCATTTTTTTTTTCATATAAAATAGAGGTTGACTTGTGTTCTCCACTTCAAAGACACTTGGGCCTACCTCTATTGTCTTTTGTTCTCTCCATGTTATTAGATAGATCGCCTTTTCCAATAGCTGATTCAGGCATGTGTGCAGTAGATTGTCTCTCTGTGTCTCTGGAAGCATAGTGATTTAGATAGTACTTCTCAAACCTTAATGTGCATATGAATCATCCAAGATTCCTGATAAAATGAAGATTCTGATTTAGTGGGTCTTGGCTGGACCTGAAATTCTGCATTTCTAACAAGCTTCCAGGTGATCTCAAGGGTACTAGTCCACAGAACATATTTCAATTAGAAAAGAATTAG
Organism: Homo sapiens; assembly: GCF_000001405.40. Lineage (NCBI taxonomy): Eukaryota > Metazoa > Chordata > Mammalia > Primates > Hominidae > Homo > Homo sapiens. Next base: position 74,821,728 of record NC_000008.11, read on the forward strand.
ACTAAAGTCAAATGCATATGTGACACATACACACATACATACACACACACACACACACACACACACACACACACACACACACACGTCAAAGTAGCTTTGCTTAAGCAGGTGTACCATTCTGGAATGCTTACATCTGATTTCCATTTTAAAATAACAACCATTTTCTCACAGGTTTCAAGATGCTGCCAAATGTGTATGCATTTCTTCTCAGTAATATAACTACATTCCATTTCTGTCTCTGTTGGCAAGCAGGACCTAAAGGTTTCAAAACATGTCAATGGTCTTTTTCAAGAAGAGTCCTCATAAAAAAAACCACCTCATTGTTAGTTGTTCATTAGCAGTCCTCTTACTGACAACTTGGATGTATGCCTCTTAATTTTGCAAGTATTTTAAAATTACAATTACCTCCAAAGCATTTCAAATACTTCTTCTGGCAATAATGTCTGCTTGGAAGCAGAATTCTTAACTCTCCTCCCACAGGTCTTTTCTTTTATGATTCCATAGCCTTGTGGGTTTCCTTAATAGTCCGAAATTCCACAATATAATCCATGTGTGCTGAAAGACATTTGAAATCATTGACATGCCTCAGGGTCTCCGGATTAAGCAACTATCAGCTCTGCCCTTATGTAATTGGACTCAGAGGTGATCTCCTGTTTAGATGCATCTCAGAAATTCCTTCTCCTCCTCCTCCATCCAGCCACTTCCTGCACTTAGAGGAAATCCATTTTTGGTTTAGACAAGTTTGTCAAGCATCACATTTTTATCCCTATGGAAATCTTTCAAGTCAAACCCCAAGAGGTGGACAATACCTCTTTGTGTATATGACAAAGGGTGTAGTCTTAAATATAACTTTCGATTCTTATGAGGTTCTAAGCAAGAACTCAGTCACCCTGGAGAATGAAAGGCTCATGACTGCTGTTCAGGTATTAAAAGTCCTTTTGTTCCTCAGATAGCTGGGAAACTGTGTGAGATATGTAGAGAGTAAAGGCTAATGTGTGCTGCCACTAATTTCTCAAAAAGTCCACAGATCTTAGAGCTGGATGGCCTACAGAGAGTTTCTCATCTAACCTCTGATTTAATTCAGGAATCCTTAATATAGCATATTTGAGATTCATTGAAGGTGCCATGAATACTTTCCAAAGTGGTGCAACCCTAGTTGGACAGCTCCACTTGTTAAGATCTGCAGCTGTGAACAACCATGTGAATTTCCTCTAGTTGCTCCAATGTTTCATAATATCCTTGCTCACCTCCTGAGTTTATATATCTGTTTATGCCTTTTCAAGTTTAGTATTAATTCCTTGTTTAAAGCTCTCAATATTTCAGCTATGGCTCTCCTAAAATGATTTCACTTTAGTTAGGAGTTGAATAGTCATCAAAATGTGTCAAAACCTGGACTTTGGTATATATTATTATAAAGTCTGTATCTCATCACTGTAGTTTGAATTTTAGTGACACCTCTGGTACACCTCACTACCCTCTTAAAGAACTTGATGATGTCTGTCTCACCATAGAACGTGAATCTTTTCTCTCCCATTTTTAGGTGCACCAATGAAGAGTTAAACAGTATGCATTTGACCACACATACTACTCGTGATCCAACTGGGAATATATCCTAGGAAACTTGGCTGCCTGTCCAGTGTGCCACATGACCATCATTTCTGATGACTGTAAATTCACATAGTATTTCTTCTGCTGAAACATGTGGGAGACAATCACATTAGCAAGCTGGAAAAAATCAGTGTAAGTTAAGTAAGTTTCTAAACTGAAGAGCGTGTGTTTTCCAGGATTCCTATTGCTACTGACTGTAAGTGGTCCACATTTTGTTAATGAGATCATGACGCATTTTGGGGAGGGTCCTTTCATTATAGAGCACCAATGTTCACATTCTTCTTCTTGCTTTGCCTGACATAGACTTTGCCCCTGTGACATCCTCCTAACAAGGCACTTCTAATTGTTGGCAGCTGCTGCTGCTGTTAAAATTCTTCATGGCCTCTGTGTTATGCCCTCTAATACATTTCCTGAGAGGCTGAGCTATTCTCTGCTTAAAATTTCAACTATATGCTCTAAACCTGAAACAGATGTTATCTTGGCTGCTGTCATTTGCCATGAGCTTCTCTATTCACATTTTATACAAGGCAGGTAAAAAGCAAGTAATTTCTGACCTCACTCTGTAGAGAAAGAAAAAAGGGAGAGAAGGTAAAATAAGAGAGAGAAGAAGAAATATATAAAGCACAGGAATGCAGCCACATGGAAGCAGAGAACACAGCCACTTGAGCATCTATTATCCTAATATCATATGCTATAGTTTGGTTACTACCGATTTGCCTGGCATCCCTCTCGAATCATATTTGTGGCCACCCAGATTAACTATGTTAGCTGATCTCTTGATTTAATATCAGCTTGTTCTTTTTAGCTCCCATGTCATTTACTGTCTTAAAAAAATGTACTGCTTGTTACTCAACTGTCTGTTTTTTCATGAACCCACAGTCTTTTTTTTTTTTGTCTTTGTTTCTTCTTTTTTGTATGGGAACCAGGAACTAGAAAGCATAAAATGAGAGAAATTACTCACAGAAAAGGTGGAAGCCCAGAGAAAAAGGGGTTTGTCTTTTATGGCTTGTACTTTGTAAGCTGTGGGTGTGACTCAATTTCCTCACCACCCACATAAAAAGGTTGCCACCCAATCACTGTTTTTTTCTACCCCAAACCCCTCCCCTTTGATTTTGGCTAAGAGAGACCCTTAGAAAGACTGCCCTTTCTGGACGTTGCAAACTGTGACATATAAAAGCTGTTAGCTGCTCCTCTAGCCAGCAGCATTCAAACCTTGCAGAGCTTTGCTCTCAGAGAGTTTGTAAAAAGACACACTCCTCTTACAAGAGTTCATGCTACCACATAGCAAAGAACCTTAAATTTTTGGAAGAACAATATATTCATTTTGGCATTGTGCAGAGGTAAGCTATTTAGCTCAACAAGTTTATATTGCATGCATTGATTTTAAAGTAGCTCACATTTTTTTAAAGAAATGAGATTGGATTACTATGACTTTTTTGTATGTGTTCTATCACTTGGTGTGTCTATATGTCTGGCAGACATTATCAGCACATTCTCTGTTGTTACCTGTGATTCATTTTTTCTTCACTCTCCAGGTGAATTTCAATTGCTGAAAATTTCCCACTGAAAATATGCAGTAATATATTTTGTGGTTCAGACATTTGGGGCAAATGGTTCACATTCATTTTAGGGTTAGTGGTCATGCTGTTTATTTTTCTCTGCTATACAAAGTTCCTCTTAGGGGTCTGCCTCATGACACTAAAAAATGAATAGAGATTCTACTGTAGGTTATCTCCTAGGCTTGAGTTCAACATTTGTTTGGATTTTTGAAGAAAGTCAAATCAAGCAATGCTCCCAAATGATGTCTTTGTAAATTCATACCCTCTGGCCCTATTTTTTTTCATAGACCCTAACTCTACCTTTCTGCTTTAAAGCAAAGTAAACTCGGTGGCCTCTTCTTCTCCACCCCTCAAAATGATAGCAATCTCTGCCGTCAGCAGTGCACTCCTGTTCTCCCTTCTCTGTGAAGCAAGTACCGTCGTCCTACTCAATTCCACTGACTCATCCCCGCCAACCAATAATTTCACTGATATTGAAGCAGCTCTGAAAGCACAATTAGATTCAGCGGATATCCCCAAAGCCAGGCGGAAGCGCTACATTTCGCAGAATGACATGATCGCCATTCTTGATTATCATAATCAAGTTCGGGGCAAAGTGTTCCCACCGGCAGCAAATATGGAATATATGGTAAGAAGAATTCTTTTTTTTTTTTTTAAGTTCTGAGTGAGAAAGCTTTATATTGTACATCTGCAGAATCTCAAACGACCACGAGTGTTTATATGTCCGGGTATATGGACTTTTTACATATTTTAACCTAAGGTTCTTATGTGCCTAATAATGTTGAGTACTGTTGCATCACAGAATCAGAGAGACAGAGAGGTCCAGAGAGACAGAGACAGACAGATAGAGAGAATCTATGTAGACTTTCTTCTGTGAGTTCCATAGCTACTGGTGAATTGTATCTTATGTAAGAATCATAGATAAAAAGTGGGGTATGTTGACTGATCACATTTGGAAGGTCCACTTTAAAAAAAGTCACATGAACTTTTTCTGTGCTTTATCTCACAGTCATATTTATCAGCTATATCATTTCTTGAAAATACTTCTTAAAATTATAGGTTTCATATGCATGATTTATTCTCTGGGTAGGTGTCTTTTCCCTTTTTTGGACAAAGTTCTTACTGACGCTAACCTATTTGTATTCTAAGAGAACATGCTGACTTTTTTCTCCTTGTGATTTAATGCTTTGCTGTCCAGATAACAGTGAAGCCAGTGCATTTGCACACTGTTCCAACTTGCCGTGAACACATTTTTTGCTCTTTCTTAAAAATAGACAATGTTTAAATCATTTTACTTAGAAAGTAAAAAAAAAAGTTAGTATTGAAAGGAAAAAGTCTTGTTAAAATTTTTATTTGGTTTTGAATTTATGCAAGGTTATGATTTAAAGTCCAGCGTCTTACAAGAGCACAGCTTGGAGCCTGTTTAAGGCAATGAAGACCATCAATATGGTATTTCCAAATTGGGGTGAGGGGAGGGGGTACCACTAACAGTTTTATATGTGCTGAATTAAAATTTGGGATTTTTATCATATTCTAGATTCACTTGTTTTATGTAAATAAGTTATATTAAAAAGTTTGGCTAGTTGCAGATGCCAATGTCACAGGAAAACTAAAGACTTGCTAAATGATGTAACAGAGTCACAGTTCATAGAAGTACAATTTAGACTCTGTGAAAATGCATTTTCCTAGAATTTATAAAGACAGAGAAGATGTAATCAGTCCTGGTGTGTGAGGAGCAGTATAGTCTCATGATTAAGAATATGGGCTATATAATCTAAATGCTTGGGTTTGAATCCTAGTCCTGAAGTATATGCTGAATGAACTCATTACCACACTGTTTCATTTTCATCATCTCTAATATGAAGATAAAGGTGGTATCTGCCACACAGCATTGTTGTGAGAAATGTATGAGTTGACGAGTAATCAGACCAGAGCCTGTTGCTAACTAGATGTTCAACAAACATTAGTTTTGATGGGTTTCTTTGAACTTCTTGTGAAAGGTGCCCAGTGAAAACTCATTCAAGATCTAAAGACAAAAAGTTACCCATACAGAAGAGATGTTTTTAGAAGGTGATGTAAATATGTAAAAATTAGATGAGCAAACACATTTTTAAAATTACTAAAATGATGAAATAAATATGCCTAAGATACCATGCAAGCTCAGAAAGGCATAATATCCCAACTATGAGTTTAGAGAATTTGTAGCAATCACATGACTCTAAAGTGAGAACCAAGACTGCTGAGCCAGCTTTGAAGGTGAGCTCATCTGGGTTCAAATCCTAACTCTGCTGCTTACTTTGTGGCCTTGCACAGGTTATTTAATGTGTCTAAGACCCAATTCATTTATCTGTAAAATGAGAATAACAATACTAACCAATCAAAGAATGCAATTCACTATTTTTATCCTATTGAGGTCAGAGCGTTCACCACGAGGAAAGGCATAGTTAGGTAAACACAGTATAAGTAGGTTGAAAAAAGCCACATTTTTTCTAGCTCTATTTTCCCTTATCAAGAATTAATTCATTCCACATGCATTTATTTAATTGCTTCCGTATGCCAAGGACTTGACTAATTGTTTCCATAGACGATCTCATTTGATAGCTCACATTCTCCGTGTGAGGTTAACATTGTGATCTTCATTTTACAAATGAAATCACTGAGACCCACAGATGTCAACGAGTAGGCCAAAGTGGTAAGGATAATGAATGGCACTGCTGGAATTAGAATTTAGGTCTGTGTAATTTCAAAGCCCATGCTTCTATTGGGGAGCATCTTCTCATTTGCTGCATTGAGGAAATGCCCCATGGCAGGACCCCTGAAGATGTACAGTTATCTTTCTTTCCTTCTTTAAAATGCCAGCTGAAGTCCTATAATATCCATGCTCTATTTATTATTCCATTCTTATTATTTTTTTGAATATCAGAACCACTATATATGATTTATTTTGTAAGAACTAGCTCCAGTGCTGATTACATAGTAGGTGCTTTCTAAATGCTCCTTAATTCAGTAAAAGTAATGAGAACAGTAAGTGCTAGAAAGTAAAATAGGGCTTGTTTCAAAAACTCATGTAAATACTGTGCATACACTTCATTCACACCTGTATTTGCTAATTTAATATTTATTAAATATTTAATATTTGTTAAGCATTGACTATATGTTAGGCTACATAATTGGGGATACATTCATGAATAAAATAGACATCTTTGGCTCCCTGGGTGGGGAATCAGACAATAAGCCAGGTAAATAAATAAGTTACACAGGATGTAAGATGATAAGGTTATGAAGAAAAACAAAGTGGCTTGTGGTAAGGGTTTGATTTTTAACAAGTGTTCAAGGAAGAGTCACTGAAAGAGCCTGGAGGCAGGCAAGGGAGTGAGCCACTCTCAAAGGTGAAGGAAGAGTGAGGAGTCTAGACAAAGGTCTGGAGGTGGGAGAATATCCATCAGTTCAGTTAGAAAAATGTGCTCAATTGAGTGAAATCATAAGTTAGAAGGACTCTTTGAGTAAACTGGTCACTGGGAAGAGTTCATCTAAATCCGTCATGAAGACCCAGAGGGACTTGGAGGGAAGTAAGTATAGTAGGTGGCTTGGAGATTGAAGCAGGGACTATAAGTGACTTGAATTCTCTAGGCTATATGGAAAATGCAGATCTTAGTTTGATACTATTACCTTTAGTTAAACTTGTTCAACATTGATTTGGATTGTGAGCATGTGAAAGATAGTAGAATTCCTAACCTGTTCTATGTACCTCAGAAACTTAGGACACCCCTCACTTGATACCTCACAGATATATGTGCTGTGATCACCAGCTGTGTGTTCAACTTCTCCTCAGTGAGTGATATCACCCAAGGGAACTTAACAGAAGATGGTCTTTGGCTCAGGGCTTCTAATTGCATCAACCTAGTTTGTAATTCCTTTTACCTACAACTCTCTGAGCCTTTTACCACTCCATTTTCCTTCCCTCTAAAGTCTCTTCCTTAGTTTGTTTATAATACTATCCTTCAAGCTTTTGATGCCAGAATGCTTCTAATATCCATGACCACAGATGATTTATCCTAGTTTTGAGCTGTGGTAGCCCTTCTTGTCTACTCTTATCATGTCTTGCTCTCATGAAGTGATTTACAGTTACTTTGTGCATTTCTTGCAAACTTTAATTTTGAGCTTTCTGGGTGCTGTGTCTATTTATTCATTTTTGTATCTCTGTTTTCTTGGGCAATTTCTTGTGTATAGAAAGTGATCAACCATTATTTGTTGAATTTAGATGAAATCCTTGTGAATTGTTATGTGTTTATAATTAGCATTAATTTTGATATTATAAATGTCTTAACAGAGTTTTTGTCATCATTTATAATGATATTTGATTCCACACCTGAATTAAAAAGTTTTTCTTAAATTCTAAAAAAAACCATATAGATAGAACTTAAAATTTGCAAGTAAAACTTTTTTACTCTTGGCTTCTGTTCTACAATTAGTTTATTGACTATTTCCAGAGCTTCTTGCACACCAGCTGTTTTTTATTCTTCCTGAGGGTAGCTTAAACCATGACTCTAAACCACAAACCACACTAGTTTCTTAGAATAAGAATTATCTCCAAAAGAATAAAATTGCAAGACCCACACATAGAGTAAAATTTGTAGGATGTTCTCTGAATTTAAGTCAATTGAATAAATTAATTTGAAAAACTTTGAGGTCCCTCTATGAGAGAAAGAGATCCAAAGAAAACAAACATTTTTGTCTTTAAAGTCTAAACAATGCAGTAAAAACAAAACAAATGGAAAAAAATTCCACTAAGGATATAATTCAGTATAATACACTGCTGTATAAGATTGATGTAATAAAAGAGGTACAGAAAAATACCATGGAGGAGTTGAAGAAGGGAGCGATAATCTCTAGTTGGCAGATCATGAAAGGCTCCTTGGAGGAGGAGCATGTGAAATAGATGCCCAGGAAGGGTCAAGGTTGGCTGTTACAGAAGGCAAAGCAATGCATGAACAAAATCTCCAGCAGAGAAAAACCATGACACTTGAGCTGTATTTTTGAAGAGTTTGAGAAAAGGTTGAGGATTCCTTACTCCAAAGGCAATTAGGAAGACTGTGAAGATTTTAGAGAAGGATTAGGGATGCGTTTTAGAAAGATGATCCTGGCAGTTGATGGAGCTGATATTGGCAGTGAAAGTGACCAGAGAGGTGGTAACTCCCGAGTAAGCAATGCCAATCCTTCAGGCAAAGATAAGGAAGAACCGCACAGCTGCTCCAACATAAAGTGGCAGGCAGGAGAACTCCCTGAAGTGTCATGGGTGAGATGGCAGCCTTCACAGATGGTATGGAGTGGTGGAAAGGCAGATGAGGGACAATGTGAATATAATGAAGGAAATGAACTGATCACCTTAAAACTGAAAAAAAAAAGTGTAATGTAATTTTAAGAAGCCAAAATAACTATATTGATAATACAGTATCTCTTTTATTTGTTTGATACCTGCAAATATTATTTGCAGAGCTACAGATATAAGGTTTCCTATCATTTTTGGAAAAAAGAAAAATACTGGATACCAAATCACAGCAGGTAGTAAAGTTACAGAAAGCATGACTTAAATGAATGAATGGAGAACAGATTAATCCATGCTTGAAAAGAGCCCATGAACTATTTGCCTAGGATGATAATTTATGACTTGGGAATAAACAAAAATGCTGATTTTGTTTGTTTGGGCTTCATGTGGAAGAGAATGTGGAAAAGGTAAACTACTTTTTGTTTTTCTTTCTTCAGTAGTTGATTAAACACTTGTAGTATCTATCTTTATATATACATGTATATATCTTTTTTTTAACAAAGCCATATACCGTCCCACAAGGCGCATTTCCTCTCATTTGGGAAGGATAACTCAATGTTCTTGCTATAAACATGAGAATTTTAATGTGTATAATGTAAACCTCTCCAATGCATGCTTTCGTGACCACTAGAAGGCCTCCTGAGGGCCTCTGCCAGAAGGCAGTGTACTGAGAACAATTGCTGGCAGGAGGCGTTTTCTCCAGCACATTCAGAACTCTACATTCCTGCTCTCCTGGATGTAAAATCTTTTCAATGTCTTGGCTTCAGAAAGAGACTGGGCACATTTTGTAGGAATTTTCTTCCACGGTGCACGTTGCTTATTATCACTTTGATACGCCTGAAGAAGGTAGTAACCTTAAAGGTTCTTGCCTTTTGTTCCGCTCTCCCCACAGGGAGCCAGCCAAAGGTAAGAACATTTTGTTTGTCACCATTTTCAATATAGGTTCTGAAAAATGCAAATGTAAAAGCAGTAACAGGATGTGATTTGAAACCTCAGCATCAGGTGGCAGGCAGAAAAGCTGTGAATCACAGGTAGGCCACATAGGTGGTGACTGTACTTCCGAGTATTGGACACAGTTTTTTTGGTGGAAAATGATATTTGACCAAATGCAACATTGTAGAAAAATAATTTTATTGTGTTTCTGTTGAATATTTATAGAGCCTAGCATCATGTCTGCTCCACAGAGAATATGCAGTGACTACTCAGTAACTATTTGTGGAATAATCAAATGAGGTCCTTTAACTTTTTCTGGTTAGTGTGTGACTGTGGTGCTCTGGGGGGCAAGAGTTGTACAATGTTCAAGCACTTACTCCATAATTTTTACTCGTGTGCCTGGCACTGTGTGCTGAGGGAGTCAGTGGGGAGCAAAGGGACTCTCTTTGGTAGGAAGTACTGTGAACAGACAAGTCAGGTGCAAGGCAGTGTGCTAAATGCTGAACTAGGATAGATACAGGGTTCTTTGGAATCCTGTGGGAAGACCTAGCTCAGATGTGGAGTGGGGGTAAGAAGGTAGGGAAGGCTTCCAGAAGGAATGATTTTAAATAGAAAATATACAAAATAAATAAAGTTATACAGGTGTGAGTTAAGGAAAGAGGGATCTGTAGTGGGTATAGGAGGATGTTCTAAGAGGGTATGTAGTACACTCGAGACATGGATAAAAACTCATTGAGGCTTGGATTAGTGTAGAGAAGAAAGAGTGATGTTTGATGAAGTTGAGGAAGGCACCCAGACATTTGTTCGAATTTCATTTTAAGATCCAGGGTAATCATTGAAGGTTTCAAGCAGGGAAGTTATATAATCAACGAAGTGAAGAAAAGATGCAGTCAAGAGGCTGTTAGGATAGTCTAGGTATCCTCAGCTACGTTTAAGGCAATAAGGATATAAAAAAACCATAAATTAGAACCGTGAAATATGTAAGGTACAAATCCATAGGAGTAAGTGGTTTACATGATGAAGTAGAATAAGGATTTATATGATGAGGCAGCCAAGGAGGATGCCTCCGTTTTTGACAAGGACAATTAAGTTTCTCTGAGTTAGAGAACACAAAATAAAGAGCAGAATTCTGGAAGCCATTAGTGGCTGCAGGTTTATCACCCAGGACACGCACCTCTGGAGGTTGAAAAAAGTAGCTAGTGTGGGGGAAGGAACATTCTTCTACTACAAAGAATTTTGGATGGGTATATCCTTCGGTAGTCAAAATGAACCACTTTGCATCATAGAGGTTGGGTAGTGTAGTGGAGACAGCATAGGTGCATTATTTTATACCTGGGAATCTACTCAACAAATATGCAAGAAAATACCCCCCTCTGTTTTTTTAATGGTGCCATGAATTTAGTATTTATGAAAACCATTTACCATTAAATAGCTGTGAACTTGAGGTATTTGCTTGTCTATAAGAATTTCTGAAGAATAGTATGAAGTGGGCACAGAAGATATAAACTAACAGTTTAAAATGGTCAAGAAAGATGTTTGGCATAAAATGCAACCTAGACTGAGGCTTGGAGGGATAGGATTTGAATTCTTCCAGTCTATGTTATCCATAGTATCTGAAATCAGGTACCAAGCATTTTTCTTAACACAAATATGGAAGAATGCCCAACACGTTGCCCAACAAGACTAAACTTCTCATAAAATCTCTTAAAATTTCACACCACATACTCCAAACTGAAGTAGTCCAAAAGTGTTACTCAAGGACACAATAATGTTTTCTAGTAAAAAGTGCATCAAATTCACTTTTAATAATTTAGTTAAATATGAACATTCTACCAAATCTATCTCTCTGCATTCCAGAGAGATCATGTTTTCAGCAGGCCGTAGGTAGGCGGGAAGGCATTTGAATCCTTCTGACCAAGTGGGCAATGGCAAGATATGAGGTTTGCAGGAGTATCACAGGAGAGTTCAACAATCTAAAAATTAGTTATTAAAATATACCATTGAGTTGGTGAAAACAATTAAACACATGTAGAAATCTCTTCCTGGCTTATAATTTTAATATTAAATGATAGCTGGTGGGTACTATAGTTCCCTGGAAAGTGGGATGATTGTTAGACTCTATCAACAAGTGGTCTTAAAATTTAAAGCTAAAACATGTATTAAAGAGGGATCTACAGAGATGAATTAATATGTTTTAAAACATCTAAAATGTTCTCTAATTTTCAGCTTCTTTTGCCTGTAAGCAAGCTCCTTAGAATCTCCTTATAATTCTGTTTCTGATTATCTAGTTGCTTCAGGGTTTATCCATTTTCACTTTACCTGATTGCCTGGTTAGTTGAGATTAATTCTTGATGTCTCTTAAACTTCCGGCTGCCAGATAATGTGATCAAAAGTGCACCTCACTGCTTTTCATTTTAGGTGACTGATTCTACCACCATTCCCAAATCTCCAACAATAATAATAGCCACCATTAAATACACCTTTGCCCTGCTAGAGCTGTGCTACATACACTTCAGTCACTATCTCATCTAACTCTCTCAAGTTTTGAGAGATGAGATAATTTTCCTCATTTGGAGATAGAGAATCTTAAGTTTGGAGAGCGTAAGTAACTTCCCCAAGGTCATAGAGCAAGTAAATAAAAATGTTAAGAACACAATTCTATCTGACAACAAGCCCATGCTTTAAATCAGGGGTCTCCCCAATTCCCAGGCTGCAGACCAGTGCCCATCTGTGGCCTGTTAGAAACTGGGCTGTGCAGCAGATGAGTGAGCATTGCTGCCTGAGCTCCGCCTCCTGTCAGATCAGTAGCAGGATTAGATTTTCACAGGAGTGTGAACCCTACTGTGAACTGTGCATGAGAAGGATCTAGGTTGTGCACTCCTTAGGAGAATCTAATGCTCTAAAGCCTGATGATCTGAGATGGAACAGTTTCATCTCAAAATCATCCCTTCCCACATTCCTCCCTGGAAGAATTTTCTTCCACAAAACGTTCCTGGTGCCAAAACCACTGGGGAGCACTGCTTTAAATGGCAACGTAAAGTACCTGTTCCTCTTCCTGCGTTCATCTCTCCTGTTTCTGAGCCCTTTGGATAGAGAATTTCCCTACATGGATTTCATCTGAGGATATTGCTGAATGTTAGAAAGAATTTCTTCATGTGGAATCAAATCTTTCTCTTTGTATTATTTATACCCTTGGAAATCATACAGAAAAACTCACAGGCTAGAGCATCCAGTCTCAGAATGTATATTAAGAGGGAAGAAAACCTATATGTCATAGATCCTTGACTCAGTGGATCCAGTCACCAAACTCCTTCTTAGCCTCAAGACCCTTTGTGTTAAACATCTACACACACAATCCTTCCCATCCAGATGATGCCAGCATAAGCTGTCAGGGAAGGCTACACAAATACATTTGATTTCTGAAGATCCTGGAAAAGGTAAGAAGTTTATCATTAAGGAAATGGAAAGTCAAGGCACTCCCACCTGCCTTTTACTCCACATATGCACGCATGAACAGTGACAGTGAGATCATCTTGGGACCTGGAAGCTGTGTGGCCCTGAGCAAGGAATTCCCATCACTGGTTGCACTTTCTGGTTGGGTTACAACATGTGTGTGTTCTTCTGACCATGAGATGCCTAGAATTTATGTGACAAATTACTCTCCAATTGCTCTACTTCTGTGGAGTTAACTTGGCAGAGTCAGTGGGCACATTCTCCTGATGATTCACATTCTCCTGATGATTCACATTCTCATGAACTAAGCTGCTTGTAGGTCACATAAATGTGTGTTGTAAATGCAGACGATGTTGTTATAATGGAAAGGGATTCATTTTTTTCATCTTTGTTTCATTTATATTCACTGCAGTAAACTCATCCAGTCTTATGGATTAAAATACCACTTATATGCTGATGATGTTTCAAATTATATTTATAGGCCTCTCAGTTGAATTTTAGACTAATTTATTCACCTACCTACTTTTCCAAAATTGAGCTCCAGATATTCACAACCTTACCCCCATCCCTTCAAATCTTACTTTAGAATTTTTTTTATCTTTTTAAAAATTTTGGATTTTCAGAAAGTTTCATACAATTCTCACGTGTTACATTGGGTATTTCAACCAATAAAGTCATTTAGAGTTTCCGTGAACATAGAACCACTTTGCAAGTACACATTCAAGGTCTCCAACCTTGAATTTTTGATTTGATAGATTCAGGATTGAGCTAGACATCTGCCTTCTCAAAAGTTCCCTGGGAGATTCTAGAGTTATTTCCCTGGTGAGAACCCTAAAATGTGCTTTAAGATCATGGTTCAGGATTCCAAACCAAGTTGAGAAAAATATTATATGGTTGAAGTATCTACTTATCTGTCTATATACTGAAAGAATTAATAGGTTAAAGCAAAAATTATTCTGGGGATAATTTCCGTATTATCACATAATTTCACTTGACTATTCATTCAGCACCTACTTCTAGAAAACATGTGAGCACTATGGGTGAGCTATAGATATCCACAACAGGGAATGAACCTTACTTGGGAAGTGCTTTATTGACTAAGAAAACTTCAAAAGAAGCAAATTTGTTGTTTTCAAAGCACTTAACCAAAATATGGTTTCACAGTGCACATTTAATGATGCATAGACTTAGAGCACTGGAAATTTTATTCCTTGACTTTTTTAATCAACAAGCTATTTAAATACTCTTTCTCAAAATTCTATTTTTCTTTCATGTATTCCTTCATTAATTTATCTATTAAGGCTGTATTGAGCACACCCTTAGTGTCTCTTTCAATAATCCAGATAACAAATGATGATGGCTTTGACCAAGGTGGTAACTGTGGTGGTGGTGATCAGTGGTTATAGTCTAGAGATACAGTATTTTGAAGGTAAGGTCAATGAGATTTGCTCACTGAGCAGATATAGACTATAAAAAATAGAGTAGATGACTAGATTTTTGGCCTGAGCAATAAAGAACAGCAACCAGTAAACTTTTTCTGTAAAGGGCCTGATAGTAAATATGTTCAGCTTTGCAGGTCTTATGGTTTATGTTGCAACTACTGAACTCTGCCTCTGTAGCAGGAAAACACCATAGACAACATGTCACAGGCAGTGGAGGTGATGTGACCTGTCCACCATAGTTAGCTGATTCCTGGACTAGAGAAACGGCATTGTCATTCACGGATACCAGGAAGACTGAAGGAGTAGTTGATTTGGAGGAATGGGGGTAAGGTTGTGAATATTTGGAGCTCAATTTTGGAAAAGTACGCAGTTGAATAAATTAGTCTGAAATTCAACTGAGGGGTCTAGAAATACAATTTGGAACAATACCATCAGCAAATAATTGGTGCTTTGATCCGTGGGACTGGATGAGTTTACCTGGGCAGTGAATATAAATGAAACAAGGATGGAAAAAAAAAGAGAAGGGACTTGGACTGAGCCCTGGGAACTTTCCGGCACACAGAAGTTGTGGAGATAAGGAGGAATCAGCAAAGGGATAGAGAAGAAGCAGCCAGAGAAAAACAGGCAAGTGTAGGGTCATGAAACCAAGGGATGAAAGTGTGCTCAGAAAGAGTAAGTGGTCAGGCATGCCAAAAGCTGCTGATAGACCAAGGAAGGTGATGACCAGGAGATGACCTTTGATGACCTTGAAGACAGCTGCTTGGGTGGAGTGGGGATGGGGTGGAAAATCTGCCTGGGGTGGGCTCAAGAGAGAATGCGGAAAGCAAAACTGGAAATTCCCAGTGAAGACAACTCTCTCAAGGAATTTTGTTGTAAAAGAAAGGAGAAGAATGGCATAGCAGTTGGAATAGGAAAAGGGTTCAAGAGAGGATTTTTACAAATATCTGTGTGCTTTTAAGATATTTATGTTGCTGGCAATGATTCAGTTCAGAGCCCCTAAAAATAGTACACCTTACACCATCTCTTTATAGATAAATAAATTTACATGAAAGATAATACTCATCTTATTTAAGGAAAGCATTATCTTTCTTCAAACATTACAAAAATCCTTTGGATCTCACCTTTATATTTTTTGATATACATAATATAGTGTCATATTTTGTAGTTATTTTTGAGGTTGAAGGGAATGCTTTTTAAATCAAGTTTCTTTAATCCTCTCCTTCTACTCTTACAGAGAACTATTTTAATATCATCTAATTAATTTAATCACCACTCTCAAATTCTCCTATGAAAGCCCTTTCTCTTCCTCTGCCCCACCCTCCCCTTCCCTGGCCTAACAAGGCTCAGTGCTGCCCTCCTGTCTGGTTTAACACAAGTTCTTGTATATTCAGCTGTCAGTTTCCCTTATTGGCCATTTCACAAGCATTTCTATCTAATAAGGATAAATCCGTTAATTTTAAAACAGAACCACAATCATGCCTATGAAGTGTTTTTAAGCCTTTGACTGCCCTAAAGGAAAATAATTTTGGCATCACTTAATTTTTTAATGGCTTTTTTTTTCACTTCTATAGGTTAGCACTCTTTTCTCAATCTAAGAAAAAGATCAAATAGCCCTAGCTAAATTATTTTAAAAATAAAAACTTGTCTATGTAAGATGCTTTTGCTTTTTATATTATGTATGTGAAATGACACATAAACGTCCAAGAAAAAATAAATGTCCAAAAGGACATGCCACACAGTCTCCAATGCCATTGACATGGCATCTATGAAAATAACTTTATTTCTGTCCCCCAAAATTCAGAGTCTGATATTTTTATTTTTAGCATTTTGTGTATTTGAAAATGGTTTCCATGTGTAGAATAGACTTCTCAAAGTTCACTTTAATTTTCATAATTAATATTCTTTTTTCCTTAAAATTTTAACTTTATGAATTTTTGTTCTTTCCATAAGTATAGCAAGTTTGGACAATCACATTTATTTAATGTTTGTTACCACTTGCAAATTAAATTTCTTAAACTGCATGTATAGGTTTAATAGATTTGATTTTCTTGTTTAGTATTTCAATTGATTTATTGATAATAATACTTTCCATATAGTTAAATAAGTTATATAATTCTAAGAAATGTAGCGATTCATTTCACCTAAATTTTGCAAAACAGCTTGAAAAAAATTAACAGATTTTCTTATCATTGAAAATGATAAGAAATCATAAATTCAAGTATTTATATGCATATATATTTTAAATTGAAAATGTAGGACTAACATGTTACTGTAATAGGGCATTTTTGTAACCATTACATTTATTAGTAATATCAAATAAGATCAGATTCCTTACCCTAAAAGCCCATTCTTTTTAACCTTTTTAAAAAGTAATGTCAACTTTCATATTTTAGGGAGTATATGTGCAGGTTTGTTACCTGGGTATATTTCATGATGCGAGGTTTGGGGTATAATTGATCCCATCACCCAGGTAGTGAGCATAATGCCCAGTAGCTTTTCTACTATTCCCACCTCCCTCCCACCCCTCTCAAGTAGTCCCCAGTGTCTATTTTTTACATCTTTGTGTCTGTGTGTACGCTCAATGTTTAGCTCCCACTTATAAGTGAGAAAGGGCACTATTTGGATTTTTACCTTAAATTTTATCTTTTTAAACATTTCTACATTTAATTTTTATATTTGAAGTTAAAGGATCTTACCCAATTAAAGAGGAAAAAAAGTCAATTCAATCAAGTTTAGGAGTGGAGTCCCAGGTAATTTTGGGGGTTGCCTTCCATTTCTTATGGCGTTTCTTACTAGCCAGAGATAGTGGCTGGGATTTAAGACAACATCTTCAGATGTCAGTGTGCTTTATGGTCCTGGCTGCCACTATGTTGAGGATCCCAAAACTTAGAAAGACAGTTGATAAGACAGCCTCATATCTGGTTTGGATCAGTATCATCAAATTTTTCTGTCTACTTATGGAAGTCCGCAACCTTTGCCCATGCAGCAACATTTTTTACTCAATTTTGTATTCAGCTCAAGTTCTAAACATCTCTGAACTTGATGAGAATCCTACATTCTTTTCATATTCCTTCTATCTTTTGGCATCACTACTCTTTTAGATATTTAAATGACTTCAGTGTGAATTCTGGATATGTGTCATGTCTTAGTTTGGTGGTTTAAACTTCTTGTGCTTCGCAGGCAAGGTACTGTGTCTATCTCAAACTCTCTAATTTTATTTATAAGCACAATAGCTCATGGTGAATATTTTAGTCCAGAGCTAAATCAACCAATTTATGAGCTGACCAACTGAATGGCTCTTAATAAAAAAGAATGGAAGAAAACTGCTTGGAAGCAATAAGGCATCCTACAAGCCTATGCATATTCTGATACCATTATGAACCATTTTTATTTTATGAATTAAACTGTATCTGATTTATCTAATTTAATCATAATGTATAACTTCTAGTGGGTCTTGTAAATATTTGTGCATATTTACGCATAATATTCTTAATTTTTCCTCATTTTTAAGTTGAAATATTTTAAGTGTTTACAAGCAAATTATCTGTGAAAATACCTTACAAGCAAATTATCTGTGAAAATACCTTATCTATTTAGAGGGAGAAGAACTAGGAAGTCAGAATGTTGAATATGGTTTAATAAGAGCTCCGTATATATTAGGTGCTTAGTTTTTCCGAATAGATAACAATTTGTTGCATATTTACTAGGCATTTCACAGAAATAAGTACACACCTGTGCCCTTCTTTCTTCCATTGATACATCTGTAGAGTATATTAAAGTCATTTTAAATAAATGCTACAAACACTCAGAGAAATTTATCAGATAGATTGCCTATTAAGCATCTGGAAATTAATAAATTAAGTCAAATGTTTATACAATTTACATCCTCATTTTCTGAACTTTCGTCAGTTGTTAAATGTTTCCCATAATTACAATGGCAACATTCATTACAACTTAGAGCTTCCCGATAGGAAAGAATTAATCATAAGTACTTACGGATCCCACTTTTTTTGTTGAAAATTTCTATATTTTTTGTTTTTTAATTTTTAAAATTTTTTATTGATACATAATAGAAATATTTTAGGATACATGTGATAATTTAATACATTCATATAATTTGTAAAGATCAAATCAGTGTAATTGGGATAGCTATCACTTTAAATTTGTATCTTTTCTTTATGCTAGAAACATTTGAATAACTCTCTTCCAGTTACTTTGAAATATACACTAGATTATCGTAAACTATAGTCTACTTATCTATCAAGCACTGGGTCTTATTTTTTTCTATCAAACTCTATATTTGTACCCATTAATCAACTTCTCTTCATATAGTTCTGATAGTTATTAAATAAAGTCATCATTGCTTGTCAGTTTCAAACTTAAAAGACCTCATCATAGTAATAAATTGAAATAAGTGGAGACTAAGGGGATAAATCACTTACCCATCTTTCTCTGGGAATTGTAACCAATGGAGAAAGACAGAGAAAGTAAATGTAGGTCTCAGCTTTACCAGAGGATATGATGTAATTCCCAAATTTCACAGCTCACTACTCAAGCCAGACTTTCCCCTTCTTGAGTAGATGCAAGTTCTGCCTGGAGACAGAAAGGCAAGAAAGAGCATGGGGCCCTCTGACTTCCGCTGCAGTGGGCATCAGAGGGTAGGTCAGTCCTGTCTCCATGTGGGAGTCTGACAGTACCTGTCAGACTTTCCAGAACCTTCCTTTAGGTACATGGAGACAGGTAGAAACCCTCCTAGTTTCCTAAAAGCAAACACAGTGAGAGAAAGCAATTATCCCTCCTTCCCTGTAACTACCTTCTCCAATATATAATATTTGTGCATAGAAATACCAAAAAGCATGGACATCGGTGAACACGTTTTCTTCACATCTAAGTTCCTTATAATAGTTAACAAAGGATGGTCTTGTAAGATATTTTTCAGGCATGAGCTTTTTAGTTTATCTTTTTGACATACCCAATATTTAGCTTTTAAATATATGAATGAGTATAAAGGTAGGATTACATATGGTAAATTACTTTTAAAGTTGTTAAATGCCTTAATTTTTATTACTTATTTTTTATTTTATATATTTAACATACACAATGTGATGTTTCGGTATACACACAGAGAGTGAGATAAGGAAAAAGAAATGTCTTGAATATTTTTAATTATTTCAAAAATAATCTAGATTTGCTTTCTCCATGATATGGAAAACGCCAGAACTGAGGAAGTCCCAGGCCAATAGAACACAGGTCTTCCTTGCTCTGATGCTAGGGCTACTCAAGTGTATCTAAATCACAAGAAGTTAAAGATGAAAGGGACCCTGGAGATGCCCTCATTCAATCTCATTTTACAGATGAGTTAACTGGGAGATCACAATTGACATGGCCTCAGTCGCAGATGACCTTAGCAGTGGAATTAGGGTTAGATTAGTCACTGATCCAGGTCAGCGCTATGTGTGCATGTTGTGCTAATATTTTAGCGTAAGATTATAAGAAAGTGTTTTTAGCAGTTACAGATCTGAGTGCACACTCTAGTCCAATATGTACAGAATGCATACATGTACTTTTTCCAAAGTAACTATAATTTGTTAATAACCTTTTAGGGGACATAATTTGTTGAAGCTACTCCATCTGAAATTCCTGTATAAATTAATTGTAATGTTTTGTATTGTGGTGAACTGCAATCAATATTTTATGAATCCATATTCTGTTAATATTTGGTCAGAAGAAAAAATATTTGATAAATCAATTTTCAACCAAAAGAAATGTTTTTTAAAGTTCATTTCATCCCCAGAATACTATGATTTTTATATGACCTCTGTGAGTGAGTTTATTTTGTGCAATCCTAGGTCAATTTATGTAAGATGACTTTGTTTTTCCTAATTTAAAACTATTTCTGAGTAACTAACAAATGTCTTTTGAAAGTAGGCCTCCTGAGGTAAGAGGGTCTCTTGAAGAGTTTATCTTTTTTTTTCTTATTTTATTTTAAAGTCACTAAATTAGTTTCTTTCAATGAAATATGTTGTTACATTAAATAAATCTATGCAATCCATTATCCTTGAGGGAAATGAAGCCTTTTCAGTGATATGGTCAAGCATTCCCATGAGTTTGCTTGAAAGCTTGTAACTTGCCAATGCATAGCTACTAATCCTTACTTAGCTGAACACAATCTGATGGAGGAAAAGTAGGACAAAAAAGATCAATAGGACATTTACATACCTCCTCATATAAGCTCCATGTAAATATAAGTGATCATAAAACTGTTGCTTCCTTCTTCATACAAGGTCTCAATTTCTAAAATATGCTGCTAACCACTCTCTAGTCACAATGTGAACGCTATTTTTCCAGGTAGAATAATATATAAATATTATAAATAGTTTAGGAAATAATGCCATGACATTGAACTATGAAACCAATTTTAAAATAATTATTTTCAACAGGTAAATACTTCACTAAATTATATTACCACTAGGGAAATTTTTTTAAACTTCTTTTTCTATAATGTGTATAAGAATTATAAATATTCTCTATTGTGTATTTTTGTACCTTATGACTTGCTAGAAAATAGATTACCATTTCAGAACTGATTTATTACTGGCAGGTCTGCAAATGCTAGACTTGATTTCCTCTTGCAGCTATGGAAATGAGTATGTCAATCCATATGCTAACTAATATGAATGTATGTTAAATCCACGGCTCATTCAAATTTTGTCCTACGATATTTTTCAATGAAAGAAAATTTACCATCCATCACTAACATCCTTATTAACTTAGCTTCCTCTATAAAGGAAAGCAACAGTTGCTATTTTTCTTAATTCATTTAATTGAACCATGAAGTACTATGTTTTTATAACACTATGTAGCAGTGTTACTTTTATTAGTTTGTTTCTAGTTTATACCAACAAGAATATAAATTATCATCGTATTATTTTTATTACCACCAATGATTCAAATTATATTATATATGTAGACTCTGTGGGTTTTATTACACCATAATAGAGTATGACCTTATACGTTGCAATATAAAATTAGACATTATTAATTTTGGTAAAATCAGTTTGAATAAATTAGATAATCTTTGTTTCTTAAAATATATTAATATCATGGCTTTTGACGGCTGTGAAAATTATCTCTAGGAAAACCAATGGACTTTGTTGGATTCAAATTTCAGTAGTCAGGATGAGCTGTCCCCAAGTTACAACTAGTTATGGTGTTTTGTTTTAACCTTTTCTTTACTAAAACTGATGTATGAATGTTGGATCTAGATGACACTGAAAAGGCAGTAATTTTTTGTAGTATAACCATATTGCATTACAGAACTTTGAATAACAGTGGCCTGAATTTGCTTTCTTTTAGTTATAGCAGTCTCAGGAACCAGAATTAAAAGAATTTTAGGAGGTCTGGAGTGGTGGCTCATGCCTGTAATCCCCACGCTTTGGGAGGCCAAGGCGGGTGGATCACTTGAGGTCAGGAGTTCCAGACCAGCCTGACCAATTTGGTGAAACTCTGTCTCTACTAAAAATCACAAAATTTGGCCGGATGTGGTAGTGCGCACCTGCAATCCTAGCAATTTGGGAGGCGGAGGCGGGTGAATCGCTTGAGGCTCGGAGTTCGTGACCGGCCTGGCCAACATGGTGAAACCCTATCACTACGAAAAATACAAAAATTAGCTGGGCATGGTGATGTGCGCCTGTAATCCTAGCTATTCAGGAGGCTGAGACAGGAGAATTGCTTGACCCCGGGGAGGCAGAGGTTTCAGTGATCCATGATTGCACCATTGCACTCCACTCCAGCCCGGGCAGAAAAAACAAAAACAAAAACAAACAAACAGACAAACAATAACTCTAGGAAATAGTAGCACCATTTATTTTGTCTTACTTTTTGTTTGTTATCAGCAAATTCCGTAACGCTGAAGATTTTTTTCCCCTACAGGTTTGGGATGAAAATCTTGCAAAATCGGCAGAGGCTTGGGCGGCTACTTGCATTTGGGACCATGGACCTTCTTACTTACTGAGATTTTTGGGCCAAAATCTATCTGTACGCACTGGAAGGTAGGAAGTAATTTCACTGATGCAGTTCATCCACATGGCTTTATTAATTATGGACTCTAGGAGGGAATTTCATCAATTTCAAGTAATATCAACAAATTCTTATTGAATGCTCACTATGTGTCAGGTACTAACGCTTGGCCTATGAATATTTTAGATGTCTTCCAGAATTACTTAATTAGGCTAAAGGGCCAGTTCCCCTTTTCACCCTTGGAACACCTTCCCTTAGCCTGGATTTTTCTTTGAGCTCGCAGAATCTTAGAAAGGGTCAAGCCTGTGCTGTATCTTGCCCCCTCCATCTCAGGAAAAAGCCCCATGACTGTGCAGAGGCTGTGTGTGTGTGTGTGTGTGTGTGTGTGTGTGTGTGTGTGTGTATGCATATGAGTGCAACTTTCCCAAAGTTGCATATACCCGCATTTACATAAACATATACAATAAAAATGTAGGCATTTACATATGTTTATACACATACATATACATGCAGGTATATGCAGCTATGGGAAAAGCTATTCCCATTTGCTAGGATAATTTTTCTGCCACTGTGCAAAGTCGTTATCCAACACTCCAAATACCCATCTCCCCCAAATAGGGAAGGAAAATCAACTGTGCTATTATTAAAACTAAGGGAATTCAGACTGAAGTGAAAAAAATGCACTGGGTTCTAATATTGTGACTACTTTTATACATCTAATTCTGGATCATTTATAAAATTCTGATGGAGGAAGTTTTCGACATGGATTAAATAAGACATTGATGATTCCTGAAATTATTTGCATTTTCTTCGTGGAATGACCAGACACATGTTTAGACAAATACAGAATCACTTACTCCAGCCCTGGCCATTTCCATGCTTGGCCCTAGTTGGAGGAATAGAGGACCCGACTAGGTGGTGATGGTGATTGTGAGGGGTGGATGTGCTCTTGGATCATCATGAATAATCTGCAAAAAGAACAATCAATTTACAGTGTAACATGAGTCCCTTATATATTACCACTGCTGCACTCTGATTTCTTTCTTTTCTTTATATGCAGATATCGCTCTATTCTCCAGTTGGTCAAGCCATGGTATGATGAAGTGAAAGATTATGCTTTTCCATATCCCCAGGATTGCAACCCCAGATGTCCTATGAGATGTTTTGGTCCCATGTGCACACATTATACGCAGGTTATTTCAATTACCTTGTTAATTTTTGATTCATACTTTTAAAATATGCTAATACTATTTTGGTGGACATGCATTGTCTTAGCTCTGACTTCTGTAACAGTTTATTGGTTTATTTTCACAGATGGTTTGGGCCACTTCCAATCGGATAGGATGCGCAATTCATACTTGCCAAAACATGAATGTTTGGGGATCTGTGTGGCGACGTGCAGTTTACTTGGTATGCAACTATGCCCCAAAGTAAGTACCAGGTTGGATTCTATTTCCTGGATCCTTTAAAGACGTTAAATATCCCTAGGCTGATAGTTATCTGTGACAGGTAAGTGAGTAAGGCTTAGCTATAATGGCCTCTAATCCTCAAATCCACCATCCTTCCAATATTTCTGAAAAAAGATTAGCTGAAAGGTTACTTCTCACAAAGACAAGGATTCTAGTTCAAAATTGTAGGCAAAACAATCTGAAATGGTAGGGCTCACTAAATTCTCCTTACCATATGTTTTAATTATGGCAATTGTAAAATAAACACTGTACCACACAAGCTTTTAATAGCTATATAAAATAAATCAAGAAAGAATCTTCCATGATATTCTCATCTATCAGTACAAAAATGCTGGCTTACCTTTTTAGCAAAACATTGGAAGTCAATTCCTTCTTCCTTCTCTTATTTTTTAGATTTTAAAAATTCATAATTTCATCCTAGGGCATATATAAAATGGATTATGGAAATTTATCAAACATTATAAATATAGCCATATTTGTGAACATTATTTATGAGGATAAACATTTATCAGCATTTGGTAAAATGCCTCTTGATTACAATAACTCTTTGGATGATAAAATGTTCCAATATTTATATACAATTCTGTTCCCATTTGGAATAAATACCAAAATGTGCAAAGGATTTATGACACTCTTGGTGTCTTCCAAAATAAGTCTCAAACAAAGATTTTCTCCAGCTATTCCAGCATGGGGAGGGAATGAGAAAATGTTTCACAAATAACTGCATTACTCATTTATGTGGTAGTATGCCAGTGGCAGTGCTTTTACAAAGTCAGAAAAATAGTGATTCTCCCTATGTTCCCCTCTTCATAATTATTAGAATGGGAAGATTTGGAAAGTAGACTGTGTCTGCATTATTAAAAAAAGCATTAAAATTTTACATTTATACGAAAATTTTAGTTTTACACATTGCATTTTCCTATGAAGCCTTTACCCTTTCTCCCTGACATAAATAGACCAATTAGTACCCAAATAGTCTAAGAGATTTTTGTTTCATTTATGTAACTATTCATTTTTGGCCCATAGTTATAATTTTCTAATATTATCAGTGAGATATATTATTGCTTTACAGGTCCAAGAGATTAAGATATTACATTAACATGCTACATTTCAGTTGTAATAAAGAACAATTTTTCTGAAAACTAAGTAATGAAGAAGGTTTTAAAATCCTGATTGATAGCTGAATATAATTCTTCCAAACCTAATATGAAATTATGTTAAGTCTAACTGTTATTCAGTGGGAAAAAGAGAGACGGAGAGAGAGAAAGAGAGAGAGGAGGAGGAATGGAAGGAGGGAAAGAGATAAGTGAAAGAGAGAGAGAAAGAGAAATAATTTAGTTAGAATAGCATAAAATAAAAGAATGAATAGTATAAGTGTATAAATTGGCTGATTCACTGTTTTGAATAGAATTATCCTCTATTCAATAAAATCTGAGATTTATGTAAAAGTTTATAATATAAAATATGTAATAATTTTACTTATGATACAATTTTATTTCCAAGTTTTTGTTTCTAAAAATATGTGCTCCAAAAATGTCTGTGAAACAAATCAACAAAAAGATGAAATTAAGATAGCATTAGCTTGGCCCATATGCTTTTATAACTTTGGGTAAATGCATAGATGGAGGGCCAGGTGCGATGGCTCACTCCTGTAATCCCAGCACTTTGGGAGGCTGAGGCGGGTGGATCACCTGAGGTCAGGAGTTCAAGACCAGCCTGACCAACATGGCAAAACCCTGTCTCTACTAAAAATACAAAATTAGCTTGGTGTGGTGGTGCATATCTGTAATCCCAGCTACTCAGGAGGCTGAGGCAAGATAATCGCTTGAGCCTGGGTGGTGGAGGTTGCAGTGAGCTGAGATCACGCCATTGCACTCCAGCCTGGGCA
Source organism: Homo sapiens (assembly GCF_000001405.40). Taxonomy (NCBI): domain Eukaryota; kingdom Metazoa; phylum Chordata; class Mammalia; order Primates; family Hominidae; genus Homo; species Homo sapiens. The sequence goes on from NC_000008.11 coordinate 74,847,425, forward strand.
ACAAGAGCGAAACTCTGTCTCAAAAAAAAAAAAAAATACATAGAGGGAAATAAGATTATGAATGGTACAGGATTAGGATAAGAGAGCGAGCCACACTCATAAGATAATAGGTCCCCCTTGAACCTTTCTGAGCAAGCCTGTGATGGTATCAAAATTATGCAAGAGGAAGCTTATCCTTATAGTGTAGAATAAATTTAATAAAGGTGGGCAGTCTTAAAATCCCATCTCATTTTGTAATATGAATAAAAGTTTTTCATTTTAAGGATAGATTTTCCTGTATAGCTAGATATTTTGTATTTAAAAGTCTGAATTTTTAACTGAATGGTTGATCAAGATATTTTCATATCTTATACATATACTTTGTGAGTCACTGCTTGGTCTTAGTTGGGTCTTCAGGAAGATGAGGACCACCTGTTTCACATTTTAGCCTCTTACCTATTGTTGTCTTATCTTCAACCCTGACTTTTTACCACCGATAACCAAATTTTCTCCCGACCATTTAACTGTCTTCACATTGCTGTCTATATTGCTATTTCTTAGTATTCTAGTTACTTATCACCACACTACTGAAAACACATTTATTAATTTCTCCTTTATAATTAAAAGAGCAAAATAACAGTATGGCATCATGGCAGTTTTTAACTCTGTTAAGTGGAGATTTTGGTTTATTATTATGATAATGGCCATCAACACAGTGAAGGAAAAATATTGACAACACAAAGTAATTCAATTAAATGGGTTCAGTATTATCAAAAATCTAATAGCACTAATTTAAAACAATTAGTAGCTATGAATTTGCATATGAAATAAAACTTTTGAAATCACCTTTAATTGTTCCTGAGAGACATTACTCTCTTATGAGAATAATGGTATATTGGTTTATACCATTATACCATATATGAAGTTTTTCACATCTCATTTTATGAAGATTGGGAAACTAAAATACTTTGCAGAAGCAAATCTCCTTTTATTTATGATAACTTATATTTTGTGTATATGATAACTTATTACTCATTTCATTATTTTTAAGCCTCCCAGAAAATATTAGTTTGTTTTTTTAATCATCCTCAGATGAGCATTAGTGTGAGTTTAAAAGGAGTAAGTTTAAGGGAATATGGCCTGAGTATGTGCTCCAGAAATCTGCTGTAGAAGGAGAGAGATTTGAGTGGAATGACCCTGGTGTCCCAGGGCTCTGTATCATCAGGCGTTGTAGGCATTCACTTCTTATCTGTAAATTAATATAGCATCAACAATACTAAGAATATATAAATATATATACAATATATATAAATATATATATATATATATAGAGAGAGAGAGAGAGAGAGAGACGGAGTCTCGCTCTGTCGCCCAGGCTGGAGTGCAGTGGTGCCATCTCAGCTCAGTGCAAGCTCCACCTCCTGGGTTCACGCCATTCTTCTGCCTCAGCCTCCCCAGCAGCTGGGACTAGAGGCACCCGCCACTACGCCCAGCTAATTTTTTGTATAATACTCAGAATAGTTTTCAAAAGCAAGATATACAGAATAAGTTACTATTGAAATAAGAAATGATTATAACTTTCAGTGACTTTCTAAAGCAACTTCTCAAACGGATCATCACATGTCAATACTTGTGAACATATGGCTTAAGGACAATCTACTTTTAAAAAATGGGTGGGTTGCACTAATGCTATCTTTTTTGTTTTCCCTTCTAGGGGCAATTGGATTGGAGAAGCACCATATAAAGTAGGGGTACCATGTTCATCTTGTCCTCCAAGTTATGGGGGATCTTGTACTGACAATCTGTGTTTTCCAGGAGTTACGTCAAACTACCTGTACTGGTTTAAATAAGTTTACCTTTTCCTCCAGGAAATATAATGATTTCTGGGAACATGGGCATGTATATATATATATGGAGAGAGAATTTTGCACATATTATACATATTTTGTGCTAATCTTGTTTTCCTCTTAGTATTCCTTTGTATAAATTAGTGTTTGTCTAGCATGTTTGTTTAATCCTTTGAAATATTTGAAACATCAATTTCTATTTTCTGACCTCTAAGCCTAAATTAAGATATTGTATATGTAATGATGACATAGTTGATGCATCCAATCCTAAAACTTACATTCCAAAGGAATTATATCATTATGTTCCTAAGGAGTAAATATATATTTGACCTGTAAGTGTGTGTATGTATACATATACATATGTATGTGTATGGATTTATATATGCACACAAACATATAATATGTGATGTAACATGTAGATGATAATATGATTCAGTAGTCAACTTGAGGGAAATTTTTAAAAAACTATTCTCAATTATATACGAGGTGATGGGACTTCTTAACACACATTTCTATAATACCCATGAAATGATAATTTGTAAAATAACACTTAGTGATATCTGGAAATAATAATTCAATTAAGCAACCACGAATTTCACCCTGGAGATATTTTTTCTTATTTGAGTCCACCAAAGGATAATGCCAACTTATATAAGTTCTCAAATCATGCCTTCCGCTTAGTCTCATTTTATTCATTCAGTCGTCATGAGTTGAGTGCTTACTACATGCAAGGCACTCTGCTAGTTATATTCTAATAATGCAGAGATAATTAGACATGGTTCCCGCCCTCAAGAAGCTCACAAAAGTATTCAGGAAATAATGCAGACTAGTGATTTTGCTATAAAATTATTTTTGAAGGAAGCAGACACAGCAGTATTTACCTGTAGGTGGAGCAAGTAATAAGCCATGCTGTGCAATATATACATAAAGCTTCTGCTTCTCATGGGAATTTAGTTACAGTGCTTGGAATGAGAAGGGGAAGGAAAGAATTAACAAATGCCAAGATTTCTGGAGCAGATTGTACAGCTGTGACTTTGGAAAACAGAAAGTAAGACCCTCAGAAAACCAATGAAGTCTAAGAGAAATAAAATTTAGTGGACAGGTATGAAAAGTGTAATTGCGCCTAACTACCAGATGGAGAGCTTCAGAATGGGCTATCCTTAGAGTCTAGTACATCTTGAGGCCTCTCAGCAGGAGACAAAGGATTCCAAAAAGAGATGTGGAGGTGCTGAGGGCACCTCTATCTCTTTGTTGTTTAGTCTGTCATTGAATCAATCTACTTATCATCTTGGGTCTTTGAGTATTGTATGAAAGATCCTTCGTGCACACCACACACAGTCATGATTTTGTTAAAGTAGCCTTCTTCAGATGCTTTTCTAAGGGCTAGTTACCAACTTTATTTCTGTGTTTCTGTAGAAGAAACATTTTCAGTTCTTCATTGAGTTTGATTATGGAAATCCATTCAAAGTCACTATGAAAATTTTACTCATGTAGTTTGGAAATGCAACATTTTCCTATCATGAAATCTCTTTCAGAGAGGAGAATACAACATCTTAGTCCAGACATTTAACATACTGCATTTCAAGTACATGTGTGTGTGTTTTATTCAGGTTGTGTAATGCTCCCGTAGAATTATAGAACAATTAAATATGGTTAGTTCCAGAGTGCAAATTACAGAAGGAAGCTACTTGTTTAAAATTCCATACACGTTTGCAGTTTCTTGTACACATTTGGATACTTTGAAAGATGACAGATTGTTAAATCCATTCAATGGTAAAGAAACTCACCATCTGGAGATTGAGTCTACTTGTTAATGAATGACTAGCCCAATTATCCTTATAAATTGAATATGGTGACCAAATGCTTTGATATCATACTACTCTGCCTTTGTGGGCACATATGTAGACACTACTAAAAATAAATATTTTTGGAGATTAAAATGGAGAATAGAAGTAATTACATTATTTAGGTCTTAATCCAACTTTTTTCTAATATATCTAAACAATTGAAAGGGAAGCTTATTCATGGAATATTGGCTTGATTTATCTAGAAAGTTTTTCCTTCTTCAATTTTACTATATTCATTCTACAGGAACAGCAATAAGTACTATTAAACAGAAGATGGCTACACTAAGTTCCAATTTTGTTGCTGAATTGCTTCTGTGAGTTCACTTTTCAGTTCTAAGGAAGAATAATATTTGCTACATATTTCACAGGGGTTCTTATGAAGGTAAATTTACCAGATTAATAAAAATTTATGAATATTAAAATTATCATTAATAATATAAAACACTTATTTGAGATTAAATTAAATTTTTCATGAGCCCCTCTTTGGCAGGAACTCTGTTTAATTCTTTGTATTTATCCCAGCTTCTTAAATGGTGGCTGTAACATAATAAATGTTTAATAAATGCTTATATGAATGGATTTTTAGAATTAACTAAGAAGCCAAAAATGGCAACAATTTACAGAAATCCCACCTTTCCATGCTTAAGACAAAAATGTCTTAAATATAAAGCTGTGATTATATCAAAAATCCAGATAAATCATCAAATATATCAGATTAAGACCAGGGTTTACACACTTAGGCAATAGTCCTTTCCAAACCATGACAAAAACTACAAGTTTATTTATAATTTAACAACTCAGCTGAAAATATAACGGGTATATTTGTTATTCTAACTCTATTTTTTAAAGTTAATAATATAAAGTGGCCATGTAAAATATTTTATTTTCCAGGCTAAAGCAAATGAAAGTTTGCTGGTATCAACACAGCCTGCCATATTTTTCACAGCATGCAACAATGGTGCTAGGATAGCTATTTCTTACTGTAATTGCCAGAGGCAGAAATGGTCTGGGTATAAGCTATTTCATAAAAGCAGCTTTAAATTGTCAGTATTAAGGTTTTCATGTGGAAAGGTGTCATTCAAAAAAAAAGTAATTGGCATACATATTCCACATCATCGATCCTCTCTGTGGTGTTAATTTTTTTATATGACCAGTAGAAAAATTTTAATATTCTCACAATATAGGTTTTGGGGCTTCCATATCATCAAAAGACTGAAAAATTATAATTTTAGAATTAAACTGATGGATTTCATTATAGAATTATCTGTGAGTTGTGTAGACACAGTCTTAATGTTTCTGGTTATGACAGATAAGTTTGCTCAAAAAATGTGGATGAAGCCATTATTGTTATTATTGTTATTGCTTCTGTTCAGTTGTCTAAGTATCATCCCTTCTGTGGCCCATCACGCAGCAGAGTTGCCCTACAAATTTCATTTGGCAGCGCCATAACATTCATTTAAAAAGTTTATGAAAACATTCATTTGAAAGTTCCATGCAGCTTTAGCACAGAGTTGACCAAACACTGGCGTAAGTTCAATTTACACAGAATATTTGAATTGAAACAATAGAAATTTTTCTCATAATATATACCTATGTGAAACCAACTTATCTGCATAATTAAATCTAATACATATTTAAGCCAGTTTAAGTGCTTTGTGTTGATGCCATGCTTATCAAATACATGCACAAGCTAAACATAATTTGAATGGGTCTATGAAGGAAAAATAATGCTTAGACTTTGGTGTAGGTTCTTCCTGTGTAGCCATATACCCAGGCTCTGCAGTATCGAAGGATGCAAATGTTGACATAGATGGAAGCTCTTACCTACCAAAGTGTTTAGGAAGGATAAAGTTACATTTGTCTTAATTTCTAACATTATCTTTGCTTTTATGTTTCATAAAAATTTGTCATTATTTATGCTGGTGAAACGTATAATCACATCCAATTATTTGAACACATGCAAAATAATTTTTTAAATTATGTTATTGTTTAAATTTGACTTATGGGAGATCAGTCAAAAACTTAGAAGGTTTAACACTTCACTGATTAATGGTGCTGAAAACACGTTACAATTACCACATATCCTTGCTATAAGTTTTGAAGTTTCTTAGCAATTAAAGTTTTTTTATTCAGTGTGAACTGTCAGTATCTATTCTGGTGCTAAATGTATGGTGCTAAATGAATTGTTAGTGTTGATGGCTTTAGTAATGCTCCTTTTATTCATTGCTAAATTTAGTGTTATCCATTTGATTCCTGATTCAGAAATATCAATAAAATCCTATGTTAAATTAATCTTTACCAAAAACAGGCAAGTTAACTCTGTTGTTTTAATTCAACAGTCCAACATTATTTAGGTGTTACAGAGTGTAAATATATTTCTTTGGGAGTTATTTTCTTTTTAAAATCTTTTTATAGCTTGGCAATGTCCAAAGTCAAATATCACCTAAACTGGTTAGATTACTTCTACAGCTAATAATATTGCAGGCACTGGCGCCCTCTGGTGGTTATGAAGACAAATTCTTAATGGCTACTTGACCTACAGCAAAAGCCATTTCTGTACCATAAAAATTTGTTGTGCAATATTAGAATTATCATATGTTTCCTACATCTGACAGCACCTAAAATGTTTGATAATATTAACATGTATCTAAGAGGAAAAAAGAGTTAATATATTCTGGCACCCACTTTCCTAGTAATGTTTTCCATGATTTTCCAGTTCTGAGGCACTTATTAAAGTGCTTTTTTTTTTCTGAATTAATTAGGTATTGGTAAAATATATTTTTAAATTTAGTTAGCTTTATAAACACAATTAGAATTACAATTAATTAACAGAGGTATAATTGTCTCACTTTCAGAAGTGATCATTTATTTTTATTTAGCACAGGTCATAAGAAAAATATATAGAAAAATAATCAATTTCATATATAAAAGGATTATTTCTCCACCTTTAATTATTGGCCTATCATTTGTTAGTGTTATTTGGTCATATTATTGAACTAATGTATTATTCCATTCAAAGTCTTTCTAGATTTAAAAATGTATGCAAAAGCTTAGGATTATATCATGTGTAACTATTATAGATAACATCCTAAACCTTCAGTTTAGATATATAATTGACTGGGTGTAATCTCTTTTGTAATCTGTTTTGACAGATTTCTTAAATTATGTTAGCATAATCAAGGAAGATTTACCTTGAAGCACTTTCCAAATTGATACTTTCAAACTTATTTTAAAGCAGTAGAACCTTTTCTATGAACTAAATCACATGCAAAACTCCAACCTGTAGTATACATAAAATGGACTTACTTATTCCTCTCACCTTCTCCAGTGCCTAGGAATATTCTTCTCTGAGCCCTAGGATTGATTCTATCACACAGAGCAACATTAATCTAAATGGTTTAGCTCCCTCTTTTTTCTCTAAAAACAATCAGCTAATAAAAAAAAAATTTGAGGGCCTAAATTATTTCAATGGTTGTTTGAAATATTCAGTTCAGTTTGTACCTGTTAGCAGTCTTTCAGTTTGGGGGAGAATTAAATACTGTGCTAAGCTGGTGCTTGGATACATATTACAGCATCTTGTGTTTTATTTGACAAACAGAATTTTGGTGCCATAATATTTTGAGAATTAGAGAAGATTGTGATGCATATATATAAACACTATTTTTAAAAAATATCTAAATATGTCTCACATATTTATATAATCCTCAAATATACTGTACCATTTTAGATATTTTTTAAACAGATTAATTTGGAGAAGTTTTATTCATTACCTAATTCTGTGGCAAAAATGGTGCCTCTGATGTTGTGATATAGTATTGTCAGTGTGTACATATATAAAACCTGTGTAAACCTCTGTCCTTATGAACCATAACAAATGTAGCTTTTTAAAGTCCATTGTATTGTTTTTTCTTTCAATAAAAGAGTATAATTAATTGGTTGTTTTTGAAGTATATCTAATTGTTTCCTTTTTTTCATAGTTTTAAAGTAGATTAGACACTAGATGAACTGGCCTTTTGGACCATCGGCCAGTTTTGATGAGAGATAAATCACTTTTCTAAAGCAACAATGATTGTATCTTTAACGCATCACTGAACACCAACTTCTCTATTTTTCTTTCTTCCTTCCCTTTTCTATTTTCTGCCCTCCTTCTTTCCTTCTTTTGCCACTAAATCCCCGCAAATATTTTGAGGTATCATTATAAAAGATATTTCCATGGAGGGAGAGCAAAAGAACAACATCAAGAAGTTCTGACTAAGGAAAACTGCTGCAGTTGACCATGAATATTTTTTGTTTCTTCCTAGAGGGCTTCTAAGCCTTTTTAAAGGAGAGGCACCATCTCAGGCCGCTAGTCTGCCCAAGGCTGGAGACTCCCAGGGTGGCTCTTCCTTGTAGAGGGGTAACTCTTTCATCTCTAATGAGATGGTTGATCTCACAGGCCAGTTGAGAAAGACCAGAATCTAGGACTTCATTTAAATTTTTCCTTACCATAGAGAGAGCCTCACTAACTGAAGCCTTTTCAAAGAGCATCTCCCCCACAACCCTGTAGCTGTCTCTCAGCTTCTCTTTCTCTTGCTAGTTGTCCTTGCTCACTTCACTTCCTCCTGTTTGAAGCCTCTGGTTTTCCACTCACAATTTTGGGAAGTTCTGTCATCTCCAGAGGAGGTGGGGTTCCATTCACTGATCTGTGCGTGTGTATGTGCATGCATGTGTGTGCAGGTGTGTGAGGTGTGTGTTGCAATTTCTAGCCCCACAGAGGCCTGACTGATGCTAGCAAAATCTCACCCTTCTATTCTGGGACATCTCTGAAGGTGAAGAAATGGGGCGGGGGGTGATGACCCCATTCAGTCTTACCCACTGTTGAGCACTAATTAGCCTGTGCTAATTATGAGAGGCAATGCCCCCTGACAAGGCAGACATTGGCTTTCCCAGATACAGCATACTGTACTCTTGTAAGCAAAGCCTATTCCTGCTGTCACTTGACTCTGCCCTAGGTCCTTCTGAGACAGTAACCTTGGCACTGTGGTCCCAGGAAGCACTGACTCTCTCCTGTGCCGTGCTTACACTTTGCAGGAGTGATTGGTCCTGTCTGGTCCTGTCTTAGCAAAGTGGAGAGGTGACACACATCCTCAGTTGAATATCTGTGACCTCAGCTCTCTCCTTTGATGAAGGAAAAATGAAATCCTGGCATGTTTCCTTCATTGACAGCCTAATAATTGAAGGGAACACGCCAGCTTATGAAGGAACACATGGATTTTACCAAACTTAGGTGCAGACAGAAATTCATTCTGTGACTTTCTACATAATACATTGAACAATGTAGTTAATTATCTCAAAAATGATTTTTTTCTGAAAACATGCACATGAAAATGGTATAACTATACTTTATTCTAAAAACTAAAAGGTATGTGAAAATTCTACAAGCTCTAGAATCTGTCAGTATCCTGCAAAATTGTGTATGCATTTACCCTTTAACTCAGCAATTCCTCTTCTACACATCCATTGCAGAAATACACTGGCAAAATATGAAATGACATGTGTACAGTGTGAATCATTATAGTATGATTTGTAACTATTTGTAATAGTGTTAGCGAAACATCAGGGGTTCAGTCTAGCTCCTGCTGCTCTCAGCATAGAAAGTCAGTCACTGAGACAATGATTATTGCCAAGGAAGAAGGCTTTGCAGTGGACAAGATGAGAGATCAGTCTCAGATTCATCTCCCTCTCTGACTAAAATTAGGGGTTTATATAGCAGGGAGGAAATGTCACCATGTATGGGAAAACAGGAACTCTGGAGAGGTAAAGAAGAAATCATAATGAATGAAGGGCCTGGCTTCTCATTGTCTGAATCTGGTGAGTTTCAAGCTTTAAGACCAGAAGGGTCAATCTCTATGTTTATCAAAAACAAAAACAACAGCAGCAGCAACAACAACAACAAAAAACCGTCTTTGGGACTACTGGGTCAGTTTCAATAGCAAAAGGCCAGAAACAAAGGTAAATCAGAAACGGGTTGGCTGAGTAGTATGCCCACATGAGATAATACATTGCCTTCCTTTGTTTGGGCTGCTATAATAAAGTATCACAGACTGATTGGCTTATAAACTACAGACATTTATTTCTCACAGTTCCGGAGCTTAGAAGTCTGATATCAGATGCCAGCCTGATGAGGCTACAGAGAGTTCTTTTCCGGGTTGCAGACTCCTGGCTTCTCCTCGTATCCTCATGTGGCAGAAAGAGAGTGTACCAGCTCTCTGAGGTTTCTTTTATAAGGATGCTAATTCCATTTATAAGAGCTCCACCCTCACAACCTAATTACCTCTCAAAGGTGAGCCCCCTAATATCATCACACTAGGGGGTCAGGATATCAATATATGAATTTGTGGGGATACACTCAGTCCATAAAAATTATGCAGTTGAAAAAAATCTTTATAAACTCATACGAAGTGGTCTCCCAGGATACTTCCCTAAGTGAAAAAAGTATTGTACAGAAGAGTGTAATTGGTATGCTACCCTGGTGAGAAGATTCTGGGGGAATACTACACGTACACAAGCATGCATTTATGATACTATCAGTTTTTATTCGCAAAAAGAAAAGTGGAATGGTGAATCAGAAAAGAATAAAAATTATTACCTCTAGGGGGTAAGAAGGGAACCTAATAAATGGACAAAAATATTTCAAATGACTCTAACACTTAGTATTTTGGGTGTATATCCTCAGTGGAACATATTTTAAAGATAGAGTTGCAAAGAAAGATTTCATTTTATTCAGTAGCCTGCTTGTAGTATTATTAGTGAGGGGTGAGAGACTAATGCACATAAGTAACTAGACTGCTCTTTTTAGAAATCAAAGTTTTCAATGTAAGAGAAAAGAGGTACCATCTGAAAAAATAACACTGAAGTATGAATTTGAAACATCAATATTAACTCAAGGTATTTGAGTTTATGTAGTCTTAAAAGCTCTGAACAGTGTAAAGTCCTAGAAACTCAGAATCCAATAGTGCTAAGTTCAGTTAGTGTACAGATTGTTGTCCCTAACACCATCATCGCTTAAGGTAAGGCTTGGCCTTACTTCAGCTGCCACCACCTAATCCTTGACACCACTGTCTCTCACATACATTAATGGAGTCCAAAGTGGGGTTTGTTGTCCCTAGTGCTCAAGAAGCACAATTGAGAGTCATGCTTAGGAAACACAAGAACTTGTTTTGATATTTAACTTTATCTAAGAAAAAGAAAGAAAAAAATGAAGATTCCCTGCAGGACAATGGATTGACAGCGATGGCTCTCCCTTGATCCATCAGTAAGGGACATGTTTCCCCAGAAGGGTGTGGTGTCTGAAGAATGGCGAGTGGCCTACGACAGCAGTGTCGCCTGTGCTTCTCATGCGGGTGTGTGCTTTTAGGGCTTTTCCACATACTGTATTTTAGTGAACCAGATAAGAGAATGAACTAATTTTGAAATCCGGCTTTTAACGAACATTGACAAAAAGTTTCAGAAAATTCCCACGGAACAAATATTAAAAATAATTTGATAATGAATGCACAAGTAACACTAGGAAATGTAAGAGCTGGTACTTACCTTGCTTACAATAACAAGCTGTCAACTACATTATAAGGTAAAAATAATGATGATCTACTATGATAGACTGGCCAAGGAATTCAAAATTTTCTAGACTACTAGGAGTAATAAATGTGCTGTTAATGATTCATATTTGCCTTGATAGATTAGCTGGTGAGTTAGGCCATCATGATTAGCACTGTTTTTAAATGAAAATAAATGTAAAATGATGATTGAAGTGATATACTAAACAAAACTTTTCAAAATTATTGAGCATATTTGAGCATATTTGATCATGTTGCTCTGCTAAAAATGTAAATACTGGCAAAATTTAAATTTGAAATTATAATAGAAATATCACAGTACTGTTCTGGGGAAAGCAAAATGACTTTATAGCATTGATGACAAAATATTTTTAACAGTTATTAGAAATTTTACTGTAAATATTTTGTTACTTGAATATTTTATAATGTATACAATGTATTATAATTCATGGAACCTAGGGGCTCTAATGTCTAATGTCTAATATATATCAGCACAGGTTATAATTTATATCATACACAATGGGGTAGGGAAGATCCAAACTTTTTACTATCGGATTGCACAGCCAAAAATTTTAGAAGCAATAGGTGCGAACCGGGGCAGCTTCCTAACAGGTCTGTCTGCTTCCACTTTCGCTCTCTCACTGTCCAGCCCCACAGCACCAGGATTGATCATTTTCAAAGTAAAACACACCCCATGACTTTCCTGCCCAAGACCTTCCAGCGACATTCCAATGCACTTTTTTTTTTTGCTTTTTTTTTTTTGAGACAAAGTCTTGCTCTGTCACCCAGACTGGAGTGCAGTGGCGCAATCTTGGCTCACTGCAACCTCCACCTCTCAGGTTCAAATGATTTTCCCGCCTCAGTCTCCTGAGTAGCTGGGACTAAAGGCACCCACCACCAATCGTGGCTAATTTTTTTTTTTTTTTGTACTTTTAGTAGAGATGGGGTTTTGCCATGTTGCCCAGCCTGGTCTCAAACTCCTGAGCTCAGGCAGTCCACCTGCCTTGCCCTCCCAAAGTGCTGGGATTACAGGCGTGAGCCACTGCGACTGGCCTCCAATGCACTCATAAGGAAATCTGAGTTTCATCGCTATTCACGGGAGCTCTGCTGGGTGGCTCCTGCCTCCTCCTTCAAGGTCCTTCTCTGCTTCATTGCTGCTGCTCACTCTGCCCCGACCTTACTTGCTCTCTTTCCTCCAGGTTTATCTCCTTGGTGGGGCTTTTTCAATTGTTCTTCCCTCTACTCCTACTGCCTCCCAGATATTACATGGCTTTTTATCTCTCACTTTATTCTGGCCCTTCCTAATAGACACTTTTCCAACCTCCAGATTTAAAACAGCCCTCTTGCCCCTCCAGCACTCTCTGCGTTTGCCTTAGTGTTATTACCTCCATAGCAGTGACACTGTGATTACTCTGCTAAGATCCCTGTGTGAGCGTATATGCGCCATTCAGTTGCATTACATATGTTGACTTAAGGCTGTCTCTCCCACTAGAATGCAAGCTTCATGAAAGAGAGATTTTTCCTTATTTATTTGCTGTTTTCCTAGATCCTAGAAATGTGCTTAATACTTTGCAGGTGCCCAGTAAATATTTTTAGGGGGATCAAACGATGAATGGAGTCGTAGGGATTAAATGAAGTAATGTACATAGAACATTTAACATGGTTCCTTGTGAGGAATTAACACAAATCATTATTTATCTCTATCATTTTTTACAATGTTCTGAAAAATAATTAGGGATCTATGAGATCTATATTCTTAGAAAGTTTGTGCTAACGGAGTTAATTTGCCATAGAAATAGTAAACCAAGCTTGTTTTTTCACAAAACTAGTATTTATCATCTGCTATGTTACTTTTAAAAAAAAAATCTGTAGCTGGAAATAATTACATTAATATCTTTTAGGAATGGGTTCATATAGTTTGAACAGTCAACTCATGACACAGATTGCCTAGATAGACATTTTTATGTTGGCCCCTGATTTCACCTTTACATTGATAAGAATGTGGCAAAGAATGCAAGTTCTGGGAAAACAGCACTGAATCCTTTAGCTTTTTCCTATACTGTCTGTATTTGAAAATGAAAATAGGCCACAGAGAAAGACAACGAAGACATACATGAGGAGAAGTACGCCTGTGAGGCTGAGGTGGGAGGATCGTCTGAGCCTGGGAGGTCCAGGCTTCAGTGGGCTGTGATCATGCCATTGCACTCCAGCCTTGGCAACAGAGTGAGACACTGTCTCAGAAAAATAAGTAAGTTTGCTCAGTAATTCCAGTGTGAATCAAATAGGGTAATCTGAAAATGACCGAATCAACTGGCATCTTTGAAACTTGGGTGTTTTTTTCTACAGTACTTAATGAGTTCTACTCAGAAGACTAAGAATGTGAGAATTTTATCTAACTGATTCATCAGCTTGAGCCACTAAATGAATATGAAAAAGAAACTACTTCACATAGAAAAAAAAGTCTAAGTATGTGAAATATCTTTTTGGAGCTAGAAAATAAAATGTTAAACCATACATATAATGAAACAACTCTACCAAACTATAATTATATTAACAAATTTTCAGATAAATTACAATCTTCCCTGAGGTTGAACACAACATCCATATATTTAAAAAATATTGTGGTGACAAACAAAATTACCTGTATGCAGTTTTGAATAACCTTCTGGAAGAGGAGGGATACTGTGAATCTCTGAGAATCACTGATAGAGACACTCATGAGTAAACAGAATGAAACTAGTCTGTTTAATTTATTAAAGTTCTCTGTGTGCTGCTTACTTCTGTATTTTATTATAATTATGTGCATGGTTATTCATTTTTTTTCATGATTTTCTTGAGTTCCAACTATGTGCCAGACTCTATTCTAGGTTTTGGAGCTATGCAGTGAGCAAACCAAGTAAAAATCCATGCCTTCATGGAACATCTGTTCTAGACGGGGAGAGGTTGACAAGAGACACAAAGACACGGAATATGTCAGAGGGTAATCAACACTATGGAGAAAAAATAAGGCAGGATGAGACAGAGGAAGAACAGGGAGGGAGGATGCTTAATTTTACCTAAGGAGTCAGGAAAGTCCTAATGAAAGTAACATTTCAGCAAAGATATGAAAGATTTGCTGGAGATAGCCATGTGGCAACTGTACCTAGGCATCTACCATGTGTATCTCTGGGGAAGAAGTTTCCAGGCAGCGGAAGATGGAGGCAAAGGCCTTGTGGCAGGACCATGCCTGTCTGGTCCACAGATGTGCAGCAGAGGGGGAGAATAAAATAGTATTAGAAAAGGCGGCTGGGTGCAGTGGCTCACGCCTGTAATTCCAGCACTTTGGGAGGCAGAGTCGTGTGGATCACCTGAGGTCCAGAGTTCGAGACCACCCTGGCCAACATGGTGAAACCCCCAGCTCTACGAAAAATACAAAAAATTAGCCAGGCATGGTGGCGAGTGCCTGTAATCTCAGCTACTCAGGAGGCTAAGGCAGGAGAATCACTTGAACCCTGGAGGCAGAGGTTGCAGTGAGCTGAGATTGTGCCATTGCATGATAGCCTGGGTGACAGAGTGAAACTCCATCTCAAAAACAAAACCAAAAACAAACAAAAAAATAAAAAATTAAAAAATTAAAAGAAGAAGAAAAAAGAAAGGGGCCAGAGATTTCTTAAAGGATGCAGAATTACGGCTAGATAGTAGGAATAAGTTTTAGTGTTCTATACCACCATAGGATTACCATGATTAAGAATAATATAGAGTTTCAAATAACTGCAAGGAATATATTGAATATTGCCAACACAAAAACTGATGTTTGAGATCATTACCCTGGTCTGATAACAATATATTACATGTATCAAAAAACTTCACTGTATACCCCATAAAATGTACACTTATGAGTCAATAAAAAAAGGAAATGAGGACAAGGAGATCACAAAATACTGTGTGGACCAGATTATTGTAAGGACTTTGACTTTTATTCTGAGTGAAACAGAAAGTCATTGAAAGTTTTAAGCAGAAAAGTGCCATGATTTAACACATTTCAGAAGGATCACTATTTTCACTGTGCTCAAAATAGACTGTAAAGAGGCAGGGAGGTCACCTTCATTAGGATCTTGCTCTGTCAATCATCTTTTCTTTCTCTGGTAGTTTTACTCTTCTTCCAAGCCCAGAAGAGCACACAGAAAACAGCCACTGTCTTATCCACTGTTTAGTCCCTGACTACTCAGACTCATGAATGTGCCTCACACAGTCATTGACTTCATTTTTTGATCAGATTATTAGATTTTTCCTATAGAGTTGTTTGAGCTCCTTATATATTCTGGTTATATAACCTTGTCAAATGGGTAGTTCAAATATATTTTCTCCCATTCTGCAGGTTATCCCAATTGCCTGCTTAATCCCTGGCCTCTTGCAATTCATTCATTCTACAAACATTTTTTAGCATGTTTCACATGTTAGGTACTATCTAAAATAAAAATCAGGCAAGTGCATACCTGCCAGAAACTTATGTTGTGGTGGCAGGTGGCAGAAATATAGAAGTCACTAAGTGTATAATAAAATGCCCAGTGGAGATCCTTGCTATGAGGAAAAATGAAACAGGGGAGGACAGAGAGGATGATGGGACCATAGGTACCTGAGCTGGTCAAGAAGGGCCCCACTGAAGAGGTAAAATCTGAGCCAACACCTGAATGATGTCCACTCTCCCTGAAATGCAACTGTGCCTTGAAAGAATTGTGTGATTTCACTGAAAATAACTAGCACTTTTATTGTCTTTCTTCATTGTCTCTGTTGAACTTAAGGCAGTTTTCATTTGATTTTTCTTGAAATTCTTCTCCTTCAGTTCTGTATTTTCCTACTTGACCTCTATTATCTCCG
Source organism: Homo sapiens (assembly GCF_000001405.40). Classification (NCBI taxonomy): domain Eukaryota; kingdom Metazoa; phylum Chordata; class Mammalia; order Primates; family Hominidae; genus Homo; species Homo sapiens. Next base: position 74,863,550 of record NC_000008.11, read on the forward strand.
GGACTTTGAGTGGTTTAATGAGGAACCCATATCCCCTAGGCCAAGCCTGACATGTCACTCTGCTGTTCAAATTCTTTTCTTTGCTTCTTGCCCCTTATAGAATAAATGCAAACAGCCTTTATTTCCATTTAACTACCCTCAGGCTGAAGGCCAGAGTTTATATTTACAGCTTATTTCTACTATGCTTCATCCTTTTTTCTAAAGATAAACTGATACCTTGTATTACTTATATCTTCTTCCATACTTCCCAACAACTCTGCTGAGTCTCACACAATTTACATCGCCTGGGCATGCGTGGGACAGCATAAATCTGTCATGGCTTTAATTTTACCTCTTCTGGAGGTCTTTGGTTTCCCAATTTATGAGCATACTTTCTTTCCTTTGAGCCCCAACAGCACTTGAACGATATCTCTATTCTTGCATTTACCTTCTAGTTTCCCTTATTGCGTAATCATAAACATCCTAAAAATATCTTTAGTACACAACAAGTTCTGTGCTAGGGTCATCTTTGTATTACACACTACTAGCACAGAATAGCCATTCACCATTGAAAGAATTGATGCTTTTATTCAGGACTGTGGTCAAGCTGTCATATTATTTCTGCCATAGTCATATGCCTGCATGTACATGAGTGACTAACAGATGCCACTCTTGTAGCTATCTGCAGTGGCATACTTCTGTTGCAAACTTATGGGAACTTAGTTACATCATAGGTATACTAAATATATTTTTTCCATTACTCATACTCAAATATAGAAGAAATAGAAAATGTTTGTCAAAGAAACGTATGCAGAGAACACGTGAATGATTTTTAGTTTTCCAATCTTTGACAAAGTAACGTAATTCATACTTCAAGTGGACAAGTGAGTGTGTGGTGATGTTTTCAAAGATATTTGAGAATAAAGTTGAAGAGAAACACTGACTAAATAAGAGTGAGAAACTGATATAAGGGTTGTAAATTTTTTCAAAAATGGTTCAGGGCTCTACTTTAATTAAAAGTATTTTCAGGATGGGCGCGGTGGCTAACGCTTGTAATTTTAGGGCTTTGGGAGGCCAAGACGGGTGGATCACCTGAGGTCAGGAGTTTGAGACCAGCCAGGCTAACATGGTGAAACCCAATCTCTACTACAAATACAAAAGGTTAGCCAGGTATGGTGGCACATGCCTGTAATCCCAGCTACTCAGGAGGCTGAGGCAGGAGACTCGCTTGAACCTGGAAGCCTGGGTGACAGAGCAAGACTCCGTCTCAAAACAAACAAATAAACAAACAAACAAAAAGTATTTTCAAAGATCATTTCTACTTAGTGTAAATTTAAATGCCAATTACAATAGAATAGCTGATCCCCTTGTTAAGTAAATATTTATGGCAAAATATAACTTTATAATTTAAATAATTCATAATATCCTCCAGTAAATAAAAATTATTTAGGGCATTTCAAAGCATCTGTTCTATTTCCTAATTTTTTTTTAACAAGCACAATGCACAAACAAAACATTAAATAAAAAGTATAATGGTATCACCTTCTATATGTTTCATATACTTGCATATTTTTACATATGCATACATATTTTTACATATTAAAAAACAGTCCACATTATTTGCATTCTACTCATTTCTCTAGTGGAAAAGCTAGCTAGTTACATTCTAGCATGAAATGTACTGTAATGCAATTTTTTTTTTGAGATGGAGTCTCCCTCTGTCACCCAGGCTGGAGTGCAGTGGCGTGATCTCAGCTCACTGCAACCTCTGCCTCATGAGTTCAAGCGATTCTCATGCCTCAGCCTCCCAAGTAGCTGCTATTACAGACTTGCACCACCACACCCAGCTATTTTTTGTATTTTTAGTAGAGACGGGGTTTCACCATGTTGGCCGGTCTGGTCTCGAACTCCTGACCTCTGTTGATCCGCCAGCCTCAGACTCCCAAAAGTGCTGGGATTACAGGCGTGAGTCACTATGTCTGGCCTATAATGCAATATTAAATGAGAATATCAAGTATACCTTAGGAAGACCTGGGATTTGTGGGTAGGTATGGACTCTTAGACTTTCTGACCGAGATGATCTCTGAAACAAATCCTCTCTTCCTTTTCCTGTTTTCCATAATCATGAGTTTTTTTTTCCCAAAGTGATGTAAGACATTTGGCAATATATTTAAAGTTTTAAAACTCTAAGCACAACATATTAAAAGAAAACTGCACCTGAGCACATCATAGTCAAATTACTAAAAATCAAAGAGAATGAAAGCTTTTAAAGCAGCTGAAACAAAGGACAATTGTCATTAATGGTGCAAGAAGTAGACCAAAGGGTTAATTTTCAATAGAAACTTTGAATGATGGAAGGCAAAAGAATAATATCCTTAAAGTAGTAAAAGCAGAAAATCGCCAAACTGAAATTCCAAACCTGTAGAACTTATTATTCAAAAATAAAAATGAAATAACATATTTGCAGATTGAAAGAAAAAAGCTGAGAGAATTATTGCCTGAATAAACTAATGGGTGTGCTTCAGACACAAGGAAGGTGATACCAGATGAAAAAAGTGAACTATAAGAATAAATAAATAATGCCAGAAAGGTGAATATAAAGGGAATATAAATGAGTATTAACTGTTTAAAAGGACAGCAATAATGATGTCTTATGGGTTTATAATGTATATACAATAATATATATGGGAACAATAATATAAAGTGGGGAGGAAAATAGAGTGTCTTCCATTGATTAGGGAACAGTAACTGTATTAAGTCATAATTTAAGAAACCATATAATCTCTAGAACAATTATTGAAGGAATAATAGAAGAATGTAAAAATAAAAATCTAATAGAGCAGGAAAATGAGAAAAATGGATTACTCAAAAGAAGTCAAAAAGAAAGAATTAAGAAACAAAGATGAGACATAGAGAACCAATGGCTAGATTATACAATTCAACTTGTATATCAGTAATTACATTAAAAAGTTATTTTAGAAAACTCTACCTGAGGGAGGAGCCAAGATGGCCGAACAGGAACAGCTCCGGTCTACAGCTCCCAGCGTGAGCGACGCAGAAGACGGGTGATTTCTGCATTTCCATCTGAGGTACCGGGTTCATCTCACTAGGGAGTGCCAGACAGTGGGCGCACGTTAGTGGGTGCGCGCATCGTGCGCGAGCCGAAGCAGGGTGAGGCATTGCCTCACTTGGGAAGCGCAAGGGGTCAGGGAGTTCCCTTTCCGAGTCAAAGAAAGGGGTGACGGACGCACCCGGAAAATCGGCTCACTCCCACCCGAATACTGCGCTTTTCCGACCGGCTTAAAAAACGGCAAACCACGAGAGTATATCACGCACCTGGCTCGGAGGGTCCTACGCCCACGGAGTCTCGCTGATTGCTAGCACAGCAGTCTGAGATCAAACTGCAAGGCGGCAGCGAGGCTGGGGGAGGGGCGCCCGCCATTGCCCAGGCTTGCTTAGGTAAACAAAGCAGCTGGGAAGCTCCAACTGGGTGGAGCCCACCACAGCTCAAGGAGGCCTGCCCGCCTCTGTAGACTCCACCTCTGGGGGCAGGGCACAGACAAACGAAAAGACAGCAGTAACCTCTGCAGACTTAAATGTCCCTGTCTGACAGCTTTGAAGAGAGCAGTGGTTCTCCCAGCACGCAGCTGGAGATCTGAGAACGGGCAGACTGCCTCCTCAAGTGAGTCCCTGACCCCTGACCCCCGAGCAGCCTAACTGGGAGGCACCCCCCAGCAGGGGCACACTGACATCTCACATGGCAGGGTATTCCAACAGACCTGCAGCTGAGGGTCCTGTCTGTTAGAAGGAAAACTAACAAACAGAAAGGACATCCACACCAAAAACCCATCTGTACATCACCATCATCAAAGACCAAAAGTAGATAAAACCATAAAGATGGGGAAAAAACAGAACAGAAAAACTGGAAACTCTAAAAAGCAGAGCGCCTCTCCTCCTCCAAAGGAACGCAGTTCCTCACCAGCAACGGAACAAAGGTGGATGGAGAATGACTTTGACGAGCTGAGAGAAGAAGGCTTCAGACGATCAAATTACTCTGAGCTACGGGAGGACATTGAAACCAAAGGCAAAGAAGTTGAAAACTTTGAAAAAAATTTAGAAGAATGTATAACTAGAATAACCAATACAGAGAAGTGCTTAAAGGAGCAGCTGATGGAGCTGAAAACCAAGGCTCGAGAACTACGTGAAGAATGCAGAAGCCTCAGGAGCCGATGTGAACAACTGGAAGAAAGGGTATCAGCAATGGAAGATGAAATGAATGAAATGAAGCGAGAAGGGAAGTTTAGAGAAAAAAGAATAAAAAGAAATGAGCAAAGCCTCCAAGAAATATGGGACTATGTGAAAAGACCAAATCTACGTCTGATTGGTGTACCTGAAAGTGATGGGGAGAATGGAACCAAGTTGGAAAACACTCTGCAGGATATTATCCAGGAGAACTTCTCCAATCTAGCAAGGCAGGCCAACGTTCAGATTCAGGAAATACAGAGAATGCCACAAAGATACTCCTCAAGAAGAGCAACTCCAAGACACATAATTGTCAGATTCACCAAAGTTGAAATGAAGGAAAAAATGTTAAGGGCAGCCAGAGAGAAAGGTCGGGTTACCCTCAAAGGGAAGCCCATCAGACTAACAGCGGATATCTTGGCAGAAACCCTACAAGCCAGAAGAGAGTGGGGGCCAATATTCAACATTCTTAAAGAAAAGAATTTTCAAGCCAGAATTTCATATCCAGTCAAACTAAGCTTCACAAGCGAAGGAGAAATAAAATACTTTACAGACAAGCAAATGCTGAGAGATTTTGTCACCACCAGGCCTGCCCTAAAAGAGCTCCTGAAGGAAGCGCTAAACATGGAAAGGAACAACCAGTACCAGCCGCTGCAAAATCATGCCAAGATGTAAAGACCATCGAGACTAGGAAGAAACTGCATCAACTAACGAGAAAATCACCAGCTAATATCATAATGACAGGATCAAATTCACACATAACAATATTAACTTTAAATGTAAATGGACTAAATGCTCCAATTAAAAGACACAGACTGGCAAACTGGATAAAGAGTCAAGACCCATCAGTGTGCTGTATTCAGGAAACCCATCTCACGTGCAGAGACACACATAGACTCAAAATAAAAGGATGGAGGAAGATCTACCAAGCAAATGGAAAACAAAAAAAGGCAGGGGTTGCAATCCTAGTCTCTGATAAAACAGACTTTAAACCAACAAAGATCGAAAGAGACAAAGAAGGCCATTATATAATGGTAAAGGGATCAATTCAACAAGAAGAGCTAACTATCCTAAATATATATGCACCCAATACAGGAGCACCCAGATTCATAAAGCAAGTCCTGAGTGACCTACAAAGAGACTTAGACTCCCACACATTAATAATGGGAGACTTTAACACCCCACTGTCAACATTAGACAGATCAACGAGACAGAAAGTCAACAAGGATACCCAGGAATTGAACTCAGCTCTGCACCAAGCAGACCTAATAGACATCTACAGAACTCTCCACCCCAAATCAACAGAATATACATTTTCTTCAGCACCACACCACACCTATTCCAAAATTGACCACATAGTTGGAAGTAAAGCTCTCCTCAGCAAATGTAAAAGCACAGAGATGATAACAAACTATCTCTCAGACCACAGTGCAATCAAACTAGAACTCAGGATTAAGAATCTCACTCAACACCGCTCAACTTCATGGAAACTGAACAACCTGCTCCTGAATGACTACTGGGTACATAACGAAATGAAGGCAGAAATAAAGATGTTCTTTGAAACCAATGAGAACAAAGACATAACATACCAGAATCTCTGGGACACATTCAAAGCAGTGTGTAGAGGGAAATTTATAGCACTAAATACCCACAAGAGAAAGCAGGAAAGATCCAAAATTGACACTCTAACATCACAATTAAAAGAACTAGAAAAGCAAGAGCAAACACATTCAAAAGCTAGCAGAAGGCAAGAAATAACTAAAATCAGAGCAGAACTGAAGGAAATAGACACACAAAAAACCCTTCAAAAAACTAATGAATCCAGGAGCTGGTTTTTTGAAAGGATCAACAAAATTGATAGACCGCTAGCAAGACTAATAAAGAAAAAAAGAGAGAAGAATCAAATAGACACAATAAAAAATGATAAAGGGGATATCACCACCGATCCCACAGAAATACAAACTACCATCAGAGAATACTACAAACACCTCCACGCAAATAAACTAGAAAATCTACAAGAAATGGATAAATTCCTTGACACATACACTCTCCCAAGACTAAACCAGGAAGAAATTGAATCTCTGAATAGACCAATAACAGGATCTGAAATTGTGGCAATAATCAATAGCTTACCAACCAAAAAGAGTCCAGGACCAGATGGATTCACAGCCGAATTCTAGCAGAGGTACAAGGAGGAACTGGTACCATTCCTTCTGAAACTATTCCAATCAATAGAAAAAGAGGGAATCCTCCCTAACTCATTTTATGAGGCCAGCATCATTCTGATACCAAAGCCGGGCAGAGACACAACCAAAAAAGAGAATTTTAGACCAATATCCTTGATGAACATTGATGCAAAAATCCTCAATAAAATACTGGCAAAACGAATCCAGCAGCACATCAAAAAGCTTATCCACCATGATCAAGTGGGCTTCATCCCTGGGATGCAAGGCTGGTTCAATATATGCAAATCAATAAATGTAATCCAGCATATAAACAGAGTCAAAGACAAAAACCACATGATTATCTCAATAGATGCAGAAAAAGCCTTTGACAAAATTCAACAACACTTCGTGCTAAAAACTCTCAATAAATTAGGTATTGATGGGACATATTTCAAAATAATAAGAGCTATCTATGATAAACCCACAGCCAATATCATACTGAATGGGCAAAAACTGGAAGCATTCCCTTTGAAAACTGGCACAAGACAGGGATGCCCTCTCTCACCACTCCTATTCAACATAGTGTTGGAAGTTCTGGCCAGGGCAATTAGGCAGGAGAAGGAAATAAAGGGTATTCAATTAGGAAAAGAGGAAGTCAAATTGTCCCTGTTTGCAGATGACATGATTGTATATCTAGAAATCCCCATTGTCTCAGCCCAAAATCTCCTTAAGCTGATAAGCAACTTCAGCAAAGTCTCAGGATACAAAATCAATGTAAAAAATCACAAGCATTCTTATACACCAACAACAGACAAACAGAGAGCCAAATCATGAGTGAACTCCCATTCGCAATTGCTTCAAAGAGAATAAAATACCTAGGAATCCAACTTACAAGGGATGTGAAGGACCTCTTCAAGGAGAACTACAAACCACTGCTCAAGGAAATAAAAGAGGATATAAACAAATGGAAGAACATTCCATCCTCATGGGTAGGAAGAATCAATATTGTGAAAATGGCCATACTGCCCAAGGTAATTTACAGATTCAATGCCATCCCCATCAAGCTACCAATGCCTTTCTTCGCAGAATTGGAAAAAACTACTTTAAAGTTCATATGGAACCAAAAAAGAGCCCGCATCGCCAAGTCAATCCTAAGCCAAAAGAACAAAGCTGGAGGCATCACACTACCTGACTTCAAACTATACTACAAGGCTACAGTAACCAAAACAGCATGGTACTGGTACCAAAACAGAGATATAGATCAATGGAACAGAACAGAGCCCTCAGAAATAATGCCACGTATCTACAGCTATCTGATCTTTGACAAACCTGAGAAAAACAAGCAATGGGGAAAGGATTCCCTATTTAATAAATGGTGCTGGGAAAACTGGCTAGCCATATGTAGAAAGCTGAAACTGGATCCCTTCCTTCACCTTATACAAAAAGCAATTCAAGATGGATTAAAGACTTAAACGTTAGACCTAAAACCATAAAAACCCTAGAAGAAAACCTAGGCATTACCATTCAGGACATAGGCATGGGCAAGGACTTCATGTCTAAAACACCAAAAGCAATGGCAACAAAAGCCAAAACTGACAAATGGGATCTAATTCAACTAAAGAGCTTCTGCACAGCAAAAGAAACTACCATCAGAGTGAACAGGCAACCTACAAAATGGGAGAAAATTTTCGCAACCTACTCATCTGATAAAGGGCTAATATCCAGAATCTACAATGAACTCAAACAAATTTACAAGAAAAAAACAAACAACCCCATCAAAAAGTGGGCAAAGGACATGAACAGACACTTTGCAAAAGAAGACATTTATGCAGCCAAAAAACACATGAAAAAATGCTCATCATCACTGGCCATCAGAGAAATGCAAACCAAAACCACAATGAGATATCATCTCACACCAGTTCGAATGGCAATCATTAAAAAGTCAGGAAACAACAGGTGCTGGAGAGGATGTGGAGAAATAGGAACACTTTTACACTGTTGGTGGGACTGTAAACTAGTTCAACCATTGTGGAAGTCAGTGTGGCGATTCCTCAGGGATCTAGAACTAGAAATACCATTTGACCCAGCCATCCCATTACTGGGTATATACCCAAAGGACTATAAATCATGCTGCTATAAAGACACATACACATGTATGTTTATTGTGGCATTATTCACAATAGCAAAGACTTGGAACCAACCCAAATGTCCAACAATGATAGACTGGATTAAGAAAATGTGGCACATATACACCATGGAATACTATGCAGCCATAAAAAATGATGAGTTCATGTCCTTTGTAGGGACATGGATGAAATTGGAAATCATCATTCTCAGTAAACTATCGCAAGAACAAAAAACCAAACACCGCATATTCTCACTCATAGGTGGGAATTGAACAATGAGATCACATGGACACAGGAAGGGGAATATCACACTCTGGGGACTGTTGTGGGGTGGGGGGAGGGGGGAGGGATAGCATTGGAAGATATACCTAATGCTAGATGACGAGTTAGTGGGTGCAGCGCACCAGCATGCCACATGTATACGTATGTAACTAACCTGCACAATGTGCACATGTACCCTAAAACTTAAAGTATTAAAAAAAAAGTTATTTTATCTTGATTTTATGGAAAAATATAAAAATTATAAAGTTTTAGGCACCAAGCCATATATTTTCAACGTAAAGATATGGCAGAACTAAAAGAAAAAAATGGACATTTCAACAATCATTGGGGAAGTTGGAGCACATGTCTTAATAATTGACAAAATCAGCAGTCAAAAAAATTCAAGAGAGACCTAGAAGATTTGACCCACCAATATGACTTATTTGTACATATAGAAGACTTTATCCAACAACTGCATAATAATGTTCTGTATGTGTGTCAATGGACCACTTATCAAATTGGACCCTATAATAGGCCAGAAAGCAAGACTAAGCAAATTTCACAAGATTGAAATCACACAGATTCTGTATTCTTTATATATATATATATAATATATATAATATACATACGAACAGCTTATTATGTATTTTATTACCAAAATATATTTATTCCAGTAATTTGAATAAATTTGAAACCAATAAATCCAAAACAAATTTGAAGTTGGTTTGCCATCCAGAAATCAATTAATGTAATTCTAATCATTATCAAATAAAGATGAAAATTCATATATCATTTAAATAGAAGCAGAAAATTCATTTGATAAAATTAACGAACTATCATAAAACAATAACAAAAACCTCTCATTGTTTGGAAAACTAAGTAACCTTCCTTAATCTGATAAAAGATATTAACAAATGTCTTACTGCTACCGTCATATTTAATCTGGTTAAATATTGAACAATTTTCTATGGAAGCCAAGAATAAAACAACTATATATACTATCATCACTTTTATTCAATATTGTATTAAAGTCTTATCCAGTGTAACATGGCAAAGAAAAAAGATATATATATATAAAGGAAAGGGAATGTTTGAGTTGCCACTATTAATGCAAGACATGATTGTGCACATATAAAATCTGGAAGAATATACAAATAATTAGAATTAATAAGTATGTTTGACAAGGTCATTGAATATGCAAATGTAAGTTTGACTTTCTGCTTATTAGCAACAAAAGCTAAACATTAAATTAAAAAAAGTTTATAATAGTACCAAAGTACCAAATAGTTATAAATTTAATAAACTATGTGTAAGACTTTTACTCTGAAATTTTAAAAGCTAATCAACTGAAATGTATAAATCATTTGTATGCACTGAAAAGCCCAGTGTTCTTAAGACTCCAGTACCCTCCTAGTTGATCTATAAATTCAATGTAGTCCCTATTAAAGTTCCTTTGTGTGTGTGTGTGTGTGTGTGTGTGTGTGTGTAAATTGACCACCTGAATATAAAATTTACAGGAAAATGCAAAGACCTAGAATAGCCAAAAGTCTTGAACTGGACAAATAAAATTGAGAGTACTTTACCAGATCTCAGGACTGATTTTAACAACTAGAGTAGGTAAGTCAGTGTAGTATTGGCATAAGAATACTCAAATTCAAATAGAGTGACCAGAAACAAACTCATATGTATATGTGTGTTTGTGTGTGTGTGTGTCTGTGTTTCCTGATTTAAGACATAAGTAATACTGCAATTCATTGGGGAAAGGTTTATATTTTCTATAAATTCTTCCTTATAATTTGACTATCCATTTGAAAACAAACAAACCAATAATATTGAGCCTTATCTCACACCATAAATTAATTTGATTTACAGAACTGTAAGCAAAAATTAAAACCAAGTTTCTGGAAGAAAACCTAAGAAAATATCTTCATAACTTTGGGATAGACAAACACTCCTTAAGCAGGACACAATAAACATTAACTCAAAAAATAGAATTATTTATTAATATAAATGAATTTTATTAAAATTAAGACCTTTGCTTGTCAAAAGATGGCATCAAGAGAATAAAAAGGTAAAGTATAAGCCAGGAGAAATAATTTATAATGCACTTCCAAAAAAGTACTTATATCCAGAATTGTTGAAGAAATCAAAAAGAAAAAGATACTAGAATTCTAAAAAATCTGACAAAACATTTAAATTTTTATCTTCAAAGATTTAATTGGTTTTTACTCAAATTTGCTTGGTTATTATGTATAGTATCTTATTCTATTTATATTTTTATAGGCTTCTTTTAATTTTTTGAATAAATGAAAGGTAGTTATTTTATAGTCTGCATTTGCTAATTCTAATATCTGCATCAGTTGCAAGTTTGTTTTTGTTGTGATTTTTAACATAAAGCCCTCCCTTCCCTGCACACATACACACACACACACACACACACACACACACACACACACACACACACACACACACACACCAGGAACTTTACCTGTAGATTATTTGAGGCCTGGGCTGTAGCTGAGTTTCTCTAAGAGGGCTTTGCTTCAGTTAGTCCCATAGGGACATTGTCACTCTGGAACCACTTTAAATTAAGTTCCTGGATTCAAATTTTTCAGACTGCAAACGGAGTGGATTCAGACTGAAACATTGGTCATGTAAGGGCTAGCTGTGGTTACAAAGTCTCAAGGACGATTTTATTATCTTACCACTTACTGCCAAGATCAAGTCAGCTAAGACTTCCTGCTGTTCACTTCTGTGCGGTGGGTTTATTTCTCATCTGCTCTTACCAGATTAACCTGAAGTCTCCTATAAGAATATCCAGTTGCTTCCCCTTTTATTAAATTGTTCTTTGGATTCCTTCATTTTATGTCAGTCCAATGATGCACTAAAGCAAGTTAAGTATTTTATACAGATTTTAATGATTTTAAGTATGAGGGTTTTTGAAGGTATTTATTTTATTACATGGCTAGAAGCAAGGTTGCGTCTTTGCACTAACTTTAAATCTAAATAGGGTTTGGATGAATAGTTGTGTAATATGAGGAAGGGGATCTTCAGCTACATCTTCAGCTAGTAAGTAGGCCAGAATTTCAACCCATGTAAATGAACTCTAGAATATGTTCTTAACCAATACTAAATTTCTTCACATGATGACTAGTGAATTAATGAAATTTGATAAATGTTGAATAATGACATTGCACTTAGTTAAATATTGAATAATTACTTGAAAATACTGCATAAAGATGTAGTAAAACTCAAGTGAATGTAGTTGAAGTAAAGAAAATTAAGGAATCGTGTCTTAGGTGAATTCTCCATATGTTGCTATGTTTACTCATAATTACATGAAGAGAAATGATCTGCTTTTGGATCTACCATTTGACACTAAATCATCAAACACTTTTGCATCAATGTTTTTGATTCTCCCTTGAAGGTAGGAATTTTGCTATAGATAATTTAATTTTTGATGTACTCTTAAAATTTTTTAAATAAGACTTTTTTTTACAGTTTTTTTATTCTTCCAAATCAGAATAAAGTTTTCATTTTTGCCATTTTAATTTTGTAAAAAAAAGTATTAAACCACTAGAGTTTTCCCACCTTTTCCATTGAAATATTGGTAGGTTATTTTCCTGCTTAAATTTTTCTTTTAGAGATTTTATCAAATTTATAACAGTCTTGTCAAACAGATTCCCTTCCTCAAGTTTAAAAGAGTCTTTGTTTCAGTAACTCCGGTTTTCATTGATAGATGGTTGATAAAGAATTCCAATATATGTTTTAAATATAACAATGAAAGTGCATTTGCTTTTATGTATAGCTAAAATACCTCTGGCACCTACCGTATGTAACACACACACACACAAAAAGTTGGTTTTAGTTGTCTTAGATAACTTTTTTGATTCTAGAATTTTGTGCAAGTAGGAATAGTTTTCTAATCCACAATTTTAGATGCTGAAGTTAACTAAATTCCAATATGAATTTAAAAATAGAAGTAATATGTAATTTAAGTACAATGCAGTAAAATGTAGATGGGTACAGATTTTTGAATAAATGCTATTTCGTTACTCCAAAAGACTAATTGGATGTTCAGAGTTGAGCAAAGGGCAGACTGACAGTTGGGAAACATTAAATAGAAGTCAAAGAATATGCAAGGTAACATTTTTATAACAAGAAACATAAGCCAATGTTAACTCTTGCTCTGTCAACTAGGTTAACTTTTTCTTTAGAATACTTTTGTTGTTGTTTTGTCACAAGATGGAATTTGTCTACTGGTTATCTAAGATTCACAAGTACTTAAAGACAGTAGCTTAATTTGAGATTTGCCTTACAAGCACTGGATTTTGTATTGATGAATCATTCAGCAGAAACTTGGATAGAAGAAGTGATTTGAGAAACAATGTGAGGAGAGAACACAAGATACCTTTATTGCTATCATTTCATGTTATAAAACATTAACTCATTTTTTAAAAGTGGATTAAATGTTCAGTACACTTCCACTTAAGCCTTTCACATGAACAAAAAAGAAAAAAATAATTTCAAAGAAATTTTCATGGAATCCTAAGAGAACTTTAGAAAAAAATAAATATTTCTGGTAAAAAAAAAATGTTACCAAGATATTGTTATTGCTATGGGAAGAAGAGCCTATGAAACTAGAAACCCAATACACACTTCATTCAATATGAGCAATAAGTAGGAAAGGCTGTCTTTTCAGTTCTAATTCATAGTGTTTTGTCTTTTTCACCTGTATTTGCTAAATGGGAAACAATAGGGCACTTTTGGGCATGGCTATGAATGGACAAATATCCACACTAATATTTCCCCTAAAATGTAAGTATGTTCATTAGTAAGACCATGTCAGCCCCTGGAAGGGATCCTCTTGAGCCAAGCTCAGCTCAGTTTAGAAACTGGCCATGCCTACAATTGGTTCCAGTCCTTATTTTTTAATGTGATTATTCTTCCATCTGAAGCCAAAGGAACCCAGAATTATCTGACAGGCTTGTACTTAAAATGGTTGTCTTTAATGCAATTTCCTCAGTTAATTTGTTTTTCTGCCATCAGTTAAACTGAGGTTAAAAGAAGAAATATCTCCAATAAACTACTGCCAATCAGGCACAATTATCCACTGCTATGGCAGCAATTCTAGACCATAAGAGAACTTCCAATGCTTGAAATCAAAATATGAGAGGATGAAATTATTTTCCATTCAGTCATTATTATCTTCTTTGGATTAAAAGTTTCAATTTCACCAGATTCTCAGATCTGTTTCTTTTTAGTATTTTGTTCAAAAGTTGACCCCCCACACCACCCGGATGGTTTCGTTTCCCAGAACAAATAAGCATTTCCACTAACCACGGCCGGCAGTTGGGCTGGTTCTTGGGCAGAGGTCTCAGTGCCTGCTTGTACACAATAATTTTTCAAAAGGTAGGAAACCAATTTCTGGCTTAGAGAGAACTTAGGGAAAAGAAAATAAACAGACAAACAAAAAAACAAAACAAAGTTTACATTCCGTTTGGCCTATTTATAACATATCTGTGCATTCAGCATATGAGTCCATTAATACTTTGAGCCCTTAATAAACAAGGGAAGCCCACCCAGCTTCACTGCAGATATGCCTATGGGCTCACCTGATTTTAATATAACTAGCCCCGCTCCTGTACTCTCTCCACCACACTGAATGGAAAACTGGACAGCTTCTTCGCTCTAAAGTTCCACTAGCTTTTTGTGTCCTTTAAGGAGCCATTTACTTTATTGAAACAGCGGTTGGAAAAGTGTTTCAGTGCCTAAAAGATTTGCTCTGTTTCAGAGTTTAAACAAGAGGTGGGAGGCTTTGCTAAGGCACTGAGGGGAGTATGGCTGTAATAAACCCATTCTCTCGTTCTTATTTGGGGTTGGCCTCAGTGTTGGCGCAGTCTTTCTAAGGAGTACATGAGTTTTTCACACATTACAGATAATACCCTTGTCTTCATATTCTGTCTTTTTGCACACATGAGTATATTGGGGACATTTTTATGGAGGCTTCTGCAGTCTCAGCTCATACTAATACAAAAAAAAAAACTTTTTTGGGTGTTGGGGAAGAATAAGAGAGTCAGCAATGTTTTTGCAGTGGAATCTGCCATTCTGACCTTCTTCATAACAGGTGGGAAAAGTTTTCTTTTATACTTTGCCCTTCTTCCACAGAGGTTCAACACCACTGGCAGGACAAGGTGATGAAAGAATGAACTGAAGGTTTCTGGAAAGTGAGTTGTTGTGAGTGAAGACAAAGGAATATGAGCCATTGTGATGTCCTGGCAATCTCTCATGCTTGGGTCTTTTGCTGTTCTATGTTCCCAATATTTTGGCATGGATTCATTCAGGAATGTCTATTTGGCAGTACATGTTTTATACAAGGATTGTTTTGGTTTATTTTTGGCTACGGTATTTATGATACTTACTTCTTCTTCTATTTGTAAGAATTCAGCTTGAAGAAAGAGTCAATGAGGCTTTTCTGAAGAGTTGGCCACGGAGTATCCCATATCCTAGAGCAGTTTCTGCCACATGGTGGGCTGCAAAATAGGCCTGTGGATTGAATAGCCTCTTCTTTGTTGCTCTATAATATCAACTACTCTTTCAGTCTTTAAGTCCCATAACTCTCAAATAGTGTCACTGAAGACTTAGGCCAACACTAAAGGTCTGGGGCCTTCTACTTAAGCAAGGAGACAATAAGAGAACTTAGATCAGTGCCAGGTGAACTTCCATAGCACTGTATGATATAGTTTGGATCTGCGTCCCCACTAAATCTCCATCAAATTGTAATCCCCAGTGTTGGAGGTGGGGCCTGACAAGAGGTGATTAGCTCATTGGGGCGGATTTCTCATGAATAATTTAGCACCCTCCCTCTTGGTACTGTCCCTGTGATAGTGAGTTCTCATGAGATCTGTTCATTTAAGTGTGTGACACCTTCACCTTCTCTCTCTCCTGCTTCTGTTCCTGTCAGCTAAGCCTGACCCCCCTTCACCTTCTGCCATAATTGCAAGTTTCCTGAGACCTCCCTGGAAGCTGAGCAGATGCCAGCACCATGCTTCCTGTACAGCCTGCAGAACTGTGAGCCAATTAAACCTCTTTTCTTTATTAATTTATAAAGATGCCAGTTTCTGGTATTTCTTTATAGCAATGTGATAATGAACTGATGCACAGCTGGTGTCAAATTTTCCTCTAATTTGGTCTTGAGGTCTCTCTCTCTCTGGAGAGTGACTATCATTCTAGCCCTGACCTGATGGCTCCAGGGGAGGTGGTCGTGGATGTTTACAGAATGGCTTTCATGGGATGCTTCTTTATCCTGATGGATGGCCTAATACCTAAGTGTCTAACCCTTGATCAGGTGTTTCTCTCACAGGAAACTTGCTTCTACTAGCAGGTGCCCTTAAAGCTCTTGGCTGGCCTGTGTTCAGTTTATTCCAACCAAGATAGCCACCCTCTAGGAGGGCCCTGAGCAGGAGGAGAGTTGTGCTCGGGTGTGCCCCTCAGGTGAGACGCAAAGAAGGCCACACAACAAAACACATGAAATAACCCAAGTGGTGTATTATTTAACAGATCCAGAGAGAAGATGGCAGCACACTTTGCAGGGCTAATTTGAAGGGGAGAACCCGGACGACGGCTCAACCAGCAGGTGAGAAGCAAGTGACAGAGAGAGAAGGACCTGTGGGGCAAAGCCTTGACTGGGGTCCAGGGCATTACCCAAGCAGATTACGGGCAGGGAGTTCTAACTATTTGGCTTACAGCAAGCAGGCACAAGTTTTGTGGATCACTGTGGCCTGTCTGAACAGTCCATGTAAGGTGTGGGGAGCAGTGGGGTGAGTCAAGAGAATTGTATCCAGCTGTCCTTAGGGAGGTGGTTTCACCAGGAGGTGGTTGTCTAAGGCATATATCCAGATTGATCCTATTGAAAATTGGGAGGAGATGAAGAACTGGAAACTGTATTCAAATGTGACTAAGCCCTACTTCTGTTATGAGACAGTACAACTCTTATTCAAAAAGGATAATGAGGCAACATAAAATTACAAGAATTCATTCCAGCCAGTCTAGGACCTTGGTGTTCTAGCCCTCCAGTACTTGAGTTTGCCTTTTCTGCTGGCTTTTCCTTTTTGCCCTTAGGTCTCCATTCACCAGGCTCCTAATTGGTTCCTTTAGTCCTTCCACTGAATGAAGTTCCACCTCTGAACTCCAGCCATCTTGTGACTATGTATATGTTATCATGGAAAATGTCTTGTGAAACTACACATATAGAGTTCAGCTTGAAACTCTAAGGTTGATTGCATTTTTTTTGGCTCAAGCCACCACTGCTGGATAAATGAAATTCTAGGTACCAGAATGTGAAATGCCTAACAGCTTCTGTGTACACATGTGTTTTTCTCTTTTAATTGATATCCTGGCTTTAGACCAACTTCAGATTTACATCTACTGGACAAATAATCCTGATGCTCTCATTTTCTTTATCCTCAGTCCTGGAGAGGGGTGAGGACGGGAGAAGAGTAGGTAGGAGAGAGGCTTTTTTGAACTTTTAGCTTACCCCCTCCTAAACCCTTCTGCTCCATCCCAGTACTGTCCAAGCAAGCTTGATTATGGTATCTTCATACTAGCTTTCTAAAACCTCCAGAACATAGAAGAGGCAGAATAGCATAATGATATTCACTCTGGAGCCAAAGGTCTCTGACTCTGAGACTTTGAAAATTATTCATTCTCATTCTGTGTAAAAAGGTTCTTAGTAAAAATCCTGCTGATAAACAAAACTGTTGGAAGCCTGGAAGAACAGTCTTCTCTTTCATATTGAACAACCCACTAAAATGCGTTTTTAATTTTTTCATTGTAAATATTTCATTTCTGTTTAGTGGTCTCAGATTTTCCATATTCTGACCAAAATTATCAAATTCTTCAATGGCAGGCAATTCTACACTCCTATATCTTGTATTTAGATATTTTAAAAATTATTATGTATTTCTATAATAATAATGGTAACTATTATTATAACTTTTTATTCTGCTTTGTACAATGCCTGACAGGAAGGTATTCAATGACTACTGATTGACTGATTAAATATAAGCATAAATTAATTAACTGGTTAATCCACTGTGGATTCACTGATTCTATAGTCAATGTCTAATCTCAATCTAATGATCATCGAATTATATCTCAACCTATCTCAGTCTAAAGATGTTGATCATAGTTTCTGTCCCTAAAACTTCCAAATCTGCCTGGAAGCATTGGTGACTCCTAATGAGCCTCTTTTTTAAATTATATAAGTAAGAAATGGCACAGGTTTCAGAACAAATCATCCACCAACCACAATGAATGGAAATAAAGAGAAAATCAGATTTGAGTTGTTATGCTTCTGATTGAAAAATCAGTAACAGAGGAAAGCTTAGTGTTTTATGGGAGCACAGAAGTGCATTGAATTTTGTATAGGCATGCTATCAGAGAAGCAGAGGTAGGTCATGAAATGAACTGCAAATGATAAGAGTTTCGCCAGTCAAAGGGAAGCACATTCCAGGCGAAAGAAATAGCAAGTATAAACAATGAATTTGTAAAATTTACAGAATTATTCTCCTAACCAGTGACACAATTCTTCTTCGACTTTGTAAACTTTTGTAGAATGCTTTGCTAAAATTTCTTAAAGTTATATTTCATTCACTGGCATTTAAAAAGTACTTTTATTAATTAATCTATGTCACTTTTTCAATAATAAGAGTAGATATTTTCTCCTAGAAATGTTGCCAGTATCCTGCTGAGTTTAGCCACCTGTCGCCCTCTTTCTCCCTGTGTTGAATTACACATGCCTGTGAAATGCCCAACTGTGATTTTGCCCTAATGAGAGGAAATCCATAGAAAATTTACTCAAATAAACTAACTTTACAAAACTATGGGAGATAATTAGGTACAGGTCCATTTTCACAGGCTTCGTGAATCATATTGGAAATGAAAAGGAGTGAAAGGGCCAAGAATCAATTTTGGAACTTTTTGGTATTTGAAGTCTAGGATGGGGGAGCGATTGGGAGTTAGGACCAGAGTATATACTGGACTTGGGAACTCTGGGGTGTCAGAGGTCAGCTGGCGCTTCATTTGCACCCAGCATCCATGTTCCCTGGGGGAAAAATGTCAGGTGAGTTGGGGTTCACTGTCAGACTCTCAGAGCACCAAAAGTAAGACTTTTGAACACTTTAAATTCCACTAGAGAGTAAATATATATATGTATTTTATATACATTTATAGATAATATATGATATATAATTAAATGATGTATTATATAATATATATTTACTTTCTATCTATATTACCTATAATATAGAAACACATATATTACATGTAACATATAAAAATATAAACACATATTACATTATATATTTTATATATATATGTATTACTAAATACAACTTAAATACAACTTTAAATACAACTGAAATACTGAAATACTTATTTATGATTGTGGTCTACAGTTTTATCATTCATGGAAAGGAAAAAATTTGAGTATAAGTCACTTATGTTTTCTCCATTCCAGTCTTATCTTTGAAAATCTCCATATTATTAGAGACACAAAATTATTATCTGAACAGAGATTACAGCAGGGTAGTAATCATGTGTGTGTGATGGCGACCATCCTCACCCCTTCTCCTGCTTTATTGTTCTGCCACATGACAAATGATATTATCCTGTTTGATTCTAGTTTCCCTCCCCTTCTAGAATAAAGTTCCATGAATTTATTTTATTTTCTTTATTTTTTTTTATTCGCTGCTGCATTCCCACTTCCTAGAATAGTGCCTGGCATATGTTAAGTCCCTGATAAGTTTTTATGGAATTAATAATGAATATATATTAATAATATGTGTGGCTGGGCGCAGTGGCTCATGCCTGCAATCCCAGCACTTTGGGAGGCCGAGGTGGGCAGATCACGAGGTCAAGAGATCAAGACCATCCTGGCCAACATGGTGAAACCCTGTCACTATTAAAAATACAAAAATTAGCTGGGTATGGTGGCGTGTGCATGTAGTCCCAGCTACTTGGGATGCTGAGGCAGGAGAATCTCTTGAATCCGGGAGGCGGAAGTTGCAGTGAGCCGAGATTGAGTCACTGCACTCAAGCCTGGTGACAGAGTGAGACTCCGTCAATCAATCAATCAATCAATCAATCAATCAATCGTGTGTGTGTGTGTGTGTGAGAGAGAGAGAGTGTGTGCATGTATATGTGTTAAAAGGTTGATCGAAGCTCATTACAAAAATCAACAAGGTTATGTATGTCCTTGTCTCCAGGTTCCACTCATCCCTTTCACAGCACTGAGCCCTCAGGGAGGGGTTGAGGGCAAAACAAATTGCTTGTAATGATCAGAAATATAAGAGAACCTACAACATGATGATAGACAAACTCAGATACGTAGTTTATGATATACATTACAGTTCCATTTGCTTCTTGTTAAAGTTGATTGACTAAGAGTGAAAGAAGACTATCAGAGCCTAAAAGGAAAAAGAGGAGGAAGGAAGAGGAGGAGGAGAAGAAATGGAAGAGGAGAAGAGAGGAGAGGGGAGGGAAGCTGCGAGAACTCTCACACAGACTAGAGAGGCAGCTGATGGGCAGGCAGTCAGGTTGGTAGATTATCACAATTTGTCCAAATACTTAGATTACTTGATGACATTGATAAGAAACAAGATGGCTTTAAGTTCAGGATCAAACAGCTGTTGGATCTTACCAAGAAAACTGGAGATACAGGTGCAGGTACTTCTCCATGCCCCGGTTTACCTTGGGTGTCCTTACTCATGCAACACCAGCCAATAGCTTCATTAGGCTGTGTATACTTCAAGAATGATTTCTTTAGTATGTATTCCCTATATGCCGAACTTCCTCAAAAACATGTCTGTATTTTCTCACCATGCTGTATTTTTTTTTTCCTGGGGGAATTCCCTCCCTTTATGCTCAGCTTGTGCTCTACTGAGTTCCCAGAACGAGCTTCCCTTCTTCTTTGTTCGATTTAATAACTGCCTGACTTCCCATGATTTAGCTTTCTATTTCTACCTCTTGCACAAGGCCTTGCTTTTGCCCACCAGCTTGCAGAGCCCTCAGCCTTCCTCTTCATCTCCTGTAGCACCACAGTGTGTTCCTCTCAGTTCATCATTTACCAGTAGTCTGCTCTACAACATCCCGATTTGCAGATCAGGATTTATGGGTCTCCTCAGCTAGACTGCAAGTTTCTGAATGGCAGGGATAAATGAAATTCCCTATCTTTTATAAAAATGATTCCTATAACAGATCAAATAATTTGTTGTATCCTCAACATATATTTGATGAATAAATGAATGAGTGAGGAAAGATCAGTTTTGAGCACCATCCAAGAGAAAATCTACCACTTCAAGATAAGATTATGCTTTGCTTTCTGGTATTAATGCTTCAAATGGTGATGTCAAAGGTTGGGGTGCGCTATGGTTTAAAAGTGTTCCTTCCAAAGTTTATGTTGAAACCTAATACCCATTGTGGTGGTAATAAGAGGTGGGGCTTTTAGGGGAATTGATTAAGTTGTGATGGTTCCACTTTCATGAATAGATTAATGCCTTACAAAAGGGCTGAAGGGATCCAGCTTCGGCTCTTTTTGCCCTTCTCCTCTTCACCATATGAGGACATAGCATTAGTCCCCTTTTCTTTTTCTTTGTTCTTTCATTCTTTGGCCATGTGAGGATGTGGCAAGATGTCCCTCACCAGGCACAAAACCCAAAATCGAGTGCCTTGATCTTGGACTTCCCAGACTTCAGAACTGTAAGAAAATAAGTTTCTATTATTTATAAATTACCCAGTCTCAGATATTTGTTATAGCAGCACAAATGAACTAAAGCAGGGTGTGTATGGTGGAGTTGGGGGACGTGTTGTGATAGCACCCTCTTCCCTGGTGAGAGCACCAGAAGGAACAAGGAATGGAGTTACCGTAGTCTTGTAAGGCATGGTGCAGCAGCAGCAGAGGAGTAGAATATGGTTCTGTCTTGACAAAAGTAGTCACAACAACACCTCCTCCGCAGAGGGAATGCAAGAGCAACCTCAAAAGAGAAATAGATAGAGGGGAGAAGAAACTAGAGAATTTAGGAACAAGTGTGTGGGAACTTGAGCCAAATACCCTCACTAGAGTCTGGATGTTTAATTCCTCCAATTACAGTAGGTATTGGAGAAAGTAAAGTTATTTACAAGTGGCTGGTCTTTAGTAACCAAAGTGGTTTACTATCTCTTAATTAATAGTTAATATTTATTGAGCACTTACTGTGTGCTTGGTTCAGCTCAAGGCTCATAAATATATTATATATGTAGGTAACATTGTATAATTTTGCTCATTTTCAAGTTAAGGAAACTGAGGTACAGAGATATTAAGTTACTTGCTTAAGGTTAAATAGCTGGTAACTAGTAGAGGCAACATGTGAACCCAAGTCAGAATAGAAAATCTATTACTCTGAATGTAGATTTAAAATGTGCTAGAAAGCTAATATGGAAAACACAATGACAAATAAATGGCAATTAGATGGTAATCTATTTCCCCTCTCAGTTTTTCAGTGCTGCTCTACCAGATTTCACGATTAATGTCAAACTATAAACTTTAGGGATAGGCAAAACTGGTGGCAGTTAGAATTCTGCAAATAGCCAGACTATTTTTTTTAATGTTTTGGGTTTGGCAAACCTTCCTAATACATTTTGCCAAGCCATTTTTGCCTTAATTTTTAAATCCAAGTGTATTTCAACGGAAATATAATATGTATGCTCTGATTCATTTACACTTAAGTCATCAAAACTTCATTTGGTTAAGAGTTACCTTATGGCCAAAGCCCTTTTCTCTTCTGAGGAAGACATGTTTCCCTGACATCCAAGAAGCAACCAACAGACCAGGCTCAATATCTCTTCTAACATTTAGTAAAGAAAGCTAAAGTGAATTCTAAAACTGGAAAGCAAATAAACTATTGGGTTAATTTGCAGTGGCCACATCACTGGGAAAACCGCAAATGGACCATGGCCTTGTTTGAACCTGTCACTTATGGTATGTTCTACTGATGGTTAAGTAAGAAAAGAAACAGTGTTAAAAGGAAGTATAGTCTGGGCGCGGTGGCTCACGCCTGTAATCCCAGCACTTTGGGAGGCCTAGGCAGGTGGATCACCTGAGGTCAGGAATTGGAGACCATCCTGGCCAACATGGTGGAACCCCATCTTCTCTACTAAAAATACAAAAATTACCCAGGCATGGTGGCAGGCGCCTGTAGTGCCAGCTACTTGGGAGGCTGAGGCAGGAGAATTGCTTGAACCTGGGAGGCAGAGGTTGCAGTGAGTGGGGACCGTGCCACTGCACTCCAGCCTGGGCAGTAAGAGCAAAACTCTGTCAAAAAAAAAAAAAAGAAAGTATATAAAAAGCATTTTCATACAAAAGATTTGTGTTCATATCTACCTGAAATGTAGTCAGTTGTAAGGTAATTTAACTGTCCAAATTCAAACTCTTCCCCAAAACAATCAAATTAATTAATACTTACGTAAATGTTTTGAAAAATTGCCTTAAAATGTACAGAGAAAAAATGTACTATTTACACACTTAGAGACTCAAAAACAATGTCAGATTCTAAAATTCAAAGTACTTTGGTTTATCCAAACAGTTGTCTAATAATGACAATGGACATATTTGTCCTATTTTGTCTCAAACAAATACACATTTATCTATTTTAATCCTATTAGGATATTAATCTTAAAAAAATCAATTGAGGTGAGCTCACTCCTGTTTACAAGACATCATTATAATTGGAGTAAAGAAAACTTAAGCATTAAATGACAAGACATTTTCATTTTCATTTGAAAATTCAGACATGGGGAAGCATTTATTTTTTAGAATGTAATTGTACGAAAGGAACACATGTCATTTATTACATACATCTGTCAGTAAAGGTAAAAAATGTATGTCTGAGATTAATGACATACAGTTTCCTAACCTAAGTTTCTGAGAGTTAGAGATGGCCTCAGAAGAAGATTTCAGCCCCTCGCTCTGCTGTCTCACGGCTCCTCGGGGGTTTCAGTGGAAAGTAAATGTCCACATCTCCTCTCAATTCTGCAAACTTTCCTAGAGTGGCTTCATCATCCAACATCACCACACCTGGGGTTGACCTGAATTGGGGCAGAATCTAGCATTCCCTTTCCAAGGAGCCCAATGCCTACCAATTCTCAGCCGCTCTTCTCATTTTTCCTGTCCTCCAGAGCAGGGTTACTGTAAGTCCAGGGGTGAGGACAGCTAACTTTAACTATCATGAATTTTTAAAAAAATTATTTTTGGCTGGGCGCGATGGCTCACGCCTGTAATCCCAGCACTTTGGGAGGCCGAGACGGGCGGATCACGAGGTCAGGAGATGGAGACCATCCCGGCTATCACGGTGAAACCCCGTCTCTACTAAAAATACAAAAAAAAATTAGCCAGGCGTGGTGGCGGGCGCCTGTAGTCCCAGCTACTCGGGAGGCTGAGGCAGGAGAATGGCGTGAACCCGGGAGGCGGAGCTTGCAGTGAGCCGAGATCGCGCCACTGCACTCCTGCCTGGGTGACAGAGCGAGACTCCGTCTCAAAAAAAAAAAAAAATTATTTTTGTCTTTGGCTCAGTTAGAAATTTGAGAAGCAAGAATTCAGTTCTGTTATCTGTGCTCTGCTGTCATCCCTTCACTGAGGCTGTGAAAGTGTAGCTGCTGCAATGAGGAGAAGCTGAGGTGTAGATGGAACGCTAAAAGGAGAAGCGTGACTTCTAAACTTTATCCCATCGCTTTGATTATTGTTGCTATTGTTTTGTCTCCCATCAAATGTAAGGTCTATGAAAACAGGGGCTTTACTTGCTTCCATTGTGTCTGAAACTGTCTGACATAAAAAGGACTCGATATATTTAAAAAAAGATTAATAAGTAAGTAAATAAATAAATACAGAGTTGGTCAAGACCTAATCATGCGCACTGATTTTTCAGCTTTCTATTTTCTTTAGGTCAAAAATAAGCTACTAATTAAATAATTCATGCCTTAGCTTATCCAGGCTGCTATAACAAAATACCATAAACTAGGTGATTTAAATAAATAAATCTATTTCTCACAGTTCTAGAGGCTAGCAAGGCAAAGATTGAGGTACCAGCAGATTCAGTGTCTGGTGAGCACCTACTTCCAAGGTTCATAGATGACACCTTCGCGCTGTGTCCTTACATGGTGGAAGGGGCAAGGCGTCTCTCTCAGGCTTCTTTTATAAGGGCACTGACCCCATTCACAAAGACTCTACTCCCATGACGTAATTATTCAAAGGCCCTACCTTCTAATACCATCACTTTGGGATTTCGGATTTTAACATATGAATTTTGCGGGAACACAAACATTCAAACTATCGCAAGTTGTATATTACTTTTTACATCTTTGGGGGTTGCCTCCTTTACTTCCCCCTCTACATGAATAGACTTTATTTTTTAGATCAGTAAAAAGTAAAGATTAGTTTAGTTTAGATTAGTAAAAAGTACAAAGAGTTACCATATACCTCCTCATTCCACACAGTTTTGCTTATGCTGGAGTAAAGTGGCGCAATCTTGGCTCACTGCAGCCTCCATTTCCCAGGCTCAGGGGATTCTCCCACTTCAGCCTCTCAAGCAGCCGGGACTACAGGTGTGTGTCATCATGTCTGCTAATATTTTGTATTTTTGTAGAGGTGGCATTTCATCATGTTGCCCAGGCTGATCTCTAGCTCCTGAGCTCAAGCCATCCACCCTCCTCAGCCTCCCAAATTGCTGGGATTACAGGGGTGAGCCAACGTGCCTGACTAGTTTCCCCTATTATTAACACCTTGCATTACTGTGGTACATTTATTACAGTCAATGAGTCAATATAAATTATTATTATCTAAAGTCTATCATTTACATTGGAGTTCCCTCATTGTGATGTATATTCTATGGGTTTTGACAAACGTGAAATGACATGTATCTACTATTACAAAATCAAACAGAGTAGTTTCACTGCCTGAAAAATCCTTTGTGCTCCACCTCATTATCTCTCCCTCACCCCAACCCCTGACAACCACTCATCTTTTTAGTGTCTTCACAGATTTGCTTTTTCCAGAGTGTCGTGTAGTTGAGATCATACAGTATGTTTGCTTCCAAGTTTTAGCAATTATGAATAAAGCTGCTATAAACATTCATGTGCAGGTTTTTATGTGAACATACATTTTCAGCTCAAATACCTAGCAGTGCAGTGACTAGGTCATATGGCAAGAGTATATTTCATTTTGTGAGTAACTGCCAAAATGCCTTCCCAAGTGCCTCCTTTACTGTATAATAGATACTTATTATTTAAATGCCTTTTAATTCACTTTTAAAATAGTAATTAGAACATGTTAATTTTCATGTTTTACTCTTTTTTTCTTTGTGAATTACATAATTATGAGTGTGTGTCATAGTGTGTCTCACAACAGGAGTGATGCACTCACAGCCCCCAGGCCCCCCCCATCTTCCCTGTCCTCTTTCCTCTTTCCCTGCACCTCAGCTGGAAAATTAACAAGCATTTTAAACTTATTGCTAACAATTAGGGAGAAGCACTAGAAAAGTATAAGTGGAACTGTTTCATAGTTGATCACTTGTCTATTTAATAGCTGTTTGGTTTAATTTATAGTTGCAGAATATATTATAATTATTAAACTATTAACATTTCATTGAGCCTGACAAAGCGATTGTGCTTATTCAACATTCATTCAATAGCTACTTATTGATTTCCTACAACATGTCACACATTATATATTTGTTCGTTCTTTAAGGAGATTAAATGTTAGATTTTTGTAGAACTCTTTGTTATGCCCCCTGCAAAGCAAAACTACTGATTATCATAAATAGGGATACAGGCTATTTTACTAGCTCAAAATGTAGTTTTTTATATGTGCCTATAAGCATAGATAACATTCTAGTCTTTAATTAGCATGGGAACATTTCTGTTGTGGGTTACATTCACTTTTCATACGGAATACAATGTAGCCTTTTTCAGTGGCATTAAATCACATGCTGTGGAAAACCGAGGATTTTCTTTGGGAAACTTCCTCCACTCTTGCTCTGTTGTTTTTCTTCCTCTGGTCACTCCTCTGTGGCTTGTGTTGGCCTCTCTTCCTCTGCCTGCTTTTTAAATATTGTGTTGCCCATATTTCCTGTCTTAGTACCTCTATTCTCTCTCAAGATGATCTTACCCATTCCTCCAAATGTTGCTACACATTAAAGAATCACTAAGTTTTGTTTTTAACCTGTAGTTTCTCCCTCTTTCTCATCCTCTATACTGCAATTACAACTGCTTCTGAAAACTTATCTCTGGAGTTCCTGCAAATAACACATATTTAATTGGTCTAAAGCTTAACTCATTACCTTCCTCTAAAGGTCTCCCCTCCCCACTTTCCCTCCCCTCCCCTCCCCTCTCCTCCCCTCCTGTCCCCTTCCCTCGCCTTCCCTTCCCTTCCCTTATTTCTTTTTCCATGCACATGTTAAAAAAAATGCAGTCAGTACAAAGTAATTCCTCAGAGGCAACCACTCTTGCCAGTTACTTACGTATTATTCCATAGACATTCGATGCAAATAAAAAACATGTATGCACGTGTGTTGTCCATTTTGGGCACAAATGATAACATACTGTGTACACTGTTCTGCATCTTGCTTTTTCTCATGTAATATATTCTGGAAATTAGTTCATAATCAATAAACACGGACTTGACTTATTGCTTTTAATGACTATAAAATATTCATTAATATGGATGTATATACTTTAACTTATTGATGGGCATTTCAGTTGTTTCCCATTTTTGTTACTAAAAAATTTCTGAAATAAATGTTGAAAAGTACAATGCATATTTATTTACAGGTTCGATTTATAGAAGTAACATTATTAAGTCAAAGGTATGTACATTTAAAATTTTAATGGGAAAAAGCATAAAAAAGCCCATGTGGGATCCTCCAGGATGATGAGGAGGTAACATGCCACACCACTCCAACTAAAAGAAAAAAAGAAAAAAATGAATAACTATTACTTAATTTATCTCCAACCTACCTCCATACCCTGGACAAAATATTATTTTTATAGTTTTCTTTTTATGGTGCATTCGATTAGAGAAAAATAATATCCCATTATAGATTTAGCTTATATTTGTCATCTTGTGGGTAGTTTTTAACATTTATTTAAAATAACTTTAAATGTTTACCCTTTTTCCTATTTGGTTGTTAGTTGTTGCTTTCACATTTTCGTAACCTTTTTGATCATTAAATATATTAACTCTTAGAAACTTTTATTTAAGCGTATCTTTTTCACAGTATTTCATCTATATTTTGCAATTATTTTTGGCTTTTGTTCATAGAGTGTTAAATTTTTATGCAATAAAATTTATTTGTCTGTATTTTAATAGCTTTGGTATCAGTTTTCCTATTTTTCAATATTCTAACATGGTGTAAATAATATGAGGATTACCTATTTTGAAGACTTTGGTAGGAATTATATATCTTGCTCTTAGGGTCTGTTATTTTTAGAGGAAGTGGGTATTTAAATACTTTGTGTATTTTTGTTGGTATCTTTACATTTTCTAGCTCTTTCTACATAGTTTTGGCAAAAAACTTTCACTTTAATTCAGACTTCCAAATATAATTGCATACTTTTTTGAACCAAACAATATCTTACATTTCTTTTCATTCCCAAGCATTTGTGATTCCTCACTGATTATCATTTGTATTCTGTGAATTTGTGATGTCTGTATTTGTTTAGATTAACTATATTTTTAATTTTTTGACATTTTCAAAAGATCTGCTCTTGGAATACTATATATTTAATGCTATTAAAATTCATTAATTCTTTTTTCTTTTTTTTGAGATGGGTCTCATCCTGTCACCCAGGCTGGAGTGAGGTGTGGGATCATGTATCAGTGCAGCCTTGACCTCCTGGGCTCAAGCATTCTTCCCACCTCAACCTCTTGAGTAGCTGAAATTACAGGAACATGCCACCACAGCAGGCCAATTTTTCTATATATATATCAATTTTTTTTTTTGTAGAGATGGGATTTTACCATGTTGCCCTGGCTGGTCTTGAACTCTTCTATGCTTTTGGATGATTTTGTTACTTTTATCAATCTTTATTGGAAATTTTATTTATCTTTTATACTTCTTTTATTAATGTAAATGAGTAAAGCTATTTATTTCCTCTGATTTTGCTGTATCTATTAGATTTTAACACATAGGGTTTCCATTGTCAAATTCCATATATTTCTTCACTTTATTCCCACATTGACATGGTATTTAAGAAAGTATTTTATTTAAAATTTCCAGGTGACAGGTTATGTATTGTCTATTTTAACTCATTTTGGTATTGATTCCTACTTATATTTTCTTATGGTCAGAAGAATATTTACACCATTTCTACTCTTTAAAAAAAAATGACCGTGTTCTAGGCTGGGTGTGGTGGCTCAAGCCTGTAATCTCAGCACTTCGGGAGGCCAAGGAGGGTCAATCACCTGAGGTCAGGAGTTCGAGACCAGCCTGACCAACATGGTGAAATTCTGTCTCTACAAAAAATACAAAAAAATTAGCCAGGTGTGGTGGCGCATGCCTGTAATCCCAACTACTCAGGAGGCTAAGGAAGGACGATCGCTTGAACCTGGGAGGCAGAGGTTGTAGTGAGCCGAGATTGTGTCACTGAACTCCAGCCTGGGTGACAGAACAAGACTCCATCTCCAAAATAAATAAATAAATAAATAAATAAATAAATAAATAAAAGACCATGTTCTTTATGACCAATTTTCAACAGTCTCTTTATTCAGTCAACTCTCAATTTTGCCCACAACCCCTTTTCCTTTCCTACACCATGGGATGTGTGGGAGAATTATCATGTGTCTTGAAATAATGACAGTAGGGTGTCTGATAGGTGTGTCACCATTTGTTCTTTCTGACCTTCAACAAGGTAAAGATTTGTCCTCTAAGTATTCACCATTAGCTTTGGTCTATTAGCTTTAGTGCATTTTGCTGGAATTTATAGTCTTCTCATGGCCTCTACTTGCTTCACTCACATATACTTTCATCTTTCTCATAACCACTAAAGGATCTAATTGAAAGTGACTTGTATTTTAAATACCACATGTTTTCAATTATAAGTGGGAGCTAAATGATGTGAACACATGGACACATAAAGGGGAACAGCAGACACTGGGGCCAATTGGAGGGTGGAGGATGGGAGGAGGGAGAGGATCAGGAAAAAAGTAACTAATGGGTGCTAGGCTTAATACCTAGGTGACGAAATAATCTGTGCAACAAACCCCCATGAAGCAAGTTTACCTAAATAACAAACCTGCACATTTACTCCCAAACTTAAAATAAAAATTAAAAAAAGAAAGTGATTGGTTTATTGAAATGGGTTTCCTCAACATATATACTGAGAGAGATGGTGAGGAGATATATACAACAAATAGAAATATAAATGCATAGGATGGATGGATAAGTATATGAAAATAAGTATGGATCCATGTTAGCAATTAATGTCAACGCACTGCTATTCAACATGGCCCTGGAGTCCCAGAGTAGCTACGTCTGTGGGAGGAGTCTAGAGTATGGGCCTACAGACTTCAGCTTAGATCAGCAAGTTGCAGGTAAAACACTGGATAATTCTAAAACACTTTCAGCAAGGTGCAGAAACAGTTTTAAGGACCAGTTGTGAGTAAACTTTCCTTGATTAAAGGAGGATGAATAACATCTGGGTCTAAGACGTAAGGATTGTTAAGGATTGTTGCAGGACTATGGACATTGGCAGCAGATTGGGATTGAGGCCACTGTGCAAGATAGGAAGGTACAAGCTGAGACCAGCAGGGACGGATGACTACCAGAGAATGAACACAGCTCTCTCAATGCCAGAACAATTCACAAGCCACCCTGCCTACCTCTGCTTCCTCACTAACTATCCTTTTAACCAGGATCTTACCTCACTCCCTTGTCCTGGAAATAGGGGAAAGAGAACAGGGAGCTGGAAAGAAATCCATGAGGAGTTATATGTTATATGCAGTTATCCAAAGGACATTGGATATATATCCATTGTTATATATTTGCAGTTATGCAAAGGACACTGAGCTCTAATGGGATCTGACTGAATTACATTACAGTAGCAAGGATACATTTTCTTTTAAAACTGGAATTGACGTCTTATGAACAAAGTGACTTTTCAGGTATTGAGAAATAAAGAGAACTGCTTTTCACACATCTGACTTTCTGACTGTTTAAAGTACATGCCATGTCACCCCTCTGGATGTGTGACCCACTTTGGAAAAATGTATGTTCTGTTGATTATTTCAAAAATCTGCAGCAATGGAATTACGGTAGTCCCTCCCTCCTTATCTACAAGGAATATGTTCCAAGACCCCCAGTGGTTGCCTGACACCATGGACAGTACTGAATTCTATATATATATTATGTTTTTTTATACGTGTCTACTTTGCTAAAGTTTAATTTATAAATTAGGCACATAAGAGATTAAAAACAATAACCAATAATAAAACAGAAGAATTATAACAATACACTGTCATAAACATTATGTGAATTGGTCTCTCTCTCTCTCTCTCTCTCTCTCTCTCTCTCTCTCTTTCTATCACTCAAAATATCCTATTGGCTGGGCACGGCGGCTCACTCCTGTAATCCCAGCACTTTGGGAAGCCAAGGCAGGTAGATCACAAGGTCAGGAGTTCGAGACCAGCCTGGCCAACATGGCGAAAACCAGTCTCTACTAAAAAAATACAAAAATTAGCCAGGCGTGGTGGTGTGCATCTGTAATCCCAGCTACTCGGGAGGCTGAGGCGGGAGAACTACTTGAATCCGGGAGGTGGAGGTTGCAGTGAGCTGAGATTGTGCCACTGCACTTCAGCCTGGGTGACAGAGCAAGAAAAAAAAATCCTATTGTACTGTACTCACCCACTTCCATCTCAAAAAAAAAATCCTATTGTACTGTACTCACTCATTTTCAGACTGAGGTTGACTGTGAGTACCTGAAACTGTGGAAAGTGAAGCCATGAATAAAGGGATGACAACTGTATCTCCTCCACTTTTTTCTAGTCTCAATTTTATGGGTCACCAATCTCTCAGTCTCTCTTGTTAGAAAGCTTGGAATTACCCTAGAATATGCCCTCATTCTTCACATCCAATCTTTCATGAAGTTTTATCTCACAAATATTTTCCAAATTTAACCTTTATCCAAGGTCTCTGTGACCCTCATCCAATCTCAAAACTATGCAACTGCTACTCACTATTCTGCCTTCCAAAACTTTTCCTCTTCTCCCATTTGGTACTAGGTATCGCTCCAAAAAAATAAATTTAATTTTCTTTCTCCTCTGTTTGCAACCCAAGATTGCTTTTTCCTGACCACAGCGTAAAGTTCCAACAACTCACCAAGATGTTGAAGGCCTGTCACCACCTGCCTGATGGCTGGTCTCCTCCATCAACACCCAAGGATCCCACACAGAAAACTTCTCATCATTCTTCATCTGCAAAACATATTAATATTTTCTGACAACAGGGCTGTATGGCTGCTGAGTTCTACAAGGCTGATCATCTGCACTGTCTGTTCCATTTATTTAATAGTTAGCCACTGTGATCTGAAGTTTTGTAGATTTACTAAAACAAATTTTTATTTTTATCAGAGTAATATAGACATTTCATTAAAAAGACAAGCATTATTAAAAGGCTTCTATTAAAACAGACTAAGAATAACAGAAACAGCATCCTTTCAGTCCTGCTCCACAGAGGGAACCACTTTTAACAATCCTCTCCGTTCATTGTTATTTATCGTCATTCTTATAATGCTAGATAGTGACTGATGAAACCACTGCCTTTGCCTGCATCATTGCAAAATAATAATCACAATATTTTGTATTCAATGACAATCCAACACTTTATTATTATAATATGAATGTTCAAATGAATGCTGAAAAATACATTATCACATTTTACTTTTTGTGAAATTACTTCTGTTTTCTTTTGCTTTGTTTTTGATGTACTTAAAATTAATTTTTGGAAGTATTCCAAGATATTTGTCAATGTCCAGGAACACTTTTTCAAATAATTGCATCCATTTGATAATCTATTACTTCCTTTTTTCTCCTCATCTCCTCCTTCTCCTTCTCCTTCTCCTTCTTTTTGATTCCCTCCTCACTCATATCTCTATACATCTGCACCACTTTGGGTTGCTGATTCCACATTAAGTGGCTCATAGCTCAGTCCTAGAAATTCCCTTAACTGTTCTCTAGCAAATCCCTGTAACCTCCGTTCCATTCCATGGCTTCTTCCTTCTCGTATTACCACACATTTTGTTGAAATGCTTACCCAAATGTTTCCTACCAGTATGAAAAAGAAATAACACTTTTTTGAGTTCCTGTGTATTTTAAAAAACATCTTCATTCTACTGTTATGTTTGATCAACAGTTGTCTGAGTATAGAATTTTGGGTTGGAAAACATCTTCCTCAGATTTTTGATGGTATCATTTGTATTTTTTTTTTTAGCATTTGTCATAGCTGTTGAGAAGTTTTTTCTGGAGGGATTAGGACCTGATATTTATCCTCAATGTTTTGGAATTTCCTTATAACATACTTCAATATTGATCTTTTTTGTTGGACTTTTTTTGGTCCTTTTAATATGAAGACTCACTTTATTCAGTCCTAAGATATTTCCCAAGAGTATTTCTTTAGCATTTTTTATCCATCTATTTTTATGTTATTGTTGATCTCTCATTCTTGAACTCCCATTTGTTGTTTTTGGCCTTCTGTATTAATCTTCCAGTCTTCCCGAATGTATATTTCTCTATTATTTTCCTATTACTTTTATTTTTTCTTATTTCTGAGATAGTTTAAACTTTATCTTCTGAGTTTTGTGGATTTGTATTTATATTTATTATATATTATATTATATATTTCATAAATGTATACTTTTTTGCTCTTAGAAATATATATATATATTTTTTTTAATGGGTGGTCTCCCTATGTTGCCTAGGCTGGCACTGAACTCCTGGACTCAAATGGTCCTCCTGCCCCAGCCTCCCGAGTAGCTGGGACTATGGGCCACACCACTGCACTATACAGAAATATATTTATATGCACACAAATACTTTTTTCCTTATATACTTTTTCTTTTTATTGCATCCTGTTCTTGTTATATGGAGACATCCTCTCTTATATTTCTGAGAATATTAATTATATTCTTTATAGTTTTATTCTACTCTCTATTTTTTAATCTTGGTTCCCATTTCTCTGTTTTTGTTTTGTTTTGTTTAGCTGTTTTTTAAATCTGCTTCTCCCTCTTTCATGTTAGAGGCTTTCTTCAAATGTTGATTAATTGTTGGTACTTGTTCAAATTTAAAGAGAAGGCACTACAATGATGATGGGGAACTCTGTATTGGGGTGGTGAGTTAGTAAGCTAAGTTTTTCATGGAGACCCGATGTTACACAGCTACTACGTGACTCAAACTCATGATATATGTTAGTCTCCCAAACCAGTGTTCTCTTTTCACTTTACCTTGTTTCATCTTCTAAATATTTCAATGAACATTTCCCTAATCAATCATAATCTCAACTTTTTGGTGATGGGGGTGGTAATCAGTTCCAACGTCCTTTTAATATGAAGACTCACGTTATTCAGTCCTAGGATATTTCCCAGGAGTATTTCTTTAGCATTTTTTAATCCATCTATTTTTATGTTGTTGTTGATCTCTCATTCTTGAACTCCCATTTGTTGTTGTTGGCCTTCTGTATTAATCTGGTAATTAATTGGTAAAGAACCCAAATTTTGGGATCTTCCTCGTCCTCAAAACTCCTGTGTCACTTTTGGTCAACTTTTCTGAGAATATCTTCCACAGCCACTCAGTCTGTACCCTACACAGCTGCAAGTCTTACTATTCACACAGAAGACTATGTGAAATAAGATGCGTAACCAGGATTTTGCAAGGTACAATGTCCTCAACTGTACATGTACCTCTGTTTACATCTCTTTTTCAATGTGATCTTTTGTTTTACATATCTGTGATCTCAGTTTAACCCTTTTTTCTCTTATAAATTCAGCTAATCAGCCATGTCTTATGAATTATGGTATTACCCAGCATACATCGACCGGTAACTAGATTCACATTGACACTCAACATGGAAGTTTAGATGTTAGTAAAATAGAAACTAGCATTCAAAAACAAATCTCCAAAAAGTTATTGGTGAAACACCTGAAAAAGATTACTTTATGAAAGGCATAGAGCTTTTGTTTTTGTAGTTTTTTAGGTACCAGGTATTCTTCTTTCACACTGAAAATAGTAAAAATATTGACAAGGTTAATGATGATAATGATGATGGTGGTGGTGATTGCTAAGATTTTTAAGAGTTATTATGTGGTAGACATAATGCTAACATTTTCTGCCTTACTTTGCTATCTTTCACAGAACCCATAAAGTAGATAATTTTACAAGTAAAGAAAATGAAGCTTAGAAGTTTAATAACTTGTGTTGAGCCCCAGATTCAAACTCAGTTTAATGTGATTACAAAAGAATTGGTTTCATCTGTATGTCCCGCCATTCTGATGAGTTCATCATTCTCATGACTAGGACCACTCAAAGAGAAAAAGCAAATGCTTGTGGTGTTGACCCCTCTGGATAGGCTTTTGTGGAAATCTTAAAATTTGAGTCTTAAAAAATCTGCTTAGGGTAGGTTTGTAGATTTACTGAAAGTTTATCTAACATGTATTTGATAAATTAAGAAAAAAGAGAAACTTTTATTCCTGTGTTTTTTAGTGATGCCATTTGACCTCAAATACATTTGATCTAGAATATCAAAATGACCAATCTAGCCAATTCAGAAAAATTCAATGCCACTTATACTGTCTTGACTTTTATTTTATAGTTCAGTGTAGACAAAATAATCTATTTCCTATTTCCATCAGAATACCCTTTTAATCTGTTAAAAATGAAAATGTGCATAGAGAAATGCACACTAAACAAATATAAATTTAAAAATTGTTCTTCCGAATAAAGACTTTGATCATAAGAATTAATTTAAAGTCTAGTCAAAAATGCCATCTTTATAGAAAAGTTTACAATATTTGCATAAAGTAAAACAACTAACCTGAATATGGTGACTTAATCATTTTTGTAGTTCATCAACTTACCTTATAAGATTGCTTGCCTCTGGAAAGACAGTTGGCAGTTCTTTTTCAAAGTGCTATGTTTTTTGACCTATGAATAAGGAGGACAAATGACATCCCCTTCCTCCAAAAAGAAAATATTCATAGTCCTTTGGGACCACCCCTTTGAAAGGAGAGAAAATTCTTCTTTTGCCATTTGTGAGTTCTTACCGTAAGCCCCAAGTCCTCAGGAGGTTACTACTTTACATCAAAAGAGCAAATAAACATTGCCCTTTTGAATCTAAGGGTTGCTATTTTTGCAAGCATATAAATACTTTCATGAGTATTCCTCTGACTTCCTCCCACTCCTCCTGTAGCCTCCATTTCTCTGTTTACTTCTACGTCTTTCTCAATATGCATCAAGACCTTCAAGATCATATTTAAAGGGAGCAGGGAGGGAAGTCCAGCCTCCTTGCAGCAGTTCCCTGAAAAACAGGCTTCTCATCTACTTAAAGAACATAGAAAAATGGGAATCTGAGAAAAGAGATAATCATTTTGTTGCTATAATGCTCTGAGTGAGAGTCACTATAAGGTCATGGAAACAAGGATATAGGTCGGACTAAGGCTGCAGGTACAAGAGACCCACAGGACAGAGAAGATGGGTGGTCCCAGGCTAACAGATTATACCATTAGAACAGGAATGAAAGGTTAGGGGTATGCGGTAAGACCGGTTCATTTCAGAACCTCAAGGATGAATAGGGGCCCACTGTTGACTCCAGCATCTCCTCTGTTCTCAAGTGGGCAACTGTGACAAGATGGGACCAAGACTGGTTCGTTCTGGAACCCAAATTACATTGGGGGATACCCCATTCAGGATAATAAGAAAGTCGAAAGAATGCCTTCTCCTTTTTATCTCCTCTGTTCTCTCTTTGCAGATGGGTAATAGTGCCCTATACCATAGGACATGGCCCTAAGGTGCATCCCCCAAAACTGGGAAAAGTTTGATTCCCCCAAACCTTAAAACAAAAAACTAGTTTATCTTTGTAATACTGTTTGGCTTAAAAATGAACTGGGAGGAAATCACAAAAGTCAGCCTTGGAACTCAGTGCCCCTGTGCAGGAGGTATTCAGATTAACCTCCTCTAACTTTTATAACCAAGAGCAGAATAAGGAAGACAGGGCTAAGAAAAATGAGAAACACAGGGAAAGGAGACAGGCTTAACTACTGGCTGCCCTGCAAGCCCACCAGCCCCCTCCAAGTTGCCCTAAGGACACTCCTCCAGGTAACTGCCATTGGTGTGGAAAGCCAGGCCACTCGAAGGAAAACTGCCCAATGAGATAAATGGGAAAAAACCCCACATGGCTTGTCCTCTCTGCCAGAAGCTCAGCCACTGGGAAGGAGACTGCCCTGAGGGCCAAAGGGACCCTGGGACAGAATCCCAACCCCTGATGGCTTTCAGCTAATGGACTCTCTGCTCTGACTTCCAAATCAGACACTGTCATCAAAAGGATGAAGCCAAGGGCAACTCTGGAGGCAGCAAGTAAAATTGTAAATTTCCCTTTTGGGTTGAAAAGCTGCCTACTCTGTGCTAACCTTCTCTTTGCAACTCTCCTCCAAATCCTGTTGGGTAATCTGGGCAGATGGCATTCCCTCCCTCCAAAAGAAAAGATCCACCCACCTTTATATTACTTAAGGGACCAATTACCATTCTCCCACCAGTCTCTGGTAAGGTCTAAATATCCTACACCTCTTTGGGACAAAAATAT
The DNA here is from genome assembly GCF_000001405.40 of Homo sapiens. Classification (NCBI taxonomy): domain Eukaryota; kingdom Metazoa; phylum Chordata; class Mammalia; order Primates; family Hominidae; genus Homo; species Homo sapiens. Next base: position 74,901,194 of record NC_000008.11, read on the forward strand.
ACTTTCCAAGATAAGATGGGTGCTCACTTAATATTTACTCAACCTCTGAATTCATCTGTCTTTCTAATACCCCTGTTTCTCCTAAAAATCTATCTAAATTGTTAACTAATAACTTCAACCTGGACACTCCTACCTCAGGCGTTTAGAAATAGCCCATATTTATTAAAAGAATCCCTAGCAAAAATCTAACTGAGCAATCTCTTGAGGGGGGATAATTTCTACAGTATGCAGATAACCTCCTTGTCTGTTCTTTCACAGGACTCACACAGCAACATGCAATACAAACCATAACTTCCTAACATAAGGAAAATGACTTATATCTAATTCAAAGGTTCTATGAAACAGAAGATGGTTTTCCTTTGTGTTACGGCTTGGTACCCAAAGCTATGGCACAGTTAGTAGGGTTGCTAGGGTCACTCAGGGAATGGTAATCCAGAAAACTGGCATGCCAGCAAAAGCATAAGAATTTCTTACCAGTCAGAATTCTGGCCCCTCTTTCTGTGTGCAAACCAGTTGTGGGAATGGTAAAAATCACCGTCTCCTCTGCAAAGTTACGATTAATCAGAAAAACGATTCATGAGAATAGTCAAGCTATGGCAAATCTGGTGTACTTTGTGCTATGAATTTGTCTGTCTGTGTCGTTCTGTCATAAAGAGGAGTACCTTAGGATAGAATGTGGGCCTAGGACTCCTGTAAGCCCACTGTTCTAGCGGGCCCAGCAAACTCATCAGTAACAAACTTTGCTGCAGCTATCTGAAAAACAAACAAACAAACAAAACAAAACAAACACACCTGAATGAAGCTTCCCTCTCATCTTGTTTTATGTCCTTGTGACCAGTGGCAGTAGTTTCTCTTGCTCTCTACCATCCAGAGAACAGGAATTTTGGAATTCATGTCATTGTTAGCTCTAAAAACTTATCTTGAGCAAGTTAAAAGCCATTGCATGCTCAAAATTGACTGCTCTAGGCTCCTTCTGGGAAGAGCAACAGAAACTGCCCAATGCTGTAGCTTAGTAGCTAAGGCTTCGTGTTTTCCCAATGGAAGCATAGGGTCAGGGTTCAATTCCTGGCTTAGGGAACGAGTACCTTCTGGCTGATATCTGTGTGACCTTTTCCATTTGTTAATTCTTTGCCCTTCCATGAATAACTTCTGACTTCCATTTTTGAATTTTCTTTTTTCTGAGCTATCGTTGGAGATTCCGTAAAATCTCCTTTGGAGATCTTGTAACAACTGCTAACCACCTGTTTGAAAATACCTCACACACTCGTGGTTCAGTCATAACCTTAGTTAAGTCTTATTGATTTCACCTGTAAGATTACTTTTGTTAAAGTTTAACAGCCAGAAGTATTGGCTGTTTCAAAGTAGGGTAATAAGAGATTTAATAGGATGTTTTTAAGAGTGGTATGGTTAAAAGTCAGCTTAATTCAGCATATATCCAAGCTCTGCATATATTTAAATGGCCTGTAGGGGTTTTTTTCTCTTCTTGGATCATGTTTTTCTGGAAAAAAAAAGTTTTATTCTTCTCAGTTGACTGAATTGTTTTTCTCCATTTTGTCTTCTTGCCACTCTTGATGCACACATGAGAGGACCTAAGATAATTTCTAACAGTCTGGGACTCCTTGGGAAAAACACAGGAGGCTCCCTATATTTTGGAAAAAACTGTTTTGGGAAAAACAGTTTTCCTCATGAAGCCCTAGGAATTGAATGTGGACAAATCCCTCTCAAATTCTAAGTCTCTGTTCCATGTTGCATTGTGTTATCTGAGTTTTTTTTTTAACTTTTGAGGGTATCAAAAATTATTTCACATTATGAGAGAGCTTTGGTATATAATAACTTTGTAGAAAACACACTTTTAGGGATGGCTAATGGCAGTTACAGGGAGGGAGAATACTCAGCTCTTTTCAGGTTTAGATCAGAGAAGCATGCTTTTGGCCACCTAGAAGGTATAGAACTGTCCCCACTCCTCACTGAGAGATAAGACTCCCATGGGAGATGCACTTGTTCCCTCTTTTTTTTGGAATCTAGGATCTGGTATGAAAATGGGACTCTTAATTTTGGGGGACCTGTTTTGCCTTCCAGCTGTGCCTGCTTATTAGGCTCTTGAAACTGCATGCTTTCCTAGCCCTGTTCCTCAAAGGACTCCACCCTGAAGCCAGTAATCCAATTAAGAAAAAATGGCAAATGAGAAATCCTACAACTACTATCTGTCTGTGTATTTATATGTGTTGTGTGTGTGATGTTAACATATGAAAGAGTTCTGATTAATTGGCTTAAAATCATAAGCACTTAAATAAAATGTTTCATCAGAAAGATGAAAACTGTGATGCTTTTTAGTTCATGTGACTTAAGTAAGCTTTGGGAAATAAAGATAGTTTTAAAGATTATGGTAAAATAAAAATATCTTCAAAAGTTTAGACGTTTGATCTAAATTATGCAGGTCAGATATTAGGTTTGCTAAATGCTTTAAGGTCATAAACTGCCTCTTTAACTTTTGAAAATTGTTCAACTTACCTGCTTTGGAGCAATTAAATTCTAGGTAAGGCCTGGGCACATGTGGAGTTAGCCATGCCCCCGGCTATGCTGGAAAGAACCAAACTTTATGTGCACTTCTGTCTGGTGTCCTGGGCTCCACACCGAGTACATGATTCACTTACAAAATCCCTTACTTACCAGGTTTTTCACCAAAATTAAAAGTTACTAAGAGTTAACATTGTAACATGCAGTTGGAACTATCAAAGAAAAAGTTTTACATACAAAGTGTGTAAGAAAAGCAAAATGTGCTTTTGGTAAAAAAAAAAAAAATTATAAAAAGGCATAGAAATGTGGATTTTTGCCCAAGTTTAGAGGGTTAAATGATTATTTTAAGTTAAAACAAAGCTACAGATTTGAGCAAGTTATGGGAGGTTTGTGAAAGATTACTCTTGGAAAAGATATTCTCTGTGTGACTATATTAGCTAAAATTACAGGAGTATTATTCTGTTTATATGTAAATGTAATATTGGAATAAAAACATAACACAGTTTTATTAGAACATTGTTTTGTTTTACTCTTTAACAGAAAATTGTAAAGGGTTATGAATGGTTTATGAGATCTTACCTTATGGTCAGACTGATTAAAATGGAATAAATTGGTCTATATGGTTTTGTTAAGAATTGGGTTTGACATCAATAGTACACTAATATAAAGGTAATATCTGGCTCTCTTTGGGCTGTATTTGTATAAATATGTTAATATGTGTCCCACAGTTATGCAAAACTCCTGTGATTCTGATACAACTTAGCATATGTTATGAGTAATAATTATAATTGCTATGTTAAATTATTGAACGCCACAGAGGTAAGAAATTCCCTTGTCCATTGCATCTATAAGTGTGGCTGCCCTAAGATGTTTGCCACCCACAGACAATTGTTGTCTTGTTTTGATTATCTTTAAAAGGTAGCTTTGTGCTGGAGGCATCACACTACCTGAATTCAAACTATACTACAAGGCTACATTAACCAAAAGAGTTATATAGGCCAATGGAAAAGAACAGAGACCTCAGAAATAATACCACATATCTGCAACCATCTGATATTTGACAAACCTGACAAAAACAAGCAATGGGGAAAGGATTCCGTATTTAATAAATGGTGCTGGGAAAACTGGTGAGCCATATGCAGAAAATAGAAACTGGACTCCTTCCTTACATCTTATACAAAAATTAACTCAAGATGGATTAAAGACTTAAATTTAAAACCAAAAATTATAAAAGCCCTAGAAGAAAACCTAGGCAGTATCATTCAGCAATATAGGCACAAGCAAAGACTTCAGGACTAAAACACCAAAAGCAATTGTAACCAAAGCCAAAATTGACAAATGGGGTCTAATTAAACTAAATAGCTTCTGCACAGCAAAAGATACTACCATCAGAGTGAACAGGCAACCTACAAAATAGGAGAAAATTTTCGCTGGAATTACAGGTGTGCCCCACCATGCCCAGCTGATTTATATATTTTTAGTAGAGATGGGATTTCACCATGTTGGAAAGTCTGGTCAAGAACTCCTGACCTCAAGAGATCTGCCCGCCTCGGCCTCCCAAAATAGTGGGACGTCCCGCATAAGCCACTGCTCCTGGACAACATTGTATGCTTCATACCTAAGAAACTCAGTAGTGGAGACTTGTTTGACTTTGACTAACTCAGTTTCTCTAAATTTATTTTACCCTGAAATCCTTTTTTCATTAAGCTATTTTTTTTAACATTCTAATAATTTGGGAAACACTGGTTAAGGAACGTGTTTTGAACAAGCCAACAAACAGCAAGAAATGTAGCAGAAGTGAGGGGCCTGGGGAATAAGAAAAGCTGCACGGAGTCATGAAAATAGAGGCATTAGAAGTTCAGTGCACAATGATCTGAAGCTCCAGGGAGGAATCTATAGACCAGGAATGGAAATATCTGTCATTTCAAAGGGAGCAAGCCGAGGAAGCTGCATGGAAAAATACACTCAATCCTGGAATCAGAGTGTAAAAGCAATGTGCTCGTATGTTTAAAGCCATCCCAGAGGTAGCTTCTGAGAATGTGTGATTCACACCAGCTCCTGAAGCAGTTTCCTTTGGTAGTCTCAATATTACTGCGTTTCAACCAAGCCAAGTCAATGAGTGACAGAACTCAATCCGCTTGTCTGGTGTCAGCTAGGAAGCCTGAGAAAACTTTTAAATTACCTTGGGATAGTAATTCAGTGTTCTGTAAGCCAATGGCTTTTTTTTTTTAATTTTATTTATTTCATTTTGTTTCCTTTAGTAAAATCTTTTGAAACCTGCCAATCTGCCTGGTGAGAAAAGGGATTTTTTTTTTTTTTTTTTTTTTTTTTTGATAAACTGATCCCAGAAATACTACAGTGTGTGGTAGTGTTAGCAGTGGATTTACCAATTAGATTCCACTAAAACTGGTAAAACTCTGGGATAGTCTTGAAGTAAATCCTTCAGACCTGAATGATTTCGAATAGTTATCTGTCTCCCTTACACAGACAGGGGTTGGCTTTATGTCTCTCCCTTGTCAGTGGGCAAATCACAGTTACGTGCTCTGTTAAAAAGCATATAGCCCTGGAGTATTAATTCATATACGCTATGTAGCTCAAAGTTTCTTACTACTTTCCTACATGTTATATCCTAAGGATACAATTTCTTAACATGGAAGATGTATTTTTAGTGCTAAGCACACCTTTATGTACCACATGTATTTAAATAAGACTAAAATAGAAGAACATATTTATTTCTCTGTCAATAGACGTCATAGAGTTTTCTCTCTCTTTTTTAAATTCTCATGCTTTAGGGGGAAAGAACCAAAAAAATGGAAGTCCTTTTTAAGTATAATAAGACTTTTGGAAAAATTATTCAATATAAGAAGAAAGTTAAAAAAAAAAAACCAAACAACAACAACAACCCCACACAACCTCCCATTTAAAATGTGCTAGTTTGATTTCCAGTATAGAATTTGTTTTCATGTCTTTATTTAGCAGCATTACGGTTGTTTTTTTTCCATTTGCTGTCCTCATAATTTGGTAGTTAACCTTCTTGTTTTTTAAAAAGAAGTTCTGCCAAAACATGCTGAGCAAGTTGTTTGTTTCTAAACCCTGAGAAATCAAAAGTAGCAAGTGAACTTTATTATTATGACATTTTAATTATGAGTGCATTTATGTATTTTTTTCTTTTGATCTTTGAATCACTTCATGACCCTGAAGTTTAAATTTGTGAACCTGGGGGATAATAATCATTTAACTAAAGAGTAATTCTAACCTATGTTTATATATAAACAAAGTTATATAAATAAATTTATCCCCCAACTTTTCAAAGTAATTTTAACAATTTACATTCATGTCGTGTCAGGACTTTCATATACAGAGTTTCATCCAATTACCAAATAGCTTAGACATTGCCAGGTCAAAAGTTGTTCTTCCCCCAGGACTGTCCTTACCTTTGGTTTGTTTGTTTGCTTGTTTGTTTTTATAAATAAGAAAACTGAAGCTTACAAATGGAAAATGATCTCTCTATGGTAATACAAATAGGTGATTTATCCAGATATAAAGATAAAAACAATTCAGCCCTCTTTCCGTAATTCTAGGCTCTCTTTTAGTATGTAACCAGTTTAACTTAGACTTGGAAAAAGTGGAATGAAAAATGTAATTGCTCTTTCCTAAGCTAGTTACCAACCAAAATAAACCTTTTGAATAGGTTGTAGAAAGGAAATGAGTAGCCCTTTGTTATAGGGTGAGAAAATAGGGCAGTGGAGTCGCGGAACTGTAGAACCATGCTTTTCTCAACAAATCGTTTCCACGGAAGCCTGTTGAGTGACTACTATGCACTCCGTGTTACATGCTCAGGATAGAAAGATAACGTGACATGATCCCTGGGCTCTGGGAGGACATACTCTGTGTAAATACAATCTACATATAAATAATATGTATGATAATGTGTGATAAATTCTTTTGGCTCTACAAAGTACTATGGAGCCCAGGAGGGCAGATCTGGTTTGTGGGTCCGGAAGCTTACACAATTTGATGAGCGTATAGGAGTGGCAGAGGTTTTGGGGGGAGATTTTAGGAAAACATTGCAGAAACTATAAATATAAAATTAGGAACAGGGTTCCAATGGGGCCCGTGCAAAGCAGGTCCCTGATGTTTAACCTTTAACTTCACAGTGCTCCTGATAATAGAAGAGAGAAGAGCCTGGAGGAGACATCTGAGCAGTCGTCACAGAGTGCAGGAGCTTGTCAAGAGGAAAGACCTAGTGGTCAAAGCAGCTTAGTGACATCAAAGACAGCATCCGAGAATCCCAAGGAGGAGAAGGAAAATGAATTAGTTCCTTACAGAAAGGGCATCAATGACACTGTAAGTCCCTAATGTGTTCCTCTGCCATAGAAGTTATTCTCTAATGCTTAACAATGAAGTGGTTCAACTTGAGTAACTACAGCTATTTCTTAGTTTTTTAAAAAAATCTTTGTCTCCAGCTATGGTGTGAATGTTTATGTTCCTCTCCAAATTCATATGCTGATACCTAATCCTCAGTGCTAACCATAAAGAGGTGGGGACTTTGGGATGTGATTAGGTCATGAGGGTGGAGCCCTCATTAATGGGATGTGCACCCTCTTAAGAGAGACCCCAGAAAGCTGATTTGCCCCTTTTACCATGTGAGGACACACAGAAGGTATCACCTGTGAGGTACAAACCCTCACCAGACATTGCATTTGTTGGCAACTTGATCTTGAACTTCCCAGCTTCCAGAACTGTAAGCAATAAATTTCTACGGTTTATATATTACCCAGTCTAAGATATTTTGTCACAGCAGCCTGAACAGAAGAAGACATTACCATATTACAAAACATATTTTAGAAAAAGTGATATCCTCAAATAGTCTTTGTTTTTAAAATGTGAATTTAAAATAAGTGTGGATGAAAATGATGAGAATGTTTGTTTGTGTGTAACAAGGCCTTATTTCACAGCACAAATAGGTAAAGAGTGCAGCAAAGGGTGTTGTCAGGTGAGGAAGCAACTGCGGACTTATGACATCAATTTAAAAAAAAAGACTGATAGAAAGATAGTATGGAATTTCCTAATGTTACTACTAGTTAATGACTAATTAATTTTTAACTTTTACTTCATTTTTCAGGAAGGGATTTGATATATTATCTATGTAATAAATTTAACAAGTTAGCAGAACAGAGTTGTAGACAATTCCAGACATAACATACACATACAATGAGTTAATGTATCCATCCATCTTCATATTTAGCACTCAGGACAACCCTGAGCAGTTGATGTTCATGTCCCTGGTTTTATAGACAGGGAAACAGACTCCAGGAGGTTAAGGAGTTTGCCCAAGGGAGTGAAATAGCTCAGGAAAGCATAGCTAGGATGCAAACCAGGCTTCTTGAACAAATTGGGTGATGCACTTTTTACCACATCACAGTTGAAGCTCTACAATACATTTTAAAAATCATCCTCAAAGTATGCGTCTAACATTTTTTTCTATTTTTTTCCTTTCTAACTTTTATTTTAGGTTCAGGGGTAGATGTACAGGTTTGTTATATGGGTAAGGAATAAACCTGATTTCATGTAGCTTGTTTTATGTAGAGAAAACTGTCAAAAATAACAAATAAATGAGTAAAAAATGTAGTATGTTTTGGAGAAAAATGAATGCTTTGGAAAAAAATAAAGCAGGAATGAGGGTCAGCATGTGCTGGGAAGGTGAGTGTTGCTATGTTAAATAGTGCTTTTGGGGAAGCCTCACCTATAGGGTGAGATTCTAACAGAGGTGTGCAAGAAGAGAAGCCATTCCAGCTAGTGCCCACATGCTGGAGTGTTTTAGGAATCCCATGATAAAAACATACTAACAACAGTATTTCAATGTATTTAGTTTGTGGCTTAATATTTATGCATGCATAGATGTAGACATATTATAATACTGAATATAACTGATGAATAAGCTGTTATAATTGATTCATATTTTCTGTATGATTGGAAATCATTCAAATCCAAACAGGTGAATTTCTTTAATAATTCAGGTTCTTTAATTTCATGTGCATTATTTTCAGCTACTTGGGAAAGTAATCCTATACAGTCCCTGAGCCTAAAATACATTTTGTTTTATTCAGTGCTGAGTATTTTAATAATAGGCCCTGATCTACATATTTTACGTCTTTAATTAGTACGCTGTTAGCTGAAGTCACTCTGTCCTTTGGGACTGACAATTAGTTTAAACTCTTTCTTCCATATCCCCCTGGGTGTTTGATGACCTTTTGATGATCTCTCCAAATTCTCAGAAGCTTGTGATCTTTTTCAAGGTCCGTCATCTCCCTGACTTTCTGTCTCCCCCAAGGTCTCATTCTCAAGTAAGTCTCATTGTATTCCATTAGCTGGACTTTCTTTTTTCCCGAGACCAGATGTGGTCCCAATTGTCCCTTAGGTTTTATTTCCCCAGACAATATTCTCAGTGGCATTTTTGTCTGCAAGAGAATCTATTAAGTTTTGAGGCAATGAAGTTATTCTGCATTGCTTCACTGTTCTTTAGAAATACCCAACACTGGCAATTTCTCAGCACTGGCATTTCAGCACAGTTCACGGCCACCTATCCCTTCACCTACACCTGTGTGCTTGGACCCTCCTGTCTTCCCACACACTCACCTTCTTTCTTCTCTGCTCTTCTTTACTCCAAAATGTCTATTTATTTTCTTGTGCAGAGGAGTTTAACTTTCTCTTTGTTTTCCTCCTGGCGAATTATCCCTTGAGAATTTTGTTTTCTTGTATCTATGGGGGAAGATAAAGTCATCATCTAGAACAGGGGTTCCCAACCTCTGGTTCATGGCCTGTTAGAAACCAGGCCACACAGCAGGAGGTGAGCAGTAGGCCAGTGAGTGAAGCTTCATCTGCATTTACAGCCACTCCCCATCGTTGGTATTACTACCTGAGCTCCACCTCCTGTTAGATCAGCAAAGGCATTAGATTCTCATAGGAGCCTGAACCCTTGAACCCTATTGTGAACTGTGCATACAATAGGTGGCATGCTCCTTATGAGAATCTAATGTTTGGTGATTTGTATTGATTTGTCACTGTTTCCTATCACCTCCAGATGGGACTATCTAGTTGGAGGAAAACAAGCTCAGGGCTCCCACTGATTCTACATTATGGTGAGTTTTATAATTATTTCATTATATATCACAATGTAATAGTACTAGAAACAGAGGGCACAATAAATGTAATGCACTTGAGTCATATTGAAACCATAACCCCACCCTGGTCCATGGAAAAATTTTCTTCCACAAAACCAGTCCCTGTGCCAAAAAGGCTTGGGGCCACTGATCTAGAAAGAAATGACACACTTCCTTCTTTTCCTCTCAGTTTTGAATGTTAACAATCATCTTCCTCTGCGTTGCACCTACTATAGCTCTTCAAAAATTACTATTTTTGTTTTATAGAGAAGGAATTTAAAACTTAAAATTCAACATTTTCCCCAAGGCCGCAAAAGAAAAGTTGGGGTAAAGCTCCAGAGGTTATATTTAGATCGAAATTTAAGGGATATTATGTTATATTATATGGCAATTAATAAGATTGATAGCCTCGTATCCCAAACAGTGCCATGGGCTTTCCCAGAGGTTTTTAACCATTTAATTTTGATTAAGATCTCACATCATAAAGTGTAGCCTGACTCTTCCGAAACAATTCCTAGAATGATTGACTGATATGACCAGTAATTTCTACTACTATTACATGATATAAAAATGGAAAATATCATTTTTTCACGAGTTAAGTTTTCTACTTTAACGGCTATTTCAATACAGAAAAGGCTTCTGTGAATGGCTAATGAATAAAGGAGGTTTTAACGTATTTTATGTACCACCTGGTGGTGTTGACAATAAGTAACATTTTATTATTCTGAACTTAATTTAGACATGAAGATGAGCAGTAAATTCTAGTATCTGGTAATTTACAAAGGATAATTAGTGTGTGAAATGTGTGTGTGTTAACCTATGCCAATAATTAAACCAAGGTACCCTTTGAATTAAATAATAAATCTCAAACCTGAAATGCATTTTCCCTAAGTCAGAGAATAGTATTCATTATCTACTGATGCCAAACAAATCACAACAAACTATGTGGCTTAAAACAACACACATTTCTTATCCTGCAGTTTCTGTGGATCATGAGTCCTGGCATGGCTTTGCTGGGTTCTCTGTTTCAGGGTTTCTCACAGGCTGTAACAAAATTTTCAGCTAGGCTGGGGTCTCATATCAAGACTCAAGTGGGAAAAGATCTACTTTCAAACTTACATGGCTGCTAGAAGGATTCAGTTTCTCAAGGGTTGTTGAATTGAGGGCCTTACTTCCTTGCTGGCTGTTGGCTGGAGGTCCCCCTCAGTTTCATGTAGCCTCTCCAGATGGTGACTTACTTCAGCAAACACAGCAAGGGAGAGACTCTGCTGGCAACATGGAAGTAACTGTTTTGTGTAATCTAATCCCAGAAGTGACATTCCGCTACTTTTGCTGTAGTCTGCTTGTTGAAGCAAGTGGCTGGGCCAGTGCACAGTCAAGGGGAGGAGATCAGACAAGAATTATGTTAGGAGACCAGGGTCATCTAGGACTATCTTAGAGTCTAGTCACCACAGGGACAGTGAAAGACAGAACATGCTCCATGACAATCACAAGAAAGGCATTTTACACTTCATGCTCTTTGGGAATACCCAATTAAGGTGAATTTCTCAATGTAAGTAAGATAATGATATACAGAGAAAGTAAGGCTGGAGACAGCATCAATGCCCGATAATGATTGGTTGTTTGGTTGCCTTTATATGCTCTGAGTTTCTAGAGGTTATCTGGTAGACCTACTTGATATCGTTTGGCTTTGAGTCCCAACCAAATCTCATGTTGAATTGTAATTCCCAGTGTTGCAGGAGGGGCCTGGTGGAAGGTGATTGAATCATGGGAGCAGACTTCCCCCCTTGCTGTTCTCATGAGATCTGGTTGTTTGAAAGTGTGTGGCACTTCCCCTTCTCTCTCTCTCTTGCTCCTGGCTCCACCATATAAGACATGCTGGCTTCCCCTTCACTTTCCACCATGACTGTAAGTTTCCGGAGGCCTCCCCAGCCATGTGACCTGTACAGCCTGTGGAACTGTGAGTCAATTAAACCTCTTTTCTCTATAAATTACCCAGTCTCAGGTAGTTCTTTACAGCACTGTGAGAACAGACGAATACACTACTCTAAAAGTTATTTACCTCCTTTGATATTGTTTCATTATCGTTTTGTTTCTGTTCTACTGTTACTACATCCTATTAAAACTAACCTGGTAGTTATATCTTTCTATTCTTCTTTTTCTATATCATTGTCCATTTTTAAAAAATCCCTTTTCAATCTCACAGGAATAATAAAAATGAATGCAAGATATGTAAAATTAAGTTCCAAAAAAAATGAGACACTATACAACACAAAGATCTCCTAGAATATTACAAAAATTACAATATAGTTGATAGATTCTTGAAATCATTTAAAAAGGGTGATGTTAGTAAACCCCAGATGCACACTTAGGTCTCTAACTTGACGTTGCTTACCTATGTATAGGTTTAGTAAACAGAAGAGTGACCTTTAAAAATGATATTTGAGAGGAAAAATACAAATTAACCACTGTGTGGTCATCAGAAGCCAGCGTGCAGCCAGGAGCTTACACCCACACACTCACCACCTCCACGGGATATACACAAGGCTGTAGCTCTTTGTGCTCTCCTTTGGTCACTCTGGGGACAAATTCTATTAACAGCTATGCCTTCAGTATGATCTTGGCTTGTGAGTACTGAACACCAACTTGTCCCTAGTAAGGGATTTTACTAGGTCAACATTCTAATTAGCGTCCAGATGGAAGGTGCCTGTTATTGTTGGCTTAGTTGTCTCTGTAATCCTGACAAACTAGTCGATTGAAGAGTACTGTTGATGTAGTGTATAGCAGCCTGTGGCTTTCTTTGAAAGGGTATATTAAAGCTGGATCCAGATTACAAATGTTTAACCTGGCAAACAGCACTATGACCTCTAAAACAAATATTGTGTCATTAATATAGCAGTGTCTACAGATGGAATTGGCAATGTAAAATGTGCTGTCTGTAAACATTTTGAAATTGTATTTGAGGTCCTTAATTAACCCCATTAGGCTTACAGTTTGAAGCAACCACTCAATCAATATAAAACAACAATTGAACAAACACAGAGATTCAGTTATTTTATATATTATAAATGCCCTGGAGTCGGTGGTTTTACATCAAATCTGATGTTATTTAAAAGTTATATTTTTTCCCCAAGAGGTCACATTTTATCATGTCAGGGCAAAACAAAATTCGGAATAACTGAACCCATCATTTACTCATGGAGTGAGTTTATAGTTGGAAGTTACCTTAGAGCTCATCTATTCCAACCCCCTCAACTTACAGATGAGAAAACTGAGATCCAAAGTGGCTAAGTGACCCAGATACAAGTTGAAATGAAGAACCACAATTGTACTATTATGCTCAATAAATTATCTACATATATATTAAGTATTTTAATCAATTGGTAAGAATTTCCTTTCCAGAATGAATGTAAGCTGATAATTGGTATTTTAGCTCTGTGTTATCTAAAGTTACACTGCAGAAATAAACTATCATTATTTTTAAAACAAGAGATGGTGCATAAAAGTTCTAATCATCTGCAGACATACACATGTATTTGTTTTATATAGCTCTTTCCATCTGAGATTTATGTGTTGATTTTGTCCATGATTTCTCCATTGTTCAGACATGTTTTCTTCACTATGCTAAAAAATGTTAAGAGAGTCCTCTGGTTTCTTGTAGTAGTTATCCATTTGCATAACTTAGCATTTTTTGTGGCTCTGACTTATCTTCTGGGCTATTCATTCTTGGTCTGCTCTATCCTGGGCTAGTTGGTATCCAGCTGCAGTTTCCTAGCCAACCTAAAGTATGCCCCAAGATGTGAAGTTGTGCTTCATTTTTTTAAAGCAATATTTCTTCTCTGCCTGCCCAATCTTCCTTACATTTGAAGGTCCACTTTATTTTATGATACAGCAACTATCTGAAGCTCTCCTGCCTAGCATTATTCATAAATGTCTATGCGGAATGAGTTTTGTTGCAGTGGGCTTTGCTTCGACAATGTTTACCCAATTACAATTTAAATTCCTCTCACCACACATTCATTCATTTATCATCTAGCCATTAAGAACAAAAACAAATGAAACATTAATGAAGATTTATACATTTTTGGTCAAAGTACAAACAGATTTAAAAATCACAAGTGAGTCATGAATTGGGGTGGGCGAGAAGACCATAGATTGTCTTGTAGGAAATGCACAAATACATACAAAAGCCTCAACCTCTGACTCCTTCTCTACATATCTCAACTTCCAGATATCATACTGCCTCATCTATTTTTTTGAATCAGTTTGAACAACAGTGATGTCAATATATTACTGCAAATATTGTTGAAAAGGCAGTACTTGGGAGAATGTATTCTGGAGAAATACATGTTTCTCTAGATTTTCTCAATATCTGAGTACAGCAAAATAAACAGCTGAAAACCGAACAAACAACTAAAACAAACAAGGAAAAAGAAAGTTCTTGACTATAAGGAATTTTTCATTTAGAAGGAGAGGCAGAAAATCTGAAACACAATTATACTACAAAGACACATATGAATGCGAAGGTTGCTTACAGAGTGTGGAGGTGGAACTTCTTAAGGAAAAGGACATGTTAAACAGTAGGGTTTAACTACATGAAAAAAGGGGAAAAAGTATTCCATAAATCTACAGCAGTATGTGCAAAGCTACAGAGCTATGAAGAGACATGGCATATGAATTCTGAGCAGTCAGCCTTGCTAAAGATGAGTGTATTAAGGGGGAGTAGGGAGAGTTAGGGATGGAGAGATGGGCATCACCAGGATAGCCTGGTGGACAATGCTAAGGAGTTTGAATTATATCCTGAAAGCAAATGAAAACAGTTGAAAGAGTATTAAACATCATTTTCTGATTATTTGAATTTTCTCATTTATAAAATATTTACTGTGGAAATATTTTATAAATATTGGGAAAATATTGGGAAATACAGAAAGCTATAAAGAGATTAAAATTATCCTATATCCACCAAAAATATCAATGTTCAAATATCTTCCTTTGAGTGTGTTATTCTGTTTAACTTTTATATAGTTATATTAAATTTATAATATAATTTAAATCATTTTAAGATTTTCCCTATTATCTTAATATGTTGGCATTTTATTTTCCATTAAATATTTGTTGAAACCATAACCTTTAGCATTTTGATGTATTGTTACCATAAAATTATTTCATCATAATTGGTGGTGGTTGTATCATTTCCAATTTATTATCATTATACAATAAGCAAGGCCCAGATGTCATCTGAGGGCTTCCTTGCCTTTAAGATCTTGGTAAGTATACCCAGATGACTGCTCCTTCCATGGCTCATGGGAGACTAAAACTGTCTCCATGATTCCTGAGAATTCCTGGGGCTCTTTTTCTCTCAGAACAGCAATTTTGCAATGTAGTCTTTCAGTGAGTCTGCAAGGTCAAAACTATTTTCATGGTATTACTACAAAATCATGTGCCTTTTCATTCTCATTGTTTCACTAGTGTACAGGGAAGTTGTCCAGATGCTACATGACATGAGATGCCAGGTAATTGAATGTTTCCTTGTATAGACTTGGCTTTTAATTTTTTTCAAGTTTAATTTCGAATACAATAAAGATTAATAAATACAACCCACAGGAACAAAAGCCCATCGGGGTCCTCAATTCTTTTAAGTCTGTAAGGGCTCTTGAGACAGAAAGTTTGAGAACCACTAGTGTAACAAGGTACTTTTTCAAAGCAAGAAATTTCTGTCTCTAAGAGTTAATATGATGTCAACTCCTAAGATAATAAGGGTTTATCCACACTAATGCATAACATTTTCATTTTGGACAGGAGTGAATGATGGAGGGTGTAGCACCCTCATATTTCTGCTTTAGAAAGTTAGTGGAGAACATAGCAAATATGCAGAGAGGCCGATTACAAACCTATTATGTAAACTCGGTGGAAATGAATAAAGGAATGTCAGTGTGATTGCAGAGGAGCAGGATAAATGGGATGTAGGAACAAGGTGTATGCAGTTTTATTGTCTTCATGTTACAGACCAGAAAACAAGGGAATGAAGCCAAGTAAGTAGTGGCCAAGGTGGAACTTGAACTGGCTCTTCTGGCTCCAGGTCTCTCTTTTCTTCTGCTACCAGAACTCATCAAGGACTCACTGTCCTTGATAAAATACATTTATTGTTGGTATGGGCACAAAAGTGATGCAAATCTAACAACTCTTTCTCAAAGCCTTGTGAAACTTAACTCACTATTTTAGAACCCTCCACAACATGTTCACTTACTCATGGATGCTATCTACATGGGCCAGTTAGTTTGACGTAGTTCTCATTCATTCCCTTTCTCTTCTCTCTTTCTCTTTCTGTGTCTCTGTCTCTCTTTCTTTTTATTTATTTGTCATTATCACTGCTTATGTAGCAATATTCAGTGATGGTCATGAGTGAAGCCCATTGGTTTTGCATGTTTAATCTTTTGAAAACATCTTTGGATTTTTATCGCTATCCAAAGCTTATGTCTGTTCTTTGAGAACAATCCTTTGCAGAAGAAAACATGAACAAGTGTGGCCTTGTTCAGCAAAATTTTGTAGGAGTAATAATTATGAGGTCTGGCAGCTCTTAGAGCTGGAAAGTCACCTTCAAATATTAGTTTGTGGTTTCTTGGTTAGGGTAGTTCTTTACAGTGATGTGGAAGCTATTGAGTTGACTTGAACTTTATGAAGAAAACAAAAGATATTAAGTTATGTCCACAGAATACTAAGCACTTGTCACTATGCTGCTCTTTTTGAAGGAACATCTTCTTCTGAAGTTTTAATTATCCAGTCATTATTTTCATTTAATTATTTTTCCATTGAATTATTAAGAGTAAGGGGAAACTCTGAGATGCTGCATTTGTTCTGTTCTATAGTTCTGACCTATAGTAAAAAATATTTGCAAAAACTATAATGTCTTTATGTCCAACTTTATTAAAGTTTATAGTTAGTAACATTATTAAACATAGTTTAAATAGTATATTTCTGGAGAAGAAAGAAGGGAGAAAGAAAGAAAGAAAAGAAAGAAAGAAAGAAAAGAAAAAGAAGAGAGGGAGGGAGGAAGGGAAGGGAAGGGAAGGAAGGAAGAAAGGAAGGAAGCAAGGAAGGAAGGAAGAAGCAAGCAAGGAAGAAAATATTTTCAAAAGCTCATAAAAATCTAAGGATTGCAGAGAAAGAGAAATATGTTTACATTTTCATTTTTTCTTAATATATTCTATTCTTTCCAGGATTTCTCAGAATGAACATGTGCATGAAATGAGAACTTACACATTGTCATATTTCTCAGTATGGGTAATTATGGAAACTACATCTTTATCATCACAAAGCAAATGGAGTTGAAAATGAGGTAGTAACATCAAGAAAATGAGAAAACTGGAAAATTTCATTTTCTTATTACACTGCAAAGCACAATGCCCAACAAAAACGCTATAGATCACTGGGAAAATCATGGCTGAAAATACAGAAATAATTTTTTCATAGGGGGGAAATGCATTTATCCATTTCCACCATTCTCCTTTCATTTCAAGAGCTCTTGATACTTTTCCAGAATCTTTTTCAGATAGGATATTTTTTGTTTGAATATGAAATCAAATTTTACTTCAAGTCTAATTGTTCATGGTCCAACTTCTTTTGTCCTACATAAGGGAAGTTCTTTATAAGCTTCCTAATAAAATCTTATTTCCCATGAATACTACCTCCAGACTCAACATAGAAGACATATAAATGCTGGAAATGCTATGGTTTGGAACAAAAGTCTCTCTAGTCCAAACACACACAGTAGAAGCAAAGAAATATAAGATAGCATGCCAGGCACTTTTCCTGTTCTTAGCCTGGAACTCGAACTACTGTTATACAAACACTCTTAAACTCCCTGAGGGTATGTCTTATGCCTATGATGGTAGCAGAGGGGGATATTGAAGAGAAATCAGAGATAAACTTGGATATCTAGTCCTGAGCTATAAATAGGTATAACAGTAAGATTATTTCAAACATTACAATGATTCTTATCAGATTTTGAGATAAATTTTGAAAAGTTATAATTTAGAAAACATGTCTCTCAGCTTTGTCTAAGGAAGAGGTCCACAGAGTTTCTGATCATTTCAATTTGAGGTGCATACACAGGTGCTGGCTCTGTGAGGAACAAGTCCTGGTCCTGGGACAGAAAAGTTGCGATCGCACTCACCACTCTAGCACGTACTATGTATTTACTTGTTTATATGTGTATTTCCCGTTTCCACGCTCCAAAATAGAAACACTATGGCAAAGACTTTATCTGCTTTGTTCACTGCTAGAGAATACCTTCTGGCACATAGTAGGTGCTTCACGATTATTTCTTAAAACAATAAGTAAACTGATTTGCCACTTAGTAGCTCAAGCTCTTTGCTTCTTCACCCCCCTTCCATTGTCTAGGTTTATTTATTTTTTAAAAATTTTCATTGGCATACTCCTTACAATCTACATTGTAAATACAAACTGGGAGCAATAAGTAGCCACCTCACTTAGTGGATTCACTATTTACATCCTTCATTTTAGCATATTTTGTTTTCTAGGTCATGAGAAATACTCACTGCTGCCCTAGAGAAGCTTCCAATGGGTGCCTGGCCTATGCCACTTGTTTGGAAGGGTGTGAAGGAGAGTCCACGTCTCTCCTTGTGAGGGGCACTCTCAGGGCAGTAGTGGAGTCTGCATGACAGGGTCTCTCACTGCAATCTCCCATGAGCCTTGTGCTCTGTGACATGGAGCAGTACCGTGAGCCTTGCCAAGCTTTGGGATTTTCCCTGTTTTCCTACCCACACCCCTGCCGCAGAAAAATCTATTTCTTCCAGTTCCCTCTGTTCAGATTCTACTGTTCCTTTAAATCTAACTGAAAACTGATTTCAGGAAGTCTTTTCTGATAGTCTCCATGTAGGTCATTTTTGTTTTGTAATTTTTTTTTTTTTTTTTTTTTTTGAGAAACAGCCTTGCTCTGCCACCCAGGCTGTAGTGCAGTGGCCGGATCTCGGCTCACTGCTACCTCCGCCTCCCGATTCTCCTCACCACAACCTCTCACCTCTGTTCAAGCGATTCTCCTAATTCATCCTCTCGGGTAGCTGGGATTACAGTCACCCACGACCACACCCGGCTAATTTTTGTATTTGTTAGTAGAGTCAGGGTTTCGCCATGTTGGCCAGGCTGGTCTCGAACTCCTGACCTCAGGTGATCCACCTGCCTTAGTCTCCCAAAGTGCTGGGTTTACAGGTGTGAGCCACAGTGCCCGGCCTGTTTTTATGATTTTTCTATACCTCACAGCACTTTATCTGTACCTCTCAAATGGTTATGTTCTCCTTTCATCAACACATAACATTGTTTATGTGCATTCCTTGTATTGTACCAAGATCCTTGAAGGGAGGAAAACATCTGCATATCTTTTGGTACATGAGCAACATCTGTGTTCTCATGGAGTTTAGATACTAGTGAGGATTTATAATTAAGCAGATAAAGTAATAAGAAAAAATATGTCAGGTATTGGCAAGTGCTTCACAGAGAATGAAAACAAGTTGGCATGACAAAGGGTCACATGTTATAAAGGGTCAAGGTGGTAATACTGGAGCTGAAGTCTGAATGGGAGAAATCAACCAGCTCCAGACAGACCCTGAAGCAGAGGGTTCTAGATGGGAAACAAGTCCTGTCCTGCCAGGCCTTCTACAGGAACACACTTGGTGGTAAAGAATTGGAAACAAACAAAAAAAGAGCTTCTGGCTGGAGCACCTCCATGAGAAGGAGGCTAAGCTAGTATGAAGTGTGAGGTTAACAGGGATCAGATTATGCGGGGCGCTGTAAGGCAAGATAAGGAGTTTACATTTTATTCTAAGAGTGAATGGTACCAGGTGTGCTGGCTCATGACTGTAATCCCAGCATTTTGGGAGGCCAAGGCAGGAGGATTGCTTGAGCCCAGGAGGTCAAGGCTGTAGTGAGCTGGGATCGTGTCACTGCAGCACTTCTACCTGGGTGCCTGAGTGACAGAACAAGACCCTGCCAAAAAAAAAAAAAAGAAAGAAAGAAAAAGAAAGAAAAGAAAGAAAGGAAAGGAAAGAAAAGAAAGAAGGAAGGAAAGAAAGAAAGAAAGAAAGAAAGAAAGAAAGAAAGAAAGAAAGAAAGAAAGAAAGAAAACCTAATGCCATAAGTGATATCCATCATTTTATTTTTTATTTATTTAAATAATATAAATAAAAAATAAATTAAAAGAGTAAAGGGAAGTCCTCTGAGGGGTCTAAGCTGGGTAAAGATGTAATAAGATTTGTTTTCTTAATTTCCTTCCTTCCTTCTTTTCTTCCTTTCTTCCTTCCTTCCTTCCTTCCTTCCTTCCTTCCTTCCTTCCCTCCCTCCCTTCCTGTCTCTCTCCCTCCCTTCATTTCATTTTGCCTGTTTGTGTATTTTGTAAACATTCTGACTGCTCTGTGGAGAATGAACAGTAAGGGGTGTCCGAAGCAGACCTGGCAGGAAGCTATTGCAGTGCCTTCTTTGTGGCTCTACCAGTTCCTGACGCATAGCAGTGCTTGATGCAGTAAACAGTTAAAAGCGAGGGCAATTTGATGATCATGTAATGCTGTTTAACAACAGCACACCAATGTTTGCCTTCTTGAGGCACAATGGGCTCTTCCAGACAAACAAATAGTGAAAATGAGATGCAGTGTGTGTTATTGCATGTGTTTCCCACTACAAAACACTCCATAAGGACACGGACTTTTGTTGGTTTTGTTTACTGACATATCCCAAGTGCCTGGGAAAGTTTATGGCACTTAGTGGGTGGGCTCAACTTATTTTCAATGCAACTAACATTCGTTAGTTGAATTAATGAAAGCATATATTTTTGCCCTGTTATTTTCTGAACCTTCTTTCCATTGGCTTCTGACAACTTCTTTAATTTACCAAATGGAGCTAAAATGGGTACAAAGGGTAGGAAAGTTATTGGAACAATACCCCTGCCTCCCAGCCCATAATAGTGATATGCTCCCCACAATGGCTAGATCAAGTCTCACAGCATCTTTTGCATTTGTGTATTAAGGTTTCTGTTAGCTTAGGCAATGAATAAATGTGTTTATTTTTCATATTTTATTGTTTTTATTTCAATGACTACTATTTTCTTTTTTCTTCTATTGTTTTTAACATCCTTTCCATAAATCTCTCTCCTAGGCATTTTCTAAGGTTCTTCTCTTCCTTGTTTTTAATTTCCTTCCTCCTCTTCCTCCTCCTCCTTCTCTCCCATTTCCTTTTCCACTCCCTCCTCTCTTCCTCTCCAGTCAAGTCCAGCAGCTTCAAAGAGACTTGATTAGTTCCATATTTTCATTAGGAAGTGCTTTTTAGAAGTAGTGATTACAGAGAAAACCAAGGCTGCACATTGTTAATATGCTTCATTCTGTTTGGAGCTTTGCTAGAACTGTTTCTTGTTTAATACTAACAAATCTAACTTTAAGCTTGGGCAACTAGCAAAATCAATTATGTAGAAGATGTCAGCAGGTAAAGGGATGCAGCTATAATGATGATAAGGGAATTAAGTGGTTCAAGGAAGCTCTATATTCAAAGCAATTCACCCCAAAACAGTTTTGTCTTAAAATAGCAACATCTATAGTGTACCTACTGTGTGCAGGGTATTATATTCAAAATAATTGTGTATGCTTATAAGTTTAATTTTATTGTTCACTGCTTTATAACTATCATTTTAAAATTTAATTCTTTTGCTTGTCATCACCTACAAATAGGAGACATTATTTTAAAGGCACAATTCATATAGGTAAATGTAACACACACTCATGTGTGTACACTCAGAGACATGGCCTTAAAAAAAGGAAAAATTGAGAGTGAATAATATCAAAGGGACAGAAAAAGAGAGAATAAAAACATTTGAAATGCCAGAATCATTTCTGTAGGGAAATATTTTTTTAATCTGATTTCTATAATAATTAGTGGAGGTAGAAGATGGAATTATTTAATCTTTCAGGGTAAAACTTATCAGGTGTCAGTAAATTAAGAAGTGGATCATGAAGCTACTGTCAAAGAGAACTGGTAGATTATCAATTTTATAAGCCACATGGCTACTACCATGAGGCTTGGTGGGAGTGCTTATCAGGGAGCAAGTGGACAAAATCTGAGGGGACAGAATACATGGATCACAGGTGACCAGCAAGGAAGAAAGTTATCCATTCCAGGAAGGAGGCAGCTGTCTAAATCAGTATGGCCAAGAAACACATTTGGATTTCAGTCCAACCCAAGCTGATGTTGCTACTTGGGGCTACTGATTTGAGAGAAGAGGGTGTGGTATCAGGAGGATTCATTGATTAGCCATGTTCAGATGCTCTGGCACCTCTTCCTGAGAAGAATACTAGAAATAGTCCCGAGGGAAAGAGGGAAGAGGAGCAGAGGGAGAGGTCTGTGTATCTACTTATGAGATGGGGCTTAGGCCTGGACACTACTCCAAACCAAATCTAAAATAAACAACACTAGGAATGAAGGTGGAAATTGAGTAGGACATAATGATCCAAATTAATATGGATCATGCAGAGAAGCTATAATTGATGCTCTCACAGGTAATCTGGGATTGAATCTTTGTTGCCACAACTACCCTCTAAACATATTTGGTCTAGAAACAGCACGCTATTTCCAGACTCATTTCAGCAGTAAAAAGGAGACCCACATATTTAATCAGCTCTGATTTACATCAGAGCGGTGCTCTGCCTTCAACCAGATGGTCATTATCATTTGCAGGTGGCCAGGGCTGACAAACACAGAGGCTTGATATTTCTCTCACGAAAGGATTGTTGTAGAATCAACCATAAGCAAGTGCACAGAGGGAGATTGTTATTCTTTGACTAAGTAGTATGGTTGCGGTGGGGAGAAGTTTGGGACTGGGGCTAGAGCTAGGAAGTCCAACAGTGGGGCCATGAGTGAATGAGAAAAGCATGTGATGTGGGAAATGAACAGATTTGAAGAAATAAACTGTCCTCTTCCCACAGTGATTGGGTGAAGCTGTGACTTAAAATTCCCCTCCCAAAAAGACATGGTGAGGGTAATTACACCTCAAACAAGAGGGAACAGACATCCCCAGGGTGCAGAGGACTGAGAAATCTCCTTCGTATCATCCCAGGCATTTGTCCCAGAATGAACTTCCTTTGTATCCTCAAACTGAATTTCTGTCTTAATATCCCAGTCTATGAGGGGACTAGGATCTGGAATAGTTTCTGAACATCTCTCAGAAAAAAAATAGTGACATTAAAGAATTGTTATAACCTTTAGTTATGTCTCTCAAAACTGAAGATTATTAAAGCTCTTTATATAATCTGATGAAAAGGTACACCAGTGAGGCCAAGCAGGCAGCTAATTTCTTCCTTGTAGTGGGGGGAAAAAACAAATTCTTCCTTAAACTTAACATAAGGATTACTTTCAGCCTTCTTTATTGTGAAATATCACACTTGATCTTAGCCAAGAGGCCAGGAAGCAATATGAAATATACATACAAATTAATGTATATATTATGTGCATTTTGTACATATACATACATGTGTTTATGCATGCATAGTCTAAATAGTAAAAGTGCTAACACCTATTATCCCCACCCTTAAGAAATAACTTAAGAAACAGAATATTATTCAGAGGTCACCTCTATCCTGAATTGTTCACAATTCATTTGCTTATATGTACCATATGTATATATCTCTTAGCAATAAACTCCTTTGCATTGCCAATTTTTTACTTTACGTAAAGAAAATGCTTTAGTATGAATTCTTTTGCTGAACATTATGAGCATTTTTATTAGTCAACATTATGCTTTTAAGATTCATCCATGTTGATGCCTCTAGCTATGATCCCTTCCATGTCACAGTTGCTTCACATACCATGCTGGGAATACTTTGTCACCTGTTTATGCATTCCCATGATGGACATTTGGCTTATTTCTTTTTTATTATGGTTATGAAGAATAATGCTGCTCTGAGTATTTTCTTACATGCTTCCTTGTGTTCATGTGAAATATTTCCTCGTAAGCTAAGAGTCAAATTGCTGGTCACAGGATGTATATGCCTTTGTTTTACCTGATAATGCCAAATTGCTTCCTAAGTGGTAGTTCAATTTGTATTCCCCAAAGTGGTGCATGAGTTACCTTTGATCCACATTTAATAAATTCTCGTCTCATCCACACTTAATATTGACAGATTCTTAATTAATTTTTCAATCTGCTGTGTATAATAGTATTTCATTATCATTTAATTTGCAGTCTCGATTATTCTACATCTTTTATTATCATAAGGCTGAGCATCTGTTAGTATTTTTGTCATAAACACATTCTCCTATATTTTGCCTAAAAGTTTCTAAGATCGCCTTTTTATATTTAAGCCCTTGATTGCTTATCTAGTTGTAATTTATTTTTTTACTCACCCTTCAAATTCCACATTAAAATAGCTCAGAGTGAAACTTTAGAATTCAAACATCATATCAGTAGTCTTTATCAAGCTTCTAAACAATGCGTCAGTCATTTCTACATTACATGTGCAAAATGGCATCTGGCCTTGGCTTGGTTGCTTGCAGTGACAGGGAGCTCATTATTTCAACAATTATAAAGTTCTTCTTATAGATTTGTTGATTTCTGTCTTTGTGTAAATCCCAACAATTTACTAGAGTTTTTATTTCTGGAGAAATCCCAAAGAAGGCTATGGTATGACTGCAAAAATACCTCTGATCGTTACACTTTCCTGTGTCTATATCTCTTGCATCTCTGCCTATCAAGGAGTGGGGACCATTTCCCACCCCCTTAAATCTGAGCTGGTTTTGTGACTGAGTTTGACATACAGAAAGGACCAGATGTGATTGGGTACCAACTATGAGCTTTGGCTTCAAAAGGCTTTTCCTGCTTTGGTTGACTCTCTTGGAACCCATGCCATGCCATGAGAAGAAACACAAACTAGCGTGCTGGAAGATGAGAGACCACCTGGACCAGAGATAAGTCATTCCAGTTCTGCCCACCCTAGATCATCAACTCATAGCTGGCCCAGTTGCTGATGTCAACACGTGAGGAATTGCAGTGGCAATCACCCAAAACCAGAATTGTCCCATCTGAGACCAACCTAAATTGATCCACAGAATTGAGAGCTAAATAAACTGTTGTTTTGAGCCACTGAATTTTGAGGTAGTTTATTAGACAGCCATAGCTAACTGATGTAAAGATAAATTCTCTTTCTACATGGCAATCCTTATACCTATGATGTAAACAATAATTTTATGATGACTTTATTAGAAAAATACCATGTAATTCAATAGTATTTTTTTTCCAATTTGATTATACTAACCAGTATTCATGTAATCATGACTGTCTTTGAATGAATATACAATTGTCAGCTAGGAAATTGATGAATCAATATGAAAATAAAATACCACCACAACAATAAAAGTAAAATAGAATTCCACAGATGAAGAATCAAAGCACATGTTCAAAAGCAGTCATATATATATTGAATTTATAGAATTATTTTAAAAATCCAGTGATTTACAAGTAATTCTGAAACTAATCCTATGAAGTAGATAATACTATTATCACCTATTTTACATATGAGAAAACTGAGGCTTAAAGAAATTAAATAATGTATAATAGTTTACTGAGATAGGAAGTGGACGGAATACAAATCAAATCTCAAGTCTCTCTGATACCAGAGCCCATGATCCTTACTACTGTGACAGGAGTTCTCAGCCCTGGCTCCATATTAGAATCATTTTGGGAAGCATTTTTAAACTTCATTTTACAGACACATTCTGAGAAAAATTAAATCAGCATCTCTGGGAGTTTGCAGAGAGATGGGCTATTGGTGTGTTTTTGTTTTTTAAAACTCCTCAAAGATAATACCTGTAAAAAGCCAGAGTTAAACTTCATTTCATTATGTGTTGCACTTAGAAGGAAATTGCTAATCCTTCATATTGCTAATCCTTCAATTGCTAATCCTCAATGGCCCTTCATAGCTTAAACTCTGCCCATCTCCAGACTCATCTTGGACCTCATTTCCACTCCATGGATTGTTACTGTTATTAAAATACAGCTTTAATATTCCAAAAAACATCATCCAGCTGTGAGATGGATTTAGAATTTACACAAGCACCACTGAGTCATGTTGATTCTACACTTGAATGTACCAAAAACTTACTTATATAACCTCAAGTAGGTTCTTTAATCCCACAAAGCCACAGCATCCTCACGGACACAGTAGGTTTGGAGATATTTTTTATCCAAGACCTCACAGTGTTTAAAAAATATAATATGATCCTAAAGAGATTCTACAGTTTTATGGGAGCTTCTAATTGGCAACAGACTAGCAGCTTACCACTGAAAGCAATCACATAAGGATTCAGGAATCAGTGAATTTTCTGTATTTCACTGCCATCTATTGGATTTCAGCTGTATCCGAAATGTTTTCGGTTATTCCCATAGAGATCAATTCAACATTAAACAGTCCTGCCCACTTTGGAATGAAGGCAGGTGCTCTTTTGAGCAAAATAAGATTTTTCCCTATTATCATTTAAGACTAACTAAGCCTACTAAAATAACTAAATATCCCATTTAGGAAATATATCTGGGAACATGTATTCCTACTATCTGCAAAAGTTAAGTTTCATTTGTCAGGAAGGACTAAGGCCAAATGATAGGATTATGAAAACTAAAAATATCAGCCAAGGATCTTCTAAGTCAAGATTGAGCTGAAATGTGTTCATTAGGTATTCATATATTGAAGTTAATAATAATGTAGGCAGACTTGCCAATACTGATGCATAGATTTTTATTTTTGTGGGAAGATATGCGTAAGGACTGAAATTTCAACAATGGAGAGGATCAAGATTTTGAGAGAAACCATTTTTAAAAAACACTAAATGTATTTTTTTACACATGCTAGTATTCTCCAATGACCATCTTCACACAGTTTGAGAGTGTATGCAGCAGTAACTTGGAGTCTCTGCCAGAAGACAAACCATAATTATTTTATATTTTCTTGCTGCACATTTCTCAAAATTTTGATACATTCTGAGAATAATTCATTCTTAATTGAAGATATATTGTTGCTAACATTCAGCATCAACTTCTTCCAACATCTTATGAAAAATTCAAATATTGATTGTAAGACTTTTATGGTGAATATTAACTTGTAACTTGGTTTTAACCATTAATATTTCACTATATCTGCTGTGTCACAAATCCATCATTCTTTCCATCATGAATCTATCTCGTTTTTATCATTTTATTAACGTAGACGTCAGTACATTCTTCCCTAAATGCTTCTGCATTCTTATCATTAAATAGAGTTTAATATTTGTTTAATTTTGTCATTTCCTGGATGACTAATAATATTGATCACTTATGTATTGGTTGACTATTCATATATCTCCTTTGTGAAGTGTGGTCTAATCCTTTACACATTTTTAACTGGGATATTTGTCTGTTGTTAAGTAGTAGATATTTTAAAAATGCATTTTATTTTATATGACACATACTATATAAATGTAGACTATATAAAATATGCTTATAAAATATACTATTTTTAAAATATGCTGTTCTTTGTCATGTATCTGTTTTACAGATATTTTCTCCCTAAACATGGTTTAAATTTTTTTCTCTCTCTTTCTTCCTTTCTTTCTTTCTTTCTTTCTTTCTTTCTTTCTTTCTTTCTTTCTTTCTTTCTTTCTTTTCTTTCTTTCTTTCTTTCTTTCTTTCTTTCTTTCTTTCTTTCTTTCTTTCTTTTCTTTCTTTCCTTTCTTTCTTTCTTTCTTTCTTTCTTTCTTTCTTTCTTTCTTTCTTTCTTTCTTTCTTTCTTTCTCTCTCTTTCACTCAATTTTTGTTTGTTTGTTTGTTTCAGACAGATCTTGCTCTTATTGCCCAGGCTGGAGTGCAGTGGCATAATCATAGCTCACTGTAGCCTCAACCTCCCTGCTCAGGCAATTCTTCTGCTTCAGTCTGTCAAGTAGCTGGGACTACAGGCACACACCACCAAGCTCAGCTAAACAATAGTCTCTGAGAAGCAAAATTTTGATAAAATCAATTTTAAATATCTTTCCTTATTTTCATTGCTATCTGGGACCCCTCTAGGACGCTTGTCCACTGCCAAGTCATGAAGATATTGTTGGATGATGACCTCTAAAGCTTTATGATTTTAGTCTTTACATTTAGGTTGATGATCTAATTTGAATTAAATTTTGTGTATAAAATCAGGTAGAGATCCATGTTCTTTTTTTTTTTTTTAAATGTACGTCCAGTTGGTAGAGTACCATTTGTTAACAGACTTTCCCCCATTGAATGTTTTGGCAACTTTGTTTACAATCAAATGACTTTGCAAGTGTGAGTCAACTTTGAGTCCTCTTCTCTATTTTATTGAATAACTGTCTTTCTGTTTGTAGTTTTATATGTGTTGAAGTCAAGTAATATGTCTTACAAATTTGTTCTTCTATTATAAGTTTGCTTTGGATATTCTAGATCTTTTGCATTTTTACATGAATTTCAGAATAAGTTTCCCTATTTTTACAAAACAGTCTCTAGGTATATTACTGGGATTATGTCCAAATCTACATATATATTGTGACTGTGGATTGGCATTTTAATAATACTCATATTTTCAACCTTTTAATATGTCTTCATTTATTTGTCCTCTTTAATTCCTGTCAGTAATGTTTTATAATTTTGAGCATATAAATCTTCCACTTATTTTGTTAAAATATTTTTTCTAGGAATTTTGTTCCTTATCATGCTGTTTTAAATTGAATTATTTTCTAAAATTTATCTCCCTCATTTTGTGCTGTCATTATGACAAAATTTGACTTCTGTATGTTAACCTTGTATCCTACAATTTTTCCTAATTTACTTATTCATTCTAGTAGTTGTTCGGTAGATCTTATAGGATTTTTGTATGTTATAGGATTTTTGTATGTAAATAATTAGTTCGCTTTGCATAGTTTTATTCCTCTTTTTTCTGATATCTATGGTTATTATTTATTTTTCTTGTTTTATTGGTATAGTTATGACCATGCTGAATAAAAGTGGCAAGTATATTTGGATTTCTTCTATATAGGACATTTGTCACTTCTCCCCCATTTATTAATTTATTAAATCATTTATTTATATGAGAATGAACTCAGGGATATTTACTTTGTGCTTTGGGTTATAATTCAATACTATTTCATTTTTTCTGTTCAAATTGTTCCAGTCTTGCTGTTGGAGCTTTTTCACTTGACTCCTGTGCCCTTCATTATATTTCCATCAAAGTGGGATTTTTTTAAACATTTCCTTTCTTTGTGGCTTTACAAGATGCTCCAGCTCAGCTTATGTATTTTTCACTCCAGTTGTACAATCATCCATTTCTCTAAGGTGCCCTGTTTTTTTTAGCTGGAGAATAGTAATAAAAATTAAGATATAGCTATTAGGGGTATCAAGTATGTTAATTGCTACCGATTTTAGGCCTTTACAACTAACAGAAAAAGAAAATATCTGGGTTTAAATATTAACTTGTTTATATATGCATATCTATGAATACTAATATACAACTATGTCTATATTAATATAACATGAGTTCATACTGTGGTCTCCAACTCTAATCCATTACCACATAGATCATCTAGCCTTCTCCCCTTTCTTATCTGTAACTTCCCACTTCAATAGCGAGAAATCTAGCTCCCACAATCTGCCAGCTATTGACTTAATCGTTCATTTTCAGTGTACATGCATAGCAGTATCAGAATTGTTGACCTACACCCCCATGGACAACAGCTTTAGGAACTAGAGTATTGTGTGCTCTACACAGAGTTCTTATGTGCAGTTCTTTCTGCCTTTAGTCTTACAGATGCCACTCATTTTCAAAGTAACTTGGATTATCATTTTTCCCCTCATCCCTTCAGTAAGATTGTTAAGATCTGTAATACAGTTAAAGTCTCTTGTCATAATCTGCATTCCTTTCTGGGATCCACTGATCTCATAAATTATTTTCTTAAATTTGAATACATTAAAGTTCGCTCTTTGTGCTTCAAAAGTTCTATGCAGTTTGACAGGGCATAATACCTTATACCCACCATTAGATTTTTATGCAGAATAGTCTCACCACCCTAAAAATATCCTTTTTGTTTCACCTATTTAACCCTTGCCTCTTTCCCCTAAACCCTAGCAACCATTAATCTTTTTACTATCTCTTTGGTTGTCTTTTACAGAATATCATATAAGTGGACTCATACAGTGTGTAGCCTTTCAGATTGCTCTCTTTTTTTACTTAGTAATATGCATTTAAGTTTCCTCAAATGCCTTTTCATACTTGAAAGTTCATTTTTTGTATCACTGAATACTGTTCCATTATATGGACTGCTACAGTATGTTTATCCATTTATCTACTGAAGGAGATCTCAGTTGCTTCCAGTGTTTGGTGATTATGAATAATGCTGCTATAAATATTCACATGCAGGTTTTTTGGTGGGCAAAAGTTTTCAGATCAGCTGGGTGAATATGTAGGAATGCAATTTCTGGCTCACAGTTGTAAGAAACTGATTAACTGTCTTCCAAAGCAGTTGTACCATTTTACTTTCCTGCCAGTAATGAATGAGGGTTCTGGTTTCTCCACATCCTTGACAGACTTTGGTATTGTCAGTGTTTTGGATTTTAACCATTCTAATAGGTGTCTAGTGCTTTCTGGTAGTTCTAATTTGCAATTTTCTAGTGGCAAATGGAGTTGAGCATCTTTCCATATGCTTATTTACCATCTGTATATATTCTTTGGTGAGGTGTCTATTCAAATCTTTTGCTCGTTTAGACTTTTGTTTTCTTATTGCTTAAAGTGTTCTTGGTGTTACTTAGATCAGGTCCTTTATCAGATATGTGCTGTGCAAATTCTTTCAGCCTGTGGCTTGTCTTTTCATTTGCATTGCAGTTTCTTTTGCAAAACAGAAAATTTTAATTTTAAAATAGTTTAATTTAGTGTTTTTCATGAATCATGATTTTGGTATTGTATCTCAAATATCTTCTCAAACCCAAGGTCACACACATCTTTTTGTGTTTTCTTCTAGAAATTTTAAAGTTTTTCATTTTACATTTTAATCTTCATCTATTTTGAATTAATTTTATGAAAGGCGAGGCCTGTGGCTGGAGTCCCTCTTTTTTCTTTGTGCATATAAACATCTAACTGTTCCACATCACATTTAGAAAGATATCCTTGCTCCATGAATTGCTTTTGCTCTTTTGTTAAAGGTCCATTGACTATATATGTGTCAATTCTAGATTGTGTATTCTGTTCTGTTGATGTATGTGCCCTTTTTTTTTCACCAATACTATACTTTTTTTGTTTATTGTAGTTTTTTTTTTTTTTTTTGAGACAGGGTCCAGCTCTGTCACCTAGGCTGGAGTGCAGTGGTACAGTCTCAGCTCACTGCAACCTCTGCCTCTTGGGTTCAAGTGATTCTCATGCCTCAGCCTCCCAAACAGCTGGGATTACAGGTGCCTATTATGACATCCAGCTATTTTTTGTATTTTTAGTAGAGATGGAGTTTCAGCATGTTGGTCAGACTGGTCTCGAACTCCTTACCTTAAGTGACTCGCCCACTTCAGCCTCCCAAATTGCTGGGATTACAGGCCTGAGCCACCGCGCCTGGCCTACTGTAGTTTTATAGGAACTATTAAAGTTGGATAGTATCAGCACTCTGTGTTTTTCTTCAGTATTGTGTTGACTATTCTAGATCTTTTGCCTTTTCATATATACTAAAAACCCATTTGTTGATATCTGCAAAATAGTTTTTTGTGATTTTGATTGGGATTGTGTTGAATTTATAGATCAAGTTAGAAAGTATTTCTATCTTAACAATACTGAGTCTTCCAAGGCATGAACATGGAACACATTTCTATTTATTTAGCTCTTTGATTTCTTTCATCAGAGTTTTATAGTTTTCCACATAAATATCCTATATATAGTTTGTTATATACATAATTATTTTTTCGGTGCTATTGTGAATGGTATTTTTATATTTCAAATTTCAAGTGTTAATTGATAATGTATAGAAAAACATTGACTTCTGTATATTAATCTTGCAAACTGAGATTTCCTATCCTTTAGTTCCTGGTAAGCTTTTGGGTTTTGTTGTTGTTGATGATTATGATGTGTAGTATTTTTATTAGTACTCAGTTTTGCCTTGTAATTTCTCCTTTCAACTATGATTATTTAGAAGTGCATTGTTTCATAACCAAATTGTATTTTTTCTATATTACTTATTTATTTATATTTAATTATAATGTGTTGGGAGGACATACTCTGGATGCTTTTAGTTTATTTAGACTTATTTTGTAGCACAGCATATTGTCTTTCTGGATGACCTGAGCTAAGCAAAGCAGGTTGCCTGCTGAAGCAGTAGTGAAGAGTCATTCCCGTTTCCACTCATGATTCACAGGCCCGTGAGACCTGGCTACAATAGAAGCAACAATATCTATTGGAAGCTGATTTTAAGCATGTATAACTAGTGTAACCGATAGATGTTCTGCAAATAAAGTAATTATTTGATAGTCTCTTGGAAAAAATAGAAAGAAGAAAAAAGGCAAAAATGATCAAAGTTAAGATTAAAACAATTTCTCCAGATATTAAAAATATTCTGAGGGGCTATTTTAGAAAACTTTTTCAATAAACCTGAAAATTAAATGAAATAGACAAATCACAGCTTACTTATATTAACAAAATAAAAAGGGAAAGTTAAATAGTCCAATATGTACTACACATTGGAACCCAGAATTAAAAGCTTTCCTAAAAGAAAACTCACCAGTGGATTTTAAGCTATAACACCTATATAACACAATTTTATTAAGATTTTTTAAAGTGCTAATGTTTTCTAAATTATTTAGGAAGCCTAATTATCTTTATGCCAAAATCTGATAGGGCTTTTCTTTTTAAATTTTTTTTTAGTTTTTAGTTTTTTGGGGCATATAATAGGTGTATATATTTATGAAGTGCATGAGATATTTTGATACAGGCATAGAATGCATAATATTCACACCAGGGTAAATGGGATATCCATCACCTCAAGCAGTTATTCTTTTTTTAATTTAATTTAATTTAAAGTTCTGGGATACATGTGTGGGATGTGCAGGTTTGTTACACAGGTAAATGTGTGTTGTGGTGGTTTGCTGCACCTATCAACCCATTACCTAGGTATTAAGCCCTGCATGCATTAGCTATTTAACCTGATGCTCTCTCTCTCCCCCGCCACCACCACCGCAGGCCCCCACATGTATTATCCCCCTCCCAGTGTCCATGTGTTCTCATTGTTCGGCTCCCACTTATAAGTGAGAAGATGTGTTTCTTGGTTTTCTCTTCCTGTGTTAGTTTCAAGCAGTTATTATTTGTGTTACAAATAATCCAATTTAAACTCTTTTAGTTATCTTAAAATGTACAATTAACTTATTGACTATAGTCATCCTGTGGTTTTATCAAATAGAATATCTTATTCATTCTTTCTATTTTTTTGTACCCATTAGCCATCCCCACTTGCTCCCATCCCTCCGCGCCCACCCCTCCAGTATGCTTCCCAGTCTCTGGTGACTAGCCTTCTACTCTCTATCTTCATGAGTTCAATTGCTTTAATTTTTAGCTCCCACTAATAAGTGAGAACATGCAAAGTTTGTCTCTCTTTGCCTGGCATATTTCATTTAGCATCATGACCTCCAGTTCCATTGATGTTGTTGCAAATGACAGGATCTCAATCTCTTTTATGGCTGAATAGTACTCCATTGTGTATATGTACTACATTTTCTTTATATATTTGTCTGTTGATGCACACTTAGGTTGCTTCCAAATCTTGGTTATTATGAATAGTGCTGCAATAAACATGGGAGTGCAGATATCTCTTCAATATACTGGTTTCCTTTCTTTGGGGTATATACCCAGCAGTGGGATTGCTGAATTTTATAATACCTTGATTTTTAGTTTTTTGAGGAACTTCCAAACTGTTCTCCATAGTGGTTGTACTAATTTACATTCCCACCAACAGTGTACGAAGGTTTCCTTTTCCCCACATCCTCACCAGCATTTGTTATTGCCTGTCTTCTTGATTAAAGAAAACATTTTTACTGGGGTGACATCATATCTCATTGTCTTTTTGATTTGAATTTCTCTGATGATCAGTGGTGTTGAGCACCTTTTCATATGCCTGTTTGTCATTTGTATGTTTTCTTCTGGGAAATGTCTATTCAGATCGTTTGCTCATTTTAATCAGATTATTTGATTTTTTCCTATACAGTTGTCTGAGCTGCTTATATATTCTCATTATTAATCCCTTGTCAAGTAGATAGTTTGCAAATATTTTCTCTCATTCTGTGGGCTGTCTCTTCACTTTGTTGATTGTTTCCTTTGCTGTGCAGAAACTTTTTAACTTAATATGAACCCATTTGTCTATATTTGCTTTTGTTGACTGTAATTGTGGGGTATTCCTCAGAAATCTTTGCTCAGTCCAATGTCCTGGAGAGTTTCTACAATGTTTTCTTTTAGTTGTTTCATAGTTTGAGATCTTAGATTTAAGTCTTTCATCCATTGCGATTTGATTTCTTTATATGGCAAGACTTTTTATATGGCTTTGGGTAGTATGCACATTTTACCAATATTGATTCTTCAAATTCATGAACATGGAATATCCTTCCATATTTTTGTGTCCTCTGCAATTGACTGCATCAGTGTTTTATAGTATTCATTATAGAAATGTTTCACTTTTTTGTTCATTGCTAGGTATTTAATTTTATTTGTAGCTGTTGTAAATAGAATTACTTCATGATTTCTTGTTCAGATTGTTTGTTGCTGGCATATAGAAATGCTGCTGATTTTTGTACATTGATTTTGTATCCTGCAAATTTACTGAGTTTGTATATCAATTCTAATAGTTTCTTGGTGGAGTCTTTAGGTTTTCCCAAATATAAGATTATATCATCTGCAAACACAGTTAATTTGAGTTCTTCCTTTCCAATTTGGATGCCCTTTATTTCTTTCTCTTGTCTGATTGCTGTAGCTAGAACTTCCAGTACTACGTCTAATAACAGTGGTGACAATGGTCATCCTTGTCATGTTCCAGATTTTAGAGGAAAGGCTTTCAGGTTTTCCCCATTCAGTATGATACTAGCCATGGGTTTGTCATATATGGCTTTTGTTATGTTGAGGTATATTTATTCTACACCCAGTTTTTTGGAGGTTCTTATAATGAAGGAATGTTGAATTTAATAAAATGCCTTTACAGCATCAGTTGAAATGATCACATGGGTTTTGTCCTTCATTCTGTTGATATGATGTACCACATTGATTGATTTATGTATGTTTAACAATCTTTGCTTCCCTGGTATAAATTCCGCTTGGTCATGATAAGTGATCATTTAATGTGCTGTTGAAATCAATTTCTAGTATTTTATTGAGGATTTTTGCATCCATGTTTATCAGGGATATTGGCTTGTAGTTTTCTCTTTTTGATGTGTCTTTGTCATATTTTGATATCAGGGTAATGTTGAAATCAGTTTGAAATCAGTTTGAAAGTATCCCCTTCTTCATAGCTTGAACCCGGGATGTGGAGGTTGCAGTGAGCCGAGATCGTGCCATCGCACTCCAGCCTGGGGGACAAGAGCAAGACTTCATCTCAAAAAAAAAAAAAAAGTATTCCCTCCTTCTCTATTTTTGGAAATAGTTGGAGTAGGATTAATATTACTTTTTCTTTAAATGTTTGGTAAAATACAGCAGTGACGTCATTGGGTCCTGGGCTTTTCTTTGCTGGGAGACTTTTTTTATGGCATTGATCTTATTAATTGCTGTTTGTTGTTGGTCTCTTCAGCTTTTGTATTTTCTCATGGCTGCATAGTGGTAGCTTGTGTGTGTCTAGAAATTTGTACATTTGTTCTAGTAGCTTGTATGTGTCTAGGAATTTGTACATTTGTTCTAGGTTTTCCAATTTATTTGCATGTACTTGCACCTTACGGTAGACTCCAGTGATCCTTTGAATTTCTATGGCATTGTGTGTAATGTCTCCTTTTTTCTCTTTAATTTTATTTATTTGGGTCTTCTCTCTTTTTTTCTTAGTCTGGCTAAAGGTGTGTTAATTTTATTTATCTTATCAAAAGAAGTTTTCAGTCCATTGATCTCTTGTATTATTTTCCTGATTTCTATTTAATTTATTTCTGCTCACATCTTTATTGTTTCTTTTCTTCTACTAATTTTGGGTTTGGCTTGCTCTTGCTTTTCTAGTTCTTTAAGCATCATCAGATCATTTTCAAAAAGTTTTTCTTTTTGTTGATGTAGGTACTCCCTCTTATTACTGTTTTCACTGCATCTCATAGGTTTTGGTATGTTGTATTTCCATTATCATTTGTTTCAAGAAACTTTAAAATTTCTTTCTTAATTTCTTCATTGACCCACTGGCTCATTCAGTAGCATATTGTTTAAATTTCCATGTCTTTTTACCTTTCCAATACTCTTCTTGTTATCAATTTCTAATTGTATTCCACTGTGGTCAGAGAATAATTGATTTTTCACTGTGTTAAGGCTTGTTTTGTAGCCTAACATATGGTCTATCCTTGAGAATGATTTATGTGCTGAGGAGAAAAATGTGTATTCTGTAGCCATTGGATGAAATGTTCTGCAATTATCTATTAGGTCCATTTGGTCTATACTGAAGGTTAAGTCCAATTTTTTTGTCGGTTTTTTGTCTGGATGATCTGTCCAATGCTGAAGTGGGGTGTTGAAGTCTCCAGCTATTACTGTATTAGGGTCTATTTCTCTATTTAGCTCTAATGATATTTGCTTTATATATCTGGGTGTTCCCAGTTTTGGGTGTATATATATTTGCAATTGTTATTTTCTCTTGCTGAATTGACTATTTATCATTATATAATGATCTTATTTATCTCTTTTCATAGTTTTTGTCTTGAAATCTATTTTGTTTGATACAAGTATAGCTACTCCTGTTCTTTTTTGGTTTTTGCTTGCATGGAACTTCTTTTTCCATCCTTTTATTTTCATCATGTGTGTCTTTATAGGTCAAGTATGTTTTGTGAAAGCAACAGATCATTGGGTCACTATTTTTATTCATTCAGCTAGTTTATGAGTTTTGATTGGAGAGTTTAGTCCATTTACATTCAGTGTTACTATTGACAAGTAAGATCTTAATCTGATGAGTAAGAACTTAATGCTGCCATTTTGTTATTTGTTTTCTGGTTGTTTGGAGGTTGCTTCTTCCCTTTTTCCTTTCTTCCTATCTTCCTTTTTGTGAAGGTGATTTTCTCTGTTGGTATGTTTTAATTTCTTGCTCATGCTGCCCATTTGTGTGTTTGTTGTATGCTTTTTTATTTGAGGTTACCATGAGGCTTGCAGATACTATCTTATGACCCAATATTTTAAGCTAATGACAATGTAACACTGATTGCAAAAACAAACCAACAAATAAGCAGAGAAAATTAATAAAAACTCTACACTTTCACTTAGTCCCCTCACTTTTAAGCTTTTTGTTGTTTCTATTGTACTGTCTAGGTCTTAAAAAGTTGAAGGATTATTTTTGATTGGCTCATTTTTAGTCTTTCTACTTAAGATATGAGTAGTTTATGCACCACAATTGCAGTGTTGTAATATTCTGTGCTTTTCTGTGTACTTACTATTACCAGAGAGTTTTGTACCTTCAGATGGTTTCTTATTGCTCATTAATGTCTTTCTCTTTCACATTGAAGAACTCCTATCATTTCTTGTAGGACAGGTCTGGTGTTGATGAAATCTCTCAGCTTTTGTTGGCTGGGGAAAGTCTTATTTCGCCTTCCTGTTTGAAGGATATTTTCACCAGATATACTAAGTTATGATAAAACAAATTTTCCCACAACATTTTATTTATTTATTTTTATTTTATTTTTTTGAGATGGAGTCTCACCCTGTCACCCAGGCTGGAGTGCAGTGGTGTGATCTCAGCTCACTGCAGCCTCCACTTCCCAAGTTCAAGCAATTTTCCTGTCTCAGCCTCCCAAGCAGCTGAGATTACAGGCGCCCGCCACCAGGCGTGGCTTATTTTTTTCTATTTTTAGTAGAAACGGGTTTCACCATGTTGGCCAGGCTGGTTTTGAACTCCTGACCTCAAGTGATCCACCCTCCTCAGCCTCCAAAAGTGCTAGGATTAGGCATGAGCCATCTCACCTGGCCCCTTCAGCACTTTAAATACATGATGCCACACTCTCCTGGTCTGTAAGATTTCCTCTGAAAAGTCTACTGCCAGATATATTTGAGCTCTGTTGTATGTTATTTGTTTCTTTTTTCTTGCTGCTTTTAGGATCCTTTCTTTATTTTGTCCTTTGGGAGTTTGATTATTAAATGCCTTGAGGTTGCCTTATTTGGGCTAAATCTAGTTGGTGTTCTATAACCTTCTTGTACTTGAATATTGGTTCTTTCTCCAGGTTTTGGGATGTTCTCAGTTATTACTCCTTTGAATAAGCTTTCTACCCCTATTTCTCTCTCTACCTCCTCTTTAAGGGCAATAACTCTTAGTTTTGCCCTTTTGAGGCTATTTTCTAGATCTTATAGGTATACTTCATTCTTTCTTACTCTTTTTGCTTTCATCTCCTCTTTTTATTTTCAAATAGCCTTTCTTCAAGCTCATTAATTTTTTTCTTCTGCTTTATCAATTCTGGTATTGAGAGACTGTGATGCATTCTTCATTATGTCATTTGTGCTTTTCAACTCTGGAATTTCTGCTTGATTCTTTTAATTATTTAATTTCTTTGTTAAGTTTATCTGATAGGATTCTGGATTCCTTCTCTGTCTTATCTTGAATTTCATTGAGTTTCCTCAAAACACCTATTTTGAATTCTGTGTCTGAAATGCCACATTTCTGTGTCTCTCATGGATTGGTCCCTGGAGTCTTATGTAGTTTGTTTGGTGAGGTCTTGTTTTCCTGGATGGTCGTGATGCTTGTGGATAATCATCAGTGTCTGAGCATTGAAGAGTTAGGCATTTATTATAGTTTTTACAGTCTGGGCTTATTTTTACCTGTCCTTAGGAAGACTTTCCACGTATTTGAGGGGACTTGGGTCTTGTGATCTAAGTTTTTCATTACTGCAGCCATATCTGCATGAGGGGACACCCCAAGCTCAGTAACACTTTGGCTCTTGCATACTTGTAAAGATACTACATTGGTGGTCTTGAATAAGATCCAGAAGAATTATCTGGATTACCAAGCAGAGACTCTTATTCTCATCACTTACTTTCTCACAAACAAATGGGGTCTCTCTCTCTCTCTCTCTCTCTCTCTGTGCTGAGCTGCCTGGATCTGGACATGGGGGGGCCATAAGCACCTCTGGGGCCACCAACATTAGAACTGTACTGGGTCAGACTAGAGGGCAGGAAAGCACTGGGACTCACCCAAGGCCCACTGTAACCACTATGTCGCTACTGCCTATGTTCATTCAAGGCCCTAGAGCTATGCAATTAGCAAGTGACAAAGCCAACCAAGCTTTATTTTTTCCTTCAGGGTGCTGAGTTCCTTTAGCTCTGGGTGGGTCCAGAGATGCTGTCTGGGGGCCAGGGCCTGGAGCCAAATACTTTAAGAATATATGTGGTGTTCTATTCTGTTGTGGTTGTGCTGGCTACAATCACAAGACAAAGTCCCCCGTGCTCTTTCCTCCCTCTTCCACTAGCCAAGGATTCTCTCCCCATGGCCACCACCAGTGCAGGCCTGAAGAGAGTACTACTACCTATGCTCATTGAAGGCTCAAGGGTTTTTCAGTCAGCTTGTGGTGGATGCTGTCAGACCTGGGACTCCCCTTTCAGGGAAGTGGGCTCCCCTCTGATCCAGGGAAAATACAGAAATGATGTCCAAGAAGCAAGGCCTGGAATCAGGTACCCCAAGGGCCTACTTGGTGCTCTACCCCACTGTGGCCAAGCTGGTATTTAAGCTGCAAGACAAAGTCACTTTTACACTTCCCTCTGCTTTTCTCAAGCAGGAGTCTCTCCCCATAAGCAGCATAGCTGGGAATGTGCTAGATCACATCTGAAGACAGTATGTCTCAGAGTCTCACCAAAGGCCCATGGCTTGTGCTACCTGGCTACTTCTGCTGCTTATTCAGGGTCCAAGGGCTCTTTAGTCAGCAGGTGTTGACTCTTGCCAAAACTGAATCCTTCCCTTCAATCCAGCAGGTTCTCTTCTGGCCCAGCATATGTCAAGAAATGTCATCTGGGAGCTTTGACCTGGGATAAGTGCCTCAGGACTTGCCTAGTTCCCTGTCCTACTATGGCTGAGCTGGTATTCATGTTGAAAGACATAGTCCTCTTCTCTCCTCAACTGGAAGGATAGAGTCTCTTGGAGCTGTGAGATGCACTTCCTTGGGCTGGGCTGTCTGATGGGTGGAGAAAACACTCCTTTGGCCACTCCAGCTGGTTTCTCACTGGGCTATGTTACCCACAAAGCCACTGGCTTCAAACCCAGCACAGAACCAGGACTTGCCCAGGAATTGCAGTCCCTGTGGCCTAGACTGCTTTTCAAGTTCATATATGCCCCAGAGTACTTTAGCTCACAGTGGCGAGGCTTGCCAGAACTCAGTTCCAACCACTGGGATCAACAATTCCCCTCTGGCTAGCACTGGTCTAAGTGCTTCCTCCACGGGCATCGGCTGATGCAGCTATATCTGCATTAGGGGAGAACCCAAGCCCAGTAACACTGTGGCTCTTGCAGGCTTGTAGAGATACCTCAAGTCTGTAATGTAGAAATCCTGCCTGAGTTTCCAATCTGCTGGCTTGTCTTATGGATTTGGACTCAAATTGCATTAGCTCTTACCTCAATTTTCATCCTATCTGCTCTATAGATTCTAAACTTGTCAGCACCACTTTTGCTTAAGCTAGTCCTTAAAACAAATAAATTCCTTCCTTCCTTCCTTCTTTCTTTTCTTTCTTTCTTCCTTTCTTTCTTTTCTTTCTTTCTTCCTTTCTTTCTTTTCTTTCCTTCCTTCCTTTCTTCCTTCTTTCCTTCTTTCCTTCCTTCCTTCCTTCCTTCCTTCCTTCTTTCCTTCTCTATCCATCCTATTGGTTTTATTTTTCTGGAAGACCCTGACTAGTACAACTACTTTAATAATCAAATACATGTCTAAGTTTTCATGATCTTGAATTAATCAGTAATTTCTTAGCTGTAGCTTTAAAAGCACAAGTGACCATGGAAAAATAGATAAATTTGACTTTATTAAAATTAAAAATGTTTGTACATCAAAAAGTTACTATCAGGAAAATAAAAAACTACCCACAGATTAGAGCAAAGTTATATTTGCGAATTATATGTTATAGGGTCTAGTATCCAGAATATATAAAGAACATTTACAACTCAAGAAGAAAAAACAGATAACCCAATGTAAAAATAAACAAAGCTCCCCAAGAAAGATCTACAGATGGTCGGTCATTAACGACATCAGGAGATGCTCAAAATCATTAGTCATCAAGGAAATGCAAATAAAATCTACACTGAGATGCCACTTCACACCCACTAGAATGACTTTAATGGAAAAAATGAGAAACAACAAATGTTGGTGAAGATGTGGAGAAACTGGTACCCTCAACATTGCTGGTGGTGAAGTAAAATGGGACAGCTGCTGCGGAAAAATTTGGCAGTTTCTCAAAAGTTAAACATAGATTTAGCATATGACCCAGCAATTCAACTCTTTGGTATTGAAAGCATATATATTTCAATATATTTATTTCATATTCAATATGCTTAATATATTTAATTACCTTACATTCAATTCTGTTATATTCTCTTATGTTT
The DNA here is from genome assembly GCF_000001405.40 of Homo sapiens. NCBI lineage: Eukaryota > Metazoa > Chordata > Mammalia > Primates > Hominidae > Homo > Homo sapiens. The sequence goes on from NC_000008.11 coordinate 74,942,629, forward strand.
CATTTCTTTTTTTATTTTATTTTATTTTATTTTTTATTATACTTTAAGTTTTAGGGTACATGTGCACATTGTGCAGGTTAGTTACATATGTATACATGTGCCATGCTGGTGCGCTGCACCCACTAACTCATCATCTAGCACTAGGTATATCTCCCAATGCTATCCCTCCCCCCGCCCCCCACCCCACCACAGTCCCCAGAGTGTGATATTCCCCTTCCTGTGTCTATGTGATCTCATTGTTCAATTCCCACCTATGAGTGAGAATATGCGGTGTTTGGTTTTTTGTCCTTGCGATAGTTTACTGAGAATGATGATTTCCAATTTCATCCATGTCCCTACAAAGGACATGAACTCATCATTTTTTATGGCTGCATAGTATTCCATGGTGTATATGTGCCACATTTTCTTAATCCAGTCTGTCATTGTTGGACATTTGGGTTGCTTCCAAGTCTTTGCTATTGTGAATAATGCCGCGATAAACATACGTGTGCATGTGTCTTTATAGCAGCATGATTTATAGTCATTTGGGTATATACCCAGTAATGGGATGGCTGGGTCAAATGGTATTTCTAGTTCTAGATCCCTGAGGAATCGCCACACTGACTTCCACAATGGTTGAACTAGTTTACAGTCCCACCAGCAGTGTAAAAGTGTTCCTATTTCTCCACATCCTCTCCAGCACCTGTTGTTTCCTGACTTTTTAATGATTGCCATTCTAACTGGTGTGAGATGGTATCTCATAGTGGTTTTGATTTGCATTTCTCTGATGGCCGGTGATGATGAGCATTTTTTCATCTTTTTTGGCTGCATAAATGTCTTCTTTTGCAAAGTGTCTGTTCATGTCCTTCACCCACTTTTTGATGGGGTTGTTTGTTTTTTTCTTGTAAATTTGTTTGAGTTCATTGTAGATTCTGGATATTAGCCCTTTGTCAGATGAGTAGGTTGCGAAAATTTTCTCCCATTTTGTAGGTTGCCTGTTCACTCTGATGGTAGCTTCTTTTGCCGTGCAGAAGCTCTTTAGTTTAATTAGATCCCATTTGTCAATTTTGGCTTTTGTTGCCATTGCTTTTGGTGTTTTGGACATGAAGTCCTTGCCCATGCCTATGTCCTGAATGGTAATGCCTAGGTTTTCTTCTAGGGTTTTTATGGTTTTAGGTCTAACGTTTAAGTCTTTAATCCATTTTGAATTGATTTTTGTATAAGGTGTAAGGAAGGGATCCAGTTTCAGCTTTCTACATATGGCTAGCCAGTTTTCCCAGCACCATTTATTAAATAGGGAATCCTTTCCCCATTGCTTGTTTTTCTCAGGTTTGTCAAAGATCAGATAGTTGTAGGTATGCAGCATTATTTCTGAGGGCTCTGTTCTGTTCCATTGATCTATATCTCTGTTTTGGTACCAGTACCATGCTGTTTTGGTTACTGTAGCCTTGTAGTATAGTTTGAAGTCAGGTAGTGTGATGCCTCCAGCTTTGTTCTTTTGGCTTAGGATTGACTTGGTGATGTGGGCTCTTTTTTGGTTCCATATGAACTTTAAAGTAGTTTTTTTCCAATTCTGTGAAGAAAGGCATTGGTAGCTTGATGGGGATGGCATTGAATCTATAAATTACCTTGGGCAGTATGGCCATTTTCACGATATTGATTCTTCCTACCCATGAGCATGGAATGTTCTTCCATTTGTTTGTATCGTCTTTTATTTCCTTGAGCAGTGGTTTGTAGTTCTCCTTGAAGAGGTCCTTCACATCCCTTGTAAGTTGGATTCCTAGGTATTTTATTCTCTTTGAAGCAATTGTGAATGGGAGTTCACTCATGATTTGGCTCTCTGTTTGTGTGTTGTTGGTGTATAAGAATGCTTGTGATTTTTGTACATTGATTTTGTATCCTGAGACTTTGCTGAAATTGCTTATCAGCTTAAGGAGATTTTGGGCTGAGACAATGGGGTTTTCTAGATATACAATCATGTCATCTGCAAACAGGGACAATTTGACTTCCTCTTTTCCTAATTGAATACCCTTTATTTCCTTCTCCTGCCTAATTGCCCTGGCCAGAACTTCCAACACTATGTTGAATAGGAGCGGTGAGAGAGGGCATCCCTGTCTTGTGCCAGTTTTCAAAGGGAATGCTTCCAGTTTTTGCCCATTCAGTATGATATTGGCTGTGGGTTTATCATAGATAGCTCTTATTATTTTGAAATATGTCCCATCAATACCTAATTTATTGAGAGTTTTTAGCAGGAAGCGTTGTTGAATTTTGTCAAAGGCTTTTTCTGCATCAATTGAGATAATCATGTGGTTTTTGTCTTTGGTTCTGTTTATATGCTGGATTACATTTATTGATTTGCGTATATTGAACCAGCCTTGCATCCCAGGGATGAAGCCCACTTGATCATGGTGGATAAGCTTTTTGATGTGCTGCTGGATTCGTTTTGCCAGTATTTTATTGAGGATTTTTGCATCAATGTTCATCAAGGATATTGGTCTAAAATTCTCTTTTTTGGTTGCGTCTCTGCCCGGCTTTGGTATCAGAATGATGCTGGCCTCATAAAATGAGTTAGGGAGGATTCCCTCTTTTTCTATTGATTGGAATAGTTTCAGAAGGAATGGTACCAGTTCCTCCTTGTACCTCTGGTAGAATTCGGCTGTGAATCCATCCGGTCCTGGACTCTTTGGTTGGTAAACTACTGATTATTGCCACAATTTCAGCTCCTGTTATTGGTCTATTCAGAGATTCAACTTCTTCCTGGTTTAGTCTTGGGAGAGTGTATGTGTTGAGGAATTTATCCATTTCTTCTAGATTTTCTAGTTTATTTGCGTAGAGGTGTTTGTAGTATTCTCTGATGGTAGTTTGTATTTCTGTGGGATCAGTGGTGATATCCCCTTTACAATTTTTTATTGTGTCTGTTTGATTCTTCTCTCTTTTTTTCTTTATTAGTCTTGCTAGTGGTCTATCAATTTTGTTGATCCTTTCAAAAAACCAGCTCCTGGATTCATTTATTTTTTGAAGGGTTTTTTGTGTGTCTATTTCCTTCAGTTCTGCTCTGATTTTAGTTATTTCTTGCCTTCTGCTAGCTTTTGAATGTGTTTGCTCTTGCTTTTCTAGTTCTTTTAATTGTGATGTTAGGGTGTCAATTTTGGATTTTTCCTGCTTTCTCTTGTGGGCATTTAGTGCTATAAATTTCCCTCTACACACTGCTTTGAATGCGTCCCAGAGATTCTGGTATGTTGTGTCTTTGTTCTCATTGGTTTCAAAGAATATCTTTATTTCTGCCTTCATTTCGTTATGTACCCAGTAGTCATTCAGGAGCAGGTTGTTCAGTTTCCATGTAGCTGAGCGGCTTTGAGTGAGATTCTTAATCCTGAGTTCTAGTTTGATTGCACTGTGGTCTGAGAGATAGTTTGTTATAATTTCTGTTCTTTTACATTTGCTGAGGAGAGCTTTACTTCCAAGTATGTGGTCAATTTTGGAATAGGTGTGGTGTGGTGCTGAAAAAAATGTATATTCTGTTGATTTGGGGTGGAGAGTTCTGTAGATGTCTATTAGGTCTGCTTGGTGCAGAGCTGAGTTCAATTCCTGGGTATCCTTGTTGACTTTCTGTCTCGTTGATCTGTCTAATGTTGACAGTGGGGTGTTAAAGTCTCCCATTATTAATGTGTGGGAGTCTAAGTCTCTTTGTAGGTCACTCAGGACTTGCTTTATGAATCTCGGTGCTCCTATATTGGGTGCATATATATTTAGTATAGTTAGCTCTTCTTGTTGAATTGATCCCTTTACTATTATGTAATGGCCTACTTTGTCTCTTTTGATCTTTGTTGGTTTAAAGTCTGTTTTATCAGAGACTAGGATTGCAACCCCTGCCTTTTTTTGTTTTCCATTTGCTTGGTAGATCTTCCTCCATCCTTTTATTTTGAGCCTATGTGTGCCTCTGCATGTGAGATGGGTTTCCTGAATACAGCACACTGATGGGTCTTGACTCTTTATCCAATTTGCCAGTCTGTGTCTTTTAATTGGAGCATTTAGTCCATTTACATTTAAAGTTAATATTGTTATGTGTGAATTTGATCCTGTCATTATGATGTTGGCTGGTGATTTTCTCGTTAGTTGATGCAGTTTCTTCCTAGTCTCGATGGTCTTTACATTTTGGCATCATTTTGCAGCGGCTGGTACCGGTTGTTCCTTTCCATGTTTAGCGCTTCCTTCAGGAGCTCTTTTAGGGCAGGCCTGGTGGTGACAAAATCTCTCAGCATTTGCTTGTCTGTAAAGTATTTTATTTCTCCTTCACTTATGAAGCTTAGTTTGGCTGGATATGAAATTCTGGGTTGAAAATTCTTTTCTTTAAGAATGTTGAATATTGGCCCCCACTCTCTTCTGGCTCGTAGGGTTTCTGCCGAGAGATCCAATGTTAGCCTGATGGGCTTCCCTTTGAGGGTAACCCGACCTTTCTCTCTGGCTGCCCTTAACATTTTTTCCTTCATTTCAACTTTAGTGAATCTGACAATTATGTGTCTTGGAGTTGCTCTTCTTGAGGAGTATCTTTGTGGTGTTCTCTGTATTTCCTGAATCTGAACGTTGGCCTGCCTTGCTAGATTGGGGAAGTTCTCCTGGATAATATCCTGCAGAGTGTTTTCCAACTTGGTTCCATTCTCCCCATCACTTTCAGGTACACCAATCAGACGTAGATTTGGTCTTTTCACATAGTCCCATATTTCTTGGAGGCTTTGCTCATTTCTTTTTATTCTTTTTTCTCTAAACTTCCCTTCTTGCTTCATTTCATTCATTTCATCTTCCATTGCTGATACCCTTTCTTCCAGTTGTTCACATCGGCTCCTGAGGCTTCTGCATTCTTCACGTAGTTCTCGAGCCTTGGTTTTCAGCTCCATCAGCTCCTTTAAGCACTTCTCTGTATTGGTTATTCTAGTTATACATTCTTCTAAATTTTTTTCAAAGTTTTCAACTTCTTTGCCTTTGGTTTGAATGTCCTCCCGTAGCTCAGAGTAATTTGATCGTCTGAAGCCTTCTTCTCTCAGCTCATCAAAGTCATTCTCCATCCAGCTTTGTTCCGTTGCTGGTGAGGAACTGCGTTCCTTTGGAGGAGGAGAGGCGCTCTGCTTTTTAGAGTTTCCAGTTTTTCTGTTCTGTTTTTTCCCCATCTTTGTGGTTTTATCTACTTTTGGTCTTTGATGATGGTGATGTACAGATGGGTTTTTGGTGTGGATGTCCTTTCTGTTTGTTGGTTTTCCTTCTAACACACAGGACCCTCAGCTGCAGGTCTGTTGGAATACCCTGCTGTGTGAGGTGTCAGTGTGCCCCTGCTGGGGGGTGCCTCCCAGTTAGGCTGCTCGGGGGTCAGGGGTCAGGGACCCACTTGAGGAGGCAGTCTGCCCGTTCTCAGATCTCCAGCTGCGTGCTGGGAGAACCACTGCTCTCTTCAAAGCTGTCAGACAGGGACATTTAAGTCTGCAGAGGTTAATGCTGTCTTTTTGTTTGTCTGTGCCCTGCCCCCAGAGGTGGAGCCTACAGAGGCAGGCAGGCCTCCTTGAGCTGTGGTGGGCTCCACCCAGTTGGAGCTTCCCAGCTGCTTTGTTTACCTAAGCAAGCCTGGGCAATGGCGGGCGCCCCTCCCCCAGCCTCGCTGCCGCCTTGCAGTTTGATCTCAGACTGCTGTGCTAGCAATCAGCGAGACTCCGTGGGCGTAGGACCCTCCGAGCCAGGTGTGGGATATAGTCTCGTGGTTTGCCGTTTTTTAAGCCGGTCTGAAAAGCGCAATATTCGGGTGGGAGTGAGCCGCTTTTCCAGGTGCATCCGTCAACACTTTCTTTGACTCGGAAAGGGAACTCCCTGACCCCTTGCGCTTCCCAGGTGAGGCAATGCCTCACCCTGCTTCGGCTCGCGCACGGTGCGCGCACCCACTGGCCTGCGCCCACTGTCTGGCACTCCCTAGTGAGATGAACCCGGTACCTCAGATGGAAATGCAGAAATCACCCGTCTTCTGGGTCGCTCACGCTGGGAGCTGTAGACCGGAGCTGTTCCTGTTCGGCCATTTTGGCTCCTCCCTCAGGTATAGAGTTTTCTAAAATAACTTTTTAATGTAATTACTGATATACAAGTTGAATTGTATAATCTAGCCATTGTTTCATTTCTTATTGGGTTCAAAGCATATCCACAAAAAAACTTGTACAAAAATGTTCATGGCAGTATTATTCATGATATTCCAAAAAGTGGAAATAAACCAAATGTTCTTCAACTGATGAATGCATAAATAAAATGTGATGTGTTTATATAATGGAATATTATTCAGGTATTAAAAAAGCCTTAAAAGCATTATGCTAAATGAAAGAGCCAGACACAAAAGGTCACACATTGTTCAATGACATTCACATAAAATGTCTAAAATAGGCAAATTCATAGAGACAGAAAGTATATTAGTGGTTGTCAGGGTATGCCGGAGGGGGGAATTGGGAGTGCCTGCTAACAGTGTTGTGTTTCTTTTTGGGGTGATGAAAATTTCCTGGAATTAAATCCTGATGATAATTGTACAACCTTATAAATATACTAAGAACTACTGACTGACATATTTTTAAATGGTTAATTTTATGTTATGTGAATTTTATCTCAGTTTTTTAAAGTGCAAAAAAATCAGTGAAATTCAAGTTATAACCACAATGCGTACCACTGCACTTTCCCCAGAATAGTTAAATAAAAGGACTGGTAATAACAAATACCTCAATAATATGGATTTCTGGGAACTCCCATACGTTGCTGGTGGGAGGATAAATTTGTTCAAATCCTAGAAAAATTCCTTATCAGCATTTACTAATCACCTATATACATATACATACGGAGGTATTGGCATGGAGAGATATCAAGAACATAATATGTGAACAAAAGCTGGCTGCAGTACAATGCCACTTCCAAAAAATTTGACAGATGAAATGCGTCATATTAGATGCATATGTAAGTATGTAAAGGACAAAACTCGTGGATTCAAGGCTATATGTTAGAATTGTGGTTACCCTTGAGGAATGAAGGAAGGGAATAATAGAGTCGGTGAGGCTTTTTTCAAAAGAAGGAAAAAAGATAAAAAGAAAATCTTCCTATTTTAATAAAATCAGTTTTAATTGCATAGTGAAGCAGTGTTCTTTCATTTTTCACTTTAATGGAGTAAACTGAAATCAGAGGCAAAAGCAGATTTCCACTGCTAATAAGTCTCACAAGGCAAACTAAGGTCATGTCTTTCAATAACTTGATCAACATAAGCAGATGAATAGACCAGCTGTGCCTGGGGTGAGGGAAAAGCAGCTGGCGGAGAGATGTGAGAAACCGGAAGGACTCTGAAAAACACCAATGTGAATATATAATATGTTGCTGAATGAACAAGATAACTCCTAGGCAAGAATTTGCAAATCTAGGTAAACATTGTTACAATATGTGCCCTTTGATTTTAAAAAGGAAATCAAATTGTTCAGAAAATAAATCTATTTGTCAATCCCACAACTCCAGATCTATTTGTCAGAATAGGCCTTTTAAATGTCTGGTTCTAATTTTTTCTGTCTGCTGGACTTTCTTGTTTCTCTTACTGAAGGCATCACAAGAGATATCTAATAAGCCTAAAAATATATTGTTCTTCTTTACTAGCTCCCTGTGCCCTCAAGACCGCCTTACAAAACCAATTATCACGTGATTGCAATAACACATTTCTGTGAAGGCAAGTTGGGACCCACCAAGGCCAAAGGATTTGCCGGCAGTAGGAAGATGAAAAAACTATTTCAATTTCTCACTCATCTCTCTCTCTCTCTCTCTCTCTCTCTCTCTCTCTCTCTCTCTGTCTCTCTCTGTCTTTCTCTGTTGTTACATCATTAGAATTCCTGTGAAATTCTAAAAAATAAAAAGTTGATTCCCTTGGACTTCAATCATTACCAAGAAAAGTTAAAAGCTCCCATTTATGACAATGGTTACTAAATGGAGGTGAAAATTAAATGTTATGAGATATTATTAATCATATATACACTTCTACTCTTTAAAGTTAAAATGGAACTCATAAAATTTCTGCCAAAGAAAACAGCATTGGCGTAAATGATGTTTTTACACCTATGCCACTGTATGAATGTCCTTCTGTAATTGCTGTATTATAAAATATTTACAAGAACTAAAGAACTTAGTTAATTCATAAATGTCTGCAGAAATGCAAAACAAGTTAGTCTTTCACATCTGTAACAACATCTTGAGAATTGTTTGGGAATAATCTTTATTCAACTGGTATTCAGCCTATAAATCAGGCCAATCTCTTATTATCATTTTTGTCTCCCCTTCAAAGGGCCTTGGCCAAGACCTAATGAACTCATATCACCTCAGCCTGCTAAAGACTTCCTTTTTGGGATCAATCTTGGTTATAATGATTCAAAATTAGGTTATTCACTTCTTTAAGAGTAAAAACTCCCTAGAGGCATCTGTAGTCTTTAATGTATTAACTGAGCATGCCATCTAGATTACATTTACTACTGTGGAATTATCTTCCTGTAATATGCCCATAGAGCTTATTTTTTTGGTAATCTTCTCTTTTCCATCTGCATTCTGTCTTGATGATCTCTTCACAAACGAATGGTATTAAATGTCACCTCTAACCTAGTAAACTCAAAATTTGTATCTCCATCTTAGAATTCTCTTCTGAACTGATTTAGCTATCCAACTGCCTTCATTTGGATGGGACATCTGAAATTTAGCATTTCTATAACTGAGCTCCTAATGTTCTCCTTGGGTTGCTCTACCTTTCACTTTCCCAGTCTCAGATGACTTCATCATTGAAATTATTCAGAACAGAAACCTTGGAGTTCTTCTGGACTCCTCTTTCTCACACATCTTACCTCTAAAATGCCAGGAAAATCTATTGACACTACCACTAAAATATATCCCAAATCTGACTGCTTCTCGTCACCTCTGCTGTTGCTAAATTTGTCCAAGCCACCATTTATCTTTGGGTTGGATTTCTGCAGTTGCTTCCTACTGTATCCTCTAGCGTCTATCCTTTTCCACTAACAGTCTTTTTTTATACAGCAGCCGGAGTGGACCTTTCTAGTATCTAAGCCACATGACATTAGTTCTTTCAAAATGCTGCAACGTTTTCCCATTTCACCTGGGGCAAAGCCAAAGTCTTACAAAGATTCACAGGGTCCTCTTTATCAGGCCTCTCTTTACTTCTCTTATTCATGTCCTACTTCTTCCTTCTGATGCTCCTGTCAGCATACTCTGGGACATTTTCTCCGATTGTTTCCAATACCTGGTTCTTTTCCACAAATGTTCATTAGATTAGTCCCTCACTCTTTAAATTCTTTGCTCAAATTTCATCTTCTTGATGAGGTCTACTTTATTCACCCTATTTAACTTTGCAACTTGCACCCTGAGCAGTACAACTAGTCTTCCTTTCCCAGAATTATGCTTTTTTCCCCATAGCCTTCATCTTTGCCTCAAATACTGCATAATCCAATTATTTCTTACATTAAATATTTATTGTCTGTCACTTCTTCTAGAATGTAATATTCTCAAGAGAAGTTAATGTTATCCATTTCATTCATTGATACATCCCTAAGTGACTAGAATAGTACCTAGCATATAGTAGGGATTCAACAAATACATTTATTAGATTGCCTTTCATTATTGCCTTTAAATTATTGACACATTACATCATGAATGAACTTCAAAAACATTATATTCAATGAAAGAAGCTATGCACAAGAAACCACATTATATAAATTCATTTCCATGAATCATCCTGAAAAGACAAGTACATAGAAAGAATGTAGATTAGTGGGGTTGTGATGGGAATGAGGAGTGATTATGCATGAGGGATCTTACTGGGGTGGAGGGTGTGGATAAAAGATTCTAAAACTAAGCTGTGGTGATGGTTGCACCACTACATTTGATAAGATTACAAAAAAATCATTAAATTGTACACTTGAAGTGGGTGAATTTTATGACATGTGGAATATACCTCAAAGAAATTTTGAAAACATCTAGTCAATGGCTCCAAATTACTCTTACAACATAGTTCATATTACTTCAAGTAATTGAGAAGGCCCTTGGCTTTCTGGCCTTATTCTATGCTTTTTCCACTAGTGTTTTTATTTTTTTAGTGTATGGTCCTCTTTAACCACTTAGCCTTCTTAAGAGTCATTCTCTTTGCTAGATATACTCTTCTCATTCCCATTTCCCTCATCATCTGCTCTTATTTTGCTAAAATTGCAGGTCTCTGCTTGGATGTTACTTCCTCTTGCATCAATACCTCAAGACTTCAAATACCTGACATGGTTATTACAACATAGGAGATACTTAGCAAATTATTTGCTGAACAAATGAATGACTGAATATATGATTGTTATTTTAAAAGGATACTTTGTGTATAAAGCTGCTTTGATGATGTAGATATAAATTACGTTTGAATGTGCAAAACTGAAATTCTATCTATTAGATGGTTATAAAATTTGCTATTATTTTAGCCATTATTTTCTTCCAGAAACATGTTGCATTGTGGTAAACATATTTATATACAGTACTAATTAACAATCAAATACGTGACACTTCCTTTGCATTGCTCCTTTTTCGACGAGGCTTTTTATTGAGAATGAAGTTGTCTAAATTCAAAAAGCTTACCTTACATATCATGACTTAAGATCATCTGACTGTGAACTTAAAAGCAATATAATTTGAAACATTAGCTCAACTATTGCTTTAGACTTTATTCATCTAACCCTGCAGTCATGGATGTCATTAATTCAATGAGTAGAAATCTATTGTACAACAAAATTTACAGAGAATAAATGGGTTATTCATTCAATTTGTCAAAAATACTATCTCTTGGCTGGGTGCCATGACTCACACCTTTAATACCAGCACTTCAGGAGGCTGAAATGGGAGATCACTTGAGGCCAAGAGTTTGAGACTAGCCTGGGCAGCATAGGAAGACCCTCACTTCCACCAAAAAAATAATAGCCAGGCATGGTGGTGCATACCTATAGTCCTAGCTGCTTGGGAGGTGGAGGCAGGGGCATCACTTGAGCCTAGGAGTTCAAGGCTGCCGTGAGCTATGACCCCTTCACTCCAGCCTGGGCAACAGTGGGAGACCCCATCTCTTTAAAAAATACCTTCTCTTCATACTTAGAATGGAATACAAAAAAGAGAAATAGTAAAACCAAATGGAATATTGTTCTTTCCTTTCTTAAGCCTTTTATTTCTCTATCTTAGAATGTATAAAGTTCTCATGCTGAAGTCTCAGAAGTACAAAAGTCTTAATCTTGCAATCACATTACATGATATTTAAATGGTGACGTTCCTCTGCATTGAGTCATAGACATTATTCCTTCTCATTTTCCTTACACACTGTTGATACTTCTCAAATTTCTATTATTTTTTTAATTTTTTAATTTTTTATTATTATTATACTTTAAGTTTTAGGGCACATGTGCACAATGTGCAGGTTAGTTACATATGTATACATGTGCCATGCTGGTGTGCTGCACCCATTAACTCCTCATTTAGCATTAGGTATATCTCCTAATGCTATCCCTCCCCCCTCCCCCCAAAGGACTATAAATCATGCTGCTATAAAGACACATGCACACGTATGTTTATTGCGGCACTATTCACAATAGCAAAGACTTGGAACCAACCCAAATGTCCAACGATGATAGACTGGATTAAGAAAATGTGGCACATATACACCATGGAATACTATGCAGCCATAAAAAATTTCTATTCTTAAACCATGCCATTTATTCCTGAAACTTCAGTTCTATTTGAATATACCCAAGACTGGAAACCAATCTAGGTGAGAATACCTTGAGCTGCAGACCTTTTCATCTAGCATCCTACTTAGTACATCTAATTAGATGCCTCATTTAAGATAGGGATCTTCAATTCAAATGTTCAGAGTTCAACTCCTGACCTCCCATTAATGGAAATAATTCCTCCTCCAGAATATTTTATGTCAGGAAATGGGACCTTAAGCCAACACATGGTTGTCATCTGAAGTGTAGGAGTCATCTTTTACATTTTCCTCTCTTTTCCATTATCTAATTCATTACTGTGACCATTAGTAGGTGGATTCTTCCTCTAAAATAGATAGTGAATCTAATTACTCTCTCCATCTCTCCAGCCACTACCAATCATTACCATAGTTAAAATCTTCATATTTCACCTGCAATTCTACCCACTTCCCCTCATGCCGATCTTGAATTTATGTTCACACAATAGCCTGCCTAAATTCTATTTATCTTTTGAGTTAATCTTTGATGTCACTGCTGCAAGGAACTATTCCCTAACACTCCAAAGTAGATTGTTTCCTCATGTTACACATTCTTCTATTTTCCCATCATTATCCTTCATATTGACATTCACAGTTTCATTAATTATTTGTGTAATGATTTACATTGTAAAAACACAAAAAAATAGTTCACCACTGGTCATTAATGTCCAGTGTATATTTGGCACTGAGTGAATATTTGTGGAATAAAAAATAAATAAATAAATCTGTAGATGGATTCTAACTTTGGCATTGTCCTTAAAAATACCTTTCCTAGTATACAATATTGAATTCTACTTTTACTGACTGTATGATATCTTTAATTCTTTAACAGGAAATATATTTTGATATGTTATTTAAAATTGTGACTTGACCTTACTGATTTTTTCAAATAAAAAGTATTTTTTCAAAAACTGATTTTTTTCTCTCTAATTTCCCCTGCCAGCATCAATCTCACATTTTACAGTTATTTTAGTGTTCATATTTTAAAAACATTTTTGTTCTGTTCTCTGGTGCCCATAATACATCACTTGGAATATTACAGCTTTAGAATATATTCTAATGCCTGATATAGCAAACTTATATTCGTTTGCCAACTTTTTTCAAAATTTTCACATATTTGTGCTTTCACATAAAATTCTAAAACTATATCATAAAATTTAAAATTATGAGAATTTTCTGAATGTTGCATTTAAATTTATAGTTTAAATTAAGGGAATATAGTTCTGTTTAGTATATAAAATATTCATTTAGAGAAACATGTCTCTTCACTGATTCAAGGTTTCTCTCATGCTTTTGTATAATTTTGAAGGCTTACTGCTGTAAGCCTCAAATATTTCTTTTATTTTATTTTTTTATTTTAAAGAGACAGGGTTTCACCATGTTGACCAGGCCATTCTTGAACTCCTGGACCCAAGTAATCTGCCTTCAGTGGCCTCCCAAAGTGCTGGGATTTCAGATGTGAACCACCGTGTCTGGCCTAAGGATTTCTTTTCATGTGCATTCCTAAATGTTTGCCATTATACTATTAAATTATTATTGTTATATCAGAAAATGATTGGATTTTCTACAATTATTTTTTGACTAGTAAACTTACTGAACTGCCGTAATTTCTAACAGCATTTCAGTTGATTCTTTTGTCTTTGTAATATGGAGTCATCAGTAAATAATCACAATTTTTCCTACCTTTTACCAATATTTTTACCACCTGTGACTATATCAGATGTTGTATTAGCTATCATTTCTGGAATGATGATACAAAGTCGTGAAATAAACCAAGGCAGCCTTGGTTTATTTCTCATTAGAGAAGAGACTTCTAGGCACCTCCCAAACCCTAGTTTCTTTTCCTTCTCAGTATGCAGCTAGACTACGTTTTCCATTCCCTTTTGCACAAAGGTGGGACCATAGAAGTGGATGGGATGTGGGCAGAAGTAATGTACACCACTCCCAAGCCTGTTCCCTAGGAACTTCCCAAGTAATCTTCCTTACTTTCTCTGTTCCCATGTGAAGCTAGTGGTCAAAAGTTCTGATTCCTTGGTGAATATTGAGGCCAAAATAAAAAAAAGAGTGAATCTTGAGTCAACACTTAGAGGAGAGCTGCCCAGCAGAACTGCCAGAACAAGAACTCTCATATAGAAAAGTAGTGTGAGCAACTTTTGTTGAATAAACCACTAAGATTTGGGGGCTGTAACAGCAATGACCATATCCCAATTATTTCACCATTTTAATCAAAATGACACTAATCTAAACTCCTAAACAAAATCTCGATTGTTCGTTTGAAATATGTAGGATTTTCTAAACCACTCTTTAATTCTTATTCCATCAATAACTTTATAAATCTAAAATCAACCTGAAGATCTATGAAATAACTTTTTGAAATATATCAAGATTATCATATAATTTTTAAACTGTCTTATTCTGTAACAAATTATATCCATAGATTATCCAATGTCCAATCATACCGAGCTTTTAGAATAAAACTTTCCTGGCCGTTCTGAACAATTACTTTAATATATTGCTGAATTCAGTTTTCTAAATAACATTTTTGATTTTGATTTTCAAATTTTCAATGATATTGACCTATTGTTCTTAATTTTTCCATGTTTATTTTCCTTCCTTTATATATTTTTAAGGCATTTCTATTATGTTTTCTCAGCACTTCTTCAGAAAAACATTTATTCTATTTTCTGCAGATCATTTAAAATAGGTTATAAACATGAATTCCTTGAAGGTTTGAAAGAATTTTACATTAAAGTCATCTTGACTCAATGTTTTATGTGGACATGGAGTGGTAGGTATTTGGCAACAGCCTTAGTTTCTCCTATAGTCACTTTGCTATTAAAATACTCTACCTTTTCAGCCAATTTTAGACCTTCGTGATTCCACTAAAATTGTCTACTTTGTAATTGATTTGCTTATTTACAAATTCTACTTTTTTTCCTTTTCCTTCAATTTCTGAATTTATGACCAGAAAGTAAAGCAATTCCATTGCCAGTTCTCTATGATGTACACAAAATTATTAAAAACAACACATTCTGAACTAAATCATGTTTAGACTTCTTCCTAAATGAGACAATTATAAATAGTATTTATTTGGGCATTCCTCATAACAACTTGACTCCTACTCTCCCTTTCTCATTCCTTAAGGTAAGGCAATAATAAACAGAACATGAAAATCTTCCTAATCACTGTGGAAGCAGAAAACAACTCATTACATTTCATATGAATGTGAGAGAATTGGTGTCAACATAGCAGTACCAAATCTGAAAGGCAAATACTCATCAGCTGAGGAGATGCTCAGTAAATATTTGTTGAAGAAGTAAATGAATCAGGGCCAAAATCACTATTCCTGTAGTCTCTTGAATATATTTCTACAGGCTGTTTGAAAATTAGCCGAAAAAAAAAATAGTTTTAGTTTGATACATTTCAAAATATATTAAAAAGTGACAATGCATGGTTCTTTATATAATATGCAAGTTCTATAATAGATCAGTTCACATGGTGAAGTCCACTCTAACTCTATCCCAAACCTGAGATTTGTTAAACAAAAATTTATTTGCTCAAAGATTCTCGGGCTGGGCGCGGTGGCTCACGCCTATAATCCCAGCACTTTGGGAGGCCAAGGCGGGCGGATCACTAGGTCGGGAGATCGAGACTATCCTGGCTAACACGGTGAAACCCCGTTTCTACTAAAAGTATAAAAAATTAGCCGGGCGCAGTGGTGGGCACCTGCAGTCCCAGCTACTTGGGAGGCTGAGGCAGGAGAATGGCGTAAACCCGGGAGGCGGAGCTTGCAGTGAGCTGAGATGGGCCACTAAACTCCAGCCTGAGCAACAGAGCGAGACTTCGTCTCATAAAAAAATAAAATAAAAAAAGATTTTAAAAAATGCTCTAAAATCTGAAGCTAGTGATCTCTTCATATAATTTGGGAAAAGAATACCTTATTTAAACATAGCTTGGAAAATTAAATGATTAAAGATATCAACATGAAGAATGAAGCAGAAGTCTTCAAAGCTTTTTAGCAATACAAGCTTTTCAATCACACCATCCCATCATTTAATACCTGTGAGGTAAGCAGATGGTGACAATTTTATGTAAGAAAATGTCATATTTGTAGCACAAAGAAGCTTATTGTGTCCATATTTTCTGCCAAGGGCATGCCTTTGTAATACTTCAAATTTGTACTTACTCTGATTGGGATCACAGCAGTGAAAAAATAGTGGTTCTACGGCTGCCTGTTGATTTACCATGTGTGGCCCCATTCCAATTGCTCTCATTATCATCTCTCAACCTAAAAGCAAGAGGTGCCTTTTATTGACCAAAGAGAGTGGACTGATAGGACTTTTCTTCCATGGATTGAAGCAAACCAAGGCAACCTAATTGTCTTTATGTAAGGGAGGCAATTCTCAATCTAACAGGGTCAAAGTGTTCTAACTTCTTTCTTCACAAAGAGAAAAAGAGAATTTGCCATATATATATATACACGTTAATGGCAAATGTTAATATATGGTGCTGCAATAATATATATATATATACACGTTAATGGCAAATGTTAATATATGGTGCTGCAATAGTGAGATCGCACCCGGTCCCTGTCTTTTTGAAAAAAATGTGCAACACATTTTCTATTGTAAATTTCTTGCTTCTCTCTGTTGAAGAGGTAAAGCATTACTCCAGTGCCTACCTAGTAAATTTATGGGTCTAGTTATTTTTTTCAAAACTCTAAAATTTTTCCTAAATGCACATGTTGTCAAAACAATTCCCTAAATTTGATGAGTAATTTAGGAAAGGACAACAAATAGGCTTTGGAAATACGTGAACATGAAAAGCAATGATGAGAAAAGTATGTTAGTATATGATTTTGGCTTGAATCTGTGGATGTTTGTGCAGCAGGTAAAAGATACTGCAAGCTGTATTTATACTGGTCATGAGTGAAAAGGATAGTTTACAGATTCTTTGTTAGTGTTCATTGCTGGATAAGTACATCTACATGCAGGATTCGTTAGTTTAACTACAAATTAAAATAATTCTTATGTGACAATTTTCTTGAGGTGTAGAGAGTTCTAAAAATAATTTACTCTTTTTTTTCCTTCTGAAGAATTGGAGTAAATTTCTGCAGAAGCTTTTATATGAGTAATTCTTAGATAAAGTTACACTTTAAAAAATCTCATGAGAATCGACCAACTACATAAATCTGGAGTCTACCATAGTAGCTAAATTTTTGACTTGTTCTAAGTAAACATTTGAACTTTTAATTTCACCCATTAATAACAAAACCACATGTGTGTGGACAGTTGTTTTGAATATTTCTCTATCTGCTTTTCTAAGATTTTGCTGACATTTCAGAAAGCAAGTGTCATTTTGGGAAGTTTCTTTTTTGTCAAGATAGTTTTGAGGCAAAAAGCAAAGCCACTGCACCTCTTTATTGATTTCTTCATGTCTGAATTCAAAATGTCAATAGTTTCATTGATATGTGTGATTATTTTGAAAAGACGGCCATTATGGAACAGTTTTAGATTTACAGATAGTTTTCAAAGATGATATGTGGAATTCTCATATAACTTCTCATATATCTCATATACCACTGATTTTCCCCCAATGTAGACATCTTACATATCTTCAGTACATTTCTCAAAATTATGAAAATATCATTGATACAATACTATTGGTTAAACTACAGACTGCATTTGGATTTCATCGGTTTTCCTGTAATGTCCCTTTTCTGTTCCAGGATCTTATCCAGGATACCATGTTGCATTTACTCAACATATCTCCTTTTTCTCCTTTGAACTGTAACCTTTTTAGCCTTTTCCTTTTTTGTGTGATTTTTGAGTGTTTTGAAGAGTACTAGTCAGGTATTTTGTAGGATGTCTCTGTATTTGAGTTCGTCCGATGTTTTCTTATGATTACATAGTACTATGGTTTAGGGGAAAAACACCACAGGAGTAAAGCGCCCCTCTCTTTACATCATAGGAAAGGGTACTTGGGTACCTAAAATCAACATGACTTATTGCTTGTGGTGTTAACCCTGATCACTTAGGTGTTAAGGTGATGTCTGCCAAGTTTCTCCACTGTTAAGTTAGTATTTTTCCCTTTCCATATTCTATTATTTGGAAGTAAGTCATTAATTCCAGCTCACACTCAGGAAGAGGAGAATTAAGCTTTACCACCCAGAAATGAAAATTATTGAAATGTATTATTTGAAATTCTTCTGTAAGAATGATTTTCCCCTCCCCACCCCATTTATTTATTTGTTCAAAAATTTACTTATAACAATTGTGTAATTGTGCATATTGATTTTAATTTTTTGGTCTAATTCTTTGGCTCCAATACTATTATTATTCATTTGTTGCTAAAATCGTTGTAGCTTTGGCCATTAGAAGCTCTTTCAGGTTGGCTCCTATGTTCTGACATGCTCCCGTCCATATTTTGTGTGGTGGTGGTTGTTTTGTAACTTTCTGTCAAAACAAACGCTTCAAGTTCATCATACATTTAATATTTTCTGGTCTTTAATATGTCAATTCTCCAAGATGCCCTGGTTCATTTCATCGGATTATGTCATTTGGAAAAAAAATCTGTAATTTAAGACATTTTAAAATAAACATTTTACTTCAGAACAGTGTTAGATTTACAAAAAGAAAATGTGATGGTAGTACAAAGAGTTCCCATATACCCTGTACATAGTTTCCTGTATTTTTAACAAATTATATTTATTATAATTAATGAACAAATATTGCTACATTAGGATTAACTAAAGTCTGTACTTAATCAGATTTCCTGAGTTATCCAGTGTCCTTTTCTGTTCCAGGGTCACATCTGAGATAATTACTTTACATTTAGCATCATGTCTTCGTAGGCTCCTATGTAGGCTGCAACAGTTTTTCAGGCTTTTGTTATTTTCGGTGACCTTGACAGGTTTTAGGAATACTGGGTCAGATGTTTTGCGGGATGTCCCTTTTAAAGATTTGTCTGATATTTTCCTATTGATTATCCTGGGGTGATATGATTCTGAAAAGAAGACCACAGAGGTGGGGTGCCATTTTCATCACATCTTATCAAGGGCACGTGGGGTCAACGTGATTTGTCATTGTTGATGTTGGCCTAGATCACATGGTTGAGGCAGTACTTGTCAGGTTTCTCCAGGTTAAAGCTACTCTTCCTATACTTCTTTCCATACTGTCGTCTTTGGAAGATAGATACTGTCTGCAGCCCACACTTAAGAAGTGGAAAGTTGTATTCTACCTCCTTGGGGGCAGAGTATCTACATGAATTATTTGTAATTTTTCTGCATGCGATATTTGTCTAATATAATAAATGTCTCCCTCATTTATTTATTTATTCAAACTTTATATGAGTATGGACTTGGGGATATTTATTTTATAAATTGAGTCTATCCACATCTACTTTATTTCTTTTCTTTCTCAAATTATTCTGGCTTTGGATAACAAAAAAATGATTTTTACTATATTTCAGGAATAACTTCATATACACTCGGAGTTTATGCCTGCTGAAACAAATTATCTTCAGTAATAATTTACTGCTTGATTGTGCCTTTTTATAAGTCAGGCACAGCAGTAAATACTTCCAACATATTTTTAATCCCTGAAACACTGCAAGAAATCTCAAAGATGTGTAAACAGGGGCCCAGCTTTCTTATCTCTAACATTTTATAGACATGTCTAGTTGCACCCAGTTGTTTGAGGCATATTCCAAAACTAGATTTGAAAAGTAAAATAGTTTAATTAGGTGTCATAGATTCCTGTGTCTGAAACTAAACTAATAGTTGGGAAATTTCACATCAATTGTCTTGTTAACGTTGTCAATTTTTAAATTTGAAGTAGTAACTAACATTTTATGCAAATTACTGTGTCATAATTGTCTATAGCAGATATAGGCATTAAACTTAAATATCATGGGTATGAAAATTAGCTTAAAAAGTGGAAAATAAGTTTGATATAAAGTCTCAAAGGTTCGCCATCCTTCACAGTGAATAATTTTTTCAGATCATGCATATGTTTCAAATGTCTTGTTAGACTTTCACTCAAGTGAAAACTATGCTTATAATTATGTGAACTAGAATCTGTCTCTTTGATGAAAACAGAATATTTTTATACAGTTTTAATATACACTGAATTTTTCCAGGGATGCAACTACCACATAAAATGAGGAAAGGTTTTGGTTAAAACTTAACAAAGCATTGTTTACGTTTTTAATGATGTTTTTGTGTGAATTGATAGTTTGTTTCTTTTTGCTGCTTAGTATCCCAAACCACTGAATTTTATCTTGAGTATTTAATAGTTAATCAATATGGCATCCTCATTATAATAGCAAGGAACAAGGAAAGGAAAGTAATTTATAATAAAACTGCATTTCTGAGGCCGGGCGCGGTGGCTCACGCCTGTAATCCCAACACTTTGGAAGGCCGAGGCGGGCGGATTACGAGATCAGGAGATCGAGACCACGGTGAAACCCCAACTCTACTAAAAATACAAAAAAATCATCCGGGCGTGGTGGCGGGTGGCTGTAGTCCCAGCTACTCGGGAGGCTGAGGCAGGAGAATAGCGTGAACCCGGGAGGCGGAGCTTGCAGTGAAGCGAGATCGCGCCACTGCACTCCAGCCTGGGAGACAGAGCAAGACTCCGTCTTAAAACACACAAACAGGCCGGGCGCGGTGGCTCACGCCTGTAATCCCAGCACTTTGGGAGGCCGAGGCGGGTGGATCATGAGGTCAGGAGATCGAGACCATCCTGGCTAACAAGGTGAAACCCCGTCTCTACTAAAAATACAAAAAATTAGCCGGGCGCGGTGGCGGGCGCCTGTAGTCCCAGCTACTCGGGAGGCTGAGGCAGGAGAATGGCGTGAACCCGGGAAGCGGAGCTTACAGTGAGCCGAGATTGCGCCACTGCAGTCCGCAGTCCGGCCTGGGCGACAGAGCGAGACTCCGTCTCAAAAAAAAAAAAAAACAAAAAAAACCAAAAAAAACCACACAAACAAACAAACAACAAAAAAACTGCATTTCTGTCAGTTAATACTCTGAATTGACTACACCAGGAGAAAAAATGAAGTGTTTCGATGATTGTTGAACATATTTATAATAAAACATTTGGGATGAAGAGAATAACAACAATTAGAAGAAAAGTGAAAGTGTCAGAAAAAGTATTAACAAAGCAAAGTAATTTGTATGTAATAAGAGAAAAATGAAAATAATTGGGGTAAGACTATTGTTCCAAGAAAATTAATAGCTGCTGAAGGGGAGAAACAAGGAAGTATAATATTCTTGCAAATATACTGGACTTTATTTTCAAATTTAAGCATCAAATTCTTGACATTATGTTACGAGACAAGCTTTTGATAGCAAATATTTTTGTCTAAAATCACACCATGTGTCAAGGCAATCATTCAGTCTTTAGTTCTTAAAAATAACCTAAACACTGTATATTCAGTATTTGATAGGAAACAGACATTAGGTTGGAACAAAGATAAAATGATAAAAGAGCCTATGTTCTAAACCTCTAGGGACCATATTAGAGAAAGATTAAAAAATAGTGCACAACACAAAAATGTGTCTTAAATATATAGTTGTAGCAAAATATATTACTTACCATTGTGCTATAATACATTTCAGATATTTAGTATGATAATGATATGAAACATTTTAAAACATTTATTAGCCTCATTAATGAAATTTCATGAGATCCCTGGATTTAATATTTCATTCACATGATGGAAAGAGTCTCCGGTCACCTCTGTTATCCATATATAGTTGGTTTCATCTGTTTTGCCGTAGCTGCAGTACATCTGTGAAAAACTTGTCAGCTACTGTAAGAATAAAAATGCTACTTTTTTTCCAAAAATGTGTATATGAAAGCCTTCACTAGATTCAAATGTTTGATAATTCAACTTTGCTCTCAAGGGTATCTTTTAGCTCGATTAACACTTTCTGTAAAAGTTGGCTAGTATGTTCCAACTCTATTTCAAATTAATTAATATCCTAACCTCCTATTTAAGTTCATATGGATCTTTAAGTACAAAGATCATATTTTTTAATAGCCTCCACATGAGAACATATTATTTACTATCCAATATTTATAAATTTATCACATCTAATTTTCTAAAAAAACCTATACAAATTCTAGGTCAGACAGACATTTTTAAAGTAACAACTTTATTGATAAACCAGTGGTAATTTTCTTCACTTTAAGAAAATCTGCATATCATTACACATTTAAAAGAAACTATTGATATATTTTAATACATAAAAACCTTTGTCAAACAATTTCACATATTAATTCTGTTTCTTTTTTTTTTTTTTTTTTTTTTTTTTTTTGAGACGGAGTCTTGCTCTGTCGCCCAGGTCGGACTGCGGACTGCAGTGGCGCAATCTCGGCTCACTGCAAGCTCCGCTTCCCGGGTTCACGCCATTCTCCTGCCTCAGCCTCCCGAGTAGCTGGGACTACAGGCGCCCGCCACCGCGCCCGGCTAATTTTTTGTATTTTTAGTAGAGACGGGGTTTCACCTTGTTAGCCAGGATGGTCTCGATCTCCTGACCTCATGATCCACCCGCCTCGGCCTCCCAAAGTGCTGGGATTACAGGCGTGAGCCACCGCGCCCGGCCCTCTGTTTCTTAATTAAATCAAAAATCTATATAATATCAAATATTGAACAAAATATCATAACAGAGGCACAGAAATTATATAATTTGTATTTCCCTCCATCCTAAGATGTCCTAATAATGTCTTGGATTATTATAATATTAAATTTTCTCCAGCAGTATGGGGCTCACTACAATTTGTTATTTGTGCTGTTCTATAATTGTCAACTAGAACTTTCTTCTTTTAATGAGATTTTTCAAAATACTCCACTCAGTGTGCTTACAATTTTCAAATTTTTCATTAAAAATCTTAAAAGTGCCATATATATTTTTTGCCAACTTTAAAACTGTTTTTTTGTAGAATGTTTAATCTTGACAGGTTTCTTTGTCAAGATTAAAAAGTAACAGAAAAAAAGTAACGATTTTAAAACTTAGCTCACAATAAACTGTGAACCTTCATTTGTGAGCTAAGTTTTAAAGTCTACTCTCAAACATTCAATTAAATATTCTTATCACATTTTTATATTTAACAATTGAAAATTATGGCCAAAGACATATTTTAGGCATATATACACACATACACACACGGAGAGAATCTGTATTTATTTCTTCTTGTTTCTTTATCTCTCTTTTTTGTTTGGTTTTGGTTTTTAGAAACAAAGTCACAAATAGTAAGTTTCTTAAATCAGATTTAAAAGATGAATTAACATGCAGATATATTAAATGTAGCTGTTTGAAGAAAATGTTTTTACATCTGGAAGGAAAAGCATGTTTTGTTTAGGAAAATACCTCGGGAGCTCACTTGGAATAAGGACATTCCTGTTGTCTGGCATCCTTGGCCACTAGCCACACTAGGCCAAGAGCTTCTTCTCCACCTCACAACCAAACGATGAAGATAAATAATACCCCACACCACAAACCCTAACAAATTTCAAAAATGGTCCTCTAGGGGGCGCCAGCTCTCCTGCTATTTTAAATCAAGGCTGGGGAAAATAAAGGGATTTTACAAAACAAGACATCATTATTCTTAGAAGTTCTTTATTTATTTGACTTGGGGCAGTCACTTTGCCCATCTTTCCTCCAGCTTCTGCTCTTCTGCTATAATGCACGGGCTTTCTCTTATCACTCTCCCAGTTCCTTACCTATTACGCAACACATGGCACACTTCTAATCTGGCAGTTCAGGTTTCTTTGTGGACTAAATCCTCACGGCTACTGCAATACCTCCTCCAAAGTAGTCTGTCAAAGCATTTCCCTAAATGACTATACAAAGCAGCAAAGTGATCATTTTTTCTATTCTGGTACATGTTTATTTGACTGTTTAAGAACTAGCAAAGACACACACCACCATTTACAATCTTAATTCTCTAGAAAACACACACACACAAATTCTAAATCAATGATTTACAAATTTGCTTTAGGCCATCATTCCTTCATAAATGAATGGCCCTCAGTAATAACCAACAGTCAATACAAGATAGAGGAGAAAAAATAACAAAATATCAATTTTCATCATTTCTTCCAAAGTGCCTGGTTTCTTTCCTTTGGTTATAACATATTACGTCAGGTTATCTTCATTCCTAATCTGCCTTGCTGAGCAAGAGGCAAAGTTAAATAAACAAAACTTCAGGGGAAAGTGAGTCGTGGTAATATATTTCTTTCAACTTCTTTATAAATGAGTAGAAAAGCATATTTTTACTTCAGTAGTTTACTCCCTTTCCCTCTGCTCCCCCCACAGCACGCATCTACTGCTTCCCAAATATCTTGAATTTTAATCTGAATCATAATTATATGCAAGTATAGTGGTCAAGGGAATGCTTCTTGTGTTCTTTGGGTAAAAAAATTTCACTACTTAACAAAGGCAAGAAAACTTAACTTTAGCCCTCAAAGATCCGATTTTAAAGCTATTCTCTAAGGTCCCACTTTGGGGGCTCTATTAATAACTATAGTCTATTTTAAATAGTTTATAGCGACATTTATATCCTTGGATGATTAAATCTACTGTGAACTAAGTGCTTCATTTCTAAATGCTTTTTGTTTTAAAATACATAGATTTACCAGAAGAGGGAGCAATCCATCTAGTCTCTGTTTACTTGATCTGTTTATCTTTTAAAAAATTGTATAAACATAAAATGTTTGAAAACTACCTACAGTTTTATGTGAATGTGTTTTTTGGCATTTCAAAGTTTTACTTTGTATTTATATAAATAAAGGTAAGAGATATTAAGATTTCTAAATTGCATTAAGTAAGGGCAGTAAATATTTCAGAACCAAATAGCTTTTTAAATTACCTTCCTTTCCTGAAGAAATTAAGTGAACTGTTGATGTAGTTGAGATAAAACCATAGAAGAAAGAGAATGTTAGTTAGAAGGTAGTTTAATGGCTTCAACTTATTGTTACTAATTTCTTTTTTTCCATTGCACTGATGCCATTTTGACCATTTAACCATTAAAAAGATTAAGTGTTATTGAGTGATGTTTATGAATGTTTCCCTCTGGCTTTTACAATATCTTAATAAATATAACACGTGTAAATCCACTTACGGCCAATATGCAAATATGTTGGAATTGTCACCTGAATGGAGGAAAGAGATAATGTGGCATATACATTTTTCTGATTGTTTCACTTTTATTACCAATTATACAGCATGTTATCTTAAATGACTTCATCCAAAAATGTATCTGTGATTATTCTTCAATTTAAACCATGAGGAAAATGTTGATTTCAGCATGGTCTGCCTCATGCCTGGGCTCATTTCCATGGTAGATATGATGCTTACTGAGGTTGTTGCATTTCTCTGTGTATGTCCTTTAAATAATGAATTGCCTGATTACATTAAATATTAGAATCATGGAAAATATATGAAATATGGAATCATAAATATACAGGTGTAAGTTAGAATGCACCTGTTATATTTAAGTATAGAACCATTCTTTTTTTTCAGAGGCTATATTGGGAGAAGGCAAATTTTGGTGCCTCTGTGGCATGGTATCCTATAAATCTGAGGCCAGTTAATTAGTGAATTAGAAAGAACTAGTCTGCTCATCGGAGTTGTTTACTTGGCTCATCTGCCTGCAAGAACCACGTTGCTGAATGCTGTTCTTCAGTGTCTCTTTTGAGCAAAAAGGCACTCCTCAGCTTGCTCCGTCTTGGGAGAGAGCCTTGGGAAGAGTGGATGCAATCCAAGGGTGTTACTGGAATTAGGGCTCTACAGGGCCAGGTTAGTGTGAGAATGGTTGTGGTTTGGTTTTAAGGGCTTTTTTTTTTTTTTTAAGTTGCTTTCTCTGTGAAGCTGTCCCTGTGTGAACCTCCAGTTCCCTCTTCCTTGTGGCATAGATGGAAAGGCAAAGGAGAGCTGGATTTCATGCTGAGCCCTATTTCTCTCTGTGCCAAATATACTCGCTGGTTATAATCACATATATGTTATTTTGCTCTAGGCATGCAGTGATTCTTTAAGCCGCCAGGTTCCGTGTAGCACATGGAAGGATCCGTTCATGGAGACTCAACAGGAAAGCTAATTCACCTGCGTTGAATCCATACCTTCCCTTTAGTGCCCAGGGTAGTAACACACAGCTTTACTAGTGCCAGCAGGGCCTCTCTAGCCTCAGAGTGTTGAAGCATTTTCTGAAATATCTAATGCATTGTCATGGAGTCATGAAATTCTCTTCAAAAAACAATAGAAGCCATTTCTGTCAGGCTCATTTACTTTAAACATCAATGAGATGGCATTTGGATTTTAATTTCTTTAACAGTGGAAGAGCATGAGCTTTGGCAGGAAGGGAGTGTTCTCTTCTACAGTTTCCACTGGAGAGGAGACTTGAAATTCTCGCCAATTTTCAGGCAGGCTTGTCAACCAAGATTATTACTAGGCCAATAGAAACTCACCTGTGGGACAGGGAGGGAAGCTCCTCCTCT
The DNA here is from genome assembly GCF_000001405.40 of Homo sapiens. Lineage (NCBI taxonomy): Eukaryota > Metazoa > Chordata > Mammalia > Primates > Hominidae > Homo > Homo sapiens. Next base: position 74,968,919 of record NC_000008.11, read on the forward strand.
TTATTACCAGCTACTTTGCCTCTCCCTTGGAGTATCTCGGCACTTGGGGGACACACAATGGAGAGTGCTGCTTGGAAGAGAGATGGAGGCAGATTAATCCTGAGGCTGATGAAATGAAGCTTCAGGGCCCATCACCTGCCCAAGCCCTTTCCAGGACCCCAGGAAAGGAATTAACGATATGTTCACCTGGTCTTATGTTTTCACAAACTTTGCAAAATACCATATTTTGATAACAGCCAATTAAGAACTCTGACTCTTTGTATGCTTCTCCTCCATTCCTCACACTTTTCCCCTCGTCCAGTGATACTGAAGTAGCGCTAGAGATTACTGGGTAAAGAGGAATGGAGCTGGGCAGCTAATTGTCAAGTTTAGAATTAGAGGAATATGTTTAGTTAGCAATCTCTTCTAAATATAGTCAAGTTATTGTTAGCTGTCTGCCTTAGGAATGGCTTCTTTGATGCTGAGGGACAAACAGTATCTTTCATCCCTTTAGAAAATATTACAATGTTGTTGCCATATAAGGAGGCGTACTCATCCAAAGACTAAAAGACCAGGTATCATAGAAAAATTTCATGCAGTGACAGATTAATGCATTACATTATTTTTCTGTACTAGCCTGGGATCTTTTACTACTTTGTAGGGTAATGTATTTGTATGGGACTTTGATAGAGAACTGCCAGATCTGGTTGACTTCTAGTGTTCTGTGTGGACAAGGTCAACATCACCATCAACAAATATTTATTGAATACTTATTAGGTGCAAGGCACTGTGCTAGGTAATGGGGATTTTAGGATTGCTAATTCCTAATCAGAAGAGATTACTTCCTCTTTGCGATGGCTATTTTTATGTGTCAACTTGATTGGACTGAAGGATACCTAGATAGCTGGTAAAGTATTGTTTCTGGGTATGTCTGTGAGGGTGTTTTAGTCAGTGGACTGGGAGAGGAAGACTCACCCTCAATGTGGGTGGGCACCATCAAATTGGCTGCCAGCGTGGCTATAACAAAGTAGTTGGAAGAAAGAGGGCTAAGTCTTAGTGGGACTTCTGGCTTTCATCTGTCTCCCATGCTGGATGTTTCCTTCTGTTCCTCCTGCCCTTGGACATCAGACTCCAGATTCCTCAGCCTTTGGACTATTGGACTTACACCAGTAGTTTGCCAGGGGCTCTCTGGCCTTCAGTTATAGACAAAAGGCTGCACTGTTGGTTTCCCTGCATTTGAGGCTTTTGGACTGGGGCTGAGCTTGCAGACAGCCTATCGTGGGACTTCGTCTTGTGATCATATGAGCTAATTCTCCCTAATAAACTCCCATTTTATTGTTTATTTTCTGAGACAGTTTCCCTCTGTCACTCAGGCTGGAGTGAAGTGGTGCAATCTCTGCTCACTGAAACCTACGTCTCTTGGGTTCAAGCGATTCTCGTGCCTCAGCCTCCCCAGTAGCTAGGATTACAGATGCGCACCACCACTCCTGGTTAAGTTTTGTATTTTTGGTAGAGATGGTGTTTCACCATGTTGGGCAGGCTGGTCTCAAACTCCTGACCTCAACCCATCCCCCCACCTCAGCCCCCCAAAGTGCTGGGATGACAGGTGTGAGCCACTGCGCTGGGCCCCTAATAAACACCCTTTCATATACACAAACATCCTATTAGTTCTGTGCCTCTGGAGAACCGTAAGACATTCTTCTAAAATAATTTGTCTGTAGTCATGCATTGATAAAGTACATTATATTTAGCATCACATTTGACCCTTACAATACCATTCTGCAGGTGTTACTGGATCTCTTTTAGAGATGGGTAAACTAAGACTTAGAGGGCTCATGTAACTTTTTGAGTCCATGAGAGTATATATGGCAGAGCTTGGACTGGACCTCCTGTCTGGATGCACACCACTGCCTTCCCTCTGAGCCACAGATGCTGCTTGCCAGTCCCTCCCTAGGTTCATCATTAGATGTAGCTGGTAGGATGCCTTGACAGAAAATGTTCTTGTGACATATCAAGTCTGGGTTCTAATTCCAACTGCCTCAATTGCTAGCTTTGGGCAAGTCAATTAATGGCTCCCACTTTGTTTCATTGTATGTTAAAAGGAATAATAATCATTACCCCAACTTGGTTTGAACATTTATACATATAGTAGGACATGAGTTCTGCGAGGAGACTACTAAAGGGTAGTGGTAAGAAGGCTGAAGAAGATGCACAATCTAACAGCTATACTCATGGTTCAGATCTCTCTGTCTCTCTGTGTCTGTCTCTCAATTTAAAAGGTATCAGATGCAGACAAAGCTTCTTTGTCACTGTCTCCACTGTTTATATGCCTATATCACTCTATTATCCTTCCTAAAGGCAACCTCCAGTTTATGCTGATGTATATTTGTCTCTTGCATGTGTTACAGTTTATTTACTCATATACAACTGTCTATGAGTAATGGGATGTGCTTTGCCGATTCCCAGCATATGGCAAGTCCCAGTAATGTCAGAATGGGAGTCCATATTTCTCTACATCCTGGCCAGAAATTGATATTGGTATTCATTATTTTAATTTGAATTTCTCTCATTACTAATGAGGTGGTACATTTCATAAGTTTGTTGCCATTCAATTTTCTCCTTCTATTCTTTGCCCAATTTCACCTGTTGGCTCATTTGTGTTTTGCTTAATGATTTTTGAGGTACCTTGCTGATTGTGAATGCAAACCAGTCATTGATATGTTATCTTTTAATCTTTTATTATTTTAATCTGTGGTTTGTCTTTTAATTTTGTTTTTGATTTCTTTTATTATACCAAAGCTATTTATTTTTATCATTGCTAAATATATCATTTTATTTGGAATATTGTGTTTTTTTCATCTTGTTTAAGAAATTCTTTTGTTTCCTGATAGTAAAAAGATATTCTTCCTACATTAGTCCTACAAGTTCTCAGCACTCCTTCATGAGGATCTTTAATGGAATTGGTATTATTTTTGTTTGTGGTATGAAATAAATCTATAATTCTGTTTTTCTGCAATGAAGGCAATTACTCACAGCATCATTTAAGAATGGGCCAGTCTACTACTTTAAAAAAATGCCACATCTATTATATACCAAGCAGGTAGAGAGAGAACATTGCTAATAAAATGCAGCCAAGCACATGGGACAGTATTGGCTATTTTTTCTTCAGGTCACACTCTAAGGGCCTTTAGCTACCATCTTTAATTGTGCAGAAATCATCATGGGATGCTATCTACAGAGTGGCTTCCTGCCAACTTACTGCTGCATTCTTAACTTGTTGAACACTTCAAAGGACAATAAACTTCTCTAAAAAGACACATGAAAATGATCTTGCTGGTCATGGTGCTCAGTTATAGATCTGATTCCTTTAAAAAGCTGATCTTGGAGAAATAGAGTCTTAGAAAATCTGCTGGAAGTGTCCCTTAATAAAACAAATTCCACCAACCCTTGCCAACCATGGTACAATCTGTGGTATAAGCACTCTTTTCCTAATAGCTTATCATTCTGTGTCTTGACCAAAGGAGAAGACCTCATTCAAGTGACCTACTTTTGTTAATGATTTTGTTTTCTACTTTTTCCAAAATCAAAAATTCAAAACTTTTCTGAATGTGGAATTAGAATCCTTTCATTTCTTCAAAGTTCGACCAGGTCAGTCATAGAAAGAATGAGAGTTGGTGTCTATCTAGAATGACTTTGTCCGGTTTTGGCCTCAGAGGTTGAAAAGAATATGACTTTGATATATGGAAAGAATTGAAATCACATCATACATTATAAAATTTTTACCCCCATAAACTAGAATCAGTAAAAAACAATAAAAATGTATGTGGAAATCTTCCACCTAGATAGAGCAATGGGGTGGGTCCGGTTTTATAATCAGACAGTTAAATCATTCATCTCATCAAAAGTTGCATTTCCCTGGTGATTTTTTCCTTCTTTCCCTTTATTCTATTAGCACCTGTGGCAGGTGAAGCAGTTGGTCTTGATAGTGGTCAAAAGACCATCACTCTGTGAAGACTCCTGAGAACCTCATCTCATGCAGCTTCAGGAACAAATCCACAAATTTCATCCGAAGTAGTGTAACAATTCCACTGGGAGCCCAATCAAGTGGAAGGTTCTTTCATTAGAGTTCTAAATACTCAACTTTTAGATGCAATAAATACAAAGTTAATTGGCTGAATTTTATTTGTAAACTTATTATTCTATTTAGAAAAGGAATAATTTGGCTATAAAAACATAGGAAAGAACATAGAAAATATCCATGAGTTTTGAGTCCTCCATTCTTTTGAATTTGTTAAGTTATATTGGTTAAACTATGATTCTATCAGACTTAAGTCCAGAAACAAAGGTTATTTCTTGTACTGGAAATCTTGAAATAACAATGAATTAAAAAGAAAATAGTGTTGGTGAAGCTGGCAAAATAGGTGGGAATAATTTCTCAGAATATGGAACCAATGTTGTTAGTTGTCCTTAGCAGGCATGATGGCCTTCAAGTTTGCCAAAATTAAATGCATATAATAATGAAATTGATATCTTGAGCACTTTTTTTTTTTGAGATATTATCTCCTGTGGTTAAACTTCAAGACTAGACCAACCTTTGGCTTTCACTATTCTCTCATAGTTATGAAAGACATGATCCTTACATTTGAGAACAGAGAGAGTCAAACCAAATTATGACACTTTCTTGGCAGAAACCTCTTAAAATTAGGGCAGTTTTAATTTTAAAAATTGACAATGTTTTGCCAATAATTTGGCTTAGTAAATTTTATACATGAATGTAGTCATGGATTTTTTTACTTGTGCTTGCTTACTTTTCCACAAACATGAGTAAAGATAATTTTCTTTTAATATACCTTTTATCTATAATTGTATTAATAATAACTTGAAGTTGCTCCTTTTTATAATCATCCAAAGGTTTTTACCCTGTGTTTATGAAATGGATGAGTAAGTGAAAACTAAATTGATGAATAAAATACATTTCTAGAGGTTTGTTGAAACTTTCTGCAGGTATTTTCATGGTGTTGATTACCAATGAAAAGAAACCAAAGTCATGTAGACTTATGAATCAGTAAGACATAATTACTGAGTATTCATGAAATACCAAAACAGAGCTGCCTCTGTCTAAGGATATTATATTCTCCCTTAGACGGCCACAGTAGTACAGTGACGCCAGGGTTATGCCACAAACTGAAGATCAGTAGCAAGGTATATTTTACCAAATTAAATAGCTAAAAACTTTTTTTCAGAAAATAATTTTTAGTTACATAGATTTTTAAGATATAAACATATTAGTATTAAAAGTAAAGTGGAGCATCACAAACAAAACTTTGTCTTTTAAGACAGTAAGAGAGGGGGATTGTGGATAGAATAGTAAAAGGTGTAACAGTAAAAGAAAGAGTATATTATATAACTTTATATTCTTTTCTTTCATGGTTGCATTTCTTTAATTCTATTCCCATCCCTTGGTTTAACAAAGTGAGTTAAGGGCAGACCTTAAACAAATTGTGAGAAGCCAGAAGTGGAACAGGAAACCTGGTTTGATAAAGGCAATTTTTTCAACATGTGGGACCAACGCTTCATCTTGTTAATAGATGGTCTGTGAGCTGAATCGTTACTAACAGATAAGCTATTAATTTAAAATAGAAATTGAATCTATCTTATGGGATTTGCAGGAGTAAAGGTTTTTCTTACATGCTCCTTTCCTGATGTTCTTTTTATAACTACAGGCAATCTTAATTTTTAAATGTTCCAAATGTATAATTAAAGGTACTGTTTCACCTCAATTTAAAGTATTAAATCTTGAATAAACTTGGACAGACTGCTGCTTTGGCAAACCAAGAAATGTGTCTTGAATTCTTCTGATTCTTTCTTCACCCATTCTGTCTGCCATCTGGCTATAAGCCACTCTTCACTTCTCAAAACACACACACCTACTTCTTCCTCCCTGGCACAAGCGTGACCCTACATTTTAGAACATGAATTCCTTTATATAATATTGTTCAGGACAGAAAGCCTTTGAACTTCATTTTTCCTTTTCTATTATCAAGAAATATGTCTTACCCTGGATTTGAGACTATATGCTTTCTGTTGTTCATCTTCAGTCAAGTGGACGTGCCTTTTTGTACTACCAGACCCTTCCAAACTCAAGAATCCCACTTAGTTTGAACCACTCTTTCAAGGCCGTTTTTTTTTTTTTAAATCACGTGGCTTATTTCTCAAAATATAACGTTAGATTATGATTGACTAAATCAGCATATTGCGAAGACTCACAATAAAAGTTGTCAAAAGTTAAGTCACTAATGAGGGTACTAGCTATTAGTAATATCTAGAAACTTCAAAACAGAATGCTCGGCCTGCATCTTCTCTATTAGTTTGCTATTTCTTATCTACTGTTCCCTACTTCCAAGACCATTTTTATATTTTCAAAATATGCTTTTACCTGAAAAACAAAGGATCGAAGGTGAGACAGGCTTGGTAGCAAGAAGAGGGAGGGTGTGGCAAGCACAGGAGCTTTGAGAAAAAAGATTATTATCAAACTCTGTTCAGACTATTCACAATAGCAAAGACATGGAATCAACCTAAATGCCCATCAGTGGTAGAATGGTTAAAGAAAATGTGGTACATAAACACTATGGAATACTATGCAACCACAAAAAAGAGCAAGGTCACGTCCTTTGCAGGAACTTTGTTGGAGCTGGAGGCCATTATCCTTCCAAACTAACATGGGAACAGAAAACCAAATACCTCATGTTCTCATTTATAAGTGGGAGTTAATTGATGAGAAAACACGGACACATAGAGGAAAACAACAGACACTGGATCCAGTAGGAGCATGGAGGATGGGAGGAGGGAGAGGATCAGGAAAAATAACTAATGGGTACTAGGCTTAATTCCCGGGTGATGAAATAATCTGTAAAACAAACTCTCATGACACAAGTTTACCTATATAATAAACTTGCGCATGTATCCTCGAACTTAAAAATTAAATGAGCAAACAAAAATAAATTCTGTTCAGGTCACAATCTCTGTGAACTTCAATAATATTTATTTCACACAGTTTTTATAAGATTGGTACATTAAATATAAAAGTATTTATCAGTCTTTTGATGTGATAGTTTTGTTCAACAGACTTTAAAATATTAATATTTCGGCCTGGCGCGGTGGCTTGCAGCTGTAATCCCAGCACTTTGGGAGGCTAAGGCGGGCGGATCACCTGAGGTCAGGAGTTCAAGACCAGCCTGGCCAACATGGTGAAACCCCATCTCTACTAAAAATACAAAAACTAGCTGGGTGTGGTGGTGAGCACCTGTGATCCCAGCTACTCAGGAGGCTGAGGCAGGAGAATCACTGGAACCTGGAACCTGGGAGGCGGAGGTTGCAGTGAGCCGAGATCACATCACTGCACTCCAGCCTGGATGACAAAGTGAGACTCCGTCTCAAAAAAATAAACAAAAAAAATTTAATGTTTCTATAAGGACTTACAGAAACATCTATTGGGCATTCATGTCTGTTTGTGCAACTGACAGTTCTAGATACTCTGATTATTACACATTATATGCATGTATCAAACAAAATATCTCATGTATCCTATAAATATGTACAATTATTCTGTGTATCAATAAAAAGGAGTAATTTATATTTTAGACAGATGCAAATCTTAAGTAACAATTACCACTTTATCACTGCAATTTACTTACTGTTTCTCTGATCTAGTCAGTGAGAGGTGTGAAAAAATAGAGGAATCTATAATGAAAGAAACCCAGTAATACATTAAAAAAAACTTGGGGGGCTTATAGAAACGTTTACTGGGTATTTGTACATCTGGCAGATTGGCTGCGGTCTTGGCTGGCCTCAGCAGGACTAGGTTAGACTCCAGGGTTTAGGTCAATTCAGACATACTCAAACTAAAGAGCAACAGCTACCTGGGTATGCTGTTCTGATGGCAGAAGGTAGAAGTTCAAAGAGGGCAGGCAGAAACTGCGATGCCCCCAAAAGTCTTAGCTTGATATAGGCACGCTGTCACCCACACCCACATTCTATTTAGCAAGGCAAGTTACATGGCCCAGCCCAAAATCAGTGACAAGAGAAAGATTTGTAGGCAAATAATTCAATCTATCACTACATGGAATATGCTTAGTTATCAATAAATGGTGCTTTTTTTTAAAAGAAAAAAAGCCACTTCCTTGACTAGTTGCATTTTTGCACCTAAATTCTAGCAAGTACATATTAAATTTAATTTTTCTTATTATGAGTTTAGATAGCTAAATAATATTTTAAATGAAATAGTATATATTTTAATGATCCTAATATCTGGATCACCAGTGTCATTAAAACTTCCACTTAGAAAAGAGGATTTTCTTAAGTCTAAAAGACATGTTTTTCCAGTTGAACTTTTCTTTCTTTGAGTATTTGAGAATATGTGTAGATTTTATATTGTGGGTAGAATACTTCTGTATGAGGATGATTAGAAGTTATTGGAAGATTTAGGATTTGGGATAAAACTTGAAAGGAAGGAGAAGAGAGAGACAGGTAGCAATTGAGAGATGTTATAATTTGGGGAATAATTTGGTCAAATGACACAAGGACAAAAATATTTAGAGGCAGGGAAGTGCCAAGAATGGGTACCCGAGTTAAGAGCACAGCATGAAGCAAGATAGAAGCAAAAGCAAAAGGCACCTTCTGTGAACAATGCAATTACATATAATAGAGGTTATGAATGTTTTAGATCTGTGTGTGAAAGCTGGTTATTTAAGCATATTTTCTATCTTTGTGCTCGGTTTATTGTTTATAAAGTCATTATTTAATGAAACCTTTATTTTTTATTTCATCATTATTCTATTTTTCTATTTAAACAGAAAGCATTTCTAAATCTGCGTTAATTCTTGGGCTTATTCTCAGGAGACTAGTTAGATGTTACATTACAAATAAAAAGTTGCATATTTTCTTCCATATTTCCCGTGTTTTCCCTGCAAATTATCTGATTAATTTTTTAAATCTCTCTTTCACTATCTAGTGAAATAATGTATTTAACATTCAAACGCTACATACATAGGCACACATATACTATTTTTAATGCATTTATTTGTATGTATTTGATGAATCCAGGGATTTTAATTGTTTTACTTCTGTAAAATATGAATCTTTAAATTACCATTAAAAGTGGACTGCAAGGTTTTTGCCAACTATTTCCTCATGGGCTAACAACAATTGAGAAAGCTTTCATCCTCCTTATATTAGGATGAAAAGCCTGTCTCTGACGTTAATTCTGTAGATAGATGGGTGAATACTTTTCCTTTTACGATGCTTGCCTTTCAACTGCCCCTCCTGGTAAACCTGAAAGGCAACCTCTAAGCCAGGCACATTGTGAAGTACTTCTACAGATCTAGAGAGATAAGAAATCAGCAAAAGATGAAGCTGCAGCTAGATTTCTCATGCCACACTGAATGTACTTCAGAAATACTTCTTTAATTTTAAAACTTTTTAATAGTATCCACTATTCTGGATATTGCGTGATATAAAGAAATTAAAATACAGTGCTCCAATCTAGACAAACAGTTTTACATTAGTGAATTGCTCTTTTTTGGTTTACAACTACGGCTCCTGCTGTGACTCACGACACTCTTACGACGCTCAGATGCTAACACTCTGAATACACCAGATTTTCATATAAGTGATAAAGAGATTTACAGAAATATAAACCATCAACTGATAAAATATACATAGTAGAGTATCAGTTAAACAGAGCATCATTCTGAAATACAATTCTTAATAAATATTTGAGTCCTCTCTCAAGAAAACATTTTTCTGTGGATGTTAGGAAGAGTATATTGAAAAGGGTGAATGGTCTAGAAATGGATTGCATTTCCCTCTCTCCTTCTTTAAAAGAAATATTTACATATATACATTTTAATCTCAGTGAATGACTGGGGCAGTACTTCTTAACTGCTTACTGAAAAGCTGTTCATGGTAGTGGGTCTGCAGATATTGTAGGGAGCAATTATGCTATGTCTGGTACATCCAGGGACATGTGTGTACTTTTCTAAGAAATACTAAATATTCCAAAAATCCAAATTTATTTGTTCATTAAACACACATGGCAAGAAATACAAAGATCATATCATCATAATCTCTCTTCGCAAGATTTTAGCATTGTGGGAGAAATACAACAAGTATATGAATAGCTATAATTTACAGAATAGAAAGTGATTAGATTTAGAGAAATGAGAAGTACCAGAAAAAAATGGCTGGCTAGAACAATTAACATCTTTGCAATGGGGATGGTAAGGGTGTTCATACTCAGAAAAAATACATGGAAGAGACTTCAAGCTGTGAAAACAGTATCAAGAAAAGCACAGAAACACATAGAGAAATTATTGACATTTCTTTCAGATGCACAAAGGACAGTAAAGCTGCAGAAGAAAATTAAAAATGAATTATTACATTTAGTGATTGAAGATCAGTCAAACTTCAAAGAACAGATGACGAAGTGGGTCTGCAAATCTAAAAATAAGCTTAAAATGATTACTTTTCCACAATCAAGAAATAAGGAGTTTTCAGATTATGGCATTAATATAGGCCTTAGCAGTAATATACTTTTTTCTTTTCAAAAATTTCATGGATTTAGTGTAGTTTTGTTACATGGATATATTGTGTAGTGGTGAAGTCATCGGATAGTGAACATTATACCCAACAGGTAATTTTCCATCCCTGAACCTCCTCCCACCCTCCCACCTGTCGGAGTCTCCAGTGTCTATCATTACACTCCGTATGTACATGTGTTCCCACTGCTTATGCCCCACTTATAAGTGAGGTCATGTAGTATTTGACTTTCCGTTTCTGAGTTATTTCACTTAGAATAATGGCCTCCAGTTTCATCCATATTTCAGCAGTTATATTTTTAAATAATCCAATTGAAACATCATAATAATTCTAGATTTAAAGAACAATGGCATTTTTTCTCTCTCTTATTTCTGAAACTTGAATGTTCTCCAGAACAAATTCATGAATTGTTTTAATAGTGTTGACAAGAAATGTAAGCTTTATATGTAATCATTGTAATCTTAAATTATTCCTTCTTCACATTATAACACAAAAACCTATTTCAGATAGATCAAAGATCTAACTGTAAAATGTAAAATAATAATGCCAGAAGATAACACAGGAGACTTTTTTCCATGATTCTAGGATAAGCAAATATTTCTCTAAAGGTCCCACAGACTATAAAGGAAAAGACTATAAAGTCCAGACTATAAACTGGACTTAATTAAAATTAGGACGTTCTGTTCATCAGCAGATAGGATTAAGAAACTGAAAAGACAAAGCAAGGAGAGGAATAATAAATGTATGATATACTTTATGTCTAAAAAGGACATATACCAAAAACAAAAAAAAAACCTTACAAATTAATAATAAGAAGGTATACAACCTAGTTTATCTACCTGAGTTGTGCAGAAGCATACCTTAGGTCCCAGTAGTTCTGCTCGAAACTACATAGCCAATTTTTCAAAAAGTGTAAATATGTGCACAAAAAGACATATGTGAGATTGCTCTTGGCAGTACTATTTTTAATAGTCCTAAACTGGAAGCAATCCTAATATTCAACAACAGAATGGACAAATAAATTGTGGTATGTTCATCAAAGTAAAAGCACAGAAGTACATATAGAAATTACTGACTTTTTTTTTCCAGCTGCATAGAGGGAAGCAAGGGTGGTGAAAAACACATAAAAATGAAGTTTTAAAGTTGTTTTTATTTATTTATTTATTTATTTATACCGAGCTTGGAGTGTAATGATGCGATCTCAGCTCACTGCAACCTCTGCCTCTCAGGTTCAAGCGATTCTCCTACTTCAGCCTCCCAAGTAGCTGGGATTACAGGCATGCGCCACTACGCCTGGCTCTTTTTTTATTTTTAATTTTTATTTTTTAGTTTTAGTAGAGATGAGGTTTCACCATGCCCAGGTGAGTCACGAACTCCTGACCTCAAATGATCCACCCGCCTCGGCCTCCCAAAGTGCTGAGAGTACAGTCATGAACCACCGCACCCAGCCAAAGTTTTTTTAAAATTGGTCATATAGCTATTGTATATATAGCTACATACAACAACAGGAATAAACCTCACAAAAATATTGAAATAAAAGAAAATAGACACAAAAGAAGCCAGACAATGGAATTTTTATAGACCACAGACTCTTTGGCTTCCAATGTAATGAAAGTTAACACGGGCCAAACAGATTTCCCAGACAAGGCTTTTATTTGGGGCTTGTGCTTGAGTGTAAGGGAGACAGCAGAAGCAAAAGAATCCTCCAGCTGACTCCCTGAAAAACCTGGTGTGGATTTTTTTAATTAGGCAGAGCAAGAGAATTGACATCATGTGTAAGAAATTATGCGGGCTAGGTTGGGCAAACCTTGTGAGGGGTACCGGATGCAGGTCAGCATCTGTGGTTGTGATGATTATCTTGAGTAATGGGCCATCTGGAGGTCTGTCCAGAGGCAACAAGGATGCAAATCAATTTTTCAGCATTCCTTCCTGAGATGGGACACTCCACAACCTTGATTCCATATTTGGGTCTTCTAAGGCCCGTTTCTGGACTTAAATAACATTCACCCTATTTGAGTACTTTCTACTTACTGTTACGTTTTAAGCACTTTCATGCATTAACTCATCTTAATACAAAAGTAACAGATGAGATAGCTACTATTATTTCCTTTTAAAGAGAAAGGATTCAGGGCTGCACAAAGTCCACTGACTAGTGGCACTTCATGAATCTAATTTAGGCAGCTTAATTTAAATTCCATGTTTTAAAACATTGCCCTACACTGATTCTACCTCCTAACACAACAGGAATTCTATTCTTACACCTCCCCAGTAGAGGATGTACTTACCAAAAAAGTGGTGATAGAACAGACATGGAGTCATGAAATTATAACAGTGAACAAAATGTCTATATATACTCACTTTTGCAAATTCAAGGATAGGAAAACACATAAGAATAGATTTAAAGATAACTATGCACATAAGCAGACAATAATAGCCACATGGAAAAAATATGATATTGACAGAAAAATGTATCCTCTTTGTAGAAATGTATCTTGTTAGAATGCTTTGTGGTGCACGTAACTGAATACCCTAGTCACTGTGATTTAAACATTCATTATTTATTTTAGCAAGAAAAATGGAAGATAGGTGTTGCAGTGATTGGTCAATGGCAGGGAGAGTCAGGCCCAGTTGGTCTTTTTGTTTGGCCAGGGTAATGGGTTTCTGCCCTCAGGCTTGTCTGTCTTCTTTGCAAAGTAAGAGCTGCATCTTTCAGTTTCACAGACTTACACACTGGTACCTAAGGAGACATTTTCTCTTTTTGCATCTCTTTTTATTACAGAAGAAAACCCTTGCCAACCCTCCTCCTTACCCCCAAGTCTTCCTTTCAACAGCTAGGGCTGCATGACATGCCCATGCTAAATCAGTCACTGGTGGCAGGGATAGATTGTGATGACTGGCTTTGACTAATCAACATTCGCCTCTTGAAGATGCCAGTTTGACAGCATGTGAGAGGGTGGATATCCCCGGTAAATTGGAGGCTATGGGCTTGGAAGGAAGAAAGGGGTGGAAGGCTGGTTGTTGGTTAGGCAACCACCAGTGTTTGCCACAAGAAAGTAGTAATGCTAAAAACAACCAGGGCTTTACAAGTAACAGCCTTAGCCACAAACCAAAGTGCCACTTTTACGTGAATTCTGTGTGAAGAAGACATTTTCTTATGTCTACACACAGATTTCTCAACTACAAATAAAAAACGTGAACAGTATCATCTTTGAGTATTCAAGAATATTGTGTTTGATTTTACTGTTCAAAATGGCATTTCCAACATATATACTCAATCAGGAATGACAAGATGTATTATTGAAATGCTAACATGATGAATGCTTAAATCACCTGCAGTACCCAAATTGGAAGCCAAAAGAAATGCTGAGTCAAAGGATTTTTTTCCTTGTTTAGAGAAAGATTTGGAATTAAAGACCTAAAACAATTTTTATTTTCTTTAATGTGAGCCTTTAGGTGTTGGATTCATACATTGTGTAAGAATGTTTATAACTGAAATATTCAAGAGTTACAAATTCATTTAACTTCACTTCCCTATCATTTTAATTCCCTTCTTCCTAATTTGAATTCTCTTTGCAAATGTTTCAAGTAATATTATTACTTTCATGGCTCTTTATTCAATATTCAGTATACTTTTCAATGCCACATGGACATTGCAGTATAAAAACATAGTCTTCATCTGCTGTAACAAATGATAGTTCTTTTACCATAAACTTTGGAGGTTTTCTATCAGTTTCTAAGAGGGAAAGCCAGTTTTCTCAACCCTGTGCATGGAAATTATGAATAGTTATTTGAAAAATACAAAGTTAAGAACTTTTTTGTACTTAAAACTGCTAAAAAATTGCAAAATTACACTTCTATAAAAGTCTTATGTGCATCAAAACTTTTCACCTTCTGCACCTTTCTAATAAGTGATGCTTCCCTTTTCTTTGTGACAGGAAGCAAGGTCTCACCTCCAGCTGAGGCTTAGAGTTGAGTTTTTAGGTTTGATAGATATGGTGTAGTTGAATGGTGGAAAGAGACAGGCAACAGCTTGGGATGATTTGAGTTACTACCATAATATTGTACTTTATTTGATCATATGCTAGATACTCTAGCATTTAGAAAGAAGGAAAATTGAGACTATGATTCACCACATTAGGGAAGCAAACATAGATGGATTAAATAATTAAAAATAAAAATAAAAAACAGCCCCACACTTGGTAGGGTAAGCTGTTGTGAATTTAAAATTAGTAATTTTCTTACCCCAGATTACAACATGAACAAAGGAACGGCCTCTCCTTTCACTACCTATTCTAGCGCTGGGGTTTCAATTCCTGTCAACAATCCCTGATAAATTAATGGTACCCTTTATATCAACTCCTTAAATGTATACATCATCAGAAAAAAAAGTGCTATGGCCACCTTGAGAAGACAATGCCTCATATTTTATGAATAAAGAGGGGGTCTCAACTGTCAGGCCATTCTGAGTCACATATTGACCCCAAATTCTATTGAACATCTTCCCCATCTGGTCCTCATCAAGGATGCGGACCCCTGGGAAAAATAAAAGGAAAAGTATTTTTCCATTTCGTCCCCTATTTCCCCTTTTGTGCCTCCAAGATTGAAGGTGTTATCCCCATCCCCCACCCACTCCATGCTCTATGGGGCAGCCCCTCGTCTGTAAGGACCCTTAAAGGCATTTCAGCATCTCAGCAGAAAGGAACTGACTGGGAGGAGGATCTTTGAATGCAGGGGAGCTGGGAGGACTGAGGGGGGTTGGGGCCCTCCTTGCACACATCTCCCACCAGGGGCCAGACCTTCCGGGCTTGGGTCTCGGGAGCCCAAAGCACGCCCACAAAGGCCGAGCGCCCTGGCTTCGCTGCGTTCCGGAGAAGCAGGGCGGGCTGCTTCTCCCGGATCTGGCGGGCCTCTGGCCACGGCTGGTTGGAGGTGGGGGTGGGCGAGGAGGGGCGCTCAAGTCACGTGCCCGCGCTGGGGCCGCAATAAATGCTCGCGAACGCGAGAGAGCGACGGAAGCGCTAGGCGCCTGGTTCTGCGCGTACTGGCTGTACGGAGCAGGAGCAAGAGGTCGCCGCCAGCCTCCGCCGCCGAGCCTCGTTCGTGTCCCCGCCCCTCGCTCCTGCAGCTACTGCTCAGAAACGCTGGGGCGCCCACCCTGGCAGACTAACGAAGCAGCTCCCTTCCCACCCCAACTGCAGGTCTAATTTTGGACGCTTTGCCTGCCATTTCTTCCAGGTTGAGGGAGCCGCAGAGGCGGAGGCTCGCGTATTCCTGCAGTCAGCACCCACGTCGCCCCCGGACGCTCGGTGCTCAGGCCCTTCGCGAGCGGGGCTCTCCGTCTGCGGTCCCTTGTGAAGGCTCTGGGCGGCTGCAGAGGCCGGCCGTCCGGTTTGGCTCACCTCTCCCAGGAAACTTCACACTGGAGAGGTAAGGGCGATTCTAAAATGCATCGCTGAGTCGTCAAGCTGCCACCCTTTCCTATCTCCCTTTGCCTTCTTAAACTGTACTTAAAAAAAAAAAAAAGCCAACTGTACAGAGTGGTTGGGCGCGATGGGTGGGTGGGCTACCCGGAAAGCAGCGACGATAGAAATTAGCGGGAGCTCTAGTTCTTGTAAGTGACTTTGTTGGTTTCACCTACTTTCTCTGTCGCGCGCTTTCCATTTGAGTTCAGAGAAAGAACAGTGTGTGCCTTCACACTTGAGAGGAAAAGCTCTCAAGTTGCCGGGGAGCTGCTGGCTTCTTCGGGTGCAGGCCACAGATTAGTCACAGACTTTCCAGGAAATAAAGATTGAGTTCTTGACCTGAGCCTGAATAGGAAGAGACTTACCCCAGGAACCCAAACCATTCATTTGCAGTAGTTCACGGGGCCCCCTAGATGTAGCCATGGATGCATATATGAATAGCCTTTTGTATTTCTTTGAAACATTCACTCTCAATTTTAGAATGCTGTGGACATTCTGAGTGTGAAACAGAGATGGGCCACTGGAATAAAATAATACCAAATAAAATATTCACACCTTAAAACTCTTCATAGAGAAACATGAACCTCTAGATTGAAATCAAACGTTCTAGGTAGATATAACATCCTTTGCAGGGTATATGTAATGTATAGCCACTTAAAGTCTTGCAATTCACATAGTATTTTCAAGCTTTGACTCTTCTAGGCTACTTTTGCCATTTACTTTTGGCCTCAGGGGTATTATCTTGGATAATACAGTTGTCTAGTTTGTGGAAATTGCATTGTGAAAAGTCCTCTGGAAGAAAAAAAATGGGTTGGAGATAAGTTATTTCAAAATGTGAGTGTCCATTTTCTGCTGTTAAATAGACAAATCAAACTGGCACACTTCCTTTGTAACTGTTGTTTTGCTCGTGTTATTAGAAAATTCATATCTGCTGGAATTTTCATCTTAATCACATGACATGTCGTTATAGCCAAAAGGAGTGGAAGAGCCTGTCTTGGAGATTTTCCTGGGGAAATCCTGAGGTCATTCATTATGAAGTGTACCGCGCGGGAGTGGCTCAGAGTAACCACAGTGCTGTTCATGGCTAGAGCAATTCCAGCCATGGTGGTTCCCAATGCCACTTTATTGGAGAAACTTTTGGAAAAATACATGGATGAGGATGGTGAGTGGTGGATAGCCAAACAACGAGGGAAAAGGGCCATCACAGACAATGACATGCAGAGTATTTTGGACCTTCATAATAAATTACGAAGTCAGGTGTATCCAACAGCCTCTAATATGGAGTATATGGTAAGGACATTTTTCAAGTGGTATGTACAAAAGAAATGTTTATTCATGCTTTCAGTCAGCAGTCTTCATGCTGTTCTTTAATCATTTATTTTATATGAAGTTGAAAAAAGATTTTCTTTGAGGGTATTTTCCTCTGCATATTCGTTTATTAATGTTCCTTTTGTTTCTAAGAGCTCTTGACATTCAGAGTAGGACGAAATGCCTTTAGATGCAATGTTCCTACTAAGTGCTGTAAATTCTACTCTCACCAGGAAGGTTAATATAGTGAAAATGCAAAACAGCTGGTATATTTGCTGTTAATTGACTTAGCTGAAAATTTACTTCCTAATTCCTGATAGAACCTTTTTATGAATGGTGGATCTGAAAAATTCAGACTAATAATCGGAAGAAACTTTCTGGATTGCTGAAATATATTGTTCCTAATGGGTCTTTGTTTCTTATAAACATGTAAATGACATTGTAAAGGATACATTTTTATGGTTGCTTTATGTTGAAGAGTGCTTTGGCAATGGCTTTTTTCTCCCCTTGGATTTATTATTTGTGAACTTGAAGCATGAAAATAAGCCTTGGCAAAGGATTAATTTAAAATATTCAGCTTATCCTTAACAACCTTATATTTACTCTGAGTAAATTTGCAACTTTAAGGGACATAATTACTTTAAGACTACTAGCATATAACTCATGAGTATACTGCCATTTCATACCCTAAACATTTAGAAAACTTTTCAAAAATCTATTATATTCCTTCCATGAATGAGGAATGCACTAGCAAAGCCTGATAATAAATAGTTATTGGTGATGGCAAAACTTATTTAACAAACATTGGAAATGGCATTTTCATTGCAGTTAATTTTCATACATTCTAGTTTTTTTCTGTATTTACCTTAGTTTTGGTGGATATTCTTTATTTAGATAATTTTCATGAAGCATGGAAGTTCTAAGTTCCTATTGCCCGTTATAAAGTATGGCATTACACTATTTTAACTTTTACCAGAAAAAATTATTTTACCCTAAAGAAAGTAGGTGGCACTCAAGAGACTAATCAGGGATTAAGAATTGAGACTCAGGAGTGAGGCTGTCTGGGTTAAACTTCTGGCACTGACACGCACTAGCTATGTGACATTGGGCGCTTGCTAATTTCTCTCTACTTTGGTTTCCTGGTGTCTAGTATTATATACTCACCTCAAAGGATTATTGTGAAGATAGAAGGAGATAACCTGGACAAAGTTTAGCTCATTAGCAAACATACTTCAAGATCTCAGTAAATGTTACCAAGACATATATAACTAATTTTATGTTTCCTTATATGGTTTAAATATAATATCTAAGGAAATTGTTAGCTCTTCTCAAAATACTGTGCAGGATATGACATCTGTAATGTCTCATATTTCTGCTTCTTGTATAGTGTTTGTCTAAAGTGAAAAATTCTATGACTTCTTCATCTGTGAGACTTCAAACAGAGTAGCCAGTTCTGGAGCCCCTCCAACTAGGCTACTGTATGCTTATTCCATGTGAATAGGTATTCAGTTGCTTTTTACTTAAAATAAGGAAGACTTGGGAGTTCAAACCCACAAAATGAAATCTGAGAATATTTGTGTATGTTTTAAGTAATATGGAAATCATGAAAGAACAGTTCTGTGATTCGTTTTCATGTCTGGCTTCCAAAAAAAATAATAATAATAACTGCCTATTGTATGATGTCTGGTCTGGGATGTTTATATGAGTTTCTTTTTAGTTTCACTGGTTTCAGTCTATCCTTGAAATGTAGATTCAGAAACCAGCCAGGGTTTATGTTGTGTTGCCCTTAGATACTATTAGCACTGGAACTGTGTCTTGGCCATTAACTGGGCTGCAGAGAAGTGCATTGCCCAACTGTAATACACATTTTCTAGAGTACACATTTAAGGCGAAGTCTAAAATACTATTTTATTTGAAATACTGTCGAGTTAGGCATTTTAAAACAATGTAAATGAGATGTAGATCATTCTTATAAAAATCCAATTTATTCAAATCGTTATTTAAAATGTATTTATTCTGAGAAAACAAACCTTTAAACTGGCTAAAGAGCTATTTCCTGTAAAATCTCTAGTGTCCTATGATAAGTACTGCTGATTTTGGCCCCTTATACCCTATGTGTCTGTCATTTCATGTTAAATGTTTGACTAACCAGTTACCTATTGGTTCATATTTTAGTTAACTCTTTGTCTTTAAACCTATGGGAGCCAGGCTATATCCAGACATTATTAATATTACATTTCTACCCCTATTCTTTTACTCATTTAACTTTTAGGGTTAAAAATTGAGTCTGGGCTGGGCACAGTGGTTCACATCTGTAATTCCAACACTTGGAGGCAGAGGTGGGAGGATCACTTGAGGTCAGGAGTTCCAGACCAGCCTGGCCAACATGGTGAAACCCCGTCTCTACTAAAAATACAAAAAATTAGCCAAGCATGGTGGCATGTGCTGGTAATTCCAGGTGCTGGGGAGGTTGAGGCACCAGAATCGCTTGAACCCAGGAGGGGAAGGTTGTAGTAAGCTGAGATCACACCACTGCACTCCACCCTGGGTGACAGCGAGACACTGCCTTAAAACAAACAAAAAAAACTTGAGTCTGGAAAGCCTTATTTTCTTTTAAAGAGCTCATTGGCGTTGAGAATAAAGAAATAGACTCATTTGAAAATTTGCTCATAAGCAAGGACACAAGAATTCTTTGTTCATGTCTGTAAGTAATGCCAGAGGAGCACAGAACAAATGGAACATTTCTAACTTTGAGAGCTAATCAGTGGGTGAGATGAGGTACATACTGTTTCTGAAGGTGGTCAGAAACATGAATCGTAGGCAAGAGTTGGGGGTATACATCAATTAGAGGAAGAGGAAGAGAAAAATGCAGGGTGGCAGGAATTGGCAGGCTGGTTGTGGGGAACTGGAAGCAGATTAAGTTCATGGAAGCAGATTAGTTGATGAAAGCACAGACCTTGTGGCAGAGTCAGGAAGGGGAGAAATAAGTTATTGGTGATAGAAACCAGTAATCCTAAGGAAGGAGATTACCTACATTTAATTTGGGGTAAATGGAGAAACTGGAACTTTTAGGTCATTCAGTGATACTGTTGTTGAAGTGGTAGTAGATTTTGGAGGAAAAAATACGGCTTTGGATCTAGATTTCAGCAGGTTCACATTTTGCTTCTCCTGCTTATTGGCACATGAACCCTGATAGTCAGCAACCATTCTAGGCGTTGTTCTTCTCATTGGCAAAATGAAAGAATATAAACCTTATATGTTTATTGGCCATTTTTATGTTTTTTTTTTTTATTTGAAAAATGTCTGTACATGTCCTTTGCACACTTGTTAGTGGGGTTGTTTTTTTTCTCATTGAGTTGAGTTCCTTGTAGATTCCAGATACTAGTCCTTTGTCAGATGCGTAGTTTACAAATATTCTCTTCCATTCTATAGGTTGTCTGTTTACTCTGTGGTTATTTCTTGCTGTGCAGAAACTTTTTAGTTTAAGCACCATTGGTCTATTTTTGTGTTAGTTGCATTTGCGTTTGAGGTCTTTGTCATAAATTCTTTGCCTGGGCCAGTGTCTAGAAGAGTTTTCCCTGGGTTTTCTTGTACAGTTTTTATAGTTTCAGGTCTTACATGTAAGTCTTTAATTCATAAATCATGCAGTGTCGCTCAGCCATAAAAAAGAATGAAATCATGTCTTTTGCAGCAATGTGAATGGGACTGGAGATCCTTAAGTGAAATCACTCAGAAACAGAAAGTCAAATCTCCTATGTTCTCACTTACATGTGGGAGCTTAAATACTATGTGCACATGGACATAGGAAGTGGACTGATAAACACCGGAGACTTGGAAAGGTGGGAAGGGTGGCAAGAGATGAGAAATTATGTAACGTGTATATTACATTATGTAATACATGTAATTATGTAATGTGTATATTGTACACTATTTGGGTGGTAGTTACACTAAAATTACAGACTTCATCACTACACAATACATCAATGTAACAAAACCGCACTTATACTCCTTAAGTCTATTTAAAAAAAAAAAAAGAAAACAAACCTGATAGGTTGTAGTGAGATAAGACATTTGCTTCTGTGGAATAGCTTTGCTTTCTTCAAGTGTTTGCCGTATGGGTTTTAAGATCCCATTGCTTGGTTCTTCCATATCCCCATGCTCTTATTTCCCACACATCTCTGAAAAGTTTGTTTCCCAACTTTTCATTTCTGTCCTTTTCCCGTTCTACAGGGACTTCTCTACTCCTTTGACTTTAAATATCCTATGTTTGTGGCTCCATGTCCTGTATCTCCAGCTGACAGCCTTGTCTTTGAGCTTCATTTTTATGTTTCCTACTGCCCATTGGACCATTCCATGTACTGTTACTCCACAGATATAATACTGCACACTGCAAGTGTCAAAACAAAAACAAAAAAACTGCCTTATCCTTTTCCTCCACCCTCACCCGCCAGTCTCTTTGTTGTTGATTAATATCACTAACATCTTCTCAGTACTTTCTAAGAAACATACAAAAAAAAAAAAAAACCAGAAAATTGGGCACATCGTTAACTTTTTACCATACATTTCCATATATCACACACACACAAACATCAATACACCATTACTTGCCAAATTGTGTAGGTTCTGTCTCAAATGTCTTTCGAATCCCTCTCTTCTATTTCATTCTAATCTTTGCTCTTTTTATACCTACATTGGTACCACAGATGCCCACCTAGCAGACTATACCAATCCTATTTTTTTTTTTTTCGAGATGGAATCTCACTCTGTCAGCCAGGCTGAAGGGCAGTGGCACAATCTCAGCTCAGTGCAACCTCCACCTCCAAAGTTTAAGCGATTCTCCTGCCTTAGCCTCCCAAGTACCTAAGATTACAGGTGCGCACCACCACTGCCAGCTAATTTTTATATTTTTAATAATAGAGATGGAGTTTCATCATGTTGGGCAGGCTGGTCCCAAACTCCTGGTCTGAAGTGATCTGCCCACCTTGGCCTCCTACAGTGCTGGCATTACAGATGTGAGCCACCATGCCAGTCTTTGTACCTACTTTACTTCTAATTTATCTCACTCTCCTCACCATTAGTAAAGGTGACTTTTCCCTCAAACCAATCTGCGCTGGTTGCTTAGTTGCACAAAAGTTCTGTTGACTTCTGGCTGCTCACAATTTAAAGCCCACCATGATTAGCTTATAAAGGGAAGCATGTTGTCCAGTCTGCCCCAGAGTGGTCAACTCCCTTGTGTTTATTTGAACCTGTGTTCACATTGAATTACTCAATGTTCTTGAAGATGGGCATAACTCCTTATGCCCTTGTGCTGGGCTGGAGCGCAATGGTACTGTCTCGGCTCACTGCAATGTCCGCCTCCCAGGCTCAAGAGATTCTTCTGCCTCAGCCTCCTGAGTAGCTGAAATGGTGGGCGTGTGTCACTTTGCCTGGCTAATTTTTTATTTTTAGTAAAGATGGGGTTTCACTGTGTTGGCTAGGCTGGTCTCGAACTCCTCACCTCAGGTGATCCACCCACCTCAGCCTCCCAAAGTGCTGGACAGGTGTGAGCCACCAGACCCGGCCACAAACTCTTACTTTTCCCTCCAAACTCAGCTTAAACCTTGTCTTTCCTATAAAGCTCCCTCTGCTCTCGCCATTCCACTGCTTCATTCCTACTTATTTAAGCCTATTTATAGTATTAAAGCCTATTTCTTTTGCAGTGAAATATCATATTTGTTTTCCTTTCTAAGACTGAATTGCTAGAAGGGTAAGTATCATACCTTATTTATCTTTATAACTAAGCTTGGTGAATAGAAGGGCTACTCAGTAAACATTCATTGATTGAATATTGTTGAATGCTCAATAAATACTTGTTGAATGAGGGGATGGATGGATGAATAGGTAAGATTATATGAAACAAATATGGAGGACAGGTAAGACAGAGAAATTAAAATAATAAAAGTTCTGGAAGGTAGGATATCACCAAAACCAGAGATATCGATGTGGGAAATTGGAAACACTTGAGAACAAGGTATAAATGCTTCAAATAATTCAGGATTTTTTCCCTAGTTTTTCAAATTTTCATGAGCTGCTAAAAATTGTCCTATAACATAGAGCTACTAAACTATTAGTAAAGGTATTGAAATGTTTTGGAATTTAAATAATAAAACAGATTGATGAGTACTTACCCCTTGTTACATATTTTTAACATAGAGTCTCTAAAACATTATAGATAAAGTTCAAAATAGTTTGCTACTATACAAAGTGTGTCTAAGTGTAGAATGTACTTCAGCAACCAGGGAGGGCACCTGACCTAAAAAGGACACATGGGTCAACTATGTAAACTGTTTCTTGCTGTTATTACTGTTTCCCTGTTTTTATGAGAAGTGTTGGCAGACCCTCTACTGGGGGGTTGATTGCTATGCATGCCTCCTCTGCCCTCATGTATTGGAGAGGCTAGGGGCAGAACCTTCTCATGACACTTTTCTAACTGTAAGACGAAACACATCTGAATACCTCTCCTTTCGCTAGGCAACCAGAACCCAGGGGCCAAATAACTGGTGGTACTTTCAGTCCTGGGTGTATGTTGATGCAAACAATGTCTTGGTTTCAATTGGTTACTTATGTTCTTTCTAAGGCCATGCTTAAAATTAGAAATTATGGTTTTTTTTTTTTTTTTTTTTTCCTTCTGTGCTTCAGTATAGAAGATAACTCCAGAAACTGGACATGGGACAACCTAGTTTGTTGAACAGGGTGATGCTAATCTGGAATATGCAAAAGTGATCTTTAGCTTGTGAATTGCTTCATTTACTCTTATAAATTCATATTTTCTAACATTATTTGCTATCAGCGGTATATGTCCAGAATAAATGTAGATAAAGAAATGATGGCCTTATAACTTATTTACCCATAGCTTGTTTCCTAATCTTGGTACAAGTGCCAGGAATTGATTGCAATGAATATTTTATTGCAATTAAGGTTTAATGGCAATTAAGGTTATTGCAATTCTTGATTCCTAAAATAAGAGTTTTCTCTCTGTATACTGTTGCTTGACTGGTCATTTTCAAAAGTTAAATATTTTTATCTCTGACATATAGTATCTGCACATACCTAAAGGTGTATGAAATTTCTGTTTAAAGAATATCATTATTACTTAAAATTACTAAAGTTCCCTTATTCTGAATTTAAAATAGCTTATTTAATTTTCCTAAGGTGTTTTTGCTTTAATAGTATTACTGAGATACAATAAGTTGTTTTAAGTATCATTTTCTACAGAATTTTGAAGTTTACAAAACCTTAATTTGAATATTTTTAAGACTTCGACCTTTAAAGTGAATGTATTTTTCTTTTTGAAAATTGCACCATAGATGACAATACCTATAGAAAAAAAAGTGACATTACAACCCAGTTCTATTCTCCCTTAAATGTTAGCAACATATCTAGGGGTTTAGAAAGACAAGAGAAGAAAAGTAGTTTCAATAGGAGAATGGAGCATCCAGAGCCTGAGATATGCCACAAAATTTTGGAATTGTGCTTTTATTCATTCCTTTATTCAGCATGTATTGGGAGTTTACTAAATGCCAGGCACTATCTAGGGTTCTAGTAGTAAACAGAACAAACATTCTTCCTTGCATGGAATAGATGTGAGTCTCCAGACAGCCAGGGTGCCCATGTGGCAGACAGAGGGAGCATGAGAAGTGTGGTAGGAGATGAGGTTACAGATTTAACTGGGGAAGGATGCAGATCATCGTAAAGACTTTCTTTTAGCTGAGTGATAAGAAGCCATTTGAGGCATTTCGACATATGAATAGCATGATCTTACTTACAATTACTCAGGATCATTCTGGCTTTGTTGAGAACATACTTTAGGCAGTGCGAAGAGGACTTTAGATGGTGGGAGGAGCACAGCTGTGAACAGGAAGACAAGGCAATTGCAGTAATCGTACAACAGTTGATGGTGGCTAGGAGTGGGGTGGCAGCCACGAAGGTAGTAAGAAATGGAAAGAGTATGAATATAAATCCCTATGTGATCATAAAATTAATCTTGAAAAATTCAAGGAGGCCTTGTTGCAAGATGAATGAAATTGACTTGGTTGGCCAGCCAGCCAGTAGGCTGGGATTTCCTGCATTTGATGCAAGATCTAAATCCATCCAAGCCTTGGCTACTGTGTTTTGAAAACTGATGGCAGTTTCCACTCTGGTTTGAATATCAGTGGAGAAGATTCTGGATCCTTCAACTTGCAAGGACTTCTGGAATGGTTGCAGAGATTCCAGAAATCTCTGGTCACCCATTTTACCCACACAATTTCAAGAGATTAGAGGAGGTGGAACCCAACCTCTGTCTCCTCCCTTCCTGGGATAGATACGCCTGCTGTTTCCTCACCTAGTCTGCCTTCCCTCTCAAAACGCAATCTGCTTCCTCCCTCCTTAAAAACAGAAAATGAGAACTTTTACATGAGAAGTAGAACAGGAAACTGTCCAGTTTCTGCCCAGCAATCATTATTAATTGCACTATCATGGGGAATGTCTTTGGGATTTTATTTCATTTTGGAGGCAGTGCAGATAGATTTTGCATATGGGGTATAGCTGTACAGTTTGCGCCATTAGAACTTGGAAGCATTGTAGTTGTTATTTTTTCTAAGATGGGGAAGAATATGGATAGACCAGCTTTAGGTAGAGAAAGATGGGGCGCAGTGTGAGACATATTAAAATTGAGATTTAGCTTAGATATCCAAATGAATGTGTCAGGTATGCCATTAGATACAAGGCAGTTAATATATGGAGGCCAATCTTGAACATGAAATTAGGACCCACCACCATTTAAGTGGTATTTAAACTCATGAGGAGAGATGAGATCATCAAGGGAATGAGTATAGATAGAGATGTTCAAGACATGAGTTATTGACACACTTTAAAGTGTAAAGGCAGGGAAGGTGAGAAGGAAAAACACAAAGAAAATTGAGAATTAGGAAGAAAACTAGAAGAACATGATGACCTGGAATTCAAATGAAAAGCAGAAAGGGTGATCAGCTCTGTCAAAGGCTGCTTATAAAGCTCAAGTAAAATGCAGATATGACAATTTTATAACATATTTGACAATGTAGAGGCTACAGAAATCTGATAATACAGTCTGGGTGAAGTCATAGTGGTCCCAGACTGGTTCAAGAATGGGATCAGAAAAATTAATTCATTACTTATTTATCAAACATGCAACATCTCCTGTGGGTCAGGTAGTTCCCACAGTCCTTTGTTTTGAGTCAGGGTCTCTGTCCCCTAGGATGGAGTGCAGTGGCACGATCACAGCACACTGCAGCCTTGACCTCCAGGGCTCAAGCCATCCTTCTACTTCAGCCTCCTGAGTAGCTGTGACTACAGCAATGTGCCACTAGGCCCAGCTAATACACAGTCTTAACTCTCTTCCAGCCTGAAGTTTTCAACTTAGTTTTAGAAGAGATAATTCAATTAGGGAACATATCTCAATTTTTATGATGATAAATAGGAAAATGTAATTTCTTTGCATAATTTTTTTGCAAATTATGCCTCTATTTAAAATGGATGCCTTTATTTAAAAATGGAAATATTAATTAATCATATAATACCGATTAAGAATTACATTTAGTTCAGGAAAATTCTCTCTTTGCTATTGTTCAGGCTGTGCTCTCTCACATATTCCTTACGGGAATTTATACACCAAATTATTGCACATGCTTTAAAACTTAAATTCTCATATTTTTAATGATTTTTACTAACTCGAAGCCAAGTGTTTATAAAAATGGCAATGGGTCATTGCTTTATATATATATATATATATATAAATACGCATGTGTTTTATATATATATACATGCACATACATCATGGATGTTTATACATATATGCATATGTAATACATGTATATGTGTGATATTTAGTTTACAGAAAAATGTGAAAATTCAAGTGGTAATGAATTATCTGGTGAAGATATTACAGTATTTATGTCTAACCATGTTCTTACTTTCCTAAATATTTGTTGCCTTCATAATTTTTAAAAGCTGCTTGTAAGGCTTTTATAATTGATTAAAGTGATTTGTTATTATTGATAAATTTATGTTTAAAAAGGCATTTAAATCAACAAATATTGATTGAGCACTTATGTGACACACTGTTCTTAATGCTGAGGAATGCATTAGTGTATAAAAAGTTTGAAAAGTTAATGAAAATAAGTAGAGTGAGGTGATAGAGAATGAGGGAGGTGGAGCTAATCATATTGGGTAGTTGGAGAAGGCTTTTCTGAATTGGTGAATTACAAGGAGTCAGCTAAGGAAAGATACAGAGACCCATCATTCTAGGCAGGAGAAATACTAGGCACAAAGTCTTTAAGTCAGGAATAAGGTTGGAATTTAACAAAGAAGGACTGTGGGACTGAATTTTATTCCATAACAGGGTAAGTATTAGAAAATAAGGTAGACATACCAGCATGAGCCAGAATCTTTTTTTTTTTTTTTTTTTTTTTTTTT
Organism: Homo sapiens; assembly: GCF_000001405.40. Taxonomy (NCBI): domain Eukaryota; kingdom Metazoa; phylum Chordata; class Mammalia; order Primates; family Hominidae; genus Homo; species Homo sapiens. The sequence goes on from NC_000008.11 coordinate 74,996,737, forward strand.
GAGATAGGATCTTGCTCTGTCACCCAGGCTGTAGTGCAGTGGCGCAATGATGGCTCACTGCAGCATCAAATTTCTGGGCCCAAGCAATCCTCCACCTCAGCCTCCTGAGTAGCTGAGACTACAGGCACATACCACCACACCCAGCTAATTTTTAAATTTTTTGTAGAGATTGGTCTTGCTGTGTTTCCGAGGCTGGTCTTGAACTCATGGGCTCAAGTGATCCTCCTGCCTCGGCCTCCTGAAGTGCAGGGATTATAGGCGAGAGCCACTGTGCCTGGCCCCAGAATCCTTTTTGGCCTTTTAAGTGAATAAAAATTTGTTTTATTTTGAATGAAATGGAAAAGCACTGGACAGTTTCTCACAAGGGACTGACTTGCTCTTATTTCCAGTTTCAAAAAATTACTGTCTACCTTATAGGGAATCATCTGAAGGAGGAGAAAGACTGAATGCAGAGAGTTAAGAGGCTATTGCTATATTCTGTGTGAGAGATGGTGGTTACTTGGATCAGGGTGATAGGGGTAAAGATGGAGAAGGTGAGTGGTTCCACGGTATGTTCTGATGGGATTCCCGATGGGTTTTGCTGAAAATAATGTGAAGGGTGAAGGATAAGGAGGAATCTGGGATGTTCTTAGGTTTTTACAAAGCTCTTTGGTGGATAGTTGAAGCATTTGCTGACACAGGAGGAGAAACAGGAGAAAGTGAAGATGAAATCAGTAATTTCTTTTTGGCTGAAGTTTGAGATGCATGTCATCCTTAGTTATGTTTAGTGGTCAGTTGAGTGGTGGGACACAGGTAAAAAATATGGAAATAATGTAGCTATTAGGAACTCTCTGAACTGACTGAATAAGATCACCCAAGAAGAAGGTTTTTTATAGACAAGGGTTGAATGCCTTAGACTGAGCCGCGGGGCATGCAGCTATATAGAGGTTGAGCCGAAAGAAGTTAGCTGAGAACCAGTGGTCAGCAAGGTAAGAGGAAAGGATAGGATAGGCTGGTGTCCCAGAAGCCAGGAGGAGAGTTCAACAGGAAAAAGTTAACCTTTTTCACTATTGCTGAGAATGAGATGAAGAAGGAAAGTCTACAATGGTTTTGTCAATATTGAGGTCACTGATGACCTTTCTGAGAGTAATTTCAGTGGTGAGGAATGCTCAGAAGTCTTGTTAAGCAGATAAGAAGAGAATGGGAGGCGAGGAAGTAGAGAAGTAACTATCTCAAGATGATGTTGCTGTGAAGAGATCAGAAAAATGGGATAAAGCTAGAGGGACATAAGGGAAAGCTTTTGCTTTTTTGTTTTTTAGAGAGCATGTTTGCAGGTTGCTGGGAATAAATAGGTTGAGAAAGCACTTGGCATAGGAGAAGAAAATATAACTTATTCTAACAGGAAAAGCTGAGGTTGTTCGTATAGAAGCAGGTAGTTTGGAGCGTTTAATGAAGAAAACAGAAGGGAATTATGTGAAAGCTTCTCTTTTGTCCAGACACAGTGAACTGTCAAGATCATCAGCTGAGTTGAGAGGGCAGGAAAGAAGGGGGTTTGAGGATAGGACATTATGAAAAAATAGTAGTTTTGGAGAAATTGCCTTAAGGATATTTGTGGAATCAAATGTATGGGAAGTTTTTAAGTGCTTTAAATTAACCTGTTTTACCATGCTTTGAAGTTCTTAGGTTTAGTCCAGCGCCGTGGCTCATACCACGGCCGGTAATATCAGCCCTTGGTTGCTGAGGCAGGTGGATCACCTGAGGTCAGGAGTTCGAGACCAGTCCTTCAACATGGTGAAATGCCGTCTCTATTAAAAATAGAAAAATTAGCCAAGTATGGTGGTGCATGCCTGTAGTCTCAGCTACTGGGAAGGCTGAGGCAGGAGAATTGCTTGAACCTGGGAGACGGAGGTTTTAGTGAGCCAAGATCGTGCCACTGCACTCCTGCCTGGGCAACAGAGAGACTCCATCTCAAAAAAAAAAAAAAAAAAAAAAAGTAAAGTTCAAAGGTTTAATAGCAGTGAAGAAGTTTACTATATTATTTCAAGGTATTGCCAGGAATCAGAGATTTAAAGTAGTGGTTTCTTCTCTGATTTGCCATTGGTCACACCACTCTGTCCAGCCACTTTACATGGTGTCTCCTGCTTGCCCTTTGGAGACATTTGACTAGGCAACATCTGGAGACTAGAACGAGATAATCAAAGACATGTTAGTAACGGATTAACTTTTTAAGTATTCAGATGTTAGATAATATGGATCAAGTACAGATACATACCAAATAGCATGTTTGGGGCTCATATTGCAGATTGAATGCTAAGTACAGATGGTTGTACAGGAATCTAAATAATGAAAATTATTTAACTGTTGACCCAAATATGTAACTTGGATTACTGGGTTATTAAACTGGCTAAAAATAAGAACCTGAAACTGATCTGGCAAAGGTTACTTTTTTCTTCTTTTGACTTGTTAACAGAATCAATAAGGTGTGATTAAGTCAACTACTTATACATACATACATAAAAGACAGCAGATTTTCTATATTGGCAGCTCATAAACCTCAAGGCAAACATTTGAACAAGGACACAGTCTATTTAGTAAGCCATGCATGCTTTATATTTTAAGTTTTAAGCCAAAAAGTATTTTGAAATTAGCAGGATATTAAAGATAGAAAGCATATTTTTGTCATGGCAAAGCAAGTAGGTATGATTTTGGAGGGTAGAAATAAGGTGTGCTTTAGTCTAATACTACTCAAACTTTAATGTGCCTATGAATCCCCTGGGAATCTTGTTAAAATACATATTTTGATTCAGTAGTTTTGGGAACCCCAATATTCTGCATTTCTAACAAGACCCCAGGTGATGTGGTGGCCGCTGTTCTAGCAACCTCATTTTAAGTAGAAGGCTTTAGCCTTCCTGGAGGAAGTGGGGTTTGAATTGGGACATGAATAATTGTAAAATACAGGTTCTTTATTTTCTCCCTCCTCAACTATCACATTCGCCTCCCTTTTTATAAGGTAGTAACTGTAACTATTAAGGCAGGAAAATGAAATTTCTTTTTCTTTTCTTTTTTTTTTTTTACAAAGTACTTATAATACACAATGTTGGAGAAGTTTGAACAATAATTTTCTCTCCTCTAAGGCCAAATGTTGAAGTCAATCTAATTGGAAGAGAAATGGGAAATGAATCTCAAAATTAGTTAATGACAAAATTCTGCTGGATAGTGAAAGTGAAATACAGCCACCGACAGAATAAACCTTAAAGGCCATATGAGTAAGAAGGGAGGAAGTAGAATTTCAGTTGAGTAAGTATGAGGGGTTGGAAGGCAGCAACTAGATACAAGGATAATGAGCTATTAGGCAAGACCAGGAGTGAACATGGGAGTTACTGTTTCTGGAATGTCCCCTGTATGTCATAGCAACTCAAACAATACAAAGTAACCACCAGAACGCTGGACAATCCAGTAAAGGTGCTGCTGGTAATAAAACATGAAACTATATCTTATGCTTGGTCAAGACGTGTCAAATCTGTATCTGAAATAGTGAATGAATGAGATCAGATGTTGTCCAGAGAAGGAAAATCAAATGATAAAAGTGTTGAGAGAGGGGCAGCTCTTGAAGGAAGATGGAATAAGAACATGGAAACTCCTGTGTGGAAAGAAAAGGCCAAGAGGTCTGCTAAATCAAGAGTACTGTGAATAAGTGAGTACAACCTGAACAAATACAAAGCAGTGCTATCTCACATGAACATCTACCATGTTATTCCGTATGCCTTGAGATTTTTGATGCTGAACAAATCTTGCCAAGCCTGCTGCCCTTTGCAGATGTGAGAATGCCTATTGCCCTCCCTGTTTTCTTTGTAATGAATTTCTCCTTTCTGCTTCCTTTAAGACTCACTTAGAGCCTAACCTGCTTTTGTCTAAACCCTCCATACAGAGTTAGGTGCCCCCAGACTCAGTTCTCTGACTTCCATAGCCTCATTTACATGCCTCTGCTTGCAGTGTTTACATCCTTGTCTCTTTCTCTAGCCTCACATTCCTTTGTAGGAAGGGACTGTGCCATGGTAATCTTTGCATTCCCCAGTTGTGTGGCTGACACATGCCCTAAGCTCAGTTTATGTTAGCTGGAAGGAAAACAAAATGGGATGAATGAAAAAAAATGAAAAGATGACTAGATTTTCAACAACAATTTAAAGTGGACAGAATAAAAAGGATTGAATTCTGTCTTGACAAAATAGTTTTATTAGAAAATTGCAAAAACATTCTTTTTAGTGAAAGCTTTTCACTAAAATATTTTACATAATTACATATCATTGCAAGTTTGATGTGATATGTAAAATATTTTACATATCCTGAAGTACTCTATTGAAAAATATAAAATTATGTAAAACATAATAAAAATATAAAGTCATGTAAAACAATTTTGTGTATTTTAAACATAAATTATTTTATGCAAAACAATTTTACATAAAACACAATTTTATATAAAACAAAATTTTGTGTTTTTAAATAGTAGAATACCTTTTGGCTTAGGGCAAACATTCATTTTGGGTTAGTGCAAACTCATTCTTTAATAAACATGACAGGTGGCTAAATTATCACTGGATTTCAGTGACTTTCTGAGTTGCACTGGGTTACTGACATCTCTGTCTCATGATTTGGGGGTGGCCAGAACCCCTCTGAAGTTCAGGATAGGATCTTCCAGGAGATACAGTGATCAGAATGCCAAGACTCTTGATGAACTGTTTTCAAGATGTAAGTCACAGTATGGTAAGAAGTACAAAGTAGTATATTTTAAACTGCATATAAATCATGAAGAATTTCAGAGTAAAGCAGTGAACAGTAAAGCTTCTTAAAAGAGGTATGTTTTGAAATAGTATTTGGTAGAAGTTACCGTCATTGTGTGGAAGGGAATATGGTGAGACCCTTATCAGTAAGGGATTGTTGTGACAATATGTGTCCAGCTGATTCAATGGGGAGGAAATGGCAGTCACAATCTGTGTGAATTGATTTAAGCCTCAATTATGGAGATATTTAGGCTTGGTCAGATTTTCCCAAATGGTGGAAACAACCTTGTTCTGTCAAGTGTGAATCATGGCAGACTTGAGCATCATAGCACTATTCCATTTTCTTATCTGCTTACTTATGATGAAACGTTTTATTTGAGGTAATATGACCGTATTAGTCTAACTTTTTAAAGCGAAACATTTATTACAAATTATTTCCAAACTTTGAGTTTCTTGACCTTTCTTGACCTAAAAAATGTTTTACATATATATGTATGTTAGTGAAACCTGAACTTCAGGGGTACTTGGAGGCTTCAGTTGGAAATGAATCTCAGATTTGTTTTTAACAAAGGTCTTAAATTAGTTAATTGTGTAAGAATTTACAGCAAAGCTAGGAGTAACATACTCCAACCTTTGTTTTGTAATTCATGTTGTCTTAAATATGAATTATAAGATTATTTACTCTCTCATTGGAACTTTAGATAGCAGTGATTATCTTATTTTTCAGTCATTCAAAATTTTGAATTTTAATTTCTCTCTTACCCATATAAATACCAGCAATGTTCCCAATGTGAAGAGACAGGATACATTAATTACAGCAAATCAAGCAGATTCTTATAGGAACAGGGGAAGAAGAGAAAATTCATTAAGATCTAGTATGTGTCAGGTAACAGGTTGTTAGGCAGTTTGCTAATCAAAATTCTGTGAAAGATTTATATTTTCAAATATTTGTTTCTCAGCAGGAAACAAATGCCACAATAACTAGGGTTCAACAGTAAAAAAAAAAATAATAATAATGATGAAGGGCCTATATGCAGAGTTGTGGGCAGGATTAAGGCAAGCCATGGGGTGTGGCAGGGTGCCCAGGCTTTTGTGGTCCTGACACAGGCTGGTGAAGACAGGTGCCTGGAAGCAGGGTTGTGTGAGAGGACCCAGTCTCCATCACGGTGAGGCCAAGAGGACTCAGAGGGGCAACACGTTCTGAAATTCACCTCCCACCCTCGGAATTCCTGTTTGTGTGTTTCCTTGGCCAAATCTAACCAGGAGCCAGGGGGCAGGAGAGCCTGAGGTAACTCAGTATGTGGAGCTATCTCGTGAGACATAGAACTTGGCAGGAAGGTGCTGAGATGGCTGTGTGGGGTAAATGAATATTTAACACCATCTTCTTTCTCAGAGTTCTAAATAAGGACTTTTGAAAACCATTCTTTAAAAAATCATCCTTTTAGTCATTGTTTTAATATTGAGGAAAATAATGCTATAGTCATATTCCTGAGGAATGTCTAAAAATCTGATTGAGAATGCTGTGGTTCTTAAACCAGCTTTGAGCTTCATGGCATTCAAGGAAAACAGGAAACCGTATGTTGTTTGTAGCTCTCACTGCCTGTTTGCAGGCACAGCAATTTATCATTCTTGAGGCAGGAATTATTAGTGGAAACTTATCACAGAATTGTTAATATAGCAATATAGAGACACTGAGCAACGTAACATAGCAGTTTCATTAAAAGTATGTAAATATACATTTGAATGTTTCTTATATTAGTCATCTTTGGTTTAAATTCAAGTTTGGATGTCAAATTGTAGATTTCAGTTTCATTGTGTCCATAAACTTTCTTCTTTTGTCCAAGAAGTTTTTCACTTTTTAGATCTTTTTTTATTTCATTTTGAAAATTTGGTGTCCCCACATAAATACACAAAAGCAATTATTTTTTATTTACTTTCAAAACCTAAGTTATGGTTATTTTGATATGTGAATATAAAACATAAACTAATTCATAAGTACATACTGTAGAGGGATTTTTTAATGAGTTTTCCTATCATGCATTTTTATAGACTTTTAGATCAATCCTGCATCTATATAAAATATACTGGGTTGTGAATAAACTAAACACAGATGTTTATTCTTACAAAATGGCCTAATGTCTATAGATCAAGACTTAAAGATCAAGAAGTAAAGAATATGTATAGATCAAGACTTAAAGTACCATCAATTATATGATACATTTGCAATTACTAAAGATTTTCTTGATAAGTGAGTTAGGTAAGGTATGGCCAAACTTGGGGCAGGGGACCTTGACACTGAGATGAGATGAGCTTAATCAGTAGAAATTCTATAGAAAATGTAAGGATTGTAATTCTATAGAAAATTAATGGCTTTGCTATCCCACAAAGACAATAAGCCCTATGTCATGCATCTGATGTAATATTAAATGTGATATATTTATATATTGATACAATGGGTTTAATTGAAATAATCTTGTGAGTATATCTGCATATTAAGTTTTCATTACAAAAGTTATTTTAATTTTAATAAAATGTAGAGGAGTTTCCTAAACTGTTAGCTTGCTACTTTTTTAAGGTTTTAAGCCTTTGTTTTAGATTTTAAGTGAAACACTACCACACATGCCTCACATCTCTGAATTTGCAGGAGACCCTAATTTGTGCATTGCCTTAAGGTAATGCTTCTTTCTCAGTAGTTGGCAAAGTCACTGTGCCCTGTAACACAAGTGTTTCCTTTGAAATCTGAGCCTCGTGCATTTTCCCTATAACTACAAAGTCTATTCAGAATGGGTGAAGCACAACACTTAAAATACCTGGAGTAATTGAATTGTAAGGAATGCAATACAGCTGCTTGCCATAGTGCATTTAATACCAGATGATTTAGTCACAAAAGCATCTCACACTCTTTCAGCACAGATTTATTTACTTATTTATTTCATTGACGTCTGGGAGAAAATTACATAGCTTTACAGATTTTATAATGAGTCATTATATTTGAAATTTGAATCTGATGTATTCTGAACTGTCCAGTGTGATATTTTCATAGACTAACAAACTATTGGGGTATCTTGGAAGTTAGGTTATTGCTGTAGTTAGGATCACGTTGACAACTTTATCAGATTCTTGGATTGTAGTTTCTGATTTAAATAGGAAAACACAAAAGATTTGGGGAGGGATCGAAATAAGATGGATGATTTACAAACCTGTTTTATTTCAGAAGTGGTAGCATAGTAAGAATTATATTTTAAAGCAGTATTTTTAAAAAGATAATTCTGTATGTCTTTGATTTTCTCAAATCACTTCTGCATTCATGAGCTTGAAAAATTCCGGTGTTCCTGATAGCTGTGCAAAAAATTATATTTAGAAGTCTGTGCTTTATTTAAATGTTTTACCATCATATTTTCAGGACTAAACTGAAGAGAGGCCTGTTTTTAACTTTTTATTAAGATTATCTTCTTACTCAACTAAATGGAAAGTTTTATTGAAGGTTCTATGTTGTATTTATCTGTTATTAACAATATCAAAAATACTTCGAAGAAATTGAGCTCTGCTCTCATGGGCTTATAATTAGAAAATCTGAAATCTCCTTGGTTATCACAAAACGGCTTCTCAAACAGCAGTTTGAGAACAGCTTTTGCTTCTTAGGTAATTGAGATGCTCTTCATTGTCATTTTAATTGTCATCAGATGCCTTTATTTGTCACCAGAAATGTTATTTTACAGCTAATTCTTATGGGATACTACAAGCAATACAGGGTATCATCTAAGAGACTGTGAAGTACAAACAATGGAATTGGAAAGCTAAGTCTTTTCGATTTAAGTACAAAAGAATTCGGAAAGACTTATTTCAGCTCCGTAATGTTAGAGATAAGGAAATAGAAACCAAACTTGATATAATCAAAGATATAAATTTGGAAATAATTTAAATGGGAAAGAGAACTCTTCCAGGGTGTTTCATGTATTTTATGGTTTGAGTCATTTGAACAATGCATACTTTTGTATCTGTCTGTATAATAAAAGAAGAAGAAAATTGATCACGAATGCCCTTGACTTATATAGGTCCAGAACACACAGCACTAAAGAAGGGGTATTTTCAGCACCATTGAGCATAATTCTATCATTACTTCTGTCAGCCCTTGACTGCTCAGAACTGGGATAGGTAGGATTAGAGATATTGGAGTGCTTTTCTGAGTTAAGCATGCACATTTATGTGTCTCTAAAGAAGGATGTTTGGGGAATTTATTGTTCAAAACTTATTGCAAATGCTAAGACAGTTTTAAAAATAATTTTATCATTATTTTCAGCTTTCACTAGTGGAAAGGTAAGACTTTAGAGCCTCCAGCCTAGATCCGGACTTCCAGCATAACTGCCTTTGCAATGCCACCATATTTCCATTAGATTATTACTTTGCCAGAGAGAAATGCATACTTTATTTTGCTTTGTAGATTCAGGGGGTACAGGTGCAGGTTTGTTACATGGATATCTTGTATAATAGATATCTTGGGCTTCTAGTGTGCCCATCATCCAAATAGTGAACATTGTACCCAATTACCAGTAGGTGATTTTTCATTCCTTATCCTTCCCATATTCCTCCCTTTTGGAGTCCCCAGTGCCTATTATTTTCCTCTGTATGTCCATGCATGTGCCCACTGTTTAACCCCCACTTATAAGTGAGAGCATGCAGTATTTGACTTTTTGTGTCTGAGCTAATGCAATTTTAAAAGTCCATATTGTGAATTATATCATGGGCCAGTATTTGTCATCTAATTAGGCTACTTAACGGTATAATAATCCAATTAGGAATTCTTTTTGGCATTTATCTTGGAAGTCCATTAAGGCTACATCAGTTTTGCAAAAAGTTGTACAACAAATTCAATCATTTCTATATTATCTATACTATGTAAAATTTTTAGATGATTAATTACAATTGTTGCTATTTTCCAGTTTTTTTGAGAAAGGTTTATGTTATCTATTTAAGACATTTTTCTCAGCATGTCTTTAAAAGTCTCATTGTAGCTTCATCCAGTTTGGTGAAAGTTTCTACAGTAGCCAAAAATCTTGCAATCCTATTTCTTTATATAGGGACTAGCATTTAACAATTATGAAGTTATGTAAGAGTTTCTAGTCAATAATTATTTCTGTGTAGCGGTTAGGGTGTTAAGCTATCCATGCTGGTCAACTTTTTATTAAAATTTCATTATTTACTAATTTATTTTATTTATTGAGGAATCTAAAGAATTCTGTAAAACTACTTAACAAATTCAGTGTCATCCTGGTCTCTGTGGTAGACTAATTACAACTTACCAAACAACTTTGTGGATAAATGAAGGCCCATCACCTCCACCCCACTAATCTTTGGGGGTAATTTATATGTGAAAGTCTGATTACACAAATTTGCATCAAGCATATAATCTCATAAAACTTTATATCCTTTAATGTAATCCAAAACAATGCTAATTAATGCAAAACATTTAACATTAGATCTTCTTTGTGAAATTAATGTTTGATATTTATTTGAAAAATAACACCTTCCATTTTAGTTTTTCATTAACATTCTTGAAACCTCAATTATCAGAAAATACTCTCTTCAGACAAATTCTTAGTTATTAATTATTGGTCTTCAACTCTTGTTTAATGTAGTACTATAATAATTTTGAAGTTATAAAGAGTAAACAAGCCCCAGGAAATGAATTTTCATATTATGTAAATCTGGAAAGAGTATTAATTTACTATGGTCAAGAAGATATATTTGAAAATCCTTAAATCTTTTTAAGAGAAAAAAACTGTGTCAAAGAGAATGAAAAAGTTGTATCACTAATTACTGTTTTTGCATAATATACAGTGATGCAACCTACTGGTAAGCAATACTGCTGGCCTAAATTACATTCTTGAATGATTTCCAGCTGTCATTGACTCTTATTCGAGCACCATAGCAGGTGTTCCAGTGGGAGCTCAACTCATGTTTCACAAAGGATAGCAAATTTTTATGTATCTAGATAGCTGCATAATTTCTCATTTCTATGATATTTTAGTACTAAAGTTACTATGTATTTGTAGGTTTACCAGTTTTCAGTTATTGTTTGTTTGTTTGTTTTTTTGAGACTGAGTCCCGCTCTGTCACCCAGGCTGGAGTGCAGTGGCGCGATCTTGGGATTACAGACGTGAACCATCGACTTTTTTTTTTTTTTTTTTTTTTTTAAAGAGACAAGTTCTTACATTGTGGCCCAGGCTAGAGTGCAGTAGTATGATCATAGCTCTCATAGCTCACTGCAGCCTCAAACTCCCTTGATCCTTACAACTTAGCCTCCCAGCTTGTTGGGACTACAGGCACGTGACACCGTACCAGCTAAATTTTTCATTTTTTACTTTTTGTAAAGACAGGTCTCCACATATTGCCCAGGCTGGTCTGGAACTCCTGGCCTCAAGTGATCCTACCACCCTCGCCTCCCGCAAAGTGCTGGGAATATGGGCATGAGCCACTATACTTGGCCTGGTTTAATTTTGAAAGTTATCTGTCAAAAAGTTTAAAATTTCTCATACACACACTTGAGATGAGAAAGCCTTCATGCTGAACTAGTTTAAAAATATCATTGGAGACAAAGAATGTCAATAGTATTCTAAATATTTCCTTAAGTAATAAAACTTCATTGAAGGCGTAACTATGCTCTAAGAAGGAACAACTTTCAGATGTAGTTGGGAAATAGAGTTGTTTTCATTTTTGCACACCTCAAGTGTATAGAAATGGGTACCCAAGTACTCATTTTATAGAGAAGTGGCAATTGTAGTGTGGTTTGTCTTTAAATTAGTGCTGGGTGAATAGTTCAGAGGAATTAAAAAAGAAGCTCTTTGGGCCATCTTGATTTAATTTGTAAACCTGATTTTAAATAGAAATGTGTAGGCACTAACCTACACTTAATGGGGTGGGTAGAACTTACTGGCAGTTTTAAAACGTGAAATAATATGTTGTAGCTTTAACAAATATGTACCATGCTTATTGTTAAGTCATGATAGAATTTCTTCCAATAAGTTTTTAAGACTTGATTTGTATTATTGAACTTGACCTAAACAGGTATGCTTTATTCGATTCTGTGAATAGATAATTACTTTTAGTCACTAATATTAATATTGATAAAGAACTAAATTTTAGTTGCATGCCCCTCTGCTTCAGCACTTATATTAAAATACTGTATGCTATTATTTTAGCAATATTATAGTTTATTCAGTATGCTTTTCCCAGTATTTTTAATGGATTAAATAAAATCATAAGTCATACCTTAAATACAGCTTATGCATTGTATATATTCAACATTGAATTTTAGTCCTCAAAGTGATCGGAGTTACCTTCTATTTCAGCTAACAAATTTACAAATAAGAAAAATTAGCTTAAAGTATTTGAATAATATGTTTTACGTTTTATTCCGATTTCTATACAACAGAAATATAAGCAAACTTGAAACACTTAAATACACTGTAGTATATTAAACTAGTTAGGAACTAGTTGTATATCTTTTCTAAAAAGGATCCATTTTCAATTTCATAGGGAAAACTGACACCTAAGATTGTAGAATCGTGTGTGAAACAAGAGTAAATTGAACTTGAGTAGAGGCCATGAGGATTCTTCTAAGAGCTCAGCTGGATAGTCCTCACTTGAGGTGTCTCATGATTGCCCTGACTTGAGTTGCTGTCATCTGAGGGCTGGCAAACTCACAGGTCACATGCCTCGGCTGGAAGAACTCACATCTCTGGAGTTCTCTCCATATTTTCTTTCCAGCTACCTATTCATGGTAACTGGACTCCTAATTCATTGGCTTAAGTCTGTCACGATGTGTCTTAACAGGAAAAAAAAAGAAAAAAAAAAGAAGCTTTGTTTCCTAACCTAGCTACCGAAGTCTCCCAGCCTCTTTCTGTTTATTAGAAGTGAGTCACTATTTAGCTCAAATTCAAGGGAAGAGGGGGGAATTCAACTCCACCTTTGGTGGAAAGGGTATTTTAAAACCATCACAATTGTTTCAAAGCAATTATTTTTAGACTTCCAGGAACTGTTTCTATTTTTCCTCTGTTTTCTGGCTGCTCTTTGAATATGAGATTGATATATTAAAAAAAAAAAACCTACAGATAAGTGTAGTTATGTCCTATGTATAACTAGAGTACTCTGCAAGAATCTGATTTCCTGGATTGCAGACAATGATTTGTCCCCTAAGGACAACCTATGTCTTTAGGGACTCCATCTGGAAACCTGCTTACTTTTGAGAGACGATTACTTCTCCAACTTTCTAGATACAAAAGGAAATCAACATTTTGCCCATTTTCTGGGACTTCAACCAAATTCAGTGTTTCTTACTTAATTCTTCTTTGGACAAATAGTGACCACAACTTGAATTATACTTTTGTATAATAAACATTATATATAATTATAAAATTAGGTCAAAGTTAAATGGTAAAGTTAATTAATAATATGCCTGTAATTGGCAAATAAAGTGCTTACCTGATAATACTTGTTTATAGCATTTGTTTCTGATGTCCATGTCTTAAAACCATTCATCTTGAATATTTGACACTAATTGAAAGTAAAATTAAAACTTTTATGAAAAGCAGCAACTCTTGCTGCTCTTGTATTTTTAGTCGCATATACACTATTTTTGTATTTTTGCTAGAAAATTAAGATACACTAATGATGATAATAAACTTATTCTAATTTTGTATAAATTTCCCTTTGTGATTTGATCCATATTTCAGAGCCACAATGGAATGGGGAGGAATATTCACCAATGAAAAATTATATGAATGAATTAGGAATCTTCTTCTCCTCAAACATACATTTCTTTTTACATGCCTCTTTGTCCCTAGGGTGTTTTCCTTTTGGCGTATTGACATGATTAGATTCCCTGTATCCTTTAAAAATCAAAGCAAGTGAACAAATTCTCTCTAGACTCTGGCATCTCATCTATAGCTTCTGCCACATTTCTCTTCCTCTCTAAAGTATTGAGAAAGTAACTCACATTTGTTTTCTGTACTTCTTTCTTTCTCTTCACTTATTAATGCTCTGTGTTCTGATTTCTTCACCCATCATTGATCTGAAGTTGCTTTTAGTCATGAATTAGTACTTAGGAAATCTTGGTTTTCTGTCATTCACACTTGTTACCCATTCTCTACTCCCAAAAATATCTTCTCTCTCTCATTGCTTTATAATTTCATATTAATTAGTTTTTCTGTAACCTCTTTTATCCTGTCTTGCCTGGCTTCTTTTGTTATCTTGTTAGAGTTTTTTCCTTTTAGATTTTGATAACCCCAGAATTTTCTTTTTTATTCGTCTTCTCATTCTATATAATATTCCCGAATAAATTTATCTCTGGGTGAATAACTTCAAGATTCATATCCTCAGAGCACATTTTTCCTCTGGACCCCCAGTCATGTAGTTCTGCTCTCTACTTGGCATATGTGCCCTCATACATCACCATTGAAATATGCATGGAAATACCTAGACACACACTTGTATTACAACCATCTATTTCTCTTTCCCTATTTCCTTTCTTCCAATTTAGTAGTATCATCGGTCTTACCTTTTCTTTCGCTTACCACCTACTCCAGCCATTTATCAAGTTCTAGGAGTTTAAATTTCTTTTTTTTTGTATCTTTATTATTATTATTATTATACTTTAAGTTTTAGGGTACATGTGCACAATGTGCAGGTTAGTTACATATGTATACATGTGCCATGCTGGTGTGCTGCACCCATTAACTCGTCATTTAGCATTAGGTATATCTCCTAATGCTATGCCTCCCCCCTCCCCCCACCCCACAACAGTCCCCAGAGTGTGATGTTCCCCTTCCTGTGTCCATGTGTTCTCATTGTTCAATTCCCATCTTTAAATTTCTAAACATCATTTCACTGTCTACTCTTTTCAGCTTCATCACTGTCACTTGGGTTGTGTCCTCAGGTTCCATTCCCAGATTTGTTTTCCCGTTTTCGTAACATGCCCGGAGTCTGTAATTGTAGTGCTAAGATTGAACCTAGGTCTACCTAACTTGGTGTTTTTACCAGCACACATACTATACTGCATATTTTTCAAATTAATAAGTTGAATACTAAACCCAGGACTTGGAAAATTATTTCAGTAATCATTTCACTAAAATAACTTAATCGGTGATTTAAATTATTTCTTTTTAAATTATTTTAAAAGAATTTGTCATTATTTAATTTTAATTTTATGTCTACATATATTTTATGAGAATCAGATTTGTTAATCATTCATGTATTTAACAAGCATTTATTAATCACCTTGTCCAGATGATAGACACTAGAAATAGACCAAAGATAGCAGCAGCACTGTCCCATTCAATTTACAGTCTCATGAAAAAGATAGATATGTAAGCAGATACTGATATTACAATGTAATAAGTGCTAAACAAAGGAATGTAACAAAGCCTTAGGAGTCCTAAAGGGATAGCTTACATCTAAGAGAATTGATACGATGTCACAGAAAAAGTATTTTATAAAGCTGGATTGTGAAGGAAGAAAGAGTAGGGACTTGTCTGACAAATAACTGGGAGAAGGTTGCTTAGGGAGGGGAAACAATGTCAGCAAGAGCAAGGACTTGTATGCTTAATGATAGGGAAGAGTGGGACCCCGGACCTTGGACTTTATGTATATGGGGATTTGTTTTATGTGTTTAGACAGAGGAATCACTTCAGCATATTCGTGTTCACTTAAGTAATTGTAAAGACGTATGGGGCAATTTGGAGGGTTAAGAGGTAGAGACGGGGAGATTGATTTGGAGGCCAGTGCAAAAACTTAGATGACTTTTGAGTCTGATGAGAATCCAGACTATGATGTTGACTTTGTAAAGAAAGAAAGAAGAAAATGTAAGAACTGCTCAACACTGTGTTCTGCAGAAGTGTCCAAATGCTACATGTGCACATTTTGCTTTTGTTTTAAACTGTAGACATGGGATGTAGAGCTGGAAAGATCTGCAGAATCCTGGGCTGAAAGTTGCTTGTGGGAACATGGACCTGCAAGCTTGCTTCCATCAATTGGACAGAATTTGGGAGCACACTGGGGAAGGTATCTTAAAGCACAACTTTTTCTTTATGAAAAAATAAGTGTTTAAAATGAAGTCCTTATTAATTCATCAGTACAATTTTTCAAAGACTTGGTGCCTGAAAGAAAAGTAATCACGAAACAAGTAACAAAAAATAAATGCCACACCAGAACAATCAGCAGTTTTTTAGACTTTAATGTAAATCATCAATTTATTAGTAATGTAAGGGGCATAAAAATTTAAGTTTAATAGTTTACGCCAAAGTGTCTTTCTACCAAATTATACCAATGTATTTTGCAATATTTAGTTTTGTATTTTCTCCAACTTTGCTTGCCCTCTGTGACTATTTTCTTTCTAATAGATATAGGCCCCCGACGTTTCATGTACAATCGTGGTATGATGAAGTGAAAGACTTTAGCTACCCATATGAACATGAATGCAACCCATATTGTCCATTCAGGTGTTCTGGCCCTGTATGTACACATTATACACAGGTATGTTTGGGGGGTATTATACTTAATTCCCCCAAATTGAGTTAATGTAACTATGAAAGAAATTAGGCTAGTGAACTTGTCTTTCTTATTTAATATGGTTATTAAAAAAATTTATATGGATATTGATTATGTTGAATTGGCTTACAAAGTTCTATAAACAATGAAAATAATTATCACACAAAAAAGTCCAAACATCTACTTAAAAAGACATTATTTCAGTGATTTTGCATATCAAACATTTTTAATATAGCCCCAGTAATATGGGGGGAAATTTACCATCTTCAATGTCAAAGTTTTATCTCAAGGAATAAAAATATAGTTTTATTTACCAATGACATTCAATATTTACATGTGCAACATATATATATATATTTATATTTCGTGTTCACAATTGGTATGTTCTAAACTTCCAAATCAAACAACTAAAGGCAGATTGATAAAGCTCACTGCTGATCAGACTTATTATCAGTGAATATAAAGCAGATTGATTGTTCTGTATGCTTTTGCATGTGATAAGATTGACCAGCATCAAACTACCTGATAACCAGTGGCATGATGAAAAGATCATGTTGTATAAGAAATCTGAACATGTAAATTTTTGCTCCAGTATTTGCTGTTTAGGATGTGATTTTCTGTTCCTTTGTCAGAAAAGTTTCTTCATAGAAATGTTAATATGACATTAGGTTTGTGAGGATGTAACTTTTGAATTATTTACTAAATTTGCATTTGAAAATGCTTGCATTTTATAACCAGACACAGTTATTTTTCTGTAGCTCTGTTTTTAAAATTGAATTAGGTATTACTCAAGGTCTCAGGAAAAAGACCCTTTTTGATTTGATCTCAGTTCATTTTGAATGATAAACGTTGGCTTCTCACATTCAAATTTTATGCATTTTTCTCTCAGAAGTGTTGTCCTATTTCATTTCAGCCTGCTTTTTCTGAGCCTTTCATTTTTCTAACATAGGTCGTGTGGGCAACTAGTAACAGAATCGGTTGTGCCATTAATTTGTGTCATAACATGAACATCTGGGGGCAGATATGGCCCAAAGCTGTCTACCTGGTGTGCAATTACTCCCCAAAGTGAGTAGACAAAACACTACGTTCAGATGTACATTTTTCTTAACAAAATGAAAATACCTTTACGTTCCTGATTGTTCCCCATTTTCAGTGTGTATCACTGAAGTGTATTATTTTAATTCTGTTTATTTAATATGGCAACAATTGTAGTTGCCTAATGCATAAAATAAATGCATAAAGGGGGATATGAAATATGAAAGTATAATCTTTGTGAATATGGGAACCATATTTTTATGTCTTTGGTTTTACTCACTATACTATCCATAAATATTGAATAATTGTTATTTATTAGAGATTAACAGCTATACATTAATTGAGAAATGTATTTTCATCTGTGTAAAGACCATTTAAGGGATTATGTTAACAATGTGACACAATCATATTTAGGGTCAAATTCAAGTTTAATAATGTGTTTTTATTAAAGTAAATGGAATATAGTGAATATTCCATGGCAGAGTTTGGCTTTCTGCAAAAGTTTGATTTTGTAATTTTTAACAATATGTGTTATAAATTACTTTGTAAATTTTCAAAATGAGGCAGTAATTTATATTTAAACCTAGTAACCAGAAGGGCTCTATAATAAATTATATGAATGTCTTAAATCTATACGCCAAAATAATTACTTAGAATGTTCATATATAGTGATGTTTCACAATGTTTTATAAATTATGCCATTAGACTACTTTTTAATAGAGCGTATCATCTCTTAAAGGGGAAACTGGTGGGGCCATGCCCCTTACAAACATGGGCGGCCCTGTTCTGCTTGCCCACCTAGTTTTGGAGGGGGCTGTAGAGAAAATCTGTGCTACAAAGGTAAGTGCTATTGTGTTGTGGTATTCATGTTGATTTATATTTTAATCCAGCTCCTGCATTACTTATGTTTAAAAAAGCCAGAAGTGCACTTAATGATCACACGAAAAGTATCTAGAACTCTATTTCAAATATTTTGAAGAAATCTTTTACAAATATTTATATTACTAATAAGTTTGTTATATGAAATTTTTAAAGTTCCATGGTTATTTCAGGTAACTATTTCTGATTCTACTTTGAAATTACCCCAGAATGACAAGTATATTTATATTCTTAAAAAGAGTCATCTTGATGTATGGTTGACTAGAGTTATTTCCATAACTGTCATCTTTTTTTAAAGGATTTAGCAATTTAACACAATTTATTTTTAGCGCTTTAAACATTTTTAACAAAATACCCCTTTGTGTATCTTATTGAACCATGCTCAATGAATTATGTTGATTTTTCACTTCTCACTGCACACTATTCAATTTGTCATGCTAAAATAATAAGAAAAGTATAATAGTAACATAAAACTACTATAAAAGTAGTACTGTCAAATGCATTTGATATCTTAAAAAGTAAATATGGTGTCCTGTTTATAGCACATAAAGATAAACTGTTATGACAAAGCTTTGTGAAAAGTCATGCACTTGTGCATTCAAGTGAACATTTTTTACTGCCTTGTACTTTTTTCTTGATGACTAAAAGAGGAATAATGTAGACGAAGTGTATTAGGAAATATTTGAACAATTGCAGCCCTTTTTTAGTGCTCATAATGACACGTGTCTTTTTTTCCCTTAATGATGCATTAACTAAAATGAGTAGACAAGAAGTGCCCATATATGTCCCTCTGTTGTGTAAGCCATTTTAAAATTCCTAGAAGCGTTTGCAGCATTTTTTCCTTGTGTGGGTGTTTTTCATATTCTCTGTGTCCAAACCTCCAACCTACCTGCCTCTTCCCCGGTGACCATTATCTTTTACTTAAAGCTGACTTTCTTGTGACTTCATACTTTTTTTTTAGGTTCTGAGTTCTTGGGCATGCATCAAAATTATACACCTCTCCAAAATGTGCCATTGTCAAGCCTTTGATAAAGGCCAGTCTGGAAATAAACATTAAATTCAAAGTTTGAAATTACTCTCCATACTCAAGTTTAAATTTCTGCATATTGAATTTTCTTCTAAAGGAAAAAAACTCTATGGACATGGATTTTGTCATAAATAATAAGGGCATGTAAATCCTTCTTTAGGCCACATTTCCATTTGGGAGAAGTCTAAATGTGATCCTCCTGAAAATATTAAGAATATGATTTTAATTGAAAACAAATTTGATTTTGCTAAGCCATGACCTTATTAGATCACTGTGTAGATTTCATGGTGTCATTATGAAAATCAAACAATGATATGTTGAAATATAAGCAAAGTTTAGAAGTGGCTTCATTGAATATTAGTCGAACATTAACATAAATGAATCAAGGACTTAAAGGCTTATGTGTGTTCATTTATTCCACTGCAGTACCTAAGATCACCACCTTAAGCCAAAACCTGTGCAGAAAAACAGTACTGATTTTTCTAGTTCTAAATGTTAAATAGGAGTATTAAAGTATATTATTATTTGATAATTCATGCACATGTAAAATAGGGTTAATATTTCCTAAATCTGCTTTCTCTAACAGAAGGGTCAGACAGGTATTATCCCCCTCGAGAAGAGGAAACAAATGAAATAGAACGACAGCAGTCACAAGTCCATGACACCCATGTCCGGACAAGATCAGATGATAGTAGCAGAAATGAAGTCATAAGCGCACAGCAAATGTGTAAGACCTCCATATTACTTATAAAAATTTTCAAAGTACATAAATGGTATATCCATCAAGATTTTATTAATTTGAACATTTTTAGAATGGAAAAAATTTTGTCATTAGGCTATATATAATGAACTACAACTGCTTTTATATTATTTAAGTTATTTAGGTATTTTTTTCTTTGTAGCCCAAATTGTTTCTTGTGAAGTAAGATTAAGAGATCAGTGCAAAGGAACAACCTGCAATAGGTAATATTTGTTATTATTTTGAAAATTAATTGAATATAATAAATATTTTTATTTTGTACTGACATTCAGAGAAACTAAATTTTGTGCCCAATTACTTTTATTTAGGTACGAATGTCCTGCTGGCTGTTTGGATAGTAAAGCTAAAGTTATTGGCAGTGTACATTATGAAATGGTAAGTGTTATAAATGTAATTATTTGAGGATAGAGTCATTCCATGTAATATTTGATTTTTATTGTGCAAAATAACACCTTACATAAGTATAGATATTTTGCTCAGAAATGTTTATTTAATTGAAAGTCACATAAGTGGTAAATAGTTGGGACTTATGCAGAACTCTAATATTTTTAACATCTTTTTATCTCCTCCTTTTTTCCAAGCAATCCAGCATCTGTAGAGCTGCAATTCATTATGGTATAATAGACAATGATGGTGGCTGGGTAGATATCACTAGACAAGGAAGAAAGCATTATTTCATCAAGTCCAATAGAAATGGTATTCAAACAATTGGGTAAGTACCAAAATAATCTTTTGGACCAGATAATTTTAAATTGTAACAGTGAGCTAACACATTTTTTTTTAGAGCAAAGCATAGAATAATTTAAGAAGAAAGAATTTGGTTATTTTCAAGGTTCATTTTAGCTTGTAGTTTTCTTAGACAAAAAGAAGATAACGCATTTAAGGTCAAAGTTGAACTCTTTTGCTTTTAATGGGCATGCTAAAACTCCAAATTTTTGAGTTTCATTAAAAATGTATAAATTTACAGTTAATTCCCAGTGTAAAGCAATACATTTTTTAGCTTGACAGAAAATACCCTGAGAAGGGTAAGTAATTTGCATATTCTTCCTGTCCTATTTAGGGAAAATGGCTTATTTCATGCAACAGTAACTTTGTTGATAAGATAAATTACATTAGAGAAAAGAGCATTTTGAAAAGTTCTCTAAATATGTATTATGCTATGTCATCTTTCTTTTGTCCATTTAAAAGTATCCCAATATAAAAGCATTTAATTTTATTAATGTTTCTCCTATTAGGTGTACCAAATACCTTATTCGAAAACACTGTACATTTTTACATGTACCGTATAGAAAGTAGAAAAATGGGGGCTTTTGAAATACCTCTTTAGTGTCTTTTTTTCCCTCTAAGTAAAACAGTAAACATTACTGAAGTTCATACAGAACTCCTTTTCTTAGGAAATTTGACATTGTCTCTTTTGTTACAATACAGTTGCATGAAACTTCACAGTGGGGTTAAGTTAGAATTAATAACTATAAAAACTATTAGGAACGCTCAAAAATTTGTGGAATGATCTCCTATACAGTCTTTTTTTTTTATTGTTGTTTTTCGTTTGTTTGTTTTGTTTTTTGTCACCCAGACTGGAGTGCAGTGTCACCCAGACTGGAGTGCAGTGGTGTGATCTCAGGTCACTGCAACCTCCACCTTCTGGGCTCAAGCGATTCTCCTGCTTCAGTCTCCCAAGTAGCTGGAATACAGGTGCGTGCCACCATGCCCAGCTAATTTTTGTATTTTTAGTAGAGACGAGGTTTCACCATGTTGGCCAGGCTGGTCTTGAACTCCTGACCTCAGGTGATCCACCCGCCTCAGCCTCACAAAGTACTGGGATTACAGGTGTGAGCCACCACATCTGGCTTATACAGTCTTATTAAAAGGCTTGAAGGGTGGTTTTTAGCTGTTAGTGATAACTCTTTTTAGCCAAAAAAAAAATTTTTTTTAAAGACAGTCTCACAAGTTCAACTTTTCCTGCCTCAGCCTCCCAAGTAGCTGGGACTACAGGCACGTGCCACCATGTCCAACTAATTTTTGTTATTTTTAGTAGAGATGGGGTTTCATCAGGTTGGCGAGGCTGGTCTCAAACTCCTGACCTCAAGTGATCCACCAGCCTCAGCCTCCCATAGTGCCAGGATTACAGGCGTGAGCCACCACACTTGGCCTGAAGTTCTATAGAAATATTCATTAATTAACCTATTAACTTGGAAAACATTTATTACTTTCAATAAGTAATAAATATTAGTTATTAGCTTTAGTAAGCCAAGCAGTGGGTGTTCTGTTAAAGGACATTTATCCTGTTATTTACTTCTTTTCCTCTTACTTTTTAGTTATCTCTATTATAGAAATTCTCTTGAAACTTGAAGGCTATATTTAATAGATTGTATATTTTATGCCTCAAAGAATGTTATTTCTTTTGGACACGTTATAGATGATGAATATTAAATACAGAATTTGAAGCTGATGGAAATAAAGAATTGTTGAAACTTTACACCTTCAGTTCTGAGCTAATGTATTCAGAGAGTGTACCATGTTAAAGTACCATCACAAATAAGCCTTACCTTTTGCAATAGATGTTATATAAACCTATTAAAATTTTGATGTATAATTATGTGCCTAATCTTATATTTCAGCTTTTTAATAATGCATGTGATGAGGAGAAGTTTATTCATTTTACTGTATAATTTTGCTAGATACTAGGGGGAACAAAAAAGGAATAATGGACGCTCCCTTAGTTACTTATTATTTTGTAGTCTTTTCACAACATTGTCTTGTATTTCCTGTTGTGAAAGACTAAATAGTTTGGTCCCGTGGAGGCAGGAAATTAGTATGTGAGGGTTTTAATTTTGATAGGAACCAAATATATTTTTTATATATATATATAGTTCTATGCTATTATCTATATGTTTTTGAGATCAATAATGAAAAGAGATTACCGGAAGAATGGTGTTGATTTGGTTAATACCTGATGGTAATATGGATTTAGCATAAAACTGATGATGTATTCTTATATTGCTACTTGTCTATTTTAGTAAGTGTTTAAAAAGAAAATTAAGTGTTCATAGACTTGAAAGATACCAGAAATGATGCTGCTGCTGATGCCTATATGAAAATAATTAACATTTCTGTATTTTTACCTTCAGCAAATATCAGTCTGCTAATTCCTTCACAGTCTCTAAAGTAACAGGTTAGCACATTCTTCATCTTATTTTCTTAGTACTGTGTAGTATGTTACTGCTTTCAAAGGATTCACTCATTGTTTTGTGTTTTAATTCTTCAGTTCAGGCTGTGACTTGTGAAACAACTGTGGAACAGCTCTGTCCATTTCATAAGCCTGCTTCACATTGCCCAAGGTAAACCAGTGTACACATAGGGGGCTTTGGCCCTGTGATAACTGTTTTTGCCTGAAATTCTGATGTCTCTGGGATTCAAAAGTTGTATAATCTTGAACTTCTAAGCAGGAGGGAGCAATGAAACATCATAAACTACATGCACTCCAGGCAGGCCTAGTGTACTTTCTCAAAATGCAAAAGTATTCTCTGCTATTTCATAATGTCAGGGTTTATGCATGTAATCTGTATGTTCATCTGTGATACAAAGAGTGCCTTATTAGTCTGCTGTGGCTGCTGTAACAAAATAGCATAGACTGGGTGGTGTAAACATGAGGAATTTATTTCTCACAGTTCTGGAGGTTGAGAAGTTCAAGATCAAGGTGCTGGCTGATTCAGTTCCTGATGAGGGCTCTCTTCCTGGTCTACAGATGGCCACCTTCTCTGTGTCCTCACATGGTGGAGGGAGAAAGAGAGCTCACTCTCTTACATCCCTTCTTGTAAGGACACTAATCCTATTGGATGAGGACCCTACCCTTATGACCTCATTTAACATTAATTACCTTCATAAAGGCCCTGTCTCCAAGTTAGTCAAATTGGGGATTGAGACTTCAACATATGAACTTTGAAGGGACAAAATCATTCAGTTCATAACAATTTCTTACAACAGAAACTAAAGTGGCATAACTCATATTTTAACATCATTATCCAGTTTTTTAAATTAGATCAATCTGATTGCATTTGGTAAGTTAAAAAGCCCATCTTTACCTTTCTTTTATTTTTGTTTCTTAATATTCTCTTTTACAAGATTATAATGGAATTTATATACTATAAAATAATGAAAAAAGCTTTATTTATCTTGGCCAAGCTAAGATGAAAACTGTTAGAAGTATTATGGTTTAATCCATAATCAGTAGCTAGGAAAAATAAAGTATGTCTCCATATATCCAGTCTTAGTTCTACACACACTATTTCCATTAATGCAAATATCCACACTACTTTTAAAAACTAGTAATGAGATTTAAAGATATCATTGTAATTTGACAAAACATTTTAGTCTAAAAACTTAAGGAGCTTAATTTTTATGGAAAAGTTTATCTACTTTGGAAAAACATCATTACTTACCCTTTTGAAATGAAAGCAATGTTTCACTTAAAGAATGGGATTGGCTGTTCACAAGGTATATAACGGAATCTTTATAGCGGAAGACTGTGATCTTCATATAACAGAGTACTTCATTTTCTGTCAGTTTCTAAGTTACAGATGTGATATAAACAATAAATGTCCTCACATACAAATAGCCTGTTTCCTTTCAAATCATTTGTCTCTACTAATGCAAGAGTGCTGTTGTAATATTTTTGGTCAGCTAACTTGGTGCATGCTAATTGAGAATTTTAAAATTCTTCAGCTTGTGCGTTTGCTGAAATCAGCAGATTACCAAGTATGTAGGATAATTTGAGGACCTCTTACTGGGTGAAGTGCATCATATACTTTTTACCATTTGACCACCAATGAATTATATGCTGAATATTTTTGTGATAAAAATACAATCTCCTGTTACTAGAGCTTGACTAATTATCCTCTTATAAGGCTCACATATTTGATTAGATCATTGTTTGCTCTGTAGTCTTAGTCAATTTTGGAGAAATATTTTTTTCAGAATTCTCAAGACCCCTACACTTACAGATTGCAGTTTTATAGAAAAAAGTAAAGATGTATTGCTAGGTGAAGCTGGTAAATTTTAGCATCATAATATGTGAAAAAAACCCAGGAACTTTAGAATTTAAATTTATAAATATGTATTAAATACCTACTAAGTACGAATATTATGCCTAGCCTTATGTCAGCCATGTGACTAGGTTTATGAGGACCAAATAATAAGGAGGGTCTCTGTAGAGCATTCTAACATAAAGGCTCTCACTAGTAGATGCTCAATAAAGGGTAATTTTATAACTACAAAACAAACTATATCAATATTATTACAAAAGGGATAAATCAAGTAAAGCATTAATAAACAAGCTCCCTATTTCTTGGCTTGTTTCAGAAAGCAAAACATCGAAATAAGGAAAATGATATAAATTTTTAAAATTCATTTTAGCCTTTACTGTTACCAACATAATAAATCCATAGAAATGACAATTTATGCATAATATTGACCTTAAGTAGTCTGAAAAGCTTCTCCCTTTTTTTTTATTTCAGTGAAACAAAATTGTCATTTGTTTCTCCTGTGTAAAATTTGTAATAGTTTTGGCCAGGCGTGGTGGCTCACGCCTGTAATCCCAGCACTTTGGGAGGCTGAGGTGGGTGGATCACGAGGTCAGGAGATCGAGACCATCCTGGCTAACACGATGATACCCCATCTCTACTAAAAATACAAACAAAAATTAGCCGGGCGTGGGGGCGGGTGCCTGTAGTCCCAGCTACTCCAGAGGCTGAGCAGGAGAATGGCGTGAACCCGGGAGGCCGAGCTTGCAGTGAGCTGAGATTGCGCCACTGCACTCCAGCCTGGGCGAAAGAGCGAGACTCTGTCTCAGAAAAAAAAAAAAAAAAGAAAAAAAATTGTAATAGTTTCATAAACTGGGTTATAATGATATTATTTATATGACAGGTTATAACTTTTAGGGAACCATGTAGTTGGTATATTTCTTTTAGAATTTCATATGACTTAAGTAGGCTGAGGCATAGTCTATTCTGGAGAAAAAATGACAATAAATAAATTAATGAAATTAGCTCAAGAAGACCTTGAAGAAACAAGATTCCTGCAAGTCATGTCCTTGAAAGTTTCCATGTCTGGTAGAACAATTCAAAATAAACTATCTAACTATTATTTAGTAACCATTTGGTGGCTATGTAGTAATTATTACTTAGTGTCTTATAAAAATTATAAGAAATGTTATCCAGTTTTACATATACCTACAAACAATTAGATCTTTAAAATTTATTGAATGCTCAAGATGTAAAAGTAGATATTAAAGTATGTCAGCATTTTCATTCAAAGTTTACCGGCAAATTGTAGGTAAAAAAAAAAAAAAAAAAAAAGTTTACCGGACCAGTACCTACCTTCTCAGTAGTATGTAACAAGCTGTTAAAAACAGATTGGAATACAAACAAGCAAAAAACTTCCCCCAATCTTTGTTTTACCTGAACTCATCTAAGTAGAAACTAACTCAACTTGGACTACTGACTTTGGCATTCCACAAACCAGCAGCTGAATATGGGCAAGATAAAGTTTGCAGAGCATGCAGAGCAAGTGATTTTAACAGCCATAAGGATGACGGTGAATGCCTAGCAGTTCTCAAATACAGTAAGATCAGTTTCCAGTCAAAGGGGACACCCTTCTTCCTGCAGAAACCCCAAACAGCATCTTTTATAACAATCAAGCCTTTAATTCAAAGTTATAGAAACTCAGATGGATTTATTATATTTAAATGGTTCTGGTTTCCATGTTATGTGAAGTATATACACTCTAGAATATACAGTGTTATACAAATTTTAGAAATAAAAACTATAACTATTTCTTAGAAATGTTATATTCTAAGATCTTCCTATGTTAAGGAAGATCTGCTTCAATTGGCAAGGGTAGTTTCAACTGAAGTATATTTAGAATACTTTTAGGAAAATTGTTGATGCTATCATCCACTAATGATTATCATGTAGTTATGTTAACAGTCTCATTTACTACTTAAAATTGTGTGTTTTCCAGTTTTAGTTTGTGTTTCCTTTTAGTGATGAGTGCGTGTGTGTGTGTGTGTGTGTGAATGCAGACGAGCCACTTGATTAAAAGTAAAGTGCCATTTGACAGTTTCTTGAACTTTGAGAGTAGATTTTTTAAAATATCATGTGATTGATTAAATATTGATAATTGGATCCTACGTTTAAATAAAAAGCTTTTGGTCATATTGTATTAGAGCCTGAACAACAAAAAAAGTGTTTGGAAATGTCTTTGAAGTGAGCTAAGCCAACCAGATATCAGTAAGGCAGTAGGATTTCTGGAGGAAGTGCATTCCATGCAGAGAGGAAGATAAATGCAAAGGCTCTAAGGCAGAAGCCTATTGTGTGTGTTTGAGGAATAACCATTAGGCCCATGTGACTGGAGCAGGGTGAGAAAGTGGGAAAGGAGTAAGATATAAAGTTGGAAAGGCAGTGAGGATAGAAGATGCAGGGCTTATTGACCTTCCTGAGGCTCTTGTCATTTACTCTGAATGTGATGGAAGCCACTGGAATATTTGGAGCAGAGGAATGATGTGTTTGGACTTGTACATTTGTTGTTGTTGTTTTGTTTTGTTTTGAGATGGAGTCTTGCTGTGTTGCCCAGGCTGGAGTGCAGTGGCATGATCTCAGCTCACTGCAACCTCCGCCTCCCAGGTTCCAACAATTCTCCTCCATCAGCCTCCCAAGTAGTGGGATTACAGGCACCCAGGACCATGCCCGGCTAATTTTTGTATTTTTAGCAGAGACGGGGTTTCACCTTGTTGGCCAGGCTGGTCACAAACTCCTGACCTCAGGCGATCCACCCACCTCGGCCTCCCAGAGTGCTGGGATTACAGGCATGAGCCACTGCGCCTGGCTGGACTTGTACGTTTTAATATAAGTATGGAAAACAGATTGGAGAGGGCCAAATTGGAAGCAGGGAGACCATAGAAGAAGCATAGAAGAGCCTATTGCAGTAAGTTAGACAGTAGATGATAGAGCCCAGAGTTACCATGATTGAGGTGCTTGGGGATGCTCTGATCTTGGATATGTTTTCATGTACAGCCAATGGAAATTGCTGATGGGTTGAATGTAAGGTGTGAGATTAAGGGAGGGATTGAGGATAGAAAGGTTTCTGGCCTGAGCACTTGGAATCATGGAGGTGCCATTTATTGCAATGGGAAGCCTACGGAAAGAAACAGATTTGGGAACTAGAGAAGGAGATTAGGAATTTGGTTTCATACATGGTAAGTTTGAGATGTTTATTATAGCTAAGTGGAGATGTTGAATAAGCAGTAGGATATTCAAGTATGGAATTAAGAGATCTCCCAACTGGAAATGTAAATTTGGAAATTAGCCATTTAAAGATGATAATTAAAACTATGAAATTGGATGAGATTCCAAAGATGTGAATATAAAGAAGAGAATCTATGAGATGTATGAGGCAGACAATGATTCAGATTTTCCAAGTTATTGGTTTACTAAATTCTACAGATACATTGGGTACCAACTTCTCAGATACATTGAGATGCTTTCTGATGTTTCTTTTGGCTTCAAATCCCCACATTAGAAAGCTTCCTAACTAATTTTTTTTAAATGACATTTATGCCAAAAGATAGATAAACAGAAGCAATTGTGTCTACTGCTTGGGCTTGTACAATTGACCTATTTCAGGAGAAAAAATGAGTAGGGTTTAGAATGTTGAGCTTACTTTGTGTATGCATATCTGTGGTTTTACTAATAAGAAAGACTTAAGTAACCAGCTTACTTAATATATATATAATATATTATTTTTTTCAGAGTATACTGTCCTCGTAACTGTATGCAAGCAAATCCACATTATGCTCGTGTAATTGGAACTCGAGTTTATTCTGATGTAAGTATCCTAATTTATACAGCTGTCAACATTCATGTATATATATAAATGTATAGACACATTTAAATGTGTATATGTACATTTATATACAGAGCGAAGAAACAGACTTTGTTAATGTGTGTTCTCAGAAGAGTTAAACATCCATATCACTGAAAAATTAATATCCATATGTACAATAAGAGTGTATAATTATTTGACAAAATTTTTCTTCACTTTCTCCCCATATGTTTTATATAAGACACATAATGAAATAGTCTGTAGTTATTGTTGGGAAGGAAAATGTGTTTTGTTTTTCTTTTGATTCTTTAGTATTTGAAGTCTGAACTGGATAATTAAGAATTTGTCAAAAGTTGAAACAATATCTTCACTGCCAAACGGCCATTTAAAATGTAGCATAGAGTCATAGAGATGCTACATTGAAATATATGCAAAAGAGAACTAGTTGAGGGGATGTTGTAAGAGATGACTTTAGTGGGTTGGACAAGGAATGTGAGCTGTGATGGCCCAGGCTGGAGTTCAGTGGCATGATCATATCTCAGTTTAACCTCAAACTCGGGCTCAAGTGATCCTCCTGCCTCAGCCTCCCAAGTAACTAGAAGAACAAATACATGACACCATGCCTGGCTCTTTTTCTATTGTTGTAGAGATGGGGTCTCACTGTGTTGCCCAGGCTGGTGTGGCCTCAAGCAGTCCTCCTGCCTTGGCCTTCCAAGGTGCCAGGCCTGTTAAGTGCTTGTTGAGCCAGGTTTTTAGTGTTGGTTGCTAAAGAGGATCAGGGAACGTGTTCTAGTGGGATAAGTGACATTTACAAAGTAACGGAGTTAAGAGTCAATGAGCTGTACATCAGACTAGCAGATAGCTTTGTCTCTAAGCTGCTGAAAATCGGAACGAAAAGGGGCTTCAACCAAGTTAGTCTGAGAGAGAGAGGAATCCAGCTCACATCAGTGTGTAGACAAAGTCTGAAAGTGCATGCTGATGAGTTTACGTTTTATGAGGCAAACACTTAGAAACCATTACAGATTTCTAAGCCAGAGAGTTACAAATGCAAATTTAGGAAATGTCTTATGCACATATTCAATAGAATATTAAGGGAATTTGATCATGTAAAGAGGCCTGAATATGTACATTACCACCTATTTCTCTTGGTGAGCTTACTTACCAAGATTTTTTTCAGTTCAGCTTTACCTTTGCAGTTATTTTCCAATTCTGAGTCTCTCTCAAGCTCCAGATTTGCACTGGTCTTATGTGCCACTGAAAAGTCCTGCTGGTATCTTGAATGTACTAGTCTTCACATTTGTGCTTATATTCTTGCCTCTGTTGAAATACAGTATTTTTGCAAATTTTATGTCAAAACTGTGGTCATTTTTCAAAACCTAAATTATTGCCACTTTCTCTGTGAGGGTGCGTTGCTGGACCTTCCAACCCAAGTATGAAGTTGCCCTTATTTCAACCCCTATAACTTCATTTTTTCCTTTTGGCACTTAGCCTGTTGTATTGGGTATTATGATTATTACCGTATCTCTTTTATTAGTTTGTAAGTTTCTCAAGGGCAGCAGCTGGGTTATTCATTCATCATTTTGTGATCACTAATTTGATGTCTGCCAAGCTGTGAACAAGACAGGCATGTTCTGCCTGAACAGGGCTTAGAGCACATAGCTACGTCAGGTATTAACCAAGTACCTTGCACATAAGTATTTGTTGAAACAAGTAGATTAATAAATATATAGGAATATGCATATCTGAACTCAACAGAGATTTCCAAAGAAATCATACTTTTCAGATTTTCCCTTTAAGCAGGAGAACTTTTAATTTTAGTCACGTCTAGTGAAAGTCTTTCAAAATATCCTGTATACTTCTATGTCTTTAAAGTCATCTATTTGCTAGAGTTAAGGTTTTGTTGGAACTCATATCTTGAGATCATTTTATCTTTCTACCCTCAGTGAAATGGCTGCATAATATGTGTCTTATATAGGTCCTTTGAAGAGTAAGTTGGAAATATAAAGATTACTGTCAAATAGCAAGTATGAAATCAGAGATCCAATCGTTAATAGCCAGTCTTCCTGGCCCTACAAAATACATTATCTCTCCAAATAAAGGATGGAAATGTGAGAATCAATCAGCCAGACTCCCTCCCTCCTTCCCTTCTCTTTCTTTCCTTCCATTTATAGAGCTAGACCTTGTACATTCTGTTTCTTTGAACTTTTAGTTTATTATATATTTCTGCATTCATTAAAAAAATTCTATTTTTACAGATAATTCTTTTCATCATATATTAGTTTTTAAAAAGTCTGAGTATGAAAAGAAAATGTCTTCTGACCTTTGAACTCAAATAGGGATGCCTGCTGAATCTATAATTGCAGGCAATACAATAGTCTCAAAACATATTAAATACTTGGACTTAGTAAATGTTATATCTAAGCACTTTTGTTGCCTTGGGAAAAATGCTGATTAATATCCTTTTAACAGAACAAATACTGAAATGTGCACGGAATTATTTTTAATTCCATCTGTTAAGAACCATATTGGAGGCAAATATAATTCAATGGGACTTTAAGTGTTGAAGAAAATGTCTTTGAGTAAGGATGCAGGTTTTAGATACATGGTATTTTGCGATACAGCAAAAGCATGGAAAGGATTAAACAGCTTGGCATTCAGACTCTGATCTAGTAAATACTGACTGATGCTCTAGAGTTCACAACACAGTAATAATGCAAGGTCATGTAAGATATACATGCTTATTTTAAAAAGCATATTAAATCACTCACATGTGCATAGAGATAAGAAAAGAACACACCACTGGGATCAGAAAAGACCCATGGGCATTTGACATGGATTGCTTTATACTGAAACAGTTCAAATATTGTCTTTGGTTGGATTTCCTTGGATTGTACTTAGTTGTTGACAAATTTTGGTAAAACATTTGGACTAAAGCAAATGTTAAAATCTTGAGAAGATTTTAATGGGCCAAAAGAAATGATCTGACTTTTAGAATTCAGTAGTTTTAAAAATTCAAAAGTATTGGACCTGAAACAACAATTTTCTTCTCCATAGAAATCCCATTCAATTCAGATTATATGACTAGTGCAATGTAATCATAGGACTTTCCTAGTATTTCATGTCAGACCATTCAAACTAAGTTGACAGGCATTACAAATCTAGGTAGAAGCTATGATGATTCTTCATTTTTTTCTTTTTAGGGTTATTCTTTTAGGCAAAGTTTCTCTGTGTAGATTATATTATTTACTAAGAAAAAAACTGCCCCATTTCTTGTATTTTGGAAGAGGGGCCATAGTCATATGCAGAACTATGGTGGAGTTTGTATTAGGCAAAAGTGAACATACATGAGGGATGAATAATCTAACCTATGAACATTTGGTCAGAGTGAGCCCAGTATAGAACAAAGGCTAACATTTAAGAATGACAAACAGGACCTAGAAGAGATAAAAGAAGCTAATTTGCTTTTTATTGCTTTGATACTCTAAAGCCTACTGTTTGGACAGAACAGGTATTTGCTAGATTAGATTGGGGAGGGGTCTTACCGTTGCAGTCACCTTTAAGGTTGGCCTTCAGACTTGCTCCAAATTGGCTTTGACTTTGTGACGTTTCAAACACTCTTTTATGCACAAAACCTCATCCTGTAGCTGCTCACTGGCTATCCATGACATCAGGATGTCAGCGACTTCAGTCTATTAATAATAGAAGAATAGGCTGGACAAGTCCAGCAGGAATTTCCAATAATGGCAGTTTGTTTCTTTACCTTCTCAGCTGTCCAGTATCTGCAGAGCAGCAGTACATGCTGGAGTGGTTCGAAATCACGGTGGTTATGTTGATGTAATGCCTGTGGACAAAAGAAAGACCTACATTGCTTCTTTTCAGAATGGAATCTTCTCAGAAAGGTAAAAACAAAACATATGTATGTATACTTTTAAATACCATCTATCACTGTATTCATGATTGCTTTACAGTTGACCCACTTGAATATTTTTAATTTTTTTCAAAGTTAAGTGGCAGAGCCAGTGTGTTCCTTTGCACACTTGTGTACCAGTCAGCCTTCCAGGGATGGGAGAAGCTGTAGTACCAGAGGTGCCTGTCTCCTGCAGGCTTATAAAAATCAACATGAAAATCGGATTACAAGTCAGAACTACTCTTTTGTTAATTAGTCTTATAATTAGGAACTTTCTTTCATCCTCTTTTGGATTTTCTAGATTAGTTTTATATTTAATTCTTTCTAGGTGAGCAAGGCACAGAATATTTCTCTAATCCAGTTATCTGATAAAGTATTTGACAAAAACAATGTCTGATTTTCCCTAGAACCAAATTCTCTTATTGATTTGAAGTTGGATGCCTAGTGTGATATAAATGAACTCTTTCAGGTCATTTTTCATATTATTTAACCCACCCACTAGTGTCATATATTTTGGTGATTTGAGAAAATTCATGTAACTCACTTTATCAGGTATCAATAAATATTAAAATAAATGAAGCAATGGTGATTTTTAAAATCATTATTACTTATAAAAGTAATATTAAAAGTCCTATTTATTTGTATATAGAAAAATCCCTAACTTTTAGATATTTCCTGGATTCTTCAAAATTGCTAATGGAGAACACACACATGTACACCAAAGGATGTGTCATACGGGGTATCTAGATTACCTTCAACATAACCATCTGGGTGTCATCCTCACAAAAATACAAATCTGCATTATCTGTTTTCATATTAGACTATATCAAGAGGTAAGTGTTGAGAAAGTGACATTTCTACAACCTGCTCATGGCCTCCTTAAACAGAATAATATATAAAATGGATCTTTGAGTTATAAAATTGGATATGCAATTTTATAAGCTAAACTGAGTGATATGGTTTTATGTATGCCTCGTAATTCTTAGATTTATTTTAAAACTATAAAACGATAGGTGATATCCTAATAAAACAGTATAATAATTATTTTTGAGTACCTACTATGAATATTCCAGATGTTAGATGCTCCTGAGCACTCTAAGTATGTTAGCTCAGCTTCGACAGCCCTGAAATGTCAGGCCTATACCCGGAGATATATGTGTGTGTGTGTGTGTGTGTGTGTGTATATGTATGTGTGTGTGTCTGTGTATATATGTATGAGTGTGTGTATATATGTGTGTATATGTATATGTGTGTGACTGTATATATGTGTGAGTATGCATATGTGTATGTGTATGTATATATGTGTTTCTGTGTATATATGTGAATGTATATATACACACACATATAGATACGTATATACACTTCTATATACACATATACATACATATATATACACATATACATATATATATGTTAACTGAGACTCTGAGGGGTTAAATGATGTGCTCAAGTTCATATAACTTGTAAATCTCAAAGCTCAGATTCAGTCTGTAGGCTCAGAGATATGTGTTATTCCAGTATTTAACTGTGTACAAAAAGGAAACACACCAAACACATTCATTTCCTAAGGCACTCAGTCAGTTTGTTTCTCATAAATAAAATGGCTTTGGATTGGCCATCTACTTGCATGAAAAACCTGGCATACATGCATGCACATGTGTGTATATGTTGTGTGTGCGCACTTGTGATACCCTTATTTTTGCTCACTCAAATTCTCTCCCTTTTTTCTTGTATGAATAAATATATAAAACATAGTTCACTTTGTCTCTTTCTTAGTATTTATTTTATTGATCTCCAAAAGTCTTTTGTAATTATTAAGAAAATAAAACTTTATGTAAAAGCTTCAAAAGCTTACAGTTGATTTGAATAAATAATGATTAATGGTACTACCAATCTGTTTTAACTTTTAGACATTTAAACAAAACATACCTTGATTTACGTTGCTAAATAAATATAAACAATTTAATAAAGAGTAAAATTTATGAGTCTGCATTACTTTTAACTTCTATTTAAAAGTACTTTCAAAATGAGATTGAATGCTCTGTGTGTGTGTGTGTGTGTGTGTGTGTGTATTTTTTCATTTCAGTGAAGATATTCTTAGGTCTTTCAGATTTGACCATTAAATATCCTTACTAACATTTTCCTTGAAATTATAGATGTTAAGAGTATTAATCTGTATGATAGCAATGTAATTTAAATTTTGTCAGACTTGGGCAATGATAATAAGCTAGCGCTCTAGAGTATTGCCTAAGTATCAGCTATCTTTTTAGCTTGTAACCGTGCATATCAGTTGTAAATCTGAGTCTCAGTATTCCCCATTAAAATTGAATAACAGCTGCTGAACTCTGCTGTATTAGAATGAAAGGAGGTAATATAGGAAAACATGATCTAGAATCTGTGAAGTTCTGTGGAGACTACTATTATTACCATTACACATCTTAAATGTTATTAGTAAACTTGCAGCCCAGCATAGAACCAAGAGTTAAGAGTTATGTCATCCTCATTCGAGCTTTCCAATAACTATAAATTATAGTAGCCTAAGAAAGTTGACCATCTGGATTCATAGAGCTGCTTTCTTGACTGTCATAAGAAAGCATGATTTGTAAGAAGGATTATGTATAGAGATGACATCAATATACTTTTCATATATTTTTTTTTTTTGCAGTTTACAGAATCCTCCAGGAGGAAAGGCATTCAGAGTGTTTGCTGTTGTGTGAAACTGAATACTTGGAAGAGGACCATAAAGACTATTCCAAATGCAATATTTCTGAATTTTGTATAAAACTGTAACATTACTGTACAGAGTACATCAACTATTTTCAGCCCAAAAAGGTGCCAAATGCATATAAATCTTGATAAACAAAGTCTATAAAATAAAACATGGGACATTAGCTTTGGGAAAAGTAATGAAAATATAATGGTTTTAGAAATCCTGTGTTAAATATTGCTATATTTTCTTAGCAGTTATTTCTACAGTTAATTACATAGTCATGATTGTTCTACGTTTCATATATTATATGGTGCTTTGTATATGCCACTAATAAAATGAATCTAAACATTGAATGTGAATGGCCCTCAGAAAATCATCTAGTGCATTTAAAAATAATCGACTCTAAAACTGAAAGAAACCTTATCACATTTTCCCCAGTTCAATGCTATGCCATTACCAACTCCAAATAATCTCAAATAATTTTCCACTTAATAACTGTAAAGTTTTTTTCTGTTAATTTAGGCATATAGAATATTAAATTCTGATATTGCACTTCTTATTTTATATAAAATAATCCTTTAATATCCAAATGAATCTGTTAAAATGTTTGATTCCTTGGGAATGGCCTTAAAAATAAATGTAATAAAGTCAGAGTGGTGGTATGAAAACATTCCTAGTGATCATGTAGTAAATGTAGGGTTAAGCATGGACAGCCAGAGCTTTCTATGTACTGTTAAAATTGAGGTCACATATTTTCTTTTGTATCCTGGCAAATACTCCTGCAGGCCAGGAAGTATAATAGCAAAAAGTTGAACAAAGATGAACTAATGTATTACATTACCAT
Source organism: Homo sapiens (assembly GCF_000001405.40). NCBI lineage: Eukaryota > Metazoa > Chordata > Mammalia > Primates > Hominidae > Homo > Homo sapiens. The sequence goes on from NC_000008.11 coordinate 75,033,080, forward strand.
TGCCACTGATTTTTTTTTAAATGGTAAATGACCTTGTATATAAATATTGCCATATCATGGTACCTATAATGGTGATATATTTGTTTCTATGAAAAATGTATTGTGCTTTGATACTAAAAATCTGTAAAATGTTAGTTTTGGTAATTTTTTTTCTGCTGGTGGATTTACATATTAAATTTTTTCTGCTGGTGGATAAACATTAAAATTAATCATGTTTCAAAGTTTTATTTTCAGTTCCTTTTGCATGCCTATTTTGATTTAGAAATCACTTTAAGATAAATGAACAAAATTATTGTAAGTCTTCTAAACTTGGTTTATTGACGTTAGTATAAATAACATACAATACCAGATGTCTACAAAATCGACCTGATTATTTAGGTATTTGTATGTGAAAGAGAAACACATATTTAGAAACACAGCAAGGGAGATTTTGAATAAAGAGAGAGATGAATTTATAAAGTAGGAAAAAAAGAATCTGAAAGATACAAAGTGATTATAAAAGAATTGACAGGACAATAAATACTTCAAATACTTTTAGGAAGTAAATGAGTAGGAGTTTAGGAGGGATAAACGAGATAAATTCCATGCAATGATCAAGGAAAGCAAGAGAGCAGATAATACAAAAGAAAAAGAAGAAGGTTCACATAAATAGCTTCTGGAGTGCAAATTATAAAGACATCAACATTTTTGATCATATAATAAGTACTGGCTTACAGCTAAGTGGTTCCAAATACTGGTAATTAAAACAATGATGTATACGTTAAAGATTGCAAAACTTAAAAGCAGATTTTTATGGGAACTTTTTTCGAAAGGATACATGACCACCTTCTTAAATAGTATGACTTTACATAGACTCTTTTTCTGGTCCTTACTGCTCCTCCCACAACAGGGAAGCCCGATCAGTTCTGTCAGTATAAGGTTTTCTTCTATTTGCCCTTAGTTTAGATCTCCATCATCAATTCCACTTACTATTGTAATACCTTCAGCTGGAGCCTGTGTCTTTCTCCATTCCTTTTTAATACATTCGTATTTCCCAGCCCCAGAACCCTTGAAATTAACTCTTCCATGAGTTTTCATTGCTGAAGAAAAACCAAACATTCTTGTAAAAACATTTAAGAACTTCCATAGTCTTGTTCATATTGTTTACCTATCTTCTACACAAGGCGTGTCCTTGGGTAAGTTATTTAACTTCAATTTACCTTACCTGTAAAATGGAACAAATAATATCTCCTTAAGATTGCTCTACGAATTAATTGACACATTATGTGTGATGTACTTAAAGGAATAATAAATGCATAATATGAGGTCAGTGGACGCCATTTTCTGTTATAATCATTTTTGTTATCTAATTTGGGGAAACTATTCATCTGTCATATACTATTGATCCTTTGGCACTTAAATAAATGTGAAATCCTCCAGGAATTTTCCTGTGATTCTCCTTGTAAGAATTAAATGCTCTCTAATATGATATCCCTTTAATTTGACCATTGTAATTATTTAATTTGTTTTATTATATTCTTTAAAAGATAAGCTCTTTGAGAATGGTAATACTCTTACTCATCTCTCTACCCAAGAGCACAATTACCTCTGAGTTTTACTTCCTTGGACTCTACAAATGGTATATCAGTATTGTTGAGTGAGCATTCCAACAATTCCTAATTTTATTTTTGATGAAAATGAATATTTTTTCCACATTATAGTGTGAGGTCAACACAAAGTGCTATAGCTAGTGAAAATAGTTTATTGATAGACGTGGATTTAAAACAGATCAATGCTTGTAGAATAGTATTAATGTCATTATTTTAGCATTTAAAGTTTACCAGACCATGTGTTACTTTAATACTTTTCATATATCAAAAAATAATTTTGTATTTTAAGCATAGTATTATGAAAATAAATTACTCTCCTAACCTTAGATAATTTGCATATTACAGGGTCCACTTTTCAATACTGTCCTCTAAAATCTTGACTGTTCTCTTGCTGTTCTAAAATGTTTTTAAAGAAATGTAAACTCTTCTAAATAGCATGGTGAGTCAAGCAAAGAAACAGCTATCATTTTTGCAAACATACCAAATTTCAGATTTGGACTTTAAGCTAATTCATTGCACAAAGAATTACATTGTTGGAGTTGATTTTAAAAACTTATCTGAGGTGACATCTCTACCCTGGCACCATAATATTCAGGAGCTGAAGAAATAGTTTAGTGAAATAATCTGATCCTCTTTTATTAATTTGTTGTAATTAAGTCGAAATTATATCATCAGTTTGAGATTTAAAAAAGGCAGGCAAACTCTTTAGAACACTGCTCTTATACTTAATAATTAGATATTCTCTACTTCCTTTTATCCCCCAATCCTTATGTCACCTTGCACGGAATTATCAGAACGTGAAACAATGCTGGTAAGCAAACATCCTTGCACTAGACCATTAAGTTATGAAAACTAATTTTCCAATGATTACTAACAAATATTTTCTGATTAAAACCATAGTGAATTGGCAATTATGTTTACCACTATACTGATGAAGAAGATGAAAAGCAGAGGGCCTACAAATGACTGTATCTGATAAGCTCAGTTTAAAAAAAAAAAAAAACGTGTACAGAAGATGAAGTAGAAATTAGAGATACTTATTTAAAAGGCATGAACTGATTGCAAATATCATTAGGGGCTGGATGTGGTGGCTTAAGCCTGTGGTCCCAGCACTTTGTGGGGCCGAGGTGAGCAGATCAGTTGAGCCCAGGAGTTTGAGACCAGTCTGTGCATGATGAAACCCCATCTCTACATAAATTAGCCAGGTGTGGCGGCGCCTGCCTCTAGTCCCAGCTACTTGGGAGGCTGAGATGGGAGGACCACCTGAGCCCAGGAAGTTGAGGCTACAGTGAGCCGTGATTGCACCACTGCACTCCAGCCTGGGCAACAGAGCAAGACCTGGTCTCAAAAAAAAAAAAATTAATTAGAAATGCTTTTAAAAAGCCTAGCCTGATTGAGTCCTTATGCTAAGAGAGATAAGAATTTTTTACAAAATGATATGAGAGCAGCATGATTAGGTACAATATAACAAAAAACAAATAGCCCCTTCTGAAGCTTTCTGCTTTCATTCATGCAAAAATTACTGAGTTCCTACAATCTGCTATAGATTTGTGCTGATCACTGTAGATATGTTTATAAACAAAAATGCCCTCAGGAAATTAGATTCTTGTGAGGAACACATACTAATTAGATAATCACATGAATAAATATACGAAACCATGGAGATTATAGAACTTTGTTACTACAAAGAAAATATTTATGGTACCATGGCAGTATTGAAAAGTAGGACTTAACCTTGCGGGAAGAGTAAAGATGACTTTCCTGAGGAACTGACATAAAGTTTAGAAGAACTTAAGGATGAGTAGAAGTAACTTGGAAGGGGAATAATTTCTTACATAAATAAACACAATGCAAAATACCTTATGGCAGGAATAGTCTAGAAACAACAGCAACAAAAAGCTGAAGGCATGCTGTACGTGAGTCTGGACACGTAAGCGGGGGAGCAGAGAAAGGTTGAAAGAATCTCTTTAGGGTTAAAATGCACTGTTGGTGCTCTAACAGATGCCCAACATGAATAACACTATGACATGACACATAGTAGTATACTCAAAAGCCACTCAGGAATTCAGAGTTTGAGCACAGGAGCAAAGTATGAGATACATTCTGTATTAATAACAAACTTAGAGTTTTATAGCCCTTTACAATAAGGTTATTTAATACTCCTGGGATCTAGAGTTTGATTCTTACATGATTAATATGTCTATAAGCAATGGATTGAAGATGATTGAGAGCAGGAAGAAGGATGACGTGTATTGAGAACCAACAATATTTTAGAAACATTGCTATACATTTAATGTATTTGGTTCTCACAACAAACTGTGAGACAATATTATTTTCCCATTCTTATGTCTCAGAATGTAGATTCTAAAAGGTTAAGCAACACTGTCTAGGGCCTTGAGTTTGGGAAATGTGATTCATGTCTCCATCTCTCTAAATCTAAAGCCCATCTCTTGCTACTGGATCACTTCTGCTGGACATTTCCATGGGGACAGGGAATAATTTCACTAGCTCTCCTTACATCAGGTTTAGAAATACTCTTAAACAGAATTCTGTAATCTTTGAATATGCCATACATTTGTTAGATGTAGAAAGATCTGTAGAAGAGGAGTAGAGATTTAGCTTTCTTTAAAAGTAGACTATAAAAAATTTTAAAAAGAATATTGATTCAGGGAACACCAGGAAAGGATGAGGTTTGTGTTCCATAGATTTTGAATTAGTAAACTACTTTTTCAAGAAAATAGACTGAATTACTTCCCTTTCACCAATTCATAAAAAGGGAAATAAAGACAAATAAAAATGTTATGCTCATAAAAGCATGGATATCCTGAAAGTGGATGGCAGTTGAAATCATATTGACAATTCAGAACACATGGTGCCTCAGCTCAGAGCCCACCCAAGAGAAGGGTGCAGTTGAGGAGAAGGCTTCTCTTTATGGTACAGCCATAAAGCAAAGTGATTGAAGAATCTGCCTTCTGATTTTCATTCAGGTGGGCTCCTGGATTTCACTCTACCCTTCAACCCCACCCTGCCCACATACCCTCAAATGAGTCCGCCAAATTAACATGCCATGATACACATAAAGAACTTTAAGTCAGACTTCTCTTATCCAGGTGACAGGTTGGCAAAGAGATACCTACTTTAATCAATCCAGTTCTTCAAACAGATATAAAAACAGACAAAATGAACTGTCAGACATAAGCACAGAAAAGCAAGCATCACATCAACTGACACCAGAAGCAGCAGATGTTTCAGAGAAAACAAAAGTACCTCTTAAAATCTTACCATCAATATCCTCAGGGGATACAGTACACCCGTAAAACAAGAACAGACTAATATAGAAAAGAAACCATTAAAGAATAAGAAAACCATATTTTGGAAGACATTAAAGTAGTTAAGACTTAGCCATTGGACTTCAGGAAGCAAGAATGATAACATGCTTGGTGGTTGTGCCTAGAATGTAGGAATTCTGGGAGAAGCATTGAAGTGGAAAACATAACAAAATTTCTTGTTAAAGATAAAAATACAAAATGCATATAGATACCCACATACATGATAACATTAGATATTGTTAATAATTATGTAAAATTAGGCATAAACTGTGACGTAACAATGCATTTCTACTGAAAAATGTTGTTTCCATGTCAACTTTGCTTCTTTCTAGTTGGCTAATGCCATTCAAATTTCACTAAACTTTGCTTAAGCATAGTTTGCTCATATGTAATATGGGAATTATAATTACTTCCCCACAGGGTTGATAACAGAATTAAATTAAATAATAGAACATAGCTGAAATTACCTAGCACTTGCCGAACACTAACTAAATGATAGTTCCATATGCATATTGCATTTTCTCAGAGGTTGTGCGGATTTTATTTCAGATTTTCATGAACCATGTTCAATCATTTTAAATCAAATTTATTGAGGTATAATTTAAATAAAAAAGATGTCTTTTCTAGAGTTTTATATTAATATATAGTATTACTGTCTTCTGCCTTGCCTTTCTTGCTCAGCATGTTTTTGAGATTTGTTCATATTGTTACATTTAGCAGTAATTTTCTTCTTTTTATGATTAAGTGGTATTTTATTATATGAATATCCATCAATTGTCTTATCTTTCACCTATTAACAGACACTATAATTGCTCCATCCTTTATTTAATACAAGTAGAGCTGTTAGAAACATTCATGTACAAGTCTTTGGGTATACATATATTTTCATTTTTAGAGTAAATAAGTAGAATTTCTGGGTCATATGGTAAATATACAATTAAAAGATTTTGCTGAACTGTTTTTCAAAGTGGTTGTGCCATTTTACATTCTCACAGTAAATGTAACAGAGCTTTCATTTGCTCCACATGTTGGCAAACTCATTGTTTTTCTATTTTAATTAATCTTTTATATCTATTAAAATAATATAAATAAATTAATTCTATTTGATATTTTTGATTTTAGTGATTCAACTGGTGTGTAATGCTATCTTATTGGAGTTTTATTTGGCATTTACCTGATGAATAATACCATTGAGCATCTTTTTATGTGTCATTTGTATATCTACTTTGTGAAATACCTGTTCAAATATTTTTCCCATTAAAAATTGGTTATCTTTTTATATTTAGATATACATAAGTACATATATAAATATATATGTATATCTTTTTGAAAGTTTATATATATATATAGATGAACTATATATAGAAAGTTTGAATATTTTCTTCCAGTTAGTGGCTTAACCCTTTTTTAATGACATCTTTTGAAGAACAAAAGTTTTAAATTTTGATGAAGTACAGTTTACCTTTTTTTTTTTCTTTGGGGGGATTTACACTTTTTGTGTCATATCTAAGAAATCTTTGCTATCACCAAGTTGCAAGAATTTTTTAATATGGTTTTCTCTAAGAGTTTTATAAAGTCTGTGATCCACTTGAGCTAACTTTTGTGCATAGTGTGAGGTAAAGGTGGAGGTTTATTTTTTTCCATATGGATATTCAATTTTTCAAGTACCATTTGTTGAAAAGATGATGCTATCCTATTGAACTACCATTACTGTCTGTTAAAGAAATCAATTGATCACTAGTATATGGATCTATCCTTGGACACACTATTCCAGCACCAACCAATAGAAATTTAATATGAGCCACACATGTGATCTTAAATTGTTGAATAACTACATTAGTAAAAAAAAAATTCATGTGAATAATACATTTTATTTGATCTATCATATCCAAAATATTGTTTAACATATAATTTGTATAAAAATATTTGGTAATAATTTTGTTCTGAAGACTGATATTAATCTTGCCACACCAGGATTCACATGACAGCCACTGAATAATTTCCATCCATCCACTTACTTTTTTTTGAGACCCAATTTTTATGCATTTTGGTGTATACATTGCATAACTTGCAGTGTTATTCTCAGACTATTGGCACATGCATACAGTCATCTAGCAAGCAACACAATCAATTCAAAAATTCTTTGGTGCCCCATTGTCTTCCATGCTGTCTCCTGTTCTCAGTCCCTGTAACCCCTGTTCTGTTTTGTCAGATAGTTTTACCTCTTTCAGAATTTCATAAAAAATAAAATCAGTGTAATATTTTAAGTCTGGCTTCTTTCACTCAGCACAAATGATTAGAGATTCATTCATGCTGTTGTGTGTCAGTGGTACATTGCATTCTTCTTCCGAGTAGTATTCCATAATGTGGATGTACCATATTACATCATTCATTTACCAGTTGAAAAGCATTTAGATTAATTTCAGATTTTGGTGATCATAAATAAAGCTTTGCAAGGATTCCCTTATAAGGGACATTGTATGCCTAACTTTAAAAAACACCAATATTCCAATGTGGTTGTACCATATTTTGCATTCCTCCCAGCAACATCTGAAGGTTCTTCGCATCCTTGCTAGCATGTACTATTAACATTCTAATAGGTGTGCAGTGGGATCTCATTGTTAAAGACTTACTTTTAATCTTATCATTTCTTTATATTTAACATAGTTTTCTTGTAGGTAGCAGAGATGGGCCTTTTTTTAAATCCTGTCTGACAATTTATCCTGTTAAATTAAATATTTATGTCATTTACATTAAATATAATATTGAAATGATAAGGCTTAAATCTCTCAGCTTGCTATTTGCTTTTTACCCGCTTTAACTCTTTCCTGTATTTTTCTGGATTAATTGAAATTTTTAAATATTCCATTTTATCTCTGCTTCTTGCTCATTTGCAAGTCTATTTGTTTTAATTTTTTAGTGATTTTGTTACTTGAAAGGGGCCCAGATCCAGATACCAAGAGAGGGTTCTTGGACCTCATGCAAGAAAGAATTCAGGAGAAGCCCATAGAGTTAAGTGAAAGCAAGGTTATTAAGAAAGTAAAGGAATAAAAGAATGGCTACTCTATAGGCAGAGCAGTGGCATAGGCTACTCAATTTAGTATACCTATAGTTATTTATTGGTTATATGCTAAGCAAGGGGTGGATTATTCATGAGTTTTCCAAGAAAGGGGCAGGGATTTTCTGAAACTGAGGGTTTTCCCCATTTAAGACCATATAGGGTAACTTCTGAACATTGCCATGACATTTGTAAACTGTCATCGTGTTGGTGGGAGTGTCTTTTAGCATGCTAATGCGTTATAATTAATGTATAATGAGCAGTGAAGACAATCAGAGTTCATTTCATTGCCATCTTGGTTTTGGTGGGTTTTGGAGGGCTTCTTTACTGCATCCTGCTTTATCATCAGGGTCTTTGTGACCTGTATATTGTGCTGACCTCCTACCTCAGCCTGTGACTAAGAATGCCTAACCTCCTGAGAATGCAGCCCAGTAGGTCTCAGCCTTATTTAATTTGGCTCCCATACAAGATGGAGTCCCTCTGATTCAAATGCTTCTGACAATTTCTCTAAGGCTTATCATATGCATGTTTAAGTAATAGTAGTTATTCTGCAAAACGTATTGTTCTATTTGTATGTAACATAAAAGCCTTAAAACAAAATACTTCCATTTACCCCTTTTCATTCTTTGGGCTACTTGTGTCATAATTTTACTTTTGCATTATTATAAATTTCACAATTTATTATTATGTTTGTTGAAACAGTCAAGCGTATCTGAAATTTTAAATGATAAAATATATTTACACACAAACTTATTATTACAGGTTTTCTTCAAAGGTTTTTATTTTGCTTTCACTTTTGGGAAATATTTTCACTGTATATAGGATTCTAGGTTGATAGTTGTATGCTTTTAGCACTTTAAAGATGTTATTTCATTGTCTTCTCGCTTATGTATTTTCTGAAGAGATATCTGTAGTCATTCTATTATGTATTTATCTCTAGAAATGGTTCTTTTTACTTTAGCAGCTTTGAGGACTGTCACTTTATCATAATCTAGAGATAGTTTACTCTCATATTAAGATCTCTATTAACTGTTTCAGGTGATGAGCCAGGAATCTCCACTCTTGTTGATCAGAGCTAGGTTGTCTCCTAGTCTGGGATGAGCTCTAAAAGTGGTTCTGTTTATTCTTCTCTTATTACTCTTTGTCAGTCGTTTGGAGTATTACATTATGCTTCGATTTCCTGGTATTCAGCAAAAACTGAAGGTGACCTCATGCAAATGTTTGGACTTCTTTCTTTGAATAGCCTCCTCTTTTCCAAAACTCTGCATTGCAACTTCTGATAGTCTCAGCATTCTTGAACTTAATTCTTTGTCTGCTCAACTCACACAATGGTGCTCTGCTTGGGAACTTCCTCTCTGGACTACATGTGGAATGATTCTCAAGACCCACAGACAGGTAATCATGGGGATCACTTTGCTTGTTTCCTTTCTCTTAGGCACTACAAGTGTTGCCTGGTGACCAATATCTGAAAACAGTTTTATCATATATATTTCCCTCCTTCATATATATGTATGTTGGGAAGAGAAGTTTGATCCTTGTTATTTCACTATAGTAAAAACAGAAATCTTCAGGTTTTTTAATAAAAAGAAAGATAATCTAAGAGAAACTCTCGTATTTTTCACTTTGATTAGCTTAAAAAAATTAAACAAGAGTGTCCAGATTATCTTTGAAAAATAGTATGATTTGCAAGAAGTTTTGGTATTATTTCAAATATGTGGATTCCTAGTTCCGCTCAAATGTTAGTGGCTTCTCACAGAAATCACAAGCTTATTAGATCCAATATTTTGATAAGAAAAGCAGGAATGCATGCTGGAGGCTTAAAAGTTTGGAAGAACACAAAAAGTATGCTAAACATGATAATTTGACCTCTAAACAATCAAAAATGTTGCTCTACAAATAAGCTAAAGGCATAAGCTGTGAACCACAAATGCTTTGAAATATTATAATCCTGAAATAGAAAAAATGAAAAGGGCAAAACTAAAAAAAGCTAAAATATATTAGATAGGGTTATTTTAAGAGCTTAGAAGTTGAGCTGATTTCTGTAATATGTTTTTGACATTTACAGTATTATTCCTTTATAACACCATCTTGAATATTTGATACTATAGATATATTAATGTCTTTCCAAGTAATGCTGATAATGTACCTTTTTAATCTTGTAAGAATTTACCCAATTTTAGGTTTTTTATTTTTTTCTATGTAAATGGTATCAGAATGGGTAAACATATGATCTAATTCCTAGGATAATAATAGGACAATTTAATATATTCCAGATGAGTTATGTTTGCCAGGAGGATTTTTTTTCTTATAATCTGGAAAATATCTTCAAATAATAGAGTTCTCTACTTTTAATGAAAAGCTTTATTTTTCAAGAATGACTTCCCAAATGAATAGGAAAAAGAATCCACACCAAATATTCTCTAGAAGTCTGCCTAATTATTTTCTATAAGCCTCTAGTAATAATATTATATCTACAGAATAATAACACTTCTGCAAAATTTCACAGTTATCTATGCACTGGAAACATAGACCAAATTGGATAGTTCATGTGAAGAACATTATTACCAAGGCATATAGTCACCAGACTGTCCAAGGTCAACATTAAAGAAAAAAATCTTAAAGGCAGCTAGGGAAAAAGGTCAGATCACTCACAAAAGAAACCCCATCAGGCTAACAGTGAACTTCTCAAATGAAACCTTACAAGTCAGAAGAAACTGGGGACCTATTTTGTTTTTTTAAAGAAAAAAAAAAAGCCAACCAAGTATTTCAGATGCAACCAGACTAAGCTGCATAAACACAGGAGAAATAAAGTCTTTTCCAGAGAAGCAACTACTAAGGGAATTTGTTACCACTAGACCAGCTTTACAATAGATCCTTCAGGGAGTTCTAAACATGGAAATGAAAGAATAAAACCTGATAACACATGAAGAAAACTACTTAAATACATAGCCCAAAGACCTCATAAAGCAACTATAGAATCAAGACTATGAAGAACAGCTGGGGATAGGCCCCCAAATCTGACCATAAACTGACCCCAAAACTGGCCATAAACAAAATCTCTGCAGCACTGTGACATGTTCATGATGGCCATGATGCCCACGCTGGAGGTTGTGGGTTTACTGGAATGAGGGCAAGGAACACCTGGCCCACCCAAGGCAGAAAACTGCTTAAAGGTGTTCCTAAACTACAAACAACAGCATGAGTGATCTGCTATGGGAACATGACCTTAAGGACATGTTCCTGCTGCAGCTAACTAGCCAGAGGCCATCCCTTTGTTTCGGCCCATCCCTTTGTTTCCCATAATGAATACTTTTAATCTATAATCTATAGAAACAATGTTTATCACTGACTTGCTGTCAATAAATATGCGGGTAAATCTCTGTTCGAGACTCAGCTTTGAAGGCTGTGAGTCCCCTGATTTCCCACTCCACATGCTATATTTGTGTTTGTGTGTCTTTAATTCCTCTAGTGCTGCTGGGTTAGGGTCTCCCCAACCAAGCTGGTCTCAGCAAGTGGTGTCCATAAGTGGGGCTCAAACTCAGGTGGAAGGGTTGCTGGAGCAATGGTTGGAGAACATGGAACTAAGCTGGAGGACACCTGAGTACTCTTAAGCAATCCCTGTGGTGAGTAAGAAGGGGAGCTCGGAAGCATCAGGATAACAATGGGACAAGTGTGGGCTCTGGCTTGTTCCACCTTGGAACCTTTTCACACTGATGATAAGGAAAAAGGAAAGTATAATGAAGTAACAGAAGAGGTAACAGAGCAGGTTTGTTTGCCAGCCAAATCTAAAGTGGCAAAGGAGGAAGAGGTTCATCTCTACCCTTCTGCACCCCCTCCTTACTATGAAGAAAAAGAGTGGCCTGACCCTCCAGATCTTTCTTTTCTGGAGGACACTGGGTGAAAAGTAGTTGCTCCAGTGACTGTTTAAGCAGTGCCTCAAGCAACCACTCTCAGTTCTATTCAGGCAGGAATCCAGCAAGCTAGACATGAGGGTGATATAGAGGCTTGGCAGTTCTCTGTTAGAATACACCCCCCAGATCAACAGGGAAATATTATAGCTACATTTGAGCCTTTTCCTTTTAAATTACTCAAAGAATTTAAACAAGCTATTAATCACTATGGACCAGGTTCCTCTTTTGTAATGGGACTGTAAAGAATGTTGCTGTCTCCAGTCAGATGTTGCCAGCAGGGACGATAGGATTATTTCTAGGTAGATCTAGTTTAAATTTAAAAGGAGTGCAAGTACAAACAGGAGTCATTGATTCAGATTACAATGGGGAAATTCAAATTGTTATGTCTGCTTTGGTTCCCTGGAAAGCGAGCCAGGAGAGCATATAGCACAGCTCCTCATTATGCCACATGTGGAAATGGGGAAAAGTGAAATTAAACAAACAGGAGGATTTGGAAGCACGAATAAACAAGGCAAAGCAGCTTATTGGGTGAATCAAATTACTGATAAACATCCTACCTGTGAAATAACTATTCAGGGGAAGAAATTTAAAGGTTTGGTAGATACAGGAGCGGACATTTCAATCATTTCTCTACAGCACTGGCCATCTGCGTGGCCAATTCAACCCACTCAATTTAACATAGATGGAGTTGGTAAAGCCCGTGAAGTATATCAGAGTAGTTATATTTTGGATTGTGAAGGGCCTGATGGACAACCTGGGACTATTCAACCAATAATAACTTCTGTACCTATAAATTTATGGGGGAGAGATTTATTACAACAATGGGGAGGACAAGCTCTAATTCCAGAGCAATTATATAGCCCTCAAAGTCAACACATGATGCATGAAATGGGGTAAGTCCCTGGTATGGGACTAGAAAAAATTTGCAAGGTTTCAAGGAACTGCTTCAAGTGGAAAGACAAAGTTCCCGCCTAGGTTTAGGATATCATTTTTGATGGCAGTCATTGTTAAGCCTCCAGAATCTATACCTTTAAAATGGTTAACAGATAAGCCAATTTGGATGGAACAATGGCCAATGAGTAAAGAGAAACTGGAAGCTTTAGAGAACTTAGTTACTGAACAATTAGAAAAAGGACACATAGCTCCAACATTTTCCCCTTGGAATTCTCCAGTTTTCATAATTAAGAAAAAATCAGGTAAATGGAGAATGTTAACTGACTTAAGAGCCATTAATTCACTTATACAACCTATGGGGACATTGCAGCCAGGATTGCCCTCTCCTGCTATGATTCCAAAAAATTGGCCTTTAATAGTCATAGATTTAAAAGACTGTTTCTTTACTATGCCCTTAGCTGAGCAAGACTGTGAAAGATTTGCATTTCCAATTCCTGCAGTAAACAACCTGCAGCCTGCTAAGTGTTTTCATTGGAAAGTGTTGCCACAAGGCATGTTAAACAGTCCAACAATTTGCCAGGTTTATTTAGGGCAAGCAATTGAATCTACTTGTAAAAAATTTTCACAGTGTTACATTATTCATTATATGGATGATATACTTTGTGCTGCCCCCACTCGAGAAATATTACTCCAATGTTATGATCATTTGCAAAATTTGATTTCTCATGCTGGTTTAATTACAGCTCCTGACAAAATTCAGACTACTGCTCCTTACTCCTACTTAGGGACCTTAGTAAATGACACTACCATTGTGCCACAAAAAGTAACTACACATAGGGATCAATTGAAAACATCAAATGACTTTCAAAAATTACTAGGGGACATTAATTGGATATGACTTGCTCTAGGCATTCCTACCTATGCCATGAGTAATCTATTTTCTATCCTTAGAGGAGATCCTAGTCTCATTAGCCCTCGGCAATTAACAAAGGAGACTGAGGTAGAGTTACAGCTAATTGAGAAGCAAGTCCATAAAGCTCAAATAAATAGAATAAATCCAAAAAAGACTCTAGATTTGCTAATTTTTTCAACTCAGCATTCACCTACTGGTGTTATTGTTCAAGAGCAAGATCTTGTACAGGGGCTTTTTCTTCCACATACTAGTTCACGGACTTTGACTCCTTATTTGGATCAAATCTCTACTATGATAGGAAATGGGAGAACTCAGATTGATAAATTACATGGATATGATCCTGGAAAAAGTATTGTCCCTATCACGAAGGCATAAATACAGCAAGCTTTTATAAATAGTCTTACTTGGCAAACCCATTTAGCTAACTTTGTGGGTATTCTTGATAATCATTTTCCTAAAATGAAGCTGTTTCAATTTTTAAAATTAACTAATTGGATTCTCCCTAAAATCTCTAAATTTAAACCAATTAAAGGTGCTGAGAATGTTTTTACAGATGGGTCTAGTAATAGTAAAGCTTCTTATTCTGGCTCGAAAGGTAAAGTTTTTAAGACGCCCTATATGTCAGCTCAAAAAGCAGAGCTTGTAGCTGTAATTAAGGTATTGACTGCTTTTAATATGCCTATTAATGTGACTTCTGATTCTTCATATGTGGTTCATTCCACACAGTTAGTTAAAAATGCTCAATTATGATTTCACACAGATGAACAACTGATGACTTTATTTACCCAATTGCAAAAAGCAGTCAGGAGTAGAATGCACCCTTTTTACATCACTTACATTAGGGCTCATACACCTCTTCCAGAACCTTTAACTGAAGGGAATCAAATGGCTGATCACCTAGTTGCTACTGCAATATCTAATGCTAGACACTTTCACAATTTAACCCATGTTAATGCCTCTGGTATCAAACACAGATACAGCATTACCTGGAAAGAAGCTAAAGCTATTATCCAGTGATGCCCAACTTGCCAAATGGTACATTCCTCATCATTCACAGGAGGAGTTAATCCTCGAGGATTGGAACCTAATTCTCTTTGGCAAATAGATGCCACACATGTTCCCTCATTTGGGAGACTAGCTTATGTACATGTATGTGTGGACACCTTTTCTCACTTTTTCTGGGCTACATGCCAATCAGGAGAGTTTTCTGCCTGTGTTAAATATCACCTTTTGCAGTGTTTTGTGGTGACGAGCATTTCAGCTTCTATTAAAACAGACAATGCCTCAGGCTATACTAGGCAAGCTGTAGCTACATTTTTCTCTATATGGAATATTAAACACATTACTGGCATCCCATATAATTCTCAAGGACAAGCCATTGTAGAATGAATGCATCTCTCTCTAAAACGACAATTGCAAAAGCAGAAAGCGGGAAACAGGGACTACGGAACACCACATATGCAATTGAATATAGCATTATTGACTTTAAATTTTTTGAGCCTGCCTAAAGGCCAGATGCTATCAGCAGCTGAACAACATCTACAGAAACCAGCTGCAAAGACAGTAGCAGAACAACTGGTTTGGTGGAGAGATCCAATAACAAATAGTTGGGAAATAGGTAAAAATATAATAACCTGGGGTAGAGGTTATGCTTGTGTTTCTCCAGGCCAGAATCATCAGTTAATTTGGATACCATCAAGACACCTAAAACCTTGTCATGAGCCAGCCAGATCCTGGGGACCCCCTGGTTGCAGCCATGTCTAGACTGATGCTGAGGAGGACCCCAACTATCATGAGCAACACCTGTCAAACACAGCCACCTACCTGGGGACAGATTAAGAAGCTGTCACAGAAGGTGGAAGAAAACCTGAGGAAAGCAGGACAACCAGTAATTTAATGAGTAATTTAATGATAGCTATGATAGCGGTGATCACCATTGCCATGAGTATTCCACCAACAAGGGCTGACACAGAGAACTATTATATTTACTGGGCATATTTATCAATCTTGGCTGGCAGTAATGCCTGGATGTAATCACTGTATGACACAATTACATATGCTTTCTGATCTCAGTATTTACCATAATAAATCTGCTCCTATAATTGAGGCATACCACCCTGAAAAATCTATTTGTAAACAGAATTGGACCTGGCCAGAAAAAATGAACGTATTTATTTGGGAAGATTACATTGCAGAACAAGCAGAGGTGCTGCACAATGATTCCTATGGAATCATTATTGATTGGTCCCCTAAGGGGATGTTTAGCTTGAATTGCACCTCTCAGTCTGCATGCCATGGCCACACTATGTTCAGCTGGTCTAAACAAAATGGTCAGATGGTAGAAATAGTAAGAAATATGGCTAGAGTTCCTGTTATCTGGAAACATGGTGTTATAGTGGCACCTCAACCTCAAATGATATGGCCTGCTGTAGGAGCTAAACATAAGAATTTGTGGAAACCATTAATGGCTCTTAATAAGATCAAAATTTGGGAAAGAATAAAAAAGCATGTAGAAGGACACTCTACAAACTTGTCTTTGGATGTTGCAAAATTAAAAGAACAAATATTTAAAGCATCCCAGGCACACCTGACCTTACAGGAACTGGAGTGCTTGAAGGAGCTGTGGATGGATTAGCAGCTAGTAACCCATTAAAATAGATAAAAACACTTGGAGGCTCTGTGATTTCAATGATGATTGCGTTATTAATATGTGTTGTTTGTCTTTGTATAGTCCGCAGATGCAGATCCCAACTCCTGCGACAAATAGGTCACTGTGATAAAGCCGCCTTTGCTTTTATTGCCTTGCAAAAACAAGAAAGGGGACATGCTGGGGATAGGCCCTCAAATCTGGCCATAAACTGGCCCCAAAACTGGCCATAAACAAAATCTCTGCAGCACTGTGACATGTTCATGATGGCCATGATGCCCACACTGAAGGTTGTGGGTTTACTGGAATGAGGGCAAGGAACACCTGGACCACCCAGGGCGGAAAACCGCTTAAAGGCATTCCTAAACCACAAACAATAGCGTGAGCAATCTGTACCTTAAGGACATGTTCCTGCTGCAGATAACTAGCCAAACTCATCCCTTTGCTTTGGCCCAACCCTTTGTTTCCCATAAGGAATACTTTTAGTTAATCTATAATCTATAGAAACAATGTTTATCACTGGCTTGCTGTCAATAAATATGTGGGTAAATCCCTGTTCAGGGCTCTCAGCTCTGAAGGCTGTGAGTCCCCTGATTTCCCACTCCACACACTATATTTCTGTGTGTGTGTCTTTATTTCCTCCAGCGCCGCTGGGTTAGGGTCTCCCCGACCGAGCTGGTCTTGGCAAAGAACTTTGGCAACCTTAAAATGTGTTACAGTCCAAACAAATTTATAACAACTTCTAGAAGCACTCTTCCTTGGTTTTATCTTGATTTCATTGGGAAGGAATGATAAGCTGTAACTAAGCTAGATTGCTAGTGGGAAACAAGGGCCAAGTTTTTCCTAGGAGATCCTATCCACTTTCATGACTATTACCTAGCCCACAATGACATCCTAATCTGTTTCTGGCCAAGATCTCTGCAATAATATCCAGGAACATAAGTACAACCAACTACTGTATATCTTCACATAGTTGGGGCATCTTAAAGTCAACAAATCAAATATATTCTTCTGTTCCCTAACAAATTTGTGTTGTCTGTATTCCATATACAGCTGAATGGTAATACTTTCCTTCAGCAAAAAACTTGAGTTATTTCTGAATCAGTCTTTTCCTTTATTATGTTTCATCCACCAGAAAATTTCATTGACTCTACGTTATTCTTCTCTCTATTGTCACTGCTGCTGTCTTACTTTAAATCCTCAGGCTTTCTTGCTTGAATTATAGCAGCACCAACCTAAATGATCTTCTTGCTAGTCTTGCCACTTCCAAATTCATTCTTTACAATATCATAGGAGTTATTTTTTACAATATGTATCTTATATAATTTCTATGCCAAAATTCATTAATGGCACCCCAGTATCTGTAGGATAAAAATATAAGTTACTTAGAAAGATAAAGTATTTGCTTACCTGGACCCAGAATCTCTCTCTAAACTCATCCCTCTTCAATCTCGTCCTACATCTGTTCTTAGAATTCTATGTTCAGAAGACACAGCATAGTTTCTATCCACTTTGTGCTTTTATAATACTAGTTTCTTGCCTGTAATACTATACCCTTTTTACAACTTGCCAACCCCAATTTGCCCTTCAAGACTCAATGTAGAACTTCCACTTCTGACTATAATAGTGACACAATGCTTACCAAGAATTAGAATAGTCAGATAACATTTTTAACAACCAATCTGTTTGAAGACAGATTAGAATTGCTAAGGCAGCTAAGATACAAAAGGCCAGACTTCATGGGAAAAGAAAGATTACTGAAGTAAGACAAACTTTACACATATTCCTTTTTCTCACATGACAAGTCCCAACTTTCATGTTGAATACAAAGCTGGACAGCTAGGCAGAGAGTGAGTGTTGAGAGACACAAACTAACAATGAGTTTTTTACTCATTGAAGAGAAAATTTCAGGCTTACAGCTGCAAAAGCAGCCAAAATCTGAGGCGTCATGTGTCACAGAGAAGAAAAGCACAAAGTAGTAGTAAGCCCTGAATAGTATTCCCCTTGAGGTCAGGGAATTTGCTGATTATACTCTGAAAGACAAGATGCAGAAAAGCCAAACACAGAATAACTAGAAAGAAAAAAGCTTTTGGCAATATCACAGTGATAGACAATGGGAGTCAAGATTTGCCAATAATGAGGTCCTTAGGAAAATTTGACACACCAAAAATGCTCCATCCTAGGAGTGGAGATAAACCAGAGGTGGTGTGAGGCTGATGGAGACAGTCCCTGACAGGTTTGAAATGATCTGCCTTTCTGCTCATTGCCAGAGGATATGGTGAATCATTTCTGAAAGGAAGTAAAAACATCAACAACCTCTATAATTTTAATGCACAATACCCAGCACTTAACAACAACAACAACAAAAATGACAAGCCATGAAAAGAAATAGGGCTGGGTGCGGTGGCTCAGGCCTGTAATCCCAGCACTTTGGGAGGCTGAGGTGGGCAGATCACGAGGTCAGGAGATCGAGACCATCCTGGCTAACACAATGAAACCCCATCTCTACTTAAAAAATAAAATAAAATAAAATAAAATAAAATAAAATAAAATAAAATAAAATAAAATAAAATAGCTGGGTGTGGTGGCAGGCACCTGCAGTCCCAGCTACTTGGGAGGCTGAGGCAGAAGAATGGCGTGAACCCAGGAGGCGGAGCTTGCAGTGAGCAGAGATCACACCACTGCACTCCAGCCTGGGCGACAGAGCGAGACTCCATCTCAAAAATAAATGAATTATAAAAAAAAAGAAAAGAAATAGAATAAAAAGAGAAAGACAGACACACTGCAGACACACAGGTGACTCAGTTAATAGAATAATTAGACATAGAAGAACTGTGATTAACATGCTAAAAAAAAATAGATGACAAGATGGAGAATTTCACCAGAGAACTAGAATCTGTAAAAGGTAATCAGGTGGCTATTCTCTGCAACAATGTAATAACTGAAGTTAAGATTTAGTAAATAGGTTTATAAGCAGATTGACCACATGATGCTACTTGTGTCTGCCCCAAGTTGTAGATATCAGAATGGCTAAGTATTTTAGCAGCAATAGTCAGCACAGAAGTAACTGGATCATCCATGGCATTTCCCTTTTCCAAGTAAAAGTGACTTACTCCATGTAAAGTACATCCACTTATGTAAGAAGCTACAGGAAGGCTTGAGATGGAGATATTGATTCAGGCCATTATCAATAATAAAAACTGAATATGATATATTGATGCAAGAAAATACCTAATCATGTTAAACCAGCACACGATGCCATGTAATTGAAACATAACTTTTGTTCTATGACCATTTCTTTAAAATGTGTTCAGTGGGGTAATTTCCCCTGCCTGTGGATAGAAACGGGAAGAGTTCATGATTTTTCTGCTCAGTCTTCAGAAATAAATAGTTAATGCTTATTTTAAGTTGTAAGCAAGGACTTAATTTTAAAAAAATAGAAGGTGTTTAGAAATTACCTAAATGTTAGTCAATGTTCATCCAAAGGTAAGAATTTTCCTTTCTCTCTCATATGCAAACACCAGTAGTTGGTGACTACCCAACTTTATATCTGTGGTTATCTTCTGGTCTTTCGACTTACTTCTTATCCTACTTTCGAGCAGTTGTTTCCAACCCCATTAGGGGTGATTCTTTTTTGTGTATCCTATAGTTTCTCTTTCTTTGGGGTCTCTTTTATAAATGTGTTTAAATAAGTACATATTTATTCTAGTAAATAGAATAAGACGAGGACTCCTTTTTCATCTCAGAATCAGGAATCTTTTTACAAGTACTCTCACAGCCCTTGAGATAATTTTATATCTAAGGGAGAAAGAATTTAGATATTTCCTGCAGGCCACACATCCCTTATACTGACAAATTCTGGGAATTCAGGGCTTTACCTCTTCACCTACTGCAGCAAAGTGGTGGGAACTCCCAGTATGACCACACTCTCTCTAATGGCATCCCTTCACTAAATCTTCTGACTCTTCCTTGCTCTGACTTGATTTTATATCTTTGATCTACATCGTAAGTGTTGTGGAAATTGTTCACGATACATGTTTTGTAAATTCTGCATATAAAGCATCTGATAAACACCCAATTTGGAAGCTCCCATAACATCCCCATTTTAACAGCGTATAAAACATATATATATATATAACATACATTTAACAGTTTTGAAAATTGAAGGATTGCCTGAAAAGTTATTATGTAGAATTGAAAGGATTGTATTGGTGTAAAGGTAGTTTTTCACTAGTTAATGGGAATGGAAACTATCGCAAATGTATGTGCAATAATCAAAGTAAGTAAAATCATGTATTTGCACTTAACTGAGAGGTGTTTATTTATAGGTATTAAATACAAACAGGCTTTGTTTTAAACTTAAAGATACCTACCAGAAGTCTTAAAATAACTGACTTCAATTATCATATATCAGAGGAAGAAAAGAATTAAAGGCTGTTATAACTGCTTAATAATAGAATTTTTGCTCCTAGTTGACTGATTGCTCTGGCACTGTGGAAATAATGTTTAATAGAGGGAAAAATTATGATAGTATTACCCAGAACAGATGTGCTAGAAATCATCTCATAACTTTGATATGGCTTTAATTGACAATACAAAACTAAAATCTTCAGATACTTTGAGAACTATAGCTGGACAACCTCTGTATATGTTGTGTGTGAGTTTCAATAAGTGTATAAATTTACATTTCTCATAGATTGAAAGTGTATGAAAAAAATCTTTTAGTGTTCATCTAATCTGCCTTTCATTCCCTTGGTTTGCAGAATCAAAAAAGTTGAAGATGCCCTGTTTTTGCCAAAATTACATAGAGCTGTGACTAATAAAAAATAATTTATTTAGACTTCCAATCATATTTTATATGTCCTTGAGATAAAGCCAAGAATAAGACATAAAACCAAATGTTAGAGTCCTGATACCTCAATGTTTTTAGTACATCTTCACAAACTTCAAAAAGTATCAAAAATCAGTGATTAGAGTATAAGCAGTCTAAATATAATGGTGTGCACCTCATTAATAAGAAATACTTAATCAGATAGCTTAATGTATCAATTTAGAAACATTTGCTTGTTTCATAAGAAGTTATTTTCTAAAAAGTAAAAATTATCTTAACATATACATTGTCACTAAGATACTAAAAAGCTGCCAGAAAACTGTGTCTGTGTGAAATACTCATAAGTCTATCAAATGTGATTATAAGTAATACTAATTATAGCTGTTTTCATATTGTTCTTATTGTGTGCCAGGCACTGTCCTAGGCAGTTCATACACAAATTCACACAATCCACACAACTCAATGAGAAAAGTATTGTTACTGTCATGTTCATTTTATAGATGGTAAGAGGAGTTAAGTAACTTCCTCAAATCCACCCAGAAAATAAATATTGGAGCTAGGATTTGAACTCTAGAAATATGACTGTAGACTCTGTTTTCTTATTTAATCATTTCCTGTCCCACAGACAGCATCTTTTTCATTAGATATATAGACAGCCTAATCTAAGGTGCATCAACTCTCTATGACAATATGCTTTTTAGAATAAGTATAAGGTAGGAGACCAGTACTGGTCCGTGGCTTGTTAGAAACAGGGCTGCACAGCAGGAGGTGAGCAGCGGGCCAGCAAGCATTACCTCCTGAGCTCCACATTTTATGAGATCAGCAGTGGCATTAGTTTTCATAGAAGCATGAACCCTATTGTGAACTGTTCATGTGAGGGATCCAACTGCTCATGTGGCTCCTTGTGAGAATCTAATGCCTGATGATCTGAGGTGAAAATTTCATCCCCCAACCATCTTCCCCTCAACTGTCCCCTGTCCATGGAAAAATTATCTATTTGGACACAAACTGTCATTTTCTTTAGCTGCTCTTAAAATTTTCTCTTTATCTTTAGTTTTTGCCAACCTGACTGATAACTAACTGGTACTTAAAATATTAAATTAACTTGTAGATTTCTCTATATTGTTTATTTTATCTCTTGATTTTTTTTCACATTTTTTTCTTTTCTTTTTTATGCCTTATATGTTTGGATTGGAGGAAAAATCACAGAGATTTTAAATGATGTCATCTTCCTCTGGGTGGGCTAAATTTTCTTGTGGAAAAGAGATTGAGCACCAATATATGACTTTGGTGCTATTAAGGCTTTCAGGCTTTGTTAGGGCTATATATTTTACTTTTGTTCTTATTCCCAGGGTTTAGCCTTATTATTAGAGCATAGCCTTTGTGGGCCTGAAAGCCTTAGGTACTTAGCAAAGGCACCCATGTGGCTGGGGCTGAACTCCAGCTTCTCTTCCAACAACCATGTGGCTACTGCCATCTCTGCTTTGGCATTTTAATTTTTTCACATGCTATTTCTTACTAAGTGGTTTGTATTTGGTTGTTTTCTTTTCTGTTCTTTCTTTCTTTTTCTTTCTTTCTTTCTTTCTTTGGTATGCATTTACAATCACACATACGCATATCTTTGCATGTGTTTGTGAAGGTGTGCAAACACACGTATGAACTCTTAACTATTATGCTACACTATCTAGTTAAAAAATAAATACTTGCATATTAATTTCAAGCACTTTTCCCAGTCATTTTTCTTCTCACTTTTAATTTTGTATCTGTATGTTGTTAACTAGCAAATATTTTAAAAGGTAATTTCTGAATTTTGTCTTATTTACGACCATTCTTACTCCAAGCATGCTTTAAAAAATCTTCAATTTTTTAAAAGTACTTTAAAGTTTGTATTGATTATGTTCAAATGTTAACCCAATCTAAAACTTATTTTGGTAGAAGGACTGAGGGAAGGAGAAATTCAACTATATTTTTCCAAGTGACTGCCCATTTTTCCTAACAGTATTTTTTGAATAATCTAACTTTTCCAAATAAATTTGAAAATGTTGCCACATTTGAGCTAAATTTTCAGAAATATTTGATATAATTATTGGACCTGTTTTCTGATTCACTGATTTGTTACTCATCCAATACTAACATTTTTTATTGATTTGCTTTGTGATATATTTTAGCGCTTGATGCAGCTTATTACTTATGTTTCTAACAAATTTTCTAGCTAGTCACACATGTTTATATTTCCATATAAAGTGTAAAGTTTTTTTTTTGTTAGTTAAATAGTCCAGTTTGAAAAACAGGTGTGATATTAGGTGTTCTATACTTTTGCCTTTGGTTATAACTATAGTTTCTACCTCCATAATTTTTATACTTTTCATTAAATCAGATCAGTGGTATCTTCAGGGCCTATTACAATTACAAAAGCCCATGCAAAGTTCAGCAGCCTCAAAGATAGAAGTTAGACACACTCATGAATATGAGAAAGAATCAATGAAAAAAAAACACTGAAAACTCAAAAACCCAGAGTGTGTCTTCTCCTCCAAATGATCACAAAACCTCTCCAGCAAGGGCACAAAACTGGGCTGAGGCTGAGATGGATGAATTGACAGAAGTAGGCTTCAGAAGGTGGATAATAAAAAACTTTGCTGAGCTAAAGAAGTATGTTCTAACACAATGCAAAGAAGCTAAGAACCATGATAAAACATTACAGGAGCTCTTAACCAGAATAACCAGTTTAGAGAGAAACATAAATGACCTGATGGAGCCAAAAATCACAACACAAGAACTTCACAATGCAACCATAAGTATCAATAACTGAATAGACCAAGCAGAGGAAAGAATTTCAGAGTTTGAAGACTATCTTGCTGAAATCTTGTCTGACAGGCAGACAAGATTAAAGAAAAAAGAATGAAAATGAATGAACAAAACCTCTGAGAACTATGGGATTAAGTAAAAAGACCTAACCTATGACTAATTGGGGTACCTGAAAGAGATGGGGAGAACAAAACCAAGCTGGAAAACATACTTTAATATATAATCCAGGAGAACTTCCTCAACCTAACAAGACAGGCTAACATTCAAGTTCAGGAAACCCAGAGAACCCTAGTAAGATACTCCATGAGACGATAAACCCCAAGACACATAATCATCAAATTCTCCATGGTCAAAATGAAGAAAATAATGTTAAGGGCAGCCAGAAAGGCCAGGTCACCTACAAAGGGAAGCCCATCAGACTAACAGTGGACCTCTCAGCAGAAACCCTACAAGCCAGAAGAGAGTGGGGGCCAATATTCAACATTCTTAAAGAAAAGAATTTCCAACCCAGAATTTTATATCCAGACAAACTAAGGTTCATAAGTGAAGGAGAAGTAAAATCTTTTTCAGACAAGCAAATGCTGAGGGAATTCATCACCACTAGGCCTGCCTTGCAAGAGCTCCTGAAAGAAATATAGAAAAAAAAAATTAACTAGAATATTTGGTGGAGTAAAAAAAAAAAAAAAAAAAAATTACATTTTTCAAGCAATTTTTCAGAAGAACTAGTCAATATATTTGCTTTAAAAATGTAAGTATATGACTTTAATAAAAACTCATGTGTGACTTAAAAAAAAAGGAAAATAATAAATATGAATAAATATGGAAAGGAAAAACCACTACCTCCGCTTAAGTGCAAATACCAATGACATTACGAAGCAACTACATGAACAAATCTGAAAAATAACCAGCTAGCATCATGATGACAGGATCAAATTCACACATAAAAATATTAACCTTAAATGTAAATGGGTTAAATGCCACAGTTAAAAGACATAGAATGTCAAGCTGGATAGAGTCAAGACCCATAGGTGTGCTGTATTCAAGAGACTGATCTCACATGCAAAGACACATACAGACTCAGAATAAAGGGAAGGAGGGAAATTTACCAAGCAAATTGAAACCAGGAAAAAAAAAGGGGTTGCAATCCTAGTTTCTGACAAAACAGACTTTGAACCAGCAAAGATCAAAAAAGACAAAGAAAGGCATTAAATAATGGTATAGGGATCAATTCAACAGGAAGAGCTAACTATCCTAAATATATATTCATTCAATAAGGAGCATCAAGATTCATAAAATAAATTCTTAGAGACCTACAAAGACACTTAGACTCCCACACAATAATAGTGGGAAAATTTAATAGTAGACAGATCATCAGACAGAAAATTAATAAGGACATTCAGGACTTGAATTCAGCTCTGTATCAAGTGGACATAATAGACATCTACAGAAATCGCCACCTAAAAACAACAGAATATACATTCTTCTCAGTGCCACATGGCACTTACTATAAAATCGATCACATAATTGGAAATAAAATACTCCTCAGCAAATGCAAAAGAACCAAAATTATAACAGTCTCTCAGAACACAGCACAATCAAATTAGAACTCAAAATTAAGGAACTCGCTCAAAACCACACAACTACATAGAAAGGAAACAACCTGCTACTGAATGACTCCTGGGTAAATAATGAAATTAAGGTAGAAATCAAGAAGTTCTTTGAAACCAATGAGAACAGAGGCAACATACCAGAATCACTGGGATGCAGCTAAAGCAGTGTTAAGAGAAAAATTGATAGCACCAAATGCCCACATCAAAAAGCTAGAAAGATCTCAAATCAACATCCTAACACCACAACCAAAAGAACTAGAGAACCAAGAGCAAGCAAACCCAAAAGCTAGCAGAAGACAAGAAATAACCAAAATCAGAGAGGAATGGAAGGAAATAGAGATGGTGAAAAAAGACCTCAAAAAAATCAATGAATCTGGGAGCTTGTTTTTTGAAAAAATAAAATAAATAAAATAAAATAAAATAAAATAAAATAAAATAGATAGATGGATAGCTAAACTAATAAAGAAGAAAAGAGAAAAGAATCAAATAAACACAATAAAAAATGATAAAGGGGTTATCACCACTGACCCCACAGAAATACAAACAACCATCAGAGAACACTATACTGTAAACACCTCTATGCAAGAATAAACCAGGGAGAAGTTGAATCCCTGAATAGACTAATAACAAATTCTGAAATTGAGGCAGTAATAAATAGCCCACCAACAAGACAGATTTACAGCTAAATTCTACTAGCAGTACAAGGAAGAGCTGGTACCATTTATTCTGAAATTATTCCAAAACAATTGAAAAGAAGAGACTTCTCCCTCACTCATTTTATGAAGCCAGCATCATCCTGATACCAAAACCTGGCATTGATACAACAACAAAACTTCAGGCCAATATCCCTGATGAACACTGGTGTGAAATGCTCAATAAAACACTGGCAAATCGAATCAAGCAGCACGTCAAAAAGCTCAAATCAACGATCAAGTTGGCTTCATCTCCAGGATGCAAGGCTGGTTTAACATATGCAAATCAATAAGTGTAATTCATCACATAAACAGAAATAAAAACAAAAATCACATGATTATCTCAATAGATATAGAAAAGGCCTTCAGTAAAATTCAATATCCCTTCATGTTAAAAACTCTCAATAAACTAGGTATTGATGGAACATACCTCAAAATAATAAGAGCCATTTATGACAAACCCACAGCCAATATCATACTGAATGGCCAAAACTGGAAGCACTCCCCTTTGAAAAATGGCACATGACAAGGATGCCCTCTCACACAACTCCTATTCAACACAGTATTGGGAGTTCTGGCCAGGGCAATCAGGCAAGATTAAGAAATAAATGCTATTCAAATAGGAATAGAGGAAGTTGAACTGTCTCTGTTTCCAGACAACATAATCCTATATCTAGAAAACACCATTGTCTTAGCCCAAAAGCTCCTTAAACTGATAAGTGACTTCAGCAAAGTCTCAGGATACATAAATCATTGTGCAAAAATCACAAGCATTCCTATACACCAACAACAGACAAGCAGAGAACCAAATCTTTAATGAACTCCCATTCACAATTGCTACAAAGAGAATAAAATGCCTAGGAATACAGCTAAAAAGGGACGTGAAGGACCTCTTCAAGGAGAATTACAAATCACTGCTCAAGGAAATAAGAGAGGACACAAACAAATAGAAAAGCATTCCATGCTCATGGATAGGAAGAATCAATGCTGTGAATGAAAATAACCATACTGCCCAAAGTAGTGTATAGATTCAGTGCTATTCCCATTAAACTAGCATTGAGATTTTTCACACAAGAAAAAAAAAAAAAGAACCTACTTTAAAATTCTTTGCAACCAAAAAAGAGCCTGTATAGCCAAGACAATTCTAAGCAAAAAGAATAAAACTGGAGGCATCATGCTATCTGACTTCAAACTATGCTACAAGGCTATGGTAACCAAAACAGCATGGAACTGACACAAAAACAGATGCATAAACCAATGAAACAAAACAGAGATCTCAGAAATAAGACTGCACATCTACAACCATCTGATCTTCCACAAGCCTGGCAAAAACAAGCAATGAAGAATGGATTCCCTATTTAATAAATGGGGCTGGGAGAACTGGCTAGCATATACAGAAAATTGAAACTGGACCCCTTCCTTAAACATTACACAAAAATTAACTCACCATGGATTAAAGACTTAAATGTAAAACCCAAAAGTATAATAACCCTAGAAGAAAACCTAGGCAGTACCATTCAGGACAAGGCACAGGAAAAGATTTCATGACAAAAACATCAAAAACAATTGGAACAAAAGCAAAAATTGACAAATGGAATCTAATTAAACTAAAGAGCTTCTGCACAGCAAAAGAAACTATCATCAGAGTGAACAGACAACCTACAGAATGGGAGACAATTTTTGCAACCTATCCATCTGACAGAGGCCTAATATCCAGAGATTACAAGGATCTTAAATTTACAAGAAAAAAGAAACTGTATTAAAAGTGGGCAAAGGACATGAAAAGACACTTCTCAAAAAAAGACATTTATGTGACCAACAAACATATGAAAAAAAGCTCAGTATCATTGATCATTAGAGAAATGCAAATCAAAACCACAATGAGATACCTATAATCTTATGCCAGTAAGAATGGCAATTATTAAAAAGCCAAGAAACAACAGATGATGGTGAGGCTGTGGGGGAATAGCAATGGTTTTACATTGTTGGTGGGAATGAAAATTAGTTCAACCATTGTGGAAGACAGTGTGGTGATTCCTCAAAGACCTAGGACCAGAAATACCTTTTAATCCATCAATCCCATTAATGGGTATATACCCAAAGGAATATAAATCATTCTATTATGAAGATACAGGCACATGTATGTTCGTTGCAGCACTATTCACAATAGCAAAGACACAAAATCAACCCAAATGCCCATCAGTGGTAGAAAGGAAAATATGGTACATATACACCATGGAACACTACGCAGCTATAAAAAGGAACGAGATCCTGTTGTTTGCTGGGACATGGATGGAGCTGAAAGTCATCATCCTCAGCAAACTAATACAAGAACAGAAAACCAAACACTGCATGTTCTCACTTATAAATGGGAGCTAAACAATAAAAACACATGAACATAGGAAAGGTAACAAGACAAACTGGAGTCTGTTGGGGGAGAGGAGGTAGTGAGAGCATCAGGATAAAAACCTAATGCACGTGGGGCTTAATACCTAGGTGATGGGTTGATAGATGCAGCAAACCACCATAGCACACGTTTACCTATGTAACAAACCTGCACATTCTGCACATGTATTCTGGAACTTAAAATAAATTTAAATTAAATTAAAAAAAGAAAAGAAAAATATTTTCACATTCTTTTATATGTGTTGTAAGCAAGAGACATACAGAGAGGTACAGCACTTTGTAAGTTGACAAGAACTGACGTAACTGAAGTTGTTAAGACTATCACTTATCCATAGCCTATTTGAAACTTCTAACATAAGTGGCTTCAAAGCAAATACGTCAAATCACACACTGACTTGTTGATTTTGTTAACTGTGCTATACAAATAAGCTAAACCATGCACTTCTAGGAAATGGAAAATCTAAATAAACCAATACTGTAAGTATTATATTAACATAAAATTATATTTTTCTGTCACATAGTTGCATGAAATTTTCCCAAGATTTTAGAAGAAAAGCTTTAAGGTTTTAATTTAATAATAAATATAGCACAAGACATATTACTTCAGTGATAAATTGAAACAAGAGTAATAGGTTAAAATGCTGCTTTTTGCATAATATTTTAAATGAAGCTCTAATTTATTGTTTACAGTTCAAATAGAATTGGTCATTTATGTTAACTAAAGTCAAATTTTCAATGTGTAGAAATTACTGTAATAGTAATTCTTTGCACAATTATGTATGTCCTCAACCTTAAGAGCTTTGTGGCTCACATATCTTTTAAATTATAATCTCAACCTTTATTCTCTGAAAGCAACGAATATTAAAATATTCACTTGATATTAACACGTTTCTTTTATGTTTTAATATACAAAATTATTCTAATTTTGTTTTACTGATAAAAATTCATATGATAATTCCTGAAGTGCTAATAAATGTCTTATAATTTACAAACTTATTTTACATAGAGTATTTAATTTGAGTTTGACAAAAACTTCATGAAGTAGGTGTTTATATTCCCATTTTACAATTGGGAAAAACAAAAGGAAGAGATGTTAAATGATTTGTTTTAGACTCACACTCTATTCACTATACTCCAAAATAATTTGAAAATAAGACATTATTAAAAGTCAGGAAACAACAGGTGCTGGAGAGGATGTGGAGAAATAGGAACACTTTTACACTGTTGGTGGGACTGTAAACTAGTTCAACCATTGTGGAAGTCAGTGTGGCGATTCCTCAGGGTTCTAGAACTAGAAATAC
This sequence comes from Homo sapiens, assembly GCF_000001405.40. Classification (NCBI taxonomy): domain Eukaryota; kingdom Metazoa; phylum Chordata; class Mammalia; order Primates; family Hominidae; genus Homo; species Homo sapiens. The sequence continues at coordinate 75,063,066 of NC_000008.11, forward strand.
CATTTGACCCAGCCATCCCATTACTGGGTATATACCCAAAGGACTGTAAATCATGCTGCTATAAAGACACATGCACACGTATGTTTATCGCGGCATTATTCACAATAGCAAAGACTTGGAACCAACCCAAATGTCCAACAATGATAGACTGGATTAAGAAAATGTGGCACATATACACCATGGAATACTATGCAGCCATAAAAATGATGAGTTCATGTCCTTTGTAGGGACATGGATGAAATTGGAAATCATCATTCTCAGTTAACTATTGCAAGAACAAAAAACCAAACACCGCATATTCTCACTCATAGGTGGGAATTGAACAATGAGAACACATGGACACAGGAAGGGGAACATCACACTCTGGGGACTGTTGTGGGGTGGGGGGAGGGGGGAGGGATAGCATTGGGAGATATACCTAAGGCTAGATGACGAGTTAGTGGGTGCAGCGCACCAGCATGGCACATGTATACATATGTAACTAACCTGCACATTGTGCACATGTACCCTAAAACTTAAAGTATAAATAAAAAAAGAAAATAAGACATTATTGCTTGAAATATGATTGTTAACAATTTTTAATAAAGTATTTTATGAAAAATATTTATTAAATAAAAAATATTTTAATAAAAACTTATGGAGATGCTATGGAAGTGATACCGAAATGCAGAAGATTTTTCCAGCATAATTGAAATGTAAAATGACATACCAATTATTTTTTCTATTGCTAATATCAGACTATTTTCTTATGACAGGAGGTTCAAAATTATCACTTGATTTTCCGATCTAAAGCCTATGAAATTTTTCACATCCGTAGAATAAATTGCCGATCATCACAAGGACATGGAAAGGTGTTATGATCATGTATTCCACGAGGGAAAACTAAATCTTTCTATCGTTTAATATTTTATTTGAAATATCAAACAACTTATTAAGGAGAAATTTCTAACATATAATTTTAAAAATTGATGTTCAACTTTGGATAAAATTTCTGGTCTTGACTTATGTTCCAAAACATTATCATGTAGGCAAAAAGTTTATATGAGATCCTAGTTCAAATTTTATTTTATGCCTATTATATAGAGTTATTAGAAATATTTTACCCACAAATGGTTAAATGAAAATTGTGAATAAAAAATTAGCAGAAGACAACTTTGGAGAAAAGAGAGGGGAAGAGAATTAGAAAAGAATACTTTTATAAATAACTGAAAGACAAAGGACTCTTAGAATATCTGGTTTTTCAGATTTATAATAGGATACTATGTTAAGCATCATCTATGCTTGGAGGGTAATCCTTTATTCATTTAGTCCATGCCAGACTGAAACACTGGACTATTGTAGATACCTAGCTAGACACCTAGACCCTTACGATAGAATCAGTTAGTCAGCCATGAAGTTTTTCTGGCAACAAATTAAGAGTTGAGCACTTTCATGTTGTCAGGGCATTGGGCAAAACCAAAATTTGGAAGAAAAAAAAAAATGGTGAGAATCAGTTCTTGGTTGACAAATTAGGCTGGAGTCTAGAATATCTAAAGTTAATAGAACAAATAAAAAACAATGACAATGCAGAAGGAATTAAGTCTAGACAGAGGTATTTGTAATGTCAAATAAATCTGAGAGGTATAGTTACCCTGGAGGCTTGTGTAGGATAGATATAACAAAGATAATGGTATTAATGTGCATATTGGGTACATTATTATAAGAGAGTTTATTTCTACACCTTTCTTTTGTTGAAATAATATAATCAACTGAAATGTCTGACCTTCTAATTGTTTTAAATTAAAAAGGAGTAATTCATGTGTTCTGGTGTGGAACCCACCTAAGGTCATCTCAAAGGAATATTGGTTCATTGCAATGCAAGATCTACTTTGAATTTGTTACAGTTTTTAAGAGACTTGTTGCATTATAAACCATGTCTTTGAATAATGATATATTTTAATCATTTAATTTTTTTTATTTATTTACAAGATATTGTCTGGCTGGGTGTGGTGGCTTATGCCTATAATGCAGCTTATTGGCTGGGTGTAGTGGTCCACACCTGTAATCCAGTGTTTTGAGAGGCCAAGACAGGAGGATCACTTGAGGCCAGGAGGTCAAGACCAGCCTGGCCAACAGAGAGAGACCTCATCTCTACAAAAGATAAAAATAAAAAATTAACCAAGCATTCAGTGCACTCCAGTAATCCTAACTACTTGGGAGGCTGAGGCAAGAGGATCGCTTGAGCCCAGGAGTTTGAGGCTATGATTACACCACTACGCTCCAGCATAGGTGATGAAGCGAGACCCTGTCTCTAAAATAATTTTTAAAAGAAGACATTGTCCACAAATACTTGTGCATTTTGTAATTTATGTCCAAGAATACATACACATATAGTTTGAACATATTAAGAACCATTTACATAGGATCACTAGGCAAATAATTTCTTATATATGCAGTATTTACTTTCATATTCACCCGCTCTATTCCCTTGCAATACCACCAATGATAAAGTGCTAAAATTACAGCATTTGGCATGTCATACAATAAATGTGAGGCCTTTGCAAACATTTAAATACTTGAATATGAATTTGAAATTCTTTATGTGATTTTTACTAACAGGCATAACTAAATAATAAACTTTATTGGATATGTTGCATTGTTTTTCCTTCTTTATACATGCCATCTCGTTTAAACATTTAAACATTTTTCTTAAGTCAATTGAAGAAATATAGCAATCCTGAAAGGAAAGAAGGAATATTCCTTCACAGTGAAAAAAAAAAAAAGTAGACCAACCCACAGATAATTTCCGCTGGTTCTAATGGCTCTTCCCCAGGTCTTTTGGTCAATATGAAGTTCTGTTTGACAGTAGTCTTCAGTGTAGCCCTGCCAGAGAAAGCTAGCCTAGGCATGCACCAGCCAAATACTCCTCCACGTCCTCACACGCTGAGTAAATCTTTACTTACTGGCAGCCTTGCTCACTGGTTGGAGCACTCAACTGGAAAGGAGAAACAGATATAGATGTGAAAACCTGGGCTAGGATAAAAGTAGAGAAATGGAAAAGTTCAGAAAAAAAAAAAACATGGGGAAAGGATTTGAGAGTTTTTTTCCTTAAAAATAAAAAGTAGGAATTTTTAGAATGATGAATGAAGGTGAGAAGTGTTCATACATATTTTACAGCTACTCATCTGTTGCCTCTATGGATTTTGAAAACAATGCAATATAACTAAAAAAGTGTTTAGATAAAAGTGTCCACAATATTGACTTATAATTTCTTTACATTTAAAAGAAACAGAATTCTTTTTTTTTATTATCATACTTTAAGTTTTAGGGTACATGTGCACAATGTGCAGGTTAGTTACATATGTATACATGTGCCATGCTGGTGTGCTGCACCCATTAACTCGTCATTTAGCATTAGGTATATCTCCTAATGCTATGCCTCCCCCCTCCCCCCACCCCACAACAGTCCCCAGAGTGTGATGTTCCCCTTCCTGTGTCCATGTGTTCTCACTGTTCAATTCCCACCTACGAGTGAGAATCTGCGGTGTTTGGTTTTTTGTTCTTGCAATAGTTTACTGAGAATGATGATTTCCAATTTCATCCATGTCCCTACAAAGGACATGAACTCATTATTTTTTATGGCTGCATAGTATTCGATGGTGTATATGTGCCACATTTTCTTAATCCAGTCTATCATTGTTGGACATTTGGGTTGGTTCCAAGTCTTTGCTATTGTGAATAGTGCCACAATAAACATACGTGTGCATGTGTCTTTATAGCAGCATGATTTATAGTCCTTTGGGTATACACCCAGTAACGGGATGGCTGGGTCAAATGGTATTTCTAGTTCTAGATCCCTGAGGAATCGCCACACTGACTTCCACAATGGTTGAACTAGTTTACAGTCCCACCAACAGTGTAAAAGTGTTCCTATTTCTCCACATCCTCTCCAGCACCTGTTGTTTCCTGACTTTTTAATGATTGATTGCCATTCTAACTGGTGTGAGATGGTATCTCATTGTGGTTTTCATTTGCGTTTTTCTGATGGCCAGTGATGGTGAGCATTTTTTCATGAAGAAACACAATTCTTAATGCAAAAGCAAGATAAACATTTACTTCTAGAGAAAAATGTCGCCATGAAAGACAAGGAAGTGCTGTTTTTGTTCTCATTAGTTTGCAGCTAGATCTTAGCAGATAAGTTCAAGTTCTTCTGAGTCTTCCTCAGATGACCACAGATAAATCTATACTGGCCATGATTTCCTTTTATACCTATATGAGAATTAAATTTCTTATTTAACCTTGCTAAAAAGTGTCACACGGAGACGTGATAGTTCAAGAAATGTTGAAGAATATTTTTTTTCTGTCTTTGAAACCCTGATAGGCATAGAAGAAATGAAAGAAAACCTATGCATTAATTTTAAAAAACAAGGATTTAAATTAGCTTGTATTGAGAATATTTAATTATAGGATAATAACCTAAATAAAGCACAATTGAATTCTAAAAAACAATATGACCATAGCATGAATGTTCTAATAATAAATAAAATTTATTGAGTATTATGTTCTACATGCATATAAATTATTCTATTCTTTACATGATAAGATAGATGAAAGCTAAATAATTTTATTTTTTGAAAGAGAGAATTGAGGATCAAGATCAAATAATTAATTCCTTTCAAGAAACATATACTTTCAGGTGCGCCACTGAAAATAACTACAAGCAAAATATTTAAGATAATGTCATCATATTTACTATCCTGCAGTCATTTTTAAGCAAGCCCCTTCTATAGATAGAATGTATATAGGTAATTGAATTTGTGTAAGGATAGAGCAATGAGCCACTGTCTTGCAGTATTGACAGATGGCTAGACATTTACGAATGGAGAACAAATAAAAAACTCACTGATAACAACCTTTCACCCAGATTTTTCTATAAAGATGTTAAATAGGAGAGAATAGATTATACATTTTCACAAGTATCAATTGTTCAAATAAAGGTTTATATATTTAGAATAGCTGAATGTGTCATGTGAAAAATTAGCAAGATGATACATAACAGGAAGAAATTAGGATTAATAGAAAAATAAAAAAATTAAAAGGATGTCCATGATGCAGGTGAGTGCAACCCACTTTAAATGTAAATTCACAAATATATTAAAAGTAAAAGAATGGAAAATGATATGTTACATAAACACTAATTAAAAGATAGCTAAAATGGTTACATTAATATCAGACAAAGTAAGCCTTTGAACAAGGGATATCAGTATTCATATGGGATAGAAAAGACATTTCATGCTGATAAAGGGTAAATTCATGGAGATAATATAGAAATCTTAATTATGCATTCACCTAATAACAGAGTTCAAAATATATGAAACAAAAACTGATCTAATGGTAAAGAAAAAAACATACATTCAAAATTATATTTGGTAAAAAAAAAATGCAATCTTTTTCCTATAGTGAGGAGCGAGGCAATGATATCTGCTCTCACCACATCCATTAAGCATTACACTGTAGCTTCCAGAATAAAATAAGGAAAGAAAAGGGTATAGAAGGGATTATATTTGGAGAGAAAAAGTAAAACCATCTTTATTCACAGCAGTCAACTTCTACGTAAACAACAACAACAACAAAAAAACTCTGCAAAAAGCTAATGCAGAAGATGAGCATACTAACCTCCTGCACACTGAAAGCTACACAAAATATTGCTGACGGAAATGAATGACATAAGTACATAGAGAGATGCTCCCATCCTCCACATCATCGTGGTATTCATTCTGGGGCCCAGGCTGACAGGTCAGTATATGGAACATAGCTGCTGATTTTGCTTGAGGGAAAAGAAAATGTAGGGACATAACTGACTTTTTGCACTTCTAGCTACAAGTGACTAGTGTTTCTTCTATCATATTTCATTAGCCAAGGTCATTGGCCAAGTTTATTTTCAAGGAGGGAAGGAAATATAATCTTTCCCCAAGAAGGGTACCAGGTATTGTTGAACAATAATAGTCTACCTCATTATTCAAGTTATTGATTAAAATAAAAACAGGAAATTGCTCTGGGATTTAAGGGTTGGACTTTTGGCATTGTAAACTGTAAACTATGTTTTTATTTTGGAGGAAATAATCCTTTAGGTTGACTTTCAATGCAGTATGGCCAAGCAAGTTTCTTTTCCTAATTAAAATGCAGAGGTCATTTCACGAATGAGGACAAATTCCCAAGGAGTTTCCTTATTTTTTTCCCATAGATCACAAGACTTTCAGTCAACTTTTCATTCCTTACTTGAGTTATTTCTACCTTTCCAGTTATATAGGAGTTCTCTAAAAATCCCTATGCTATGAAATAATTTCTCTTGGTTCTTTGATTACTTCCTGTCTCCAAATATGCACATATTTATTTTTACTTTAGAGTTTTATTGCTATTTATCATAGAATATTAGTTTCATGAGGGCAGAGAACTTTGTCATTTGTTTGCTACTGTATCCCCAATACATAGAAGGTACTATGTGTTCAATAATATTTGTTGAATGAATAAAAAGGTCTGAGTGAATAATGGCAATGTGTTTAAATGATAATCTTACTGTACGGCTGTTGAAATTTTACCATATTTTATTATATTTTGTAGAAAAATCTTTTTTTTTTCCTATAAGAAGGTACTAAGAAATTCTACACAACTGTCACAGGTTGAGGAGACTAATGAGACATCGTAACAGAATGTCATATCCTGGATTAGATCCTAGAACAGAAAATGGACATTGGTGAAAAAATTTGGGAAATGCAAATGAAGTCTAGAGTTCAGTTAATAGTAGTTTGTCAATGTTAATTTCTTAGTTTTTATTATTACACTGCAGTTATGTTAGACATTAGCATTAGAGGAAGCTGGGTACAGAGTACACAGGAACTTCTCTGTCTTATTTTTGCAACTGTGCTGTAAATCTAAAGATTATTTTAAAATAAAAATCTAAAGACATTTCATGACCATTAAAAATTTTGGTACAAGTTGGTGATATTTATGTTTTTAATATATAATTTGTAATGCCATAAGAGTATTGTTAGGCTTTTGAATATCTTCACTTATAAAAAGACAAATATTTCAGGATGAAATTTTATGATTTTTCAATTCCTTTAAATAATCCCACAAAAAGGGTGAATGTATAGGTGAAAAAAGATTGGCAAAATATTGAAAATTGTGAAAGTTGGTAGGTTGATACTGGGCAGGGGGAGTCATTGATTTATTCACTTTAAATATGAGCTTTTCATAATAAAACTTTAAAAAGTAATTTAAAAATACATACTGTTTATCTTTGTCTTCTGATAGCCTATGTTTCATGTATACTCTGCCAAATGATACCATTAAACCTATCCAATAGTCCTGATTATCTTAAAGAACCTCAATTTTTAGGAGCCAGAATGCTCAACAAAAACAGGACTATCCCTACTCCCTAGGGGATAAAGCATAGCTAGCTGACCTAATCATGGTCACCATATTCATTCCACCACAGATTTTATAGGGTTAGGAAGGCAATTCAGTTATGAACAAAGACATTTAAAGAGGCATCTGCTTGGGGACAGGCTGGTTCTGGCAAGAATTTTGCTCCATAAATGAAAAAAAAAAGATAGAAGAATAGATACCCTTTTACCTTAGACAAAGTTGTGTGAGGATACAATGGTTTGGAGCTGTGATTTTCATTATGTGACTAGCAAGTGACAAGTATTTATTTTAATGAAGCTAATATGTTAAGGATGGCAAAATGGAAAAAAAAAAGTAGGAATGCAGGAGTTCAATAATTTTGTTGAGTTATAGAATCATAACTCAACTTCCTATCTCCAAAGTTTTAAAAGTCTTTATTTCATATGCCAACATTATTCAAGTCTTCTATAATATTTCCTGCAATCAAAACCACTTACAACTGGTACAATTACACAAACATCACTGATGATGGTTTTATGATCACCTCTGAATTTTCTTTCAGTTCTGTAAAATCTAATTTTTCTGGGCCCACACACTTGAAATGATTTGAAATGGCTAAGTCCTCTTAGCACCTTTTCACTGATCTTGGGTTCCAATTTCCTCTTAATCATTTTTTCTATCTACTTAGATAGATAAGTTGAAAGAAAGTAGTGTTTAAACTTCTTGAACTAGTAGGCATTTCCTCTTCTTGTTTCTCTTATCTCTTTAAATGTGATTTAAAAGCTCTCTTTTGCATAGGGAATTTTAAGAACTCATCTTTTTCTGTTTCTGTGCTCAATTTTGTCCACAATATTCTTATTTATTTGTGATTTCTTTTTCAGATTATCATTGTTTAAAGATTCTTCTTTCTATCTTTTGAATACATTGAACCACATTATTTTTTCATTCTTATTGTCTGGCTTTCTCAATTATCAACCTCCAAAAACATTTTTATAAGAAAATTTAATTTCTATAACAAAATTCCAAAAGCAAAACCAAGCAATTATTCAAATACGAATTTATAGATTGTGGGCTTCCCCAAAGGCTCTCTTTTAAAAAGTGGGGGTTGTGGGGAGAACTTTGGCAAGAAAGCCCCATGCAAAGCAAATCTTTCTTCCTGGAAAACTGTGGGCATTAGCAATTTCTGATGTTTTCATTAGTTAAAAGAAAATACCAAAGTCATCCTTCTGTGGTTTTGTCTTTTTAACTTGAATCCGAATTTCCATTTTTCTAGGCAACAGTTTCTTGCTCCTGAGTACTTTACACTGGCAAGAATGCTAGGCCTCTGAAGAAAATCTTGAATGAAATTGGTCAGGTATTAGATAACTAATCCTGTTACTGAACTGACTCATGAGTAACCTTTTTAACTATGTACCTGATCCTTTCATAGCTGTGTTATCCACAATGCCAAATGGTCTTACTGAGTCATAAAGCTGATCTGTCACTTTCTTGCTTAAGTCTATGTCTCTCTATTGCCTATGGGATGGATCAAGCTCCCTCTTAACCCACAGAAAGCTTTTCATTTCCATGAAATTGATTCTCCTCCTCAATCAGCCTCATCACTTGCTACTCTGTTCTTGGAATTTACAGTCCAACAACACTGAAGGACCTACAGATCCCTACAGTTTGCATGATGCTTTTTACCTCTGTATCTCTGCCTGTTGCTTTAAAAATTTTCTTCCACTGGAAGCCGGGCGCTGTCGCTCACGCCTGTAATCCCAGCACTTTGGGAGGCCGAGGCGGGCGGATCATGAGGTCAGGAGATCGAGACCATCCTGTCTAACATGGTGAAACGTCGTCTCTACTAAAAATACAAAAAATTGGCCGGGCGTGCTGGCGGGCGCCTGTAGTCCCAGCTACTCGGGAGGCTGAGGCAGGAGAATGGCGTGAACCCAGGAGGCGGAGCTTGCAGTGAGCAGAGATCGCGCCACTGCACTCCAGCCTGGGAGACAGAGCAAGACTCTGTCTCAAAAAAAAAAAAAAATTTTTTTTTCTTCCACTGGAATAAACAACAAACAAACCTCAAACTCTACTAATCAAAGTAACCCACGTAAAACTACATGAGATTTGAATAAACTTGGCTCAAGCTCACAGACCTATATTCTGTTTTGGCATGTGTAATGTGGAGGGGAGGGGGCAGTGTTTTAGTGCTTTCGCTTAGATTACTGTGCATTCCTTGGGTCTTATTTTTTTTATGGTGACACTTGATCCCAGTATCTGGTTCTAGTGAATAATAAGTCTCTCTTCCCAAGACTACTCTCGTCTCTTTGTGCCATACCAATACAGACATAGAATAAAATCACTTTACTTGAGTTTTCCAAAACCCAACCATTTGTGTAGCAGACCTTATTTTAGTCTAGGTTAATTTTAAAAAAGCATTTAACGTGAAACAACAGAAATCATTAAAAAGTGATCTTAAGTTCCTATTATTTAATAGTCTTTTAGGTACCCCATCACTTGAACTCCTCAATATGTATCTTTTTCTCCATGGACTTCAGTACTAGCCATTTTGCTTTACACTCTTTCCACATAATTCTTGATCAAAAAATGACTTTTCATCAGTCAACTTAGTTGAACAAAATGAACTTGAAGGTTTTAAAGTTTAGACCCATTTTTATTCTTTCTCTGAAAAATCTCTGTATATGAAAGTCCAGAGGTATACATTCCATTTGCTATGAATTAGCCAGGCCTCATAAAATTGTGGAGGGGAAACAGTCGATTTAGGATTCAGAATAATCTCCTCTCTCCACACCCTTAGACATACCTTCTCTCTAAACACACACCTTCTGAAATATCTCTGAGCAAGATGGTAAACTTCTTGAAGGCAGGGCATTCTGTGTGTTTTGTTCACTGTATTTCAACTGTTTGAATATTGTCTGATGTGTAGTGGCACTCAATACATTTTTTAAGTTAAATTTAATTTAAACTAGTTGCTGCCTCTTCCTAAAAGTGTTCCTTCTTAAGGTTATTCAAAAACTTGCTGTATAATATCTGTTCAATTGTATGACTGAATACAAGAACACCTTTTATTTATATGCTACTTCAGAGTTCTAAAAGAATTCTGATGTAAATTAGTTTTAATTAAGTCATCATATGTACCCTTTGGGGCAGATAGAATAGGTAATATTATTTTAGTTTGCAAGTAAGGACACTGAGATGCAAAGATGCTACTGCTTTTCTAAGATTAGTAAGTTTGGGCACAAAACTTAAATCCACATCTTTGTCCTATATTTTTTCTAATAACAAAGCATATAAACAAATACAATTTTTGTTAAATAGAAATGTCTGATTTCTGTTTCTAAATTGATCTGATAGATGAGGAAATTATCAATAGAGCTGTTTTATAAAAGCACACATCAAAGCATAAATACTCTTTTCAATTAATATTTAAAACTAAATTTTCTAAAGTAAGTTTTAAAATTTGTGTTCGAAGACATGTAACATAAAATTAACCATTTAAAAGTGAACAGTTTAGTGACACTTAGTACATTCACAGTGTTGTGAAACCACCGCCTGTATCCAGTTCCAAAACATTTTCATTACTCCAAAATAAAATCCTGAATACATTAAACCGGTTCTCCATATTAGCCTTTACCCTCAGTTCTCCCCTCAGGCAAGCACCAATCCGCTTTTGTCTCTAGGAATTCACTTATTCTAGATAGTTCATGTAAATTGAATCGTACAACATATGATCTTTTATGTCTGTTTCTTTCACTCAGCACAGCCTTTTCAAGGTTCATCCGCACTGTAGCCTGTAGCATGTATCAGCATTTCATTCCTTTTTGTGGCTAAATAAATTCTACTCTGTGTGTGTGTGTGTGTGTGTGTGTGTGTGTGTATACATACTTAGGCTATTTCTGTCTTTTTGCTATTTTAATAGTCCTGCTATGAACATGCGTGTACACTTAGGCATTTCTGTCTTTTTGCTGTTTTAATAGTCCTGCTATGAACATGCGTGTACAAGTATTTGTTTGAGTACCTGTTTTCAATTCTTTAAGGTATATGCCTAACAATGAAATTTATGGATTATGTGGCAATTCTGTATCTAATTTTCTGAGGAACTGATAAAATATTTTCCACAGAAGCTGTGCCATTTTATATTTCCTCCAGCAATGCCCAGCGGTTCCAATTTATCACATTTTTGCCAATCATGCAATGTTTTTGTTTTTCTGAATGTAATCATCTTATTGAATGCGAAGGGGTTTTTATTTACATTTCCCGAATGACCAATGGTGCTGAGTAACTTTTCCTGTGCTCATTGGCCATTCATATATATTCTTTGGGAAAATGTCTATTCAAGTATTTTGCTCATATTTTAATTGGATTATTTGTCTTTTGGTTGTTGAATTGTAGTAGTTCTCTATGTATTCTGGGTGCTAGACTCTTATCAGATATATGATTTGCCAATACTTTATCCCATTCTATTCTGTTTTTTTTCACTGTCTTGAAAACATTAATTTTAATTAAGTCTAGTTTTTTGCAAGCTTCAATTTTGGGAAGGAGAAAGATTTGTGAATTATAGTTTGGAAGAGCAATTAGCTGACTTCGTTGAATTATACAGAACCTTGCTGAGATGGCAATAAAAGTCTCTTTAAAGTTTCTTATTAATTTCTAACTTTTAAGTTACTGCTAAAGAAAAGAAAATGATTTTGAAATATTAACATTATTCTGTTTCAACATTACATTAGTAGAAATCTTTAGCTTTAAAAAAAAATCCAAGGCTTGTAATCCCAGAACTTTGGAGGCTGAGGCTGGTGGACCCTTTGAGCCCAGGAGTTCGAGACCAGCCGGGGCAACATGGTGAAACCCCATCTCCTCCAAAAAAAAGAAAAAAAATTAGCTAGGTGTGGTGGTGCGTGCCTATAGTCCCAGCTACTCTGGAGGTTGAGGTGGGAGGCTGCAAGGAGCCAAGATAGTGCCACTGTACTCCAGCCTAGGCAGCAGAATGAGACCCTCTCTCAAAAAACAAACAAGCAACAACAACAAAAAATTCTAAGAATTATTGTCTGTCTTCTGATTAAGATTTATTTTTGGTTAGAGTAAGCCATATATTTAAGGCTGCATTCTGATAAACTGGAAGCTGTTAAGTATATACAACTATATTAAATCTTGTACAATTTAGCCTTATTTTCTTCTTTGAAAAGAAGAAAAAAAATCATAGTTGATTGCCTCTTGCTGCTTCACAGATGTCAGGTTACGTCTTTGTATTGATAATTCATTAATTTCATGGAATGCATAAGTCAATTCAGAGCAAAACTATTGTTAAAAATTTATTATTCTGAAGTCAAGCACTCCAGTTTGCATAGGTGTGTGTGTCTATGTGTACAGCTCTTCCTTTTTATGAAAGTGTTTATTCTGCAATTATTATGTGTAGGCATTCTCTTATTCCCTATAAATACATAAAAGCTTTTTACTCTTTTTGTGTTCTCATTCTAATGATAGAAGATAAAAAATAAATTAACAAACTATCTAAACTAGATTAGAAGAAAATGAATTTGGAATATGTTCTAAAAGTGTTGAAAAACAACTTTCAAAATAAAAATTAAACTGGTCTCATTTTGAGGGAGAAGCTGTAGACCCCCAGTTCAAGCCACGATTTAGCAAACTTAACAGTGAATGACTTTCAATACACAACTTGTTTTTGGCATAAACCTCTTAACATTGAACTGAAACTCAATGATGTGACATTATTAGACACAAAGGCAACAGCATTATTTTTGTGTTTCATCCCAGTGACTGGTACTCCTGGAGAAGGGAGTGATACGTGCCCACTTAGAACTGAATCACCTTTTGTCAAGCTAGGGAGGAAAGCACTGGTGTAGCCAGGAGTTCCTCTGGGCAGACGTCATTTCGGTTCTCTAATTTAATAGGGTGCAAATAGATCCTAAAATTAAAAAACCAGTCCTCTGTTTATTTCTTCTGTTTTGGAAGCAGTCAATAAGCTCTACAAAACATGAGCTCTGTGCTGTGTTTCCAATGTCAGCTGCCCCTGTGGCCAACTTTTGCTTGCTATGAAAGGATTCCATTGACTTTTACCAACCAAAAACACAGAAGACTGACTATCCAGGAACCCCACTTTATTTTCAGTTATGGCTCTTCTGTTTCCATATTTAAAAACAAAAAGTCTTTCTTCTCTCTGGTTTTCCAGTTTCACAAGGTCTTCAATTTTACTAACAATAGTGTGTCTGTATAGTATTTAAAGCCAAAGGAAGCCCCAATTCCTTATATGAATATATGTACATACAGCCTTTCCCTCTTCTCCTTGCCTTCCCATCCCCCAAACTTATGCATACAAATCACGTCATTCCTGAAATATGATCTCTCCAGGGTGGAGTACATTGGATGCTGAAACAGCATATAACATTGGCTAATATGACGGACTTCATATAGGGCTGCTGAAAGGCCGGCGGGCAAGGGAGAAACAAACATTTTTTTAAAAAGAAAAACAAACGCCTATTGGAAATAAAACAAGCTAGGGAACTAAAGGGAAATATATATTTTCCAGTCCAGAATTCAGAGAGAAAATTATTAGCTAAGATTTGAAAAAAACAACGCAAGAAGAAATTGTCTCATTGTTTGACATAAATCACATAACAAGTGTACCTTTATCAACGTGACAGGCAATGTAAAATTTGGAGAAAATATATTTTGTCAAGAACTATTTACTGAAAGATTAAGCTGATGGATAGTATGTCCTTGGCTTCTAGAGTAGTTGAATTCGATTCTAATTAGAATTTTTAAAATATGAAAGAAAACCATTAGTAAGAGAGATTATAAAAATCAACAAAATTGTTTAAATGCTAGTAGAAAATCATACTGGATTCCTAATTATAACATTGATCTTGGATTCTTGTGGTGAAGGCATTAAAATAGATACAGGGACTGCTGTCAATTTTACAAATAAAAGTTCTTAGTCAGGGCCCAACATAGAGACATAGACACACAAACACACACACAAACACAACACTGGCGGATACAAGTGTTGGGTATCCACCAAACACTGTCATTAAAAAGTGACAAAGCCACAATGAAAGATCACTCCTGTATACTTCCATGCTCAACAATAACAAAATAAAATGCACCCCCCTACAAAAAGACAAATGTGGAAATGGAATTTAGATTTATCTTCCTTACATACAACTCCAGTTACATCCACAGGCTTTGTCAAAAAACATAAATGACTGCTTAGTGTGTATGAAATTGAATTAAAACTTTTTGACCCAGCATTTATGGTTCCTTATATTATAAAATAATAAGAAAAAAAATCTTATGCTGTTTGCTAGTAAAACCAATCACAACATTTCTACTCACTATTCTACTCACTTTCTACTCATTTTGTTTATAGTTAGTTGCTCTGTTTCATAATTTACTTTTGCTCTTGGTATCTATTTTATTATAGCTTCAGCTAATACTTTTTAGCATTTTACAATTTAACAGAAAGTCACAAGCCTATGGCACCTTAGTTCTTTACATGTATGCCAGGCCTTAGAGGACATTAAGCTCCACTCCATTATAAGTGACTAAGGTCCAAAGAGACTAAACACATTTTCCAAGTTCACACAGTAAGTTCTGGCAACAGAATAAGGACTAAACTCAGATTTTCTCTCTCTTTATTCTGGGCTTATTGGCATCCACACTTAATATGGCCGGTTATTATTTTCTTTTGTCAAATGTTTGTTACAAACCAAAACAACATGAGGACCTAACAAATTCATAGGTAGATATGTTAAGATTTATTAAGCATTACATTGAAAAATGTAATGTACACATATGTGTTTTCATATGAATATTTATATTCTCTGAACTGGTATAAAGAATAATTTTATGCACTTGATAAATATAATGAGGCTTTTTTCTTCTTTAGACTCTTCTGTATTTTTGACATTTTCTGTCTTTATTAAAAGACAGAACATTAAAAATGATTTATATTTTTCTATAATATGGGAGAAATAGCAAACAGAAACATTAAATCTTAGTTTGCTGATGAAAAAAATTTATTTTTAGACATTCTATTTGGTGTGGATCGTTTCAAAATCTGTGTATTCTCGGCTTTGCGTCTTGCAGGGACCTTAACAGTAAGCCAACCAAAATAGAAGAAATAATCTGTTTTCCTAGCACAAGAGGAGATACATATGGTGTAGGATTGACTCCCATTGAAGTGGTAAGAAGTCCGACTCATAATATGCATGGGACTGTAGGAAACTCCCATTTGAACAGGGCTGAGATTGATAGACACTGGTTCCTAATTTTGTTTAAGGTAGCAGGAGTTCTGAGCTGCAGTAATACTAATAACTACACATTTGACACAGTCCTGACTCCAGGCAAGTCTCTTTGAGTGAAAGTGGTATCCAAACCAGTGATTTGTAGGACAGGCAGGCAATAGGATAATGCATCCTAAGAGAGGGAGGGGGAGGGGGAGAGTGAAATGATAGAGGATACAGAGATGATGAGCACTGCTCAGTGCAAACCATGGATTTAGGGCAGGCCTCCAACTCCAGAAGGTGGCACAATCTCAAGGTTCAGACAAACATTTCGAGGTGTGGGGGAAAGGTAATGGGAAAACAGGTATGGAGGACTGCAAAACTGGAAGTTAAAACAAGACCAAGGAGCCACAGCAACCTCACCAGATGGTAGATCTCAGTGCCACACTTTACCTGTTAGAGAGAGCATGCAGGTCATTTTGCACTGATATGCTGAATTATTTTGGTTCATGTTCTGAGCAGAGCTTTTGCCTGCAGGTTGAAGAATTTCATTTCTTGTAGTCTCACCAAAATGAGGAGGTAGAGACTTACAGATGTATATGAGATTGTTTCCTAAATGCAAACGCAGGCTAACCAGTGACTAAGTAGATATTTTTTTTCACTACATATAAAAGTAGACATTTGAAAGGAAAGAGCTTTCTTAATAATCCCAGCACTTGGGAGCCTGAGACAGGAGGATCACCTGAGGTCAGAAGTTCAAGACCAGCCTGGATAACGTGTTAAAACTGCGTCTCTACTAAAAATAAAAATAAAAATAAAAATTAATTCAAAAAAATTTAGCTGGGCATGGTGAAACGGGCCTGTGATCCCAGCTACTCAGGAGGCTGAGGCAGGAGAATTGCTTGAACCCAGGAGGCAGAGGTTGCGGTGAGCCGAGATTGCACCACTGCACTCCAGCCTGGGTGACAGAGCAAGACTCCGTCTCAAAAAAAAAAAAAAAAAAAAAAAACACGGCCTTTTATTCCTTTTATTCAATTCAGGTAGTGTACATGTCTTTAGAGTGTGATATACGTATACGTGGGAAAATATAAATTTACCCCAACAAAGTTGTCTTTAGGCAAAGTTGTTCCTGTTTGAAGCTCTAAAAGAAACAGTTCCTAAAAGTATTTTTTAATTTAATTTATTTTTTATTATACTTTAAGTTTTAGGGTACATGTGCACAACATGCAGGTTTGTTACATATGCATACATGTGCCATGTTGGTGTGCTGCACCCATTAACTCGTCACTTAACATTAGGTATATCTCCTAATGCTATCCCTCCCCGCTCCCCCCACCCCACAACAGGCCCCAGTGTGTGATGTTCCCCTTCCTGTGTCCATGTGTTCTCATTGTTCAATTCCCACCTATGTGTAAGAACATGCGGTGTTTGGTTTTTTGTCCTTGCGATAGTTTGCTGAGACATTTATGCAGCCAAAAGACACATGAAAAAATGCTCATCATCACTGGCCATCAGAGAAATGCAAATCAAAACCACAATGAGATACCATCTCACACCAGTTAGAATGGCGATCTTTAAAAAGTCAGGAAACAACAGGTGCTGGAGAGGATGTGGAGAAATAGGAACACTTTTACATTGTTGGTGGGACTGTAAACTAGTTCAACCATTGTGGAAGTCAGTGTGGCGATTTCTCAGGGATCTAGAACTAGAAATACCATTTGACTCAGCCATCCCATTACTGGGTATATACCCAAAGGATTAGAAATCACGCTGCTATAAAGACACATGCACATGTATGTTTATTGCGGCACTATTCACAATAGCAAAGACTTGGAACCAACCCAAATGTCCAGCAATGATAGACTGGATTAAGAAAATGTGGCACATATACACCATGGAATACTATGCAGCCATAAAAAATGATGAGTTCATGTCCTTTGTAGGGACATGGATGAAGCTGGAATCCTAAAAGTATTTTTTAACTTAGAAAAAATATTTCAATCTGAGGTGTGTTTAAGTGAGATCATATTGAATGTGATATCATAAGCAAGGTTAAAATAGTTAACATTTGTAATATCCTAACATTTATTATACTCATTTGTGGATATTAACTTATTCAATCTTGGCAAATATATGGTGAGGTAATTATTCGTGTCATTGCTTCACAAGCAAGGAAAATGATATTTAAAGAGGTTTATCAAGATTATACGGTCAGTTTATCTCGCATTTTGAACTTCATTCACATTCTCCTGTCTCTAAATAACAATTTAACAATAGCAACAAAAATCAGTCTTTCTACATGTACAACTTGTCTTGCTAACATCTTTTCTGTTCCAGATAGAATCCTCCATTAAAAACATCAATAGATAAAAGCATTTTTAAGTAAATACAAGTATATTTCCATCTTTGCTTAGTTTCTAAAACTTGAACATGTTATTGAAGGAAGACAAATTTAACCCGAATGTGCTCAAACTTCACAAAATTGTAGGTACAAATAAGCCTCTATGAACAAATTTTCCTTGTTTATTATCCCTTCAGTTTACCAAGCATTCTAAGCCATTAATCCCCATCCCCACATTTCTGAGGTGTCCCAGAAATATACTCATGAGCAAAGGCCTGCATATTTGGTGAAGCTATGCTCTCCTCTGCGCAGAAGCCATTCTGTACTCTGCACAGAAATGAGGACAGTTATTGTTCTCCCGTCCTCATTATTCTCTGGCTAGGCTCAACCTAGGTCACCCTGCTATACATTTTTATAATAGCATGTTTTGTACTTTTGTAAATTTGAGATACAGTCTTAACTCCAACCTAGCAACAAAGAAAAAGTGTATGGTGAAAAAGAATGTTACACTGGAAATCAGAGCATTCAGGTAAATTAGCCATATTTTCCCTATGAGATCTTAAGCAGGGTCTTTTATCTCTTTGAGCCTCAATTTCTTCCTCTTTAAAACTGCAGTATTAATACTGCCAATAACAAGGGGTGATCCTGGGATTCAAAAGAGAATGTATATGGAAGAACTATACACTTTAATGTAGATTTATTGCATTAGATGGGGCCTTTGGGATCCAAGGGATAGAATACATGTTCTTCTAACTGAAACAAAACAGAATATGCATGGGAAGCCCGGGCGTGGCACACCTGGGTCTGATGCTTGCATTTGCCTCTCCTGTTGGCTGTGTTCTCTCCTGCTTCACAAATGCTCTCCCCACATGGAGGACAAGGTAGTGGCTTGGAAAATTAAGCTGACAGGCTTAGTCTGAGATCTAAAAGGAAGAAACAGCCTTTCTCACCCCCCATCTATGTGGCACATTTCAAGAAAAGGTTCTGATCAGCTGTAATTGAGTTATGTGTCCAATTCTTTGAATGACTTCTATACATGAATTGAGACACATGGCTATGGTTTAGAGAGTGCATCCCAGGATCACATGGGATGAGGGAGGGGCAGTTCTGCTCTGGAAAGAGGGAGTACTAGGCAGAGTGGAGAGAGTTGTTCATTATAATCTTTTGCATCCCCAAAGACTCAGCTTAAAATCCACATCCACTTCATACTTTTTCCTTATGTTTTTAGCCCTCCTAATTATCTTTCCCCACTGATGTCATCCAAACATTTATTGAGCTTCTACTCACTGGCTGGTGGTGCCACATACTGGGAAAACAAAGATAAAAATACATGGCCCTCAATAGCTCACTGCCTAGCTGGAGAAACAGTGATGACACAGTGTGACCCCCTGAGGCTAGACATAGGCATAGAGTGCAATAAAATACCAACCAGAGCAGTATGGGGCTAGGGAGATGGAGGTGGGGCTGACTGGGGCATGCTTCTCATAGGAGCTTATGTGTAAAATGGATCTTAGAAGATAAATACAAGTCAGCCAAGCAAAGATGGCAAGAAAGAACATTATTGTACGGTCTAAAATTACAGACCATCTTGTGTGTTTCTTGATACATATTTTAGGCTTCTCTCTTCTATTTTGATCATAAGTTTCTTGATAGTGATCACGTCTTAATTCTTCTATACTGTTGACAACGCTTACACAATACTAACCACGTTATTGACTCTCACTGTCTAATATGTTTCGTGTTGGCAATTATTTATTTTTATCACTGGCCATCTGGAACATTTTTCCCCCTTAGGAAAATGAGCTAATCATCAATAGTAATGGAATGGCTTATGAAACGGTGTCAGTTTCCCCTGAGAGCTTTTTAGATTTCACCAGCTTTTCACTGTTTTCACCCAAGGATTCTTAATACTACTCTAGTAGTGCCATTTTAGCCAATTTAAGAATCTACAGCCATTCATACATGACACCTCCAAAGCTATGCCCCTTCTAAACCACCCCTTAAACTGAAAAATAAAATCTGACTTTTGCCAACTTCTTTGGTCAAACTTTTGTTCAGAAAAATATATTAACTTAGGAAAATAACCTCATGTAGCTATGCCATGCCAGCAAAAATATCACCATGTCCAGAAAATACACTGGTGGGTGGCTTGATTTGCCTAGAACACATAATTAAGTGTTTTTCTCCCTCCCTGAATGACATTTTCACATTGGTTGCTGGTTATATATGTGCCTCCAAAATCAGTAATCTCCAATTTACCTCATGTGCAAGACTTACAAGCCGGAAAACAATACTGACTTTGAGTGAACCCAGGGTCAATTATTTTGCTCTGAACCTGTTTATCTACCTACATATGAAATGAGTGATCATGAATATATGCATCTATAGGCTAACCAGAATATTTATTCTTAATAGATTGGATATTAGGAGTATTTTTATATTTAAATATGTCAATCAACTCAACACCACAAGTGGTTGGGAGAATACAGATATGTTCTCTGTGAGTGTGAGGTAATCCCCACTTTTCTTTGGATTTTTGGATATGAGAATGGAATGAGCAATAGTGACACACCATCTCTGGAAACGACCTGGCAATGTTTGAATTTTCCAGGCCTGCTTTATTACCAATTACACTTCTAATCCTATGAAGTTTATTGTATGTATTTAGTTTTCATACAAAGAAATATGGACACAATCATAGTCATTGACTCCAAGAAGTCAGTGGTAGGAATCTTTCTCTTAAATCCTCATTCAGTTCAGTTGCATTAGAGATCTTTTTGGAAATGTGAAACAGCATTTCTTTTAAACTTACATACTTCTCTTCTTTGGAGCAGGTAGGTGGTCCAGTGGTGTTTACTTGGCTGGGGTGTAGGGATAGAGTGACATTGACCTTTTGAATATGAGCACAAGCTGAAAATATAAACGGACGTGTCCTTAATAAGAAAATGTGTAGTCTACATGACTCTGGAATCCAAAACAGGACAAGCAAAGAGACAAGTTCTGAAGCAAGAGGACAGCCTCTGATTCAGGACAAAACCGAGTGAAATGCACTGGACAGACAGGCTTTTTTTTTTTTCTTGGGTTGCCTGGGGTGCATCTCTGAATCGGGAGGATGTTATTAAGAACAGTTTAGTAGTACAGAACTTGTTTCATGAATTGAGTGGGGTCATATTTCCTCAGATTGGTGAATTCTAATACACTTGGCATCATTCTCAAGACAGGAAGCCTGTTACCACAACTGCTGCTCTGGGCCAGGCCCTTCCCAGTGGGATAGGCAATATGTTAGCAACAGAACGAGAGAATGTTTTACAGAGGTTCCCTCAGTTTGACCTTCCAGAAAGATGACTAGCATTCAGAGGAAAGAGTATGGTCTCAGGAGGCTAAGAGCAAGACGAAGAGTTAAAATATCTAGCGGATTTTCTTGGATAGAGGCTTTGGAAGCAAGAAAACTGTGGGAGAATGGCCTCCATCACAATGAAAACACCTGGGAGGTCATTCCCCTCTTCCCGTTGGTTGAATTACACATGCAACACAAAGAAAAGTTAGAGGGTACCTTCCACCTACATGTCTTCCAATGGGTCTTATGCCAACAAATGTGCTTATTATGTGGCATTTGCCCCTCCCTGCTAATTTTCCAAAAATAATTCGGAGTGACCTACATTTTCCTTGGTTTTTGACTAGCTGCCAATGTTTTAGGGCTCCTGGAGAAGTAGCATAGGTTAGAAGCTATTAGTGCTATTAAGCAGGGATTTTTTGATGGAGAAGGCGAGTGAGACAAGGCTAGAAAAGTGAAAAGGTCTTTCCACTGATAGGAAAGATGTTGTTTTAGCACAGTGATGGAGTTCTCTGTTTTGACATCTTTTCATGGATGATGAGCAGTGGAAACTGGACATAGATTTGAAGGATATGAAGTTTTTCCAAATCCAGGAGTCTATCAGGATCTGTGGTTGGGGGACTAATTAATCTAGGAGTGGTTAGTGTCCCAAATAGAGACTGTTTGAGTTTATAGTAGTCATCTCAGAAGGAGTGGCTCACGAATCTCCACTTAAGTTTGTGACTTGGCTTGAAGCTTGGAAAGAAAATGTGCCTACTTTGGGAGCATTCAGGCAATGGGATCTTGGAACCAATTTAATTGCAACTTTCCTCACACAAATATATAACTGTTCTTTGCACATAAATATGTCTTGAATTTTATCAAAATTAAATAGAAATCTAGACATTCTAATCTAAACCCTATGTTTGTTCCAACACTGAACCTAGTCTCAAAAGATAATTTTAATCACTTTTTATTCATCTCTTATATTTACTTGCCTATGCTGCTCTTTGTAAATTGCCCTAATTCCCTCTTGTTATCTCACAGCAGAGTGAGATGTCAGCAAACAATGTTGGGCTTATTTCTTTCAGCATATTGACCCCAAGATAAAAAGAGCCCTCCCTGCTATTTCTAGTAGAAAAGTTCTCAGGGGATCAAGAGTTGGGTAGACTTGTAGTCAATGACCATTTCTGAGCTGGGCTACTCTAGCTGGCCAGATTAGGTAACTAGGCCATTCTTATGGCTGCTGGGAGATGGAAGGCATATTACCATGATTGACAGCTCCACCTAAACCTCATGGAATGTGGGAGCAGTTCTCCAAAAGAAAGGTCTTACTTTTTCTAAGAGAAGCAGAATGATGGGAAATCTTGGGTGGATACAATAGCTGCCATAGTCCACTTCACAAGGGTTATCTCTTAAAATTGGGAAATTTATATTTAGAATAAAGTAAAGGAAATTCAGGTGTTCTCTTTACGCAAAATTATAATATAAACAATTTTACTGCTGTTTATTTCATCAGAGCCATTATACACAATTGGTAATCAGTACTTTTCAAGACAATTTAAATTGGACTAGAAAGAAAGTGGATAAGCCCAAAATTGAGCAAAAATTACAGGATGATGAAAAAAGTTAATGAAAATGAGGGAAAGTAAACTAAGGCTTTGCATTCTTACCATATTAAGACTCAAAATCTGGTACATCAAACAGTAGAGTAAAAGAGATGGAAATGGGAGATAAAGGCTAGCAGACAGCAATATTATGATTGCAGGAGGAAAGAGTCAACAATTCAGAGATCAGAGTCGCCCTAGCTCAAGCCCTGATTGTCTTTCAATTGTTAATGGAAATAGAGTTCCAGTCTCCTTGCCTTCACTTTGTCCTCCATCCAATCAATTTGTCACTCTTACCATTGCCATCTCTCAAATACAAATTTATGATCATTATAACACCTCCAAAGGACGCAGAATGGAAATATTAGCCGTAATGAGAAATATCAAAGTGGTTTGAGCTACAGAATGAGTTTGAGGGGCAGAGGAGTGATGTAAAATCGCTGAAGATAGAACGTGATATTGAGATGATTGGAGTGAGACAAGTCTTTCTAAGGCAAATTGGCGGCATTGGGCGGCCCACAGAAGGCTGTATGCCCCAATAATGAAATAAAGTTACCAATGGGGAATATTGAAATGACTATATCGAAGAAGTTTGTAAGCAGGTATTGGGTATTATAGTTTCATGGCAAAGTAAACATTATGTAATTAATGTCTGAAGCAGGGTTCATAATCCATAGAGGTTCATGGAGAGATGTGGAGAAGCCCATAAAAATGGTATATAGAATTTAATGTGTATGTGGTCCCAAACTTTTACCAGTTTTTTTTTTCTTTTTTCTTTTCTTTTTTTTTTTTTGAGACGGAGTCTCGCTCTGTCACCCAGGCTGGAGTGCAGTAGCACGATCTCAGCTGACTGTAAGCTCCGCCTCCCAGTTTCACGCCATTCTCCTGCCTCAGCCTCCCCAGTAGCCGGGCGCACGCCACCACGCCCGGCTAATTTCTTTTTGTATTTTTAGTAGAGACGGGGTTTCACTGTGTTAGCCAGGATGGTCTCGATCTTCCGACCTTGTGATCCACTCGCCTCAGCCTCCCAAAGTGCTGGGATTACAGGCATGAGTCACCGCGCACAGCTACTTTTATACCAGTTTTTTAATGCTGTATATAACCCCCCACGGAAATGCTCACACTGAAAACAAATTTTTTATTCTATTTGCTCTTAATGTATAGAATGTATTTAAGTTAGGAAATATTTTTAAGAAGAGCCATTCAAATTACAGACATAATACTTGTTCAATGTTTATATATAATTTATACTTTTAGCCTAATTAGATTAAATTTTTGAAATTTCATATTTCAGTTTGAGTGACAATAGCAATTTTATATCATGTTTTTTCTACTTTATATTTTATTTTGTTCTCTAATTTTGACTTGTTTGGAAAAAATAAACATTTTTATACAATGCATAATTAATCTTTCTATTTGGAAGTTTTTATATTTAAATTTATTCTTTCATGTATCTTAAAAACATTCTAGAAAACATACTTTTTTTATGATAATAAGATAGTGCAGCAAAATCTGTAGTTTTTTAACCTTAAATTTGTTCACACTGCTAGGCGCCTTTTAACGGCAGGAATAATAAATTCATCTTTGTGCTTTCACACTGCAGTGGCTAGCACAATGGTTGGTATGTAGTAGCTGTTTCAGTAAATATTTGTTGAACTGAATTGAAATGAATCAAGTTGTAAATATTTTCTGGTCACATGAGTAAAATTAAGTAATATACAATTTTTCTTGGCTGAGTTTAGGAGCTATTCTGACACTAATAATTAAACATTTGCCTTTGGACCAAATTTTGAAATATGAGTTGAGATCACTAACCACATATAACCTGTTTCTTTCTGGAATAGATGAAGAAAAATTTTAACTCCTTGTGAATTCATTTTTGGAAAAGAAATATGTGCATATAATAAATATAGAGAAAGCAGTATTTTATGTTCTTTGAAACGTTCAGTTCCTATTTAAAATGTTGGATATTAAAAACTGTCAGAATTTACTCACCCTAATGCAACAACATGAAGCACTATCTGGAAAACACATGCATTCTTAAAATTAAAATGCTGTACTTGACAGTGGATCAAAGATAATTCTATAGACTCGACCCTAATGAGAGTAAAACAATCCTCCAGAGCATTCTGTCTCATTTGTTTGAATTCCATATTCAATAAGTAACCCTATGTTTACTCATTTTGTTTCTTAGGCACTTAGTTGGTGCTTGAAAGGGCTATCTTTTTTACAGAAATAAATGTCCCAATGGCTAGTATGGCATTATAAATTAGAAAATTAAAATTTGTTCATTAGTTTACTACTAGAATATTATACAGATTTATATAAATCTGATCATCTGTGTTGTATAATTTTGGAAAAAAGAAATCTATAAAGCTGAAGATCAGCTCCTAGACCAGAGTTAATCCCCCAAGACAAAATTACTAGAAGAAACAGAATTTGTAGACATTAATGTCCTCTCTTGATATTTCTGAGTTATATTGTTTTTCTTATAGGATGATTTCTACCTAAATTTGAAAGTTAAAAAAGATGAGTCCTTTGTGATGAATCATTCTTCTCTACTTGTCTCTATACTTTACACTGGTGAATTTGGAAGGAGGCTTTCTCTTGTTAGCTGTTGAAAAGTTAATGTCAAAATCTTAGGCTATATTGTTGTCAAGTAAACATTTTTCTTTCTTCTTAGCTCAACCTTGGTAGGTTATATGTATTGAGAAATTTACCCAATTCTTAAACCAGTAATGAGTAAAGAGATCAAAGCCATAATAAAAAGGGTGGGAGGGAGGATGAAGGAAAAAAATATAAATGTATTTACTACCACTGAACTATACACTTAAAATAGTAAAGATGATAAATTATTTATGTGTATTTTACATCAATAAAGAAACATTTTTAGATGAAAAATTTGATCACAACCTTTCAAAAAGAGCACTTATGTCTTTAACTTGTCTCTATTCAGAGTATAAACAGTCAAACAATCTAAGCCAAGTGCTTATCCAATTCAATCACTGAACTTAATATACCTCATGCATAAAAAAAAATCCATTTGTTTACATGGGGAAAAGAGTAGAGCAATCTAATACAAAATTATAGAATGGAAACCTTGTAATAGCCTCAGCTTTTGGCAGAAGGTCAGCTTTGCTTATTATGATTGGGGCAGGCTGTACACTAGCAAGTTAGCCTGGTGAGACTGAAATAAATCTAGCTGTTTACATCATTAAATTTTGAATAATGGCATATTTTTATTTTTTTCTGCCAACTTTACCTCTGATAAATAATTCTCAAGATCAATAATTTCTCAGCTATGACAATCAGGAATGAATCCAGATAAACTAATCCCATATTATTTATTTTACACCACATTCTCAAGCTCTCCTAGGGGAACTCTGAGTTATTAGTGTGTATTGAAAGCAAAAGCAGAATACAGTAGGTTTCCAGTGAGGGCTGAGTTCACTCCAAAAGCTTATATAAATGTTCTCATTTTGTTGCAACTCTACCACTCTGCTAGAGAACTGTTTTATTTCATTCCAACACAACCTTTCCAAAGGTTGGCATATCTATTCCCAGGCTAAGGCCTTAAGGTCAATTTTACAACTTTAAAAACATAATTAAATATATAAAAAAGAAACCCCACATCCTACAAAAATCATTAATTTAAACAATCAGTTCTGTAGCAACTGTGAATTGGATTGCTATCCCAAAGGTGAGTTTTACAAGGAGAACTGAAAATGGCCTAATAATCCCAAATCTGACTGGAAAAATTGTTGGCTTTAAAAATCCAATAAATGGAAGTTTGAATCCTAGCCCTGGAACTTCTTGACGGTGTCATTTTGGACAAATTACTTATTCACTATAAGCCTCAGTTTCCACTTCCCAATGTTGTTGTGACTATAAGAAAAATAGAGTATAAAAAATAGAGTAAGAAAAGAGAGTTCTCTAATAGAGAACATGGCATGGTGTAGGTATTTTATTTTGTTTACCATCTGTCCTTCACGATGATGTTGTGATTTACTTAAGGACAAAAATTCTTGTCTTTCTGGTTAAGTGCTGCAACAGAATGCTACAAATATTCTTCCACAGATAAATTCTTGGTAAGTATTTACTGAACAGAGCAAGTCTCAAGTTCTTCATTGCTAAAATGAAGGAAGGAAATAATTTGTTCACTTATTCTAATTTAAAGCTACATTATACTTTTCTTTTCCCCATTATGAGCCGTTTGCTTCCAAAATTATAGCATGTGTATATGTGTGTGCATGTTCATATTTTGTGGCTTAAAGTTTTAAATTTTATTTCACATGTTTACTTAAATGTAAATTATTTTATATAGAATTATAACAACAACATGAATCAATATTTCAAGGCTCCTATTACATGCAACAAAATGTATTTCCAAAATATATTGTATCAATTTGTGACCTCAAAATATTGCATGAAAATAACTGTTTAGTGACACACTCATCAAAAATGAATATTTTTATTTTTTGAGTTTTTCTACCTTTAAGGACAAATTCACTTTCCCTAGCTATCTTTGATTACATGAAATAACTGCGCAATGTTACTAAGAAGTTTCTGAGCTAACTCACGAGTTGGGACTACTTGGAATTGGAAGGGTTCTGTCCAATCAGTGCTCAGTAAGCAGGTCCCGAATGGGTGGGAGAAGGGAGTAGTATACCCCCAGCATGGAAGTCTTATGTAAGCAACTTTAAAACACTGGGTTTTTATGCATAACCATCTTCAATTAGACACAGTTGCTGTTTTCCAAGCAGACCCATCAGAAGATCACACACACACACACACACACACACACACACACTTCTCATGAAAATGGAGTATGACAAATCCTGTACTAGGAAGGTGAATAACATACTATAGGGTAAAGGAGAGGCCTAAGAAGATGGGAATGTGATCTTTGATCTGGATCTTGAAATAAGGTCACAGTGGTAAAGATATTCACTAGTAGAGAAAGGACTTCCTTGAAAGATAAAACAAAGCCATCAGATTAGGGACAGTTTATGAAAGATTTAATTGTTAGAGTACATGCATAGTTTTTAGTTTTTAAACACTGAATATCACAAAAGTTATTTAATTGCTATGTGGACTTAATCATTTATGGCTTTCCAAATCTAGTACTGGCAATAGTATATAAAAAGATGCAGGGCTAATCATTGTTAAAGAAGAGAGCCTCACTGCACAGATGAAATACAGGGAACAGATTAAAGCAGGCTAACTAAAGTGAGTGTCTTTTCTCTCTTAAAACAACCCTTTCTTGCCCCATATCCACCTGCACCTCTGCCCTGTCTTCTCCTTTTCCATAGCCCAACTTCTTGGAAGTTTTGCTTACATGCCTTATTTTTATTTCTTCACTCCTTTCTCATTCTTTAATTTATTCCAATTCTCATCAGTCTCCCCCCGCCAAAAAAAAAAACTACCAAATTTATATGTTCCAAAGTGAATTTATGTCTTCCTCCCTCTTTTCCCAGCAAATCTGGTCTTGTATCCTGTGGCTCCTTCAGTTCACATACCACCAGCCATCCAGGGCCCTGTGGTTTACTCAGAAGTCCAGAAGTCTCTCTTTGTACCTCCTTCTCCCTCAGCAGTTATGTAAAATCTCTGATTTATCCTTAAGGCTTGCCAATTTGACCTTCTACATACTTTCATATTGGGCCATTTCATTTCACTTCCACATCCTGCTGTAGCTGGGTTATGGTTGTTAGGTTCTGCAGTGGATGTTTCTATGCATTTCTCTCATCCCTTTTCTCAGCCAGTGACATGCCAAACACCTTACTTTCAAAAGCATTCAAAGTCCTAAGTGCCAGAGTTTGCAAAACAGTTTTTTTCTGTCTAAGGGATCAGACAAGATTGAGCATATTGAAATTAGAGAAAAAGGGAAATGGCAATGGAAGGAGGGAGGCTGGTAGAAAGAACATGGGTCTTCTCAACATGGAA
Source organism: Homo sapiens (assembly GCF_000001405.40). NCBI lineage: Eukaryota > Metazoa > Chordata > Mammalia > Primates > Hominidae > Homo > Homo sapiens. The sequence goes on from NC_000008.11 coordinate 75,091,896, forward strand.
AAGAGAATCCTTCTATTGAGAACAAACGAATGAGTTGATTGACCTACAATGTGATGCTACCAATTGCCCATCATCTGTGAGTATTTCGTCCTGGCTGCTTGAAAGTACACAGAACTGGTGAACTTAGTTTTGGAAAGCCATGGAGGGTTTTTAAGTAGAGGGGACAGGATCAGAGGATTGAAGGAAATGGGGTGAGATGTGGGCACATAAAAGCATGGGAGGCCCTATAAAGTGTATTTGCAGTAGTCTAGGCAAAATAGACACAAGTCTGAATCAATAAGCAGAAATGTCGAGAAGGGAGTGGGACTTATGGAAAACATATTTGTTGTAAGTTTGGTAGATCTTTTCACTAAATTTTAATATAATCTCTAAAATGAGTATATAATACTTATAAAATACCTTTTGTTGAGTCACTCAGAAAAGAATTAACTTTGTCTCTTTTATTTCTTTGAAAAATTATCAATTGACAGCATTTTAAGTTGTTTTAGAAACTTTTCTAAAATGAACCAAAAACATTAGTTTGAACAAAAAAGCAGTCATCATTAATAAATATAAACTCTGCGGATCTACTGGCAATTTTATTGTTTATGAATGTCATTTGATTATTAAAAATTGCTATTGCTGTTGATATACACATATATACATATTTAGAATGCTAAACTGTGCTAGAAGTGAAAAAATACTGTAACAATTGATCCCATTCAATGTATTCCAGGAAACATAATGAAAATTAAAGTATTATTTATTCTGCTCATATTATTTTATCATATCACTTACCCCTGTGTTAGTTAAAACACTTTCTTCACTTTTAATCATGCCACATCTTGTAGCCATAGTTTTATTCATGTGACAATATAAAACAGAGGTTATAGGAGTTGACTAACTGCCTTTAATCTCCAAGGTTATTTATAATAAATATGCAAATGTTTCATCCTTATATCACGTTGCTATAAAGTGAGAGGATATCCTGAATTTGTATCTGAAACAGAGTATAGGCAATATATGATTTAAGCTTTCTGTCACAATCACTGTATTTTATTATAGCTAAAATTACCTGTTTGTGGGGCAATAATATATTTTCTTTTTTTTTTTCTTCAACTTTTTTTTAAGTTCTGGGTACATGTGCAGGAGGTACAGGTTTGTTACATAGGTAAATGTGTGCTAAGTTGGTTTGCTGCACAGATCAACCCATCACCCTGGTATTAAGCCCAGCATCCGTTAGCCAGTCTTCCTGATGCTCTCCCTCCCTGTGTCCCCCTTGACAGGCTGCAGTGCGTGTTGTTCCCTTCCATGTGTCCATGGGTTCTAATTGTTCAGCTCTCACTTATAAGTGAGAATATACAGTATTCGGTTTTCTGATCCTGCATTAGATTGCTTAGGATAACGGCTTCCAGCTCCACCCATATCCCTACAAAGGACATTATTTCATTCCTTCTCATGGCTGTATAGGATTCCATGGTGTATATTTACCACATTTTCTTTATCCAGCCTATCACTGATGGGCATTTGGGGTGTTTCCATGTCTTCACTATTGTGAATAGTGCTGCAGTGAACAAAGGAGGGCATGTATCTTATAACAGAATGATTTATATTCCTTTGGGAATATACCCAGTAGTGGGATTGCTGGGTCAAATGGTATTTCTGCCTCTACATCTTTGAGGAATCACCACACTGTCTTCCACAATGGTTGAACTAATTTACACTATCACAAACTGTAAAACTGTTCCTTTTTCTCCACAACCTGACCAGCATCTGTTGTTTTTTCACTTCTTAGTAATTACCATTCTGACTGGTGTGAGATGGTATCTCATTGAGGTTTTGATTTGCATTTCTCTAATGATCAGTGATAATTAGCTTTTTTCATATGTATATTGGCCACATGATGTTTTCTTTTGAAACTGTCTATTCATGCCTTTGCTCACTTTTTAATGGGTTTGTTGTTTTCTTGTAAATTTGTTTAAGTTCCTTGTAGACTCTGGATATTAGACCTTTGTCAGATGGATAGATTACAAAATTTTTCTTGTATTCTGTAGGGTGTCTCTTTGCTCTGATGATAGTTTATTTTGCTGTGCAGAAGCTCTTTAGTTTAGTTAGATCCCATTTGTCAATTTTTGCTTTTATTGCTATTGCTTTTGGCATTTTTTTGTCATGAAATCTTTGCCTCTGCTTATGTCCTGAATGGTGCTGCCTAGATTTTCTTCTAGGGTTTTTATAGTTTTGGGTTTTACATCTAAGTCTTTAATCTATCTTCAGTTAATTTTTGTATAAGGTGTAAGAAAGTGTCCGGTTTCAATTTTCTGCATATGACTAACCAGTTCTCCGAGCACCATTTATTAAATGGGGAATCCTTACCCCATTGCTTGCTTTTGTCAAGTTTGTCGAAGATCAGATACTTGTAGGTGTGCAGTCTTGTTTCTGAGTTCTCTCTTCTGTTCCATCGGTCTATGTGTCTTTTTTTGTACCAGTACCATGCTATCTATTTTGGTTACTGTAGCTCTGTATTATGGTTTGAAGTTGGGTGGTGGATGCCTCCAGCTTTGTTCTTTTTGTTTACAATTGTCTTGGCTATTTGGGCTCTTTTTTGGTTCCATATGAATTTTGAAATAGTTTCTTCTAATTCTGTGAAGAATATCAATGGTATTTTAATGGGAATAGCACTTAAGCTATGAACTACTTTTGGCAGTATGGCCATTTTCACAATATTGATTCTTTCTATCCATGAGCATGGAATGTTTTTCCATTTGTTTGCATCCTCTCTGATTTCCTTGAGCAGTGGCTTGTAGTTCTCTCTGAAGAGGTCCTTCACTTTTCTTCTTAACTGTATTCCTAGGTATTTTATTCTCTTTGTAGCAATTGTGAATGGGAGTGGCTCTCTGCTTGAAATAAAGCCTTGTTGTTTTGCACTGATCTACCTTGGTTTGGGCCAATAAACTAATTAGTAATACTGAAAAATTGAATAAACTTTATAATTTATCACCTCACCTAACCTGATTTAGAGTTTTCATTGCTCCTTAGTTTCTCTCTTGGGAGGGTGCCTTTCCTTTTGTTGATATCCAAGTCCCTTACTTTCAAAAATATGTGGATAAAGACATTCCTGTACTGCCTTTCAAATAAGGATTCTCATGAGCCTCAATACCAAATCCTCAGAGGCATCTTTATAGTACAGGAAATGCAAGCAAATGGAGAGGCTAAATAAATTTCTCAAAAACATTCAACAAGCTGGAGTCAGAGCCAGGAACAGTAAACAGGTCTTTTCACTCCAAGTCTTTGGCACAATTGCCAGATTATTCTCTCTCTGATGGTGAGAGAATGAGTCAGCCTGGCATCATTCATTAATCGTCCTAATTTAGTTAATATTGCTGCTTAAGACAGTAAGTGTATAACAATGGACTTTAAATAGAAAATACAGCCCAGAGCAGAAGATGCTATTAAACTTCGATTTAATTCTTAACCTTCCTTCATAGGAACAATAGGTGAAGATTTAGATCAAGGACAATTTGGAATCGTGCAAGAAAGATGTCAATAGAAGTTACTGCATTAGTATCATTACTTAACAGGTATTCCTGAAACATTTATCGTGCTTCAGGAACTGCATGAAAGCTGTAAACATGATTTAGACATGGTCCCTACCTTTGAGGAGTTGACAGTCTAGCAGGATAGACAGACATAAACACAAAAGTGTCAACAAAGTTTGTGAAATATTAATGCAGAGCATTATAGAAGCTCAAAAAAAGGGGCTCAGAATTTGAACTAAGATGAAGATTCACAAAACGCTGTCTTAGGAAAAGACTGAGCTTTGGAGGGTTCTAGTTTTAGCCAAAGAAAGAGTCGGAAGAAAATTACAAGCAAAAGGAATATTTGTGAATGCAAAGTGATGTGAATTACAAATATTGTGCAAGAAATTATAACTCAGCAATTCTATAATTCAGTAATCTGAGTATGTAGAGGAGAAGAGTTATGAGAACTGAAACCAGAGAGGGAATAAGAGAGTGCTAAAGACACTGTTAAAGATCTTGCTAAAGTCCTTTTAGGAAGGGGAGCCAAAGAAGGTTTTAAGCTGTTAGCTGTTATATGATACGATTTGCTTGTTAGGTAGATTATGTTTGTTGCAGGGTGAAGAATGAGCTTAAAGAGGGCGAAATTAAGTGACTAATGTAATAATCCAGAAAGAGTTGATGAGGCAATGGCTAAGAAGATAGATTATGAAGAGATACAATGACAAGAGTGTGGTGACTGGTTGGGTATGGGCTGTGAGGTAAAGGTTTCTGGTGTTAATAACTGCATAGACTAAGGTGCTCCCAATAGCACTCGAGCATATAGGGAAAAAGGTGTTGGGAAAGACGAATAATTAAATATGCATTTTTAGGGACACACCCGTGACGATATTCTTATTTTACTATTTTTTTAACTTTTATTTTAAGTTCCGGGGTACATGTACAGGTTTGTTATATAGGTAAACTCGTGTCATAGAGGTTTGTTGTACACATTATTTTGTCACCCAGGCATTAAGTTTAGTGCTCACTGGTTGTTTTTCCTGATCCCTCTCCCCGCCTCCCAACCTCCACCCTCTGGTAGGTAAGCCTTCATGTCTGTTGCCCTCTATGTGTCCATGTGTTCTCAACATTTAGCTCACATTTATAAGTGAGAACATGTAGTATTTAGTTTTCTTTTCCTGCATTAGTTTGCTAAGGATAATGGCCTCCAGCTCCATCCATGTTCCTGCAAAGAACATTATTTTGTTCTTTTGTATGGCTCCATGGTATTTTATGGTGTATATGTACTACATTTTCTTTATTCATTCTACCATTGATGGGCACGTAGGTTGACTTCATGTCTTTACTATTGTAAATAGTGCTGCAATGAACATATGTGTGCATGTTTCTTTATGATAGAAGGATTTCTATTTCTTTGGGTATATGCCCAGTAACGAGATCACTGGGTCAAATGGTAGTTTTGTTTTTAAGTCTTAGAGTGATTTCCACACTGTTTTCCACAATGGTTGAACTAACTTACACTCCCATCAACAGTGTATAAGCATTCCTTTTTTCTCTACAACCTCCCCAGCATCTGTTGTTTTTTGACTGTTCAATAATAGCCATTCTGACTGGTGCAAGATGGTATTTCATTGTGGTTTTGATTTGCATTTCTCTAATGATCAGGGATGTTGAGCTTTTTTTCATAGGCTTGTTGGCCATATGTAGGTCTTCTTTTGAAAAGTGTCTATTCATGCAGTGACAATATTCTTCAGGCAGCTCAAAATATGACTTTGAGCCTTAGAAAATAAGTCTGAGCTGGAAACATAGATTTCACATTGCTGAGTATACAGAAGGCGGTTACAATCTTGAGAGTATACTAGGTATGACAAGATACAGGACTGCAGAAAAACAAAAGTGAACCAGGAATGAATCTTGACATATATATCTGAGATTAAAGTTCAGAGAGAAGAAGAAATGTGAAAGAGACAAAGAAGGAATGGTGAGAGAAGTGTACAAATTAAAGTCACTTAAGTAACATAATAATGTTTTATGTTTGTCTACTAACTAATTTTTTCCTGAAGCATTTTCTTATTAGAAATTTTAAGTACATCTCAAATTGAATATAGGAAAGGTGAAGTGAGTATGACACTTCTGATAGGTCATTCTTACAAATTAAGAAATTGATTCTTTCTTCATAATTTCCTTCCAGTTGTTTTCATTTAGTGCAATCTTACATGATGTATTCACCTTCTTTACTGTTTTCTACATCATTTCTAAATTGTGTTAATCTATTTTGTTTTCATTTTGTCTATAAATTGTTGATCTAAATTACTCTCCTTACTACAATGATTTGCATATTCAACTATATATTGATCATCTTTATCTGGATTCTATATACTTTTCCTTCTGGGTGTTCATCTCTGTCAACATCATCTGTCATTGTTAATCCAGTTATTAAAGTCAGTAACTAAGAAGTCATCCTTGGCTTTCTTCTCTCTCAGTTTCCCTGTCTGATAAATCACCAAAGCTATCACTTTTCACTTTTCCCTCCCACATTTCAAGTCTTTCGATTCTCCCATTCCGTCCATTTAGGTTAGGACACGTTTTTTCTTTTATAAACTATTATAACTATTTCCTGATTTGCCACTCTGCTTTCAGTTTTTCCTCTTATTTCGTCTGCTGCCAACACTCCAGACAAAGTGGAGTTTGTTAATCCCTGTTACTTAAAACCTTCCATGCTTCTACCTGTTCCTTCAGGATAAATTCTAAAGCTCTTTCTATGGCATATATGATTTTTAAAAATCTGGTCACTCTAACTCCTCTAAATTCTTACCTTATCTCTTTCCTATCCTGTGTTCCCACTACACTGAAGCACTTGCAAATCTCTGAACAAATATGTTCACTCCCTCTCTGCAGGGTCTTTCTATTTTATTTGCCTATCTTGCCTTACTCTTTTCTCATTTACAACTTCCAACACACACACTCTAGTAGCAGATACACTGGTACTACCAAATTTTCTCTTCAGTACTCACCAATATATCTTCTCATGTAACTATCATAAAGTGTGTTTCCAGGAAGCCCAATCTAAGACACAGTGTTTGTCTTTGCATGTCAGTTAGAAATTAAATCTTTAGGAAGCCTCTCATAACTAACCAAGATTTAGTGATCCTGCTTGAGATACTTTCAGATGCTATAATTAGTCTTCTCTGGTATTTATGTATTGTAATTGTTTTGCTTACCCAGTAGTAAGTAACTCAAGAATAGATTTTGTCTTTAATTGTATTATTTGCAATGTCTAGCACCAAACCACTGGATAATTTCTTAAAATAAATTAATAGTTTCCCTAAGGGCATTTGAATATTTGATGACGTAAATGTGCCTAAAATATATGTCTTTTGAAAATAAACCCTAGTGTATTTACCAGCAAACCATGTAACTCTAGATACTCAACAATATATGGGATGAGAAGCCCTAGAAAGTGTTTGTTATATTTTTAAAATATGCTTATCAGAGGCCAGGTGCGGTGGCTCACACCTGTAATCCCAGCACTTTGGGAGGCCAAAGCGAGTGGATCACCTGAGGTCAGGAGTTCGAAACCAGCCTGGCCAACATGGTGAAACCTCGTCTCTAGCAAATATACAAAAATTAGCCAGGTGTGGTGGTGCACACCTGTAGTCCCAGCTACTCGGGAGGCTGAGGCAGGAGAATTGCTTTAACTTGGGAGGTGGAGGTTGCAGCGAGCCAAGATCGCACCATTGCACTCCAGCCTGGGTGACAAGAGTGAAACTCCATCTCAATAAATAAATAAATAAATAAATATGCTTATTGGGTGTTGCTGAATTCTTGAACAGTTTCTGAAAAAAAGAATAAAAATACATGTATTAATTAAACATGGAAAAGATTGCACTAGATATCTGTCTTCCAAAAAACTTAAAAATATTATGATATTAATTAATTACAGAGACAAATCAGAGCTAATACAAAGACTATTTTATAATCCTAGAATGTTACAGCTGTAGTCTCATATACAAGAAAATCAGACAATAGATTTATTTTCAAAACATGTATTTTTCTGGCATAGAGGTCATTGCCCTAAGTTAAATCTGAGCATGGCCTTAGCATTTCCTTTTACTTCATGTCTACAATAAGTAAACATACTTTTCAATTCAAATTCATTTATCTAAGACCAGATAGGGTGTCACTGAGAATGAAAAGTTAAAATTTGCAATCCTATATTTTCTGTCTATAGGCCAAAAAATTATCCTTATATTAAAAAAGTTTTATTCGTTTTGCTGAATGAAAAATGACAATAAAAATACAAGAAAACTGTATATAAAAATTAACATATTCTAATAGAAATGAGGAACGTTTAAGAGGAACATGCTGAAAGTAATGTAGTAATACAAATTGGGGAAAGGCTTAAAGTGACTGCAGTTAAAAATAGAATCATTCGCGGCTGGGCGTGGTGGCTCACGCCTGTAATCCCAGCACTTTGGGAGGCTGAGGCAGGCAGATCACGAGGTCAGGAAATCGAGACCATCCTAACTAACACGGTGAAACCCTGTCTCTACTAAAACTACAAAAAATCAGCCGGGCGTGGTAGCGGGCGCCTGTAGTCCCAGCTACTCGGGAGGCTGAGGCAGGAGAATGGCATGAACCTGGGAGGCAGAGCTTGTAGTGAGCCGAGATCGTGCCACTGCACTCCAGCCTGGGCAACAGAGCGAGACTCTGTCTCAAAAAAAAAAAAAAAAAAAATAGAATCATTCACAATGAAGGGAACAACAGACACTGGTGTCTACTTGAGGGTGCAGGGCGGTAGGAGGGAGAGGAGCAGAAAAAATAACTCTTGGGCACTAGGCTTAGTAGCTGGATGCCGAAATAATCTGTATAACAAACCCCCATTACATGAGTTTACCTATATAACAAACCTTCATGTGTACCTCTGAAGTCAAAACAAAAGATTAAAAAGTCATTATTTTCAGTTTTTGTTTTATACAAAGTTATCTCCATTCAAAATTTTTCTTTTTGACAATTTGTATGCATATATGATATTGCCTAAAACTTCCAACATTAAGATGATTTTTAAAATATGTATACATAAAAGAACCATGTTTTTGTTTTATTTTTAAGTATGGTTACTATTTTTATAGGCTGTTGCTATTTGCAGCTCTATTTATTTCCTCATTGTCTTATTTTAACATGCTGGTTGGTTCTTCTAGTGTATCTCAGAAACAGAGGTTCATTACCATGGTTCTATGATTGAAATCATCCTGCACATAAGAACCATGTGCATATGTTCGGCATTCTGATACATGAAACTTACATATACCAATCTCATTCATTGTTTTCCACCCACAACAAGCTTTTTAAATGATTTTCAGGGTGTCCTAGAGGTAGACTGAGAAACATCTGATAATAACACTAACTTTTTCCTTGAAAACTTAATGTAGTTTTTAACAAAAAATGCTGAATATATCATCTGTGGTTGTTTGGTTTAAGATGTTGTTAGAACTATGAACCTTAGATTAGTCTGAAGCTTTATTATGTGTTGCCATCTGCCTTATTGCCCTGTGTCTAAGGACATGTTCATCTCATTTCCATTATTTTCCAGCTTTCCTTCTATCAGTTTTTTGTAATATTATGACTTTTTTGGTAACATTATGGTTTCAAGTATATATAACTGGACTATAACTTATTTTTTAAAGTTGTTCTGTTTGTATTTGCCTTCGTGTTTGGATTAATTTATTTGGATATGTCCAGTAGTTGCTTAAATTATACTTGTTGAAATAATATGTGAAATAGTCTATTGGTAGGCAGCATTATGAAAAAAAAGGTTGAAATGTTAACATAGTTGAGATATAAGAAACTTTCCAATGCTTATGATGAATTATAACTAAAATTAAACCTATTGTCCAATGACGGTCCAATAATGTGGCTAGGCAGTAGTTCTCAACTGAGAAGTTGTTTGAGATGCAAATTCTTATGATCCGTCTCACACCTACTGAATCAGAAACTGGATATGTTTAGAAAGTGGGAAGGCCTAAATGAAAGCAATGAGCCTAGCAACCTGTGTTTTAATTAGTCCTCCAGGTGATTCAGATGCACACAAAAGCTTGAGAATTACTGTATTACATTATTCATCATTGTAAATCTATGGAGGTCTTGAAAGACCTACATCAGAATAAAAGATAATTAATTCACTTAGACATATTCTAATGCCATACTGTTATGCTCACACTGAAAGTTACCCAGGTACCTTTTTGCATTTATACTTTATACATCATTATGGGTGTTAGCTATTTTTCATGATAAATACGGTTTTTTGTCTTGTTAGATTGATCCTTTCATCGTTATATAATGTACCTCTTTGTCTCTAATAATTTTCTATGCTATGAAGTCTACTTTATCTGACATCAGTAAACACTTCTTATTGTTTTAATACTTGCTTGGTACATGTTTTTCCTCCCACTTACTTTCAGGCTACCTATCTACCTATTGTTATATTTGAAGTGAGTTTCCTGTAGACAGCATATTTTGGATTATTTTCTTTAATATACTCCAGCAATTTTGTTTTTAAACTGGTGTAGATGAATGTAGATGAATTCAATTTAAGAAAATGGTTGAAATTGTTGATTTAAGGCATAAGTCTGCCATTTTATTTTGAATATATCTCCTTGTAAAGTTTTCTTACTGGTTGCTCTAGGTATTACAATACACAGTCTACTGGTATCGATGTCTTGCCACTTTGAATAAAGGGTAGAAGTCTTGCTTTCATTTAGGCCTTCCAACTTCTAAATATAATTGTCTGAAGTATTTCCTCTACATTCCTTGAGTACCACATTATGCGGTGGTATAATTTTTGTTTCAAGTATTATTTTAAAAATTCCTAAGAGGTAGGCTAGTCTGTTTTATTTACTCCTATGTTTGCCATATCTTTCTGAAGTTTCAAGCCTTTGTTAGCATTTCCTTTCTGTTCAGACAACTTCTTTAAGGGTAGATTTGCCAGCAACAAATTACCTTAGGCCTTTTATTGTGGGGGGTGGGGACTTTCTTTGAAAACAATTTCATGGGGGAAATTAGAATTATGGTTTAATGTTGCTTCAACAGCATTCAAAAATATTAAATTGATCTGAGACAAAGGATTTCAAAGTCAGAGTTGAAAGGCCTCTGAAGCCAGACTGTCTGGTTTCTTTTTTTTTTTTTTTTTTTTTTTTTGAGGCTGAGTCTTGCTCTGTCGCCCAGGCAGGAGTGCAGTGGTGCAATCTCGGCTCACTGCAAGCTCTGCCTCCCGGGTTCATGCCATTCTCCTGCCTCAGCCTCCCGAGTAGCTGGGATTACAGGCGCCCGCCACTACGCCTGGCTAATTTTTTTTTTTTTTTTTTTTTTTCTTTTTTTTAGTAGAGACGGGGTTTCACCGTGTTAGCCAGGATGGTCTTGATCTCCTGACCTCGTGATCCGCCCGCCTTGGCCTCCCAAAGTGCTCGGATTACAGGCGTGAGCCACCACGCCCAGCCCAGACTGCCTGGTTTCTAAATCTAGCTCCACCATTTATTAGCTACGTGACCCTGAGCAAGTGATTTAATTTTCTTGTGTCTGTTTTCTTATCTCTAATGGATACTAATTGTACCTACCTCAGAAAGACTGAGTCAATACTTGAATAATATATAGATAAAGGGCTGGCATGTATGAGAAATAAATGCCAGCCATTATTTTTACTAGGGATTATGGAGATAGATACAGGATACCATACTAGAATTACTCAGTTCCTTCTGTTCTGATTTTAGGCTGGCATATAAATTTGCTTCATATCTAGAACTAACAAATTATGATAATGTATTAAGCACGTGAAAACATGTTTCAATGTGGTAGAACATAACTATTGCTGAGAATTTTGCTTTAATTCCCAGTTCACTTCTCAATAGAACTTTGGCAATTTAATTTCTCGAGCATGGTCATCTTCAGTAAATGTATATACTAATTCTCATCTCCTAGGGTTAACGTGAGAATTACATGAGAGAATTCACAGAAAATGCTTAGCCCAAAGCCTGGCTCTTGGTGACCACCCAACAAATAGGAAGTCTTGTTTTTATTACTCACACATTTATGTCTCACACATGCCGGCTCTTCATCTAGGATGTCACATATGCTTAAATAACAGTCATATGTGACATCCTACTTTAAGATTCTTACTATTCTTAATATGTTTTTAAATTTTTTCATTAACATTATTTTAATTGGCAAATCATAATTGTATTACATTTATAAGGTACAATGTAATGTTTTCATACATGCACACTGTACAATGTGAAATGATTAAATCACACTAATTGAAAGATCCATCTCACTTATTTAACATTTTTTGTGATGATACATTTGGAGTTTACTCTCTTATTTTGAAATATACAATACATTATTATTGATGATAGTCACCCTGCTGTATAATAGATATCACAACTTTGAATATTTTGAGTTAAACTCTCAGGTTCAGTCAATTCTGGGAAACTAGAAAGATGAAATTTGTTGATCTACAAAGTTAAGAACCAGGCCACAGACTATGGAAATTTTATTGGGTAAAATGCCACCATGCCAGATATTGTTTGAATCTCACTACCATCTTCACTTCTCGTTATTAGACACTCCATGTCTTACTGAAGATGAAAGATTGGAAACTAGGCTCTGCCAGCAGGATTTCAATTAGATTTCACCAATAAGAGACACTCATGAAAGCTGAGGGAGACAGCATTATTCTCCAGTAGCAGCTGTAAGCAGGAATGTGGCAGACAGCAGAAGTGAGACTGTACCAGAAGCTTCCAAAGTTCTCCTGAGAGTCATTCATTTTGTATTACGGTCAGTCACAATTATTGGTGGTGGTTTCTATGCGATTTCCTTACTTTTAAACTTTTTGAAAGTACTTTTCTTGATCTTAACTCCTTAGTTCTGCCAGTAGTTTTGTAGATCACAAATTTCCTGTTTTGCACTACTTCTCAGGTGTTCGGAGTGGCTTCTGCTGTATTGACTAAACCTATCTGACACAGTTACCCATGAGTCTTCTTGGTAGGGAATGCTATGTGATTTTCTGATTCTACATGCTTCACGTAGGGATCCACCAAACTATAATACAACAATAGTAATTTCAGTGTAACAATATTTTCATTATGATACCATGGGGATGCAGAGCACGTTATTTTCAAGCTGGGATCTTCACAGCAGCAACCAAACAAACGTATGTAAGTGCCTATTCTGCACTCATCGTAACCTTCTCATTGTAACAAGAGACAGGCTGCTCTTCCTATCCTTCTTTGAATTTTGTTTCAACATCTCCTTTCTTTTTCTTTCTTTCTTTCTTCTTTCTTTCTTTTTTCTTTTCTTTCTTTCTTTTTCGTTCTTTCTTCTTCTTTCTTTCTTTTTCTTTTTTTTTTTTCTTTTTTGAGACAGAGTCTCACTCTGTCACCCAGGCTGGAGTACAATGGCATGGTCTTGGCTCACTGCAACCTCTGCCTCCCAGGTTCAAGTGTTTCTCCCACCTCAGTCTCCTTAGTAGCTAAGTGCCACCACATCCGGCTAATTTTTGTATTTTTAGTAGAGATGGGGTTTCACTATGTTGGCCAGGCTGGTCTCGAACACCTGACCTCGTGATCCACCCACCTTGACCTCCCAAAGTGCTGGGATTACAGGTGTGAGCCAAGCCACTGTGCCCGGCCCTTTCTTTCTTTTCTTTTTCCTTTCCTTTCCTTTCCTTTCCTTTCCTTTCCTTTCCTTTCCTTTCCTTTCCTTTCCTTTCCTTTCCTTTCCTTTCCTTTCCTTTCCTTTCCTTTCCTTTCCTTTCCTTTCCTTTCCTTTCCTTTCCTTTCCTTTCCTTTCCTTTCCTTTCCTTTCCTTTCCTTTCCTTTCCTTTCCTTTCTTTCTCTTTCTTCTTTCTTTCTTTCTTTTTCTTCTTTTTTTTTTTTTGAGACAGTTTCACTGCGGTCGCCCCAGGCTTGAGTGCCATGGCCCAGTCACAGCTTATAGCAACCTCTGCCTCCCGGGTTCAAGGGATTCTCCTGCCTCAGTCTCCCAAAATGCTGGTGTTACAGGCGTGAGCCACCATGCCCGGCCTCACTTTCTCTTCTCTTAAACAGTCATGGAAATACAGAACACTTCTGCTCACCAAAGTGTGTGCAGTTTTGTTTTGTTTTGTTTGTGTGTGTTTTTGTTTTTTGCACATATCAATCAGTTTTCCAGTGGGCACCTACTACATGTCTACATACTAACTCAATTCTGATACTATCTACCTGAAGTTAGAGTCAGATCCCATAGGTTAAAGTCTCAGTCCCATAAAACTGCCCCCACTTCAGATCCCAATCACAAGTTTCAGGTTGTGACTTATGCTTCAAACCTTCTAACCAACTGGCTATAAATCAGGAGTCTTTATAACCCCCTCTCTGGGTCCCACTAATTTGCTAGAGCAGCTCACAGAACTTAGGGTTACACTTCGCTTACCTTTATTGTACAAGATACAGATGAATAGCCAGATGAAGGAATGCACAGGACAAGATATCTGGGAAGGGGCATGAAACATCTGTGCCCTGGGCATGCCACCCTCTTAGCACCTCCATGTGTTCAGCAACAAACAAACTTTCTAAATCCCTAATTTTTACAGAGTATTCATCACATAGGTATGATCAATTACTAATTCAATTTCCAGCTTCTCTTCCCTCTCCGAAGAAGGCGGCTGGAGGTGAAAGTTCCAAGCTTCTAATAATGCCTTGGTCCTTTCTGGTGAGCAGTCCCCATCCATGAGCCCATGAAGAATTACCTCATTAGAGTATGAGCTATTCTGGATAAGATAATATCTAGAAAAGATAGCCAAACTATGTATTTGAGAAATTACTATCATTAACAAAACTCTAAGAAATTAGGAGCTCTATGTCAGGAACCAGGGTCAAAGACCAAAAATATTAGAACAAAAAATGCACCTGGAACCCCATCACTCTGGAAATTAAAAGAGTTCTAGGAGTTATGCGCCAGGAACTGGAGGCAGAGACCAAGTATATATTTCTTGTTATATCACAATATGACATCTCCCCAGAGGGAACTTACTTTCTAGAACGGGGGGCAGAAGTATTTCCTGTCTCTCTCCCAGTGGTAGCCATCATTTCTTTTAAAGCATTATCAAGTCTGACACTCAGGCATGGATGGGCTTCTCCAAGTTTGCCTGCTTCACCCACCAACCAGGACTTGCCCATCTGAACCACTGACTGTCCAGTGTTTTCCTTGCCCTTCTTCCCAGGCACCTGGGGGAAGGCTGTGGAGATGGCTGGCAGTTGGTGCTGGCTCTTCCTGCATCTGGGACATCCAAAGATTCTAAACTATCATGTGTGCCTTCAAGAAACTTAGCCTTTAAGAAACTGTTCAAAGTTTTAGATTTTCTCCTTACTTTTATGGTTGCCTCCTCTTTTTCATATATTCTGTTAAGGTGAAATAATTTATGTGTCCCATTTTCCCTTGGGGGGCTTGTCACACTTTGCAATTTGAGACACTTGCTTAATTTATGACCTCAGGACTCTGATAGACTCCAAAATTGTGATTTTGGTGACTATATGAATCTTTCCATAGGGTTAAAGTGAATTCTCAGATGGCTGTTTAAGTCTTAAGCCACAGGATATTATATGGCTCTGTGTCCCCACCCAAATCTCATGTTGAATTGTAATCCCCAGTGTTGGGGGAGGGACCTGGTGAGAGGTGATTGGATCAGTGGAGCAGATTTCTCCTTTACTGTTCTCATGACAGTGAGTGAGTTTTCATGAGATGTGATTGTTTAAAGTGTGTAGCACCTCCCCTTTCACTCTCTCTCTCCTGCTGGCAATGTGAACATGCACTTGCTTCCCTTTCTCCTTCTTCCATGGCTGTAAGTTTCCTGAGGTCTCCCCAGTCATGCTTCCTGTACAGCCTGCAGAACCGTGAGCCAACAAACCTCTTTTCTTTATAAATTACCCAGTCTCAGGTAGTTCTTTATAGCAATGTGAGAACGGACTAACATACCACATGAGCTTGTAGTCTAATATCTCCTTTAAAAAAGCATTTTCTAAGTCCTATATCTTCTAGCTACTGACCTACATCTTTCATCCCCCTAAGTTAGCCATATTTTTATTGTTTTGTGAAAATTAGGTGAAAAGAAAATTTGTAAAGGTCCAACAAGCAATAAATCATAGCTTTTCATATCACTGTTACAATTGATATAGACTAGATTTAAACAAAGGTAACCCTACTAATAGGGTCTTTTCATTTCAGAACATAGAATAATTATTGTTAAAAGTGAATGTTTGGCTGGGCACGGTGGCTCACACCTGTAATCCCAGCACTTTGGGAGGCCTAGATGGGTGGATCACAAGGTGAGGAGTTCAAGACCAGCCTGGCCAATATGGTGAAACCCCATCTCTACTAAAAATACAAAAATTAGCCTGGTGTGGTGGTGGGTGCCTGTAGTCCCAGCTACTCAGGATGCTGAGACAGGAGAATAGCTTGAACCTGAGAGGTGGAGGTTGCAGTGAGCTGAGATTGCGCCATTGCACTCCAGCCTGGGCAACAGAGCGAGACTCTGTCTCAAGAAAAAAAAAAAAAGAAAAGAAAAGAAAAGAAAAAAAAAGTGAATGTTTTATTACTGCTATACTTGCACAGATCAGTAGATTGAAATGTAGCAGTTCAGGAAAATTTAAAATAAAACAAAAATATAGTGTTACACTTTATCTTTATAATAAGACATCATCAGGTACTGTTGGGAAAATATTAAAATCATGAAGATACATGGGCTCCAACAATATTCATACTGATAAATGATGTATACCTTTAAAGAAGAAGTTTTTTTCAGATATCTCAGGACATAAGGGACATATTTCAAATAGAAGCTGGAAAAATATGCACTATTAAAGAATTGTTGAAGAAAAATATTTTCTTTGGAATTAAAAGACAGTCAAACTACGTATCTCTATGAACAATGCTCAATATGCGATAATAAATGCAAATTTCACTTTTATAATCCATTCAGGATTTGGAAGTTTGATTTTGAACATATTCAATTGTTTAATTAGGAATCCTTTCCTAATTTTCAAACATCAGCTTTTTGTTTTTTATTAGCCATTTCTATTTCAATTGGCAACAGAGAACATTTTTTCCTTTTCTCGTTGCAGCTAAATCTGGTTTCCAAACTGTAGTCCAAAAAATTATTTTAGGCATAAATTCCTGTAACTTTTAATTTTTGTTTAATAAAAAAGTACCAAAACAAAAGTTTAGAAAGCTAGCACAAAACATTTGCATTTTTATTTGGCATATAAATTCTAATAGATATCTCTAAGCTTCTGAATTATCAAGCATAATCCCATAGCTCTCAGTTCAGAGATTATTGCCTTAATTTATGGAAATGATTATGTCTCTCAAACTTGAATGAAAATTACAGTTTTCTATAGTTTATTGAAGGATAAAAATAATTCCACATTTTTTTGCCTGAAGCATATAAGGAGCATATTTATTTCCATAATGTCAAATTAAAAACTATAGTTCAAACTAAATATCCTTAAATGAATTAAAAAGGAGAGAAATCTATGTCTGTATGACTTTTCATAAACTTGTCTCAACTTAGTACTTCTGATAGTCTAAATATCATCCACAAAGTAAAGTCTTATATACTAAATGACATGATTTCTTCCTTCACTTAGAACTTTCATAATATAAATGAAATAAATTATTAAATGCGTTATTTTATATTTCTTGTTATGTTTGCTGCTTTCTTTTTTTGCCTATTGAGATATAATTGAAAAGTAAAAATTTTATATATTTAAGGTGTACAACGTGATGGTTTGACGTAGGTATGCAAGTTAACTAACACATTCATTACCTCACATAATTTTACCAATAATTTTTTGTGTGTGTGTGGTGAGAATACTTAACATCTATTCTCTTGGAAAATTTCAAGTTTATGACACAGTACTATTAAATATGGCCACCATGCTATACATTAAGTCCCCAGAAGTTATTCATCTTATAACTGAAATTTTGTAGCCTTTGACCAAGATCTCCCAATTTCCTTCCCCACCCTCTCTGCCCCTGGCAAACACCCTTCTACTCTCTGCTTCTGTGAGTTCAACATTTTTCGATTCTGCATCGGTGAGATCATGCAGTATTTACCTTCCTATGTCACAAAGCATCCTGCTCCATAGGCCCATCCATGTTGTCTGAAAGACAGGGATTTTTTTTTCTTTTTTAAGGCTGAATAATATTTTATTGGATATATATACCTCACATTATCTTTATCAATTCATTCAGCAATGGACATTTACGTTATTTCCATATCTTGGCTATTGCGAGTAATGCTACTGCAATGAACATGGAAGTGCAGATAGGTCTTTAAGATAATTTTATTCTCTTCCGATGTATACCCAAAAAATGGGATTGCTGAATTATTTGCTAATTCTATTTTTATTTTTTTACGATAACTCCATGCAGTTTTCCATGATGGCTATACCAGTTAACATATCCATTGACAGTGCACAAGGGCCCCTTTTCTCTACACTCTCGACAACATTTTTTATCTCGTCTTTTTAATAAAAGCCATTCTAATAGGTGTGAGGTGATATCTCACTGTCGTCTTAATTTGTATTTCCAGGTAATTAGTGATTATCTTTTCATATGATTGTTGGCCATTTATTCTTAGGTCTTCTTGGCAAACAAATGTCTAGTCAGGTCCTTTGCCTATTTTTTATCAGTTTTTTTTTTCCTATTGAATTGTATGAGTTTCTTATATATTTTGGATATTAGCCCTTTATCAGACATATAGATTGCAAATATTTTCTCTCATTCTGTAGGTTACCTTTTCATTTTGTTGATTGTTTTCTTTGATTTCCAGAAGATTTTAGTTTGATGTAGAATAGTCTCACTTGTTTATTTTTGCTTTGCTTATATGTGCTTTTGGTGTCATACACAACAAATCATTGTCAAGACCAATGTTAAGGAGCTTTTCCTGTGTTTTATTCTAGGAGTTTTATAGTTTCAGGTCTTACAGTTAAGTCTTTAATCTATTATATATGGTGTAACATAAGACTTCAATTTCACTTTTTTGCATATATATATATCCAGTTTTCCCGATACCATTTCTTAAAGAAGCTATCCTTTCCTTAGTATGTATTCTTGGCATCCCTGTCAAAGATTAGTTGACTATGTATGCATGGGTTTCTATCTGGGCTCACTATTTCATTCCATTGGTCTATATGTATGCTTTTATGTCTGTAACACACTGTTTTGATTACTATAGCTTTGTAATATAGTTTGAAATCAGGAATTGTGGTGCTTCCAGCTTTGTTCTTTCTCAGGGTTGCTTAGGCTATTCAGGGCCTTTTGTGGTTCCATATGAAATTGAAGACTTTTTCCCTATTTCTGAAAAATGCCACTGGACTTTTGAAAAATTGCATTGAATCTATAGATCACTTTGTGTAGTATGGACATTTTAACAATACTAATTCTTCCAATCCATGAACACAAGAGGTCTTTTCATTTACTTGTGTCTTCTTCAATTTCTTTTATCAATGCCTTATAGTTACATGTACAAATCTTTTATGCCCTTGGTTAAGCTGGTTTCTAAGTATTTTATTTTTTTGATGTCATATGAATGCAATTGCTTTCTTAATTTCGTTTTTGAGCAGTTTGTTCTTAGTTTATAGAAATGCAATGTATTTTTGTATATTGATTTTTGTGTCCTGCAACTTTACCAAATTTACTTATCAGTTCTAACAGTTTTTTTGAGGGGTCTTTAGGGTTTTCTCTATATATGATCTTGTCATTGGCAAATAGAAAGAAATTAACCTTTCTTTCTTATTTGGATGTCGTTTATTTATTTTTCTAGACTAATTATTCTGATATGACTTCCATTACTGTGCTAAACAGAAGTGGCAAATGTGTGCATCCTTCTTTCTTGTCTTAGAGAAGAGAAAACTTCCTGATATTATAGAAGAAACTTGCAGCTTTTCACCATTGAGTATAATGTTAGCTGTGGGCTTGTCATATAGATCTTTAGTATGTCGAAGTATATTCTTTCTTTACTTAATTTGTTGAGAGTTTTATCATAAAAAGATGGTGAATTTTGTTAAATGATTTTATCCTTTTCTATTGAGATAATCATATAATTTTAATCCTTTATTCCATTAATATGATGTATTTACATTTATTGATTTGCTTATGTTGAACTTTCCTTGCATCCCAGAGATAATGCCACTTGATCATGGTATTATCCTTTTCATGTGCTATTGAGTATGGCTTGCCAGTACTTTGCTGAGAATTTTTGGATCTATGAAAATCAGGGATATTGGCTTGTAATTTTCTTTTTCTGTAGTGGCCTTTTATGGCTTTTATATAAAGATAATGCTTGCCTCGTTAAATGAGTTGGACAGTGTTCCTTCATTTTCAAGTTTTTGGAAGACTTTGAGAAGGATTGGCATTAATTTTTTAAAGGCTTGGAAGAATTCACTGTTGAATCCATCAGCTCTGTTCCTGGGCTTTTTTTGCGGGGGAGGTTTTTCAAATTTTTTAAATTGCATCTATCGCTTTGCTTGTTATTCACCTTTTCAGAGTTTCTACTTCTTCGTGATTCAGTCTTGGTAGGTTATAAATTTCTAGGTATTTATTTGTCTCTTCTCAGTTATCCAATTTGTTGGTGTATAATTGTTTATGGTAGTCTCTACTATATTCTGTATCTCTGTGGTATCAGTAATAGTATCTTCTTTTTCATTTATAATTTTTTGAGTATTATCTTTTTCTCTTGGTTAATATAGCTAAATGTCTGTCAGTTTTATCTTTTCAAAAAAGCAACCCTTGTTTTCATTGATCTTTTGTTTTACTTTTCTACTCTCTGTTTGATTTATTTCTGCTCTAATCTTTATTATTTGCTTCCTTCTAACTTTGGGCTTAATATGTTCTCCTTTATCTAGTTCTTTTGGGTATAAGTAAGGTTGCTTATTTGAGTTTTTTTTTCTTAATATAGGAATTTATGCTATAAACTTCCTTCTTACAACTACTTTTGCTGCTTCCCATAAGTTTTGGTGGTTATGTTTCCACTTTTATTTGTCTCAAAATGCTTTTTGATTTTCCTTGTGATCTTTTCTTTGACTCATGGGCTATTCCTCATTATATTGTTTAATTTCCACTCTATTTGTGAATTTTCTAATTTTTCTTTAGTTATTGTTTTCTAGTTTCAAACAGTTGTGATCAGAAAAGCTACTTGATATTATTTTAGTCTTAAATTTGTGGAGGCTTGTTTTGTCACCCAAGAGATAATCTATCCTGGAGAACGTTCCATATGTGCTTGAAAAGACTCTGCATTCTACTGCTATTGGATGAAATGTTCTGTGTATGTATGTTAGGTCTATTTGATCTATAGTGTTATTCAAGTCTGCTGTTTCATTATTGGCTTTATGTCTGGACAATCTATCCATTGTTTAAAGATATACTAAGATATTGAAGTCTCTTGTTTTTTCTCTAGTATGATGGATCAATTTTAAAATTATTATTATTGAAAGTTTAGAAATATTTATTTAGTCCTCACAAATCATTTTTAGTTATTTCCTGGAAATTGTTATTATTGTTTTAAACTTCGGGAAAACCTCAGTTAAGTTTCTTTCACATATGTCTCACCAAACCTAAACTAAATGTCTTTTCATCTTATCTTACCCTTAGGGGAATTTCAAAAATACTTACAGCCATTCTATTATATCCTGACAGGAGGGGAAATCTGATAAAAAGTTTAGACTGGAAGGGACAGTGTTCTTAATTGTAGCTTAAATATCTTAGTTTTGCAATTTTGCAAAAATATGTGACTACGTGGGCACATTTATTAGGGTCTCTCCCACAGGCTTGGAAAGATCCTATGCAACTGAGAGGCTCTGAAACTTAAGCATCATTTTCTTCACAATAAACTACCTCTGATAAGCACTGTGCTAGGTGAATAACGATACAGTGATGAACAAGATGAGTCCCCACCCTGCATACATTTTGCATCCTACTGGAAGAAAGAAAATAAACACATTTTAAAAATATAGGTTGTGGCAAATGTAGTGAAGAAAATAAAAGGTATACACAACAGAATTATTCTATATAGGATGATCTGGAGAATTCTCAATGGAGGTAAAGTTTGGCTTGGGCGATACCATAGTTTTTGAAGCAATTCAAAGAACTGCATGAGCACTTAGAAAAATGGCAGTTTTATTGAGGTATAATTCACATATCATACAGTTCACCCCTTGAAAGTATACAGTGATTGATTTTCAGTATAGTCACAAAGTTTTGTTAAACAATGACCATTATCCAATTCCAGAATGTTTTCATCACCTTTCCGCAAAATCCTCGTGGTCATTAGCACTCCCCATTCACCTTAACCACAGTCTCTGAAAACCATGAGTACATTTTCTTTCTTACGGTTTTGCTTATTCTGAACATTTTATATAAATTGAACGATATAATATATGTCTTATTGTGTTTGGATTCTTTCACTTAGCATAATGTTTTCAAGGTTCATTCATATTGCAACATGCATAAGAACTTTGTTCTTTTTGCAGCCAAATAATATTCCATTGCATGGACAAACCACATTGGTTCATCCATTAACCAGTTGATGCAAATGTGTGTTGTGTTGTTTCCACATTTATACTTTGAATAACGTTATAATCATTTATCTGCAAGTTTTTATGTGAATATATGTTTTCAATTTTTTTTAGCACCCAAGCAGAGAATTACTGGGACATATGTTAACTCTAAGTTCAACATTTTGAGAAAATGCTTAACTGTTTTCCAAAGCAGTTGCACAATTTAACATAATCCTTGCTATGTCTGAGGGTTCTGGTTTCTCTGCTTTCTCACCAAAACTCATTATTTTCTGACTTTTTGATTATAGCCATGCTAGTGGATATGAAGTGGTAACTCATTGTGGTTTTGATTGTATTTCCCTGATGGGTAAGCCTTTTTTCATGTGTTTGTTGACCATTTGCATGTCTTATTTGAAGAAGTAGGTATTTGAATACTTTGCCCATTTAAAAAATTGGATTTTTGTTTTGTTTTGTTTTACAATTGTTAAGAATTCCTTATATACTCTGGATACAAGTACTGTTTCATATATATAATTTACAAATACTTTCTCCCAGTTTGTGAGTTGTTTTTCACTGTCAGTGGTGTCTTTTGAAGCAAATCATTTTTAAATATAGATAAAGTCCAACTTAGCTGTTTTTTTCTCTTGGTGTTTTGTTTTATTTCCATTTCATTTCTATTAATCCTTGTTCCTAATTCACTTCATGTTTCATATTGTTAAAGAAACTTATGTAGACTTACTGCTAGATATTTAATGCTATTTGTACATTTATTCTGCATGTTCAAAATATTTTACAATACTCACAAAAGTTAAAAAGATGGCTTATAATAAGATTCTCTTAGAAAGATTCTGGGAAGACTTTCAAGAGTTATAAGGATAGGTAAATAATATTTGTATGTATACAAACAAACTCGAGGCAGTATTGCATAGAATAGCTGTAAATGGTTTACTATACAGTTTTGAAAAAGACATCACTTTGTCCTATTTGGTGTGAAAATAGTTTAATTATTGTTTGGATAGGAGTTTATTATTTAATGCTTTGCATACTTGCAAAGTGTTAGAACAAAGCCTTGCCAATGAAATTCTGTAGAATGAATAGAGGAATGTTAGAGAATTTTAATGTCTTTTAGTGTGTAGTGATTAATATGTGAAGTTTCTTTTGTCTTTTTTTCTAAATAGCTTATTATTATTATTATTTTGAGACGGAGTCTCGCTCTGTCACCAGGCTGGAGTGCCGTGGGGCGATCTCAGCTCACTGCAATCTCCACCTCCCAGGTTCAAGCGATTCTCCTGCCTCAGCCTTCTGAGTAGCTGGGACTACAGGCACATGCCAGCATGCCCAGTTAAGTTTTGTATTTTTAGTAGAGACAGGGTTTCACCACATCGGCCAGGATGGTCTCCATCTCTTCACCTCATGATCTGCCCTCCTTGGCCTCCCAAAGCGCTGGGAATACAGGCGTGAGCCACCACATGCGGCCTATTATTTTTATTTTGAGTCTTTTCTATGATTTTCCTACTTATTACTGACTTCATTTCACCAACTTTTTAATCATACTAATTTAACATTTTTAATATTATTATGAAAATTACTTGTTAAACAGAATAAATACTCTGTTCAACAAACATTCATCAAATAGTAACCATTTGGCAGCCCTAAGCATTAAGGATGGAAAGAATTATGGTATGGTTCCAGCCTTCAAGATTGCCACAGCCTTCCATGAGATATAAATATAATACTAATTATAAACAGTATAATTATAGCTATGAAAAAATTATAGACTATATTAAAAATTATATACTGTAGGAGTGCAGAAGAGGAAGTAATTCCTTCGTCTAATGGTAAATATTAAGGTGGGTAAAATGTTAAATACTTGTTGATGAAATACATTTGGAAGGAAAAAAATAAGTTTCTCCATGTCCAGAGTAAGTGCAGAGCAGAGACTCTATATAGTAAAATATGTGGGCAGTATGCAGGAAGGTACCAAGTTTCCCAGACAATGGTAGGTTTGGGAATGGCTTGACTGTGTTTCCTGAAGTTCAGTTCTTCGTCTATTTATCGTTTTATTGTACTTGCTCTATTTGAATGGGATTTTTTTCTGTCACTTGTTTTAACTACTGTTGACATGATAGTGATGCTAAGATCTATATATGCAGCCTCTACCTCTCTCTTTAATTTCAGCCACGCAAATCTGATTATTTGCTAAATCTAGTTTTCTCAGTTACTACACAGACGGCTCAAAACCCACCAAGCCAAAGTCATCAAAATCTCCTCAGGTTGTATTCTTAATCTCTGAGAAAAGCATGACAACTGATCTATATGTGAATATTTAAATGTAATTTTTAGGTTCCTTTTTCCTATGTCTCTTTTTTCAACAACTCAGAAGTTTTGTCAATTTTTTTGTTTTAATTGTTTCCACAATTTATTCAGTCCTTTTCCTCCTTATAGCTATTCCAGTCCAAACTTCTTTATTAACATCAGTTAGCAACTCTATCTATGGCGATGGCCTCCTTGGTGCTGTCTACCTCTAGTCTCCTCTGAATGTATTTTCTAGGCAAAGATCATTTTCTTGGCTTCAGAGGCACCAGAAATATTTAGAAAATTTTTCAAGACATATTGTAATTAGTAGTTTACATGACTTGTCTATTGCGCTGTAAGTCATTGAAATAGAAATTCACAAAAGATAGTTCATGGGTCACACGATTTAGAACCTCGGGATACATATTTAAAATTACAAGTATTGTCACCCATCCCAGGTCGACTGAGGTATAACCTTATAGCTATGAGACTTAGGAATCTGCCTTTCAAAACAAGCACTTTATGTGACTTTTATAAACTGTAAAGTTAGTGAACCACTGCTGTGATAAACAGAAAGTTTTAATTACTTTTCTATCTTATTACATGCATAGTGAATATGGGAGAAGAAAAAAGCAAATAAGCATAAAACAAATGATGAATGAATGTAGAAGACATTAGAAGATGAGGCAGGAAAGACAAGAATGGGCCAAATTTTCAAGGGCCTGGAATTCCACTCCAAGGAATTTGAGTCTTTGCCGTTAGACTAGTGGTAGCCTACTTAAAGAAAGAAAGAAGGCAGTGTTGTGGAGTAGACACATATTTCCAGTCCTGTGTTTACCACTTACAGGTCTAGCAATAGAACAACTACTTTGTAGAGTGTAGTTCATACTTCTGCAGAAGCCTGCTTATGGACTTTTGGGTTGTTTCCAGTTTTGGGGTAGCATGAGAAAGTCTCTTAAGAACACTTGTCTTCAAGACATTGCGTGGCATATGTTCTCGTATTTCCTGGATAGATACCTAGAAACAGAATGACTTGGTCTTATGGTAAGGTACATTGAATATTTTAAGAAACTGCAGAATTTGTTTATTTAATGCAAAATCTGAAAACAAGTTTAATGAGGCATACTTAATATATAAAAACTGCACATATGTAAAGTGTACAATTTGATTAGGTGTATGTATACACCTATCTCTACAATAAAAATCATTTCATCTAGAAAAATAAAAGAAACTGCAGAGCAATTTTCCAAGAAGTAATTGTACAATTTTGCAGTTCTACCAGCCATGTATGAGAAGGAGCTCCAAATCTTCACCAATAATCAATATTTAGTTCTTGGTAAAAACATTTAATACTTTAATATTTAATAATATTCTTATAAAATGTTATTACAATGATCAGGAGAGATAAAAGGTAGAAGTGCTTTTTTAAATTGTGAAGTCCTGTGCAAGTAGTAGAAGTTATTACTGCAGTGGATCCTCTATCTTGCAGGCATAGAAATGTTTATAGGTCTTGCTATAATGTCGCTTGAATCGCATTTTAAATTCTCGAGGGATTTTTGTTGCATCACTAAAGAGATTATTTTTATACCACACTTTAGAGAGTTTTTGAATTAGTTTTGCTAATAATAAGAGGTTACAGTTTCCTGATGTCAAATTGGAAGAAAAAGTTAGACATGCCAAGCTGTCTGCTTTAGAACAAAAATGGTTACTTAAGTGGAATTTAAGATTGGTGAAGTAAAAGGATTCAAAACCAACACCAGGCATGATTTATTGAGTAAAAATTTAATGACGAAAGTTGTTCTCCCACAGTTTGAAAATCACTTGACCCAGATATATCCCAAATGCATGCCGGCTGGGTTATGTAGTGGTTTAACTGTCCTAGAGTCTGCAAGCTGCAGCAGACCATTCATTTAACAATATTTCTGCAGAAATATTAAAACTCAATTAACAATCTGCATAGAAAAACTATTTTTATTTAAACATCAAATCAACTTTATTAAGGTGTGCATGATATTGAAATGCAGAATTCAGTGAACTTGACAAATGAATACATCTTTACAAACATCCCACTAGTCACTGTTTTTCCCCTCATTTTTTTTTATTTTTTTGCTGAATAACATTCCACTGTATGATAGATCTTGTTCTGTTTATCTGTTCATCTGCTTGTGGGCATTTTAGTCATTTACAGTATTTGGCTTGTGTGAAGAAGGCTCTTAAGAACATTTGTCTTCAAGACATTGTGCAACATCTGTCCTCATTTCTCTTTGAGTGGAATGCCTTGATCTTATGGTAAGATATATAAACATTTTAAGAAACTTCAGGGCAGTTTTCCAAACAAGTATTATAGTATGATTTTGTATTTCACCTGTCATGTCTGAAAGTTCCAGTGGCTCCAAATCCTCACAAACAATCAATATTCATTATTTTTGTTTGTTGGTTGGTTTCGATTTTAGCCTTTCTAGTGAACATGCACTGGTATCTCACTGAGATTTCAATTTGCATTTCCTTAATTAGTAATGATTTTTGGCATCTTTCCACATGATAATCAACCATTCATAGGCCTTTTGTATCTTATGTCTGCTCAAACCTTTTGCCAATGTTTTCTGAGTTGTTCTTGTTCCAGTTTTAGTGTTGAAGAGTTCTTTATATATTAGATACAAGTCTTCCTGTATCCAATGAGTTACAAATATTTTCTTCCAGTCAGTGGCTTGTGTTCTTATTTGCCTAACAATAGCTTTCAAAAAGGAAAAGTTTCTAATTTTGACAAAGTCCACTTGATAATTTTTATACATTCTTGATTTTTGTGCCTATGAAACCTTTGTCTATCCCACAGTCCCCAAAAATCTCACCTGTATTTTCTTCCACACATTTTACAGTTAGCTTTTGTATTTATGTCTGTGGCCCATTTTAAGTTCCCTAATTCTTTCACTTAAACACATATGGAACAAAACATTAGTTGAGGAATGCCTTACTTAAGGGGAGTTAAGGTATTCAATACTTACCTTTATGTATTCATGATGTATTAGATGCCACCCCCCAACCTAAAGGAGCTTTATGTTAAGGTCCTCAAATCATTCAGAAATGTTTTATGTAGAAAGTGGTGCTTATTAAGCATGCAAATTTCTATTTATGAATTTCCTATCCTCTGACAAATGAAAATCCTCGGGTCCAGTGAAGAATCCTGAGGTCCAATGAAAATACCTCTTGTCATTTGCCCCCAAAATACCACAAAAGATGTAAGAACAGTAGACATTACAATAGTCACTAGTTTCTACCAGTAATTCCGTAATCTTCAATAAACTTCATACCTCTAGTGGGAGAATCCCTTTTTTGCATTCTTGGAGGGGATAGTAATGATAGCAGCTAACATTTCTTTAGTTTTTATTTCATCTCTGGTGTTGACACAGTAATATTGCATAAAAATAATGTACTAATTTATATCTCACAATAACATTGTCAAGTTACAGTAATATTATTTCCACTCTTTGAAGAGAAAACACAAGTATAGAGAAGTTACATGACTTAACCAAGTCACATAGCCATAAGTGGCAGAATTAGGATGATGTTTTTAATACTTAGACAGCAAGTTGTTCTTAAGGGAATAGTAATGTGCATGACTTTCTGAACTCACATAAATACACTAACTTTGAGGATAGTTATACAATTTGGAGGAATACCATTCTGTTTTTCTTCATTAACATCCCTTTCTCTTTGTAGAAAAATTTAGGTTTTAAGTGGTAGAAACTCAACTCAAACTAGTTTAAGCAATGCAATACATTTGTTGACTCATGAAACTGAGACAATGGCTGAGGAATTTTGTCAGAGAACTAACAATAATATAAAAACAAACTGGAAGAATCCTGGTGTCAGGGTCAGCTACCAACATTTTTTCTCCCTCTTTTTCCTTCCTCTTTTTCCACTTCATCTGTCCATTTGTCTCTTCTACATTTTAAATGTAGGATTTAATGTCTCCTACTGTAAATAGACATTGTTCCTACATTGTGACGCCAGAATGCAAGGTTTCTTTACCCAAGGGGAAACAGGCTTTGCTATCCTGCTGTTCATACATTTCTAGGAAGAGCTTTGATTTGCCCTCATGCTGTATTATTTATTGCTGTGTAACAAATGACCACAAACGTAGCAGTTTAAATAATGCAAATTTATTATTTTAACTCCAGTGGGACAAGAATCCAGACACAGTTTAGTTGGATGCTTTGCTTCAGTGTCTGTCACAGACTGCGATCAAGGGCTAGGCTGTCATCTGGAAGCCTGACTGAAGAAGAATCCACTTTGAAGCTCACAGGGTTGTGGGCTGGGCTTGCTTCCTTGCAGGCTGTTGAGCTGAGGGCCTTAGTTTCTTGCTGACTATTATGAGGAGGCCGCTCTCACTTCCTTGCCAAAGGGCCTTGCGATACGGTGACTTACGTTATCAAAGACAACTGGGGAAGAAGTCAATAGAGAGTTTTCTCGCAAGATGGAAGTTAAAATCTTGTGCAATGTAATCACAGAAGCAGCACCCTTTTACCTCTGCTATATTCTATTGATTAGAAGAAAGTCATTGTTGCTGCTCATGCTCAGTGGGTGGCGATGATACAGGGACATTAACAGCAGAAATGGGGATACTTGGGGGCCACCATTTGGACTGGAGAAAAATTAGTTATCCATCTCACTAGAACTCCTCAAGGATGTTATTCTTTTATCCTTAAGGATAAAAGGAATATGGTCTATGACTGTTCAAGCCTAAGTCAATTATCCTGTCTCTGGGTCCATGGGGGCCACATGTGTTACCAAATAAAGAGAAGCAGAAAATTTTCTGTGGAGGAAAATTAGTTATCCCACTGGAACTCCTCAAGTCCAAAATTAAGTTCTTATCTGTCTCTTCAAAACTAATTTTATGTATATCAGTTTCATGTATCATATTTTAAATTTATTCAGAACTTAACTATTTGGAGAACTTTTGTCCTGATTTCCAATTTGTGAATTTTATAATTGGAAAAGAAAACCATTAATCTACCCTGAAGTAAATGAATTGATCAAAATATGTTGGTTTTGAATATATATTTGTATTAATCAAAGAGAATGGCTGTCTCTAGATTCAGAGTTTCTTAGCAAAATGGTCAGTGCTGCATTTAAGGGAAAATATGATCGACCTTATATTTTATTTGCTTTTCAGCTTTACTGAGATATAATTGACAAATAAAAATTAAATATATTGGCTGGGCATGGTGGCTCATGCCTGTAATCCCAGCAATTTGGGAGGCCGAGGTGGGTGGGTCACGAGGTCAGGAGTTCGAGACCAGCATGGCCAATATGGCAAAACCTCATTTCTACTAAAAATACAAAAATTAGCTGGGTGTAGTGGCACGCACCTGTGGTACTAGCTACTCGGGCGACTGAGGGAGAAGAATCGCTTGAACCCGGGAGGAGGAGGGTTCGAGTGAGCCGAGATCATACCACTGTACTCCAGCCTGGGTGACAGAGAGAGATTCTGTCTCAAAAAAAAAAAAAAAAATTAAATATGTTAAAGATGTACACTGTGATGCTTTGATATATGTATACATTACAAAATGATTACCACAATCAAGTTAATTAAGATATCCATCACTTCACATAGTTACCTTGTTTATGTGTGTGTGTGTGTGTAGTGTTGAGAATACTTATGAACTACTCTTTCACCAAATTTCAAGTATATGCTACATTATTATTAACAATAGATTTAATAGACTTTAAATCTTTGTTTTTACTTATTTTTTATAAGTAACATTTGAAAGTCAATTATATTCTGTGAGTAGGTTCTAGGGAATTTCCTATATAGTATCTCATTTATTTCTTATAACAATCCTTGCAATTAAGTAGAATAGCTGCCATTTTATAAAAACAGAAGCTAGGTTGATGACAACGTGGATGTGTGTTAGTCAGCAGAGATGACTTAGAAGGAAGTGTCAGAACAGGGGAAAACCACAAGAGTGTGATGCTCCAGAAGAGAGCTACTGTGCAATATGTAGTCTAAGATGTCTCAGAATAATCAGATAAAAATAGACCAATAGCATTTAGCAACACAGAGATCATTGGTGACCAGTGAGAAGATGTTGTCAGTGTGTGTTGGAAACAGAAGTCAGTAAGGAGTGTGCTGAGAAGTGAGGAGAAGAATAAAACTGGATATGGTGAGTAGGTATTTCAGGAAATTTGTCTATAGGAGGGAGAAAACAGACAAGGGATAATAATTGAGGGGAGAGAATTTTTGTATTTTTGTTTGTTTAATGAGTGTGTGATTTTAAGGTAGGAGACAATTGAGAAACTTAAATGCTGATTGGAAGGATTGGGTAAGCAGCAAGAGGTAAAAGATATAAGAAAGAAATTATCTGTAGTTCTTGAGAAGGGAGGAGGGGATGTGATTCAGAGCACAGGTGGAACAGTTTCTCAGAGACACAAAATAAGTAAGTTTGAAGCCAGGACTTGCCCCAGGTTTTCATCCAAAAAAGGACAAATTCACTTTGAGAGCAAGATGAACATTTTTCATTTTTACACTTTCCCTTCTCTTTCCATAGACATGGCCAGTTTAGTGTGTGTGTGTGTGTGTGTGTGTGTGTGTGTTCCTGAGCTAGTTCATCTATTATTCCCCAAGGAGCTCTTTTAAATGAACCAAAAAGTAAATGCAGTATGGATAAATAGGATAAATATGAGGAATATTGTGTTTTTGGCAAGTTAACAGTTCTGCTTGAATAGAGACTAGATATTAAGGTCAGAAATTGAAGGAGGTGATAATTTCTTGAGAAACAGCTCCAAGTCAGTTCTAGTTATAAAGTCCTTATTTTAAGCAGAAAATAATATGAGCAGCAGGAAGTGGGAGATAAGCCAGAAGATCGTCATAAGATTACCCAGAAAGCTTTGACGATTTAAACTAGCCTTAACGTCACTAACTTTCTCTGTCTAAACATAGATAGCGTTAGAAAGTATTACCAGATAAAAAGAGCTTCCAATTTCACTCAGTACTCAGTTATTCGCTCCCAGGTACACACAAGACAGAGAAGTCCCCTGCTCCCAATTAGTGCTTTGGTGCTTTTTATATTATTATGAGAGGACATAAATTACATTTTAAATGCAATAAAATCACCTTCAGTAATGGTTTATGATACCTACAACTAATTTTGTGATCTCAACAATCCATACAATTGCTCTAAACCTTAGATTTCTCTCCACTAAAGTAAGAAATGTATACAATAATCTCTAAGATTCCCTTAGCTTTATACAGTTGAATGTTTCTAAGTTAATAATTAAGTCTTTCCACAGGAAGAGTGACATCTCTAAAACTCAATGCAGAAATCCTCTTATCTAGGTAAGGGTGTTTCTTGTTGAGGGTGGGATGCAATGAAGAGACTGGGGATTAGCTCCCAAAACCAGGAGACAAGAGTTTACACCCCAGACACTCTATGAATACAGAGTACAGTTGAGCTAAGGACAGTAGGCCACAGAGGGAAAGGCTAGCATCTTTTCAAAACAAAGGCTGAAAGCAGATAGAGAAAGCAAAAGTATAAAGAGCCCAGGGGTAAAAAAATCCTAAAGCAATAGGTAAGGAGATTGAATAAGTGGTGAATAGACTGGGCAATATATGGATCCAAATTCTTGCCTTTGCCTGTATTTTATGTGTTTACTGTGGCATTGTATTTGGAGGGGTTCCAATGTTCAATGGGTAGACCTATTTGAACTTCAGGTTCTAAAAGTTCCTCAGATTACAGAGTGTTCAAGAGAGTGACAGTTAATAACCAAAAATAAATATTATATGTATCAGTTCAGAATCTCTTTTAGAGGCAAATAGCAAGCAGAAAGACCAACTCAAATTGACTTTAAATGCGAAATTATTGGCTTAACTAACTGAAAACTCAGGATTAAGACTTAGTTATAGACAGAGCATACATTATTAGAGACTTAAAAAAATGTCATTGTGGGTACTTTTAGCCCTTGCCACCTTCTCCAGTCTGAGAGTTGGGCAGGAATGAGTAATACCCCAAAGAAAAATCAGCTTACTGCCAGTGCAGCAGGGGTTATGGAGCCTCAGAGCAAAACAAGGAACGTCTCCTACATGATGGCGAATATCGGTGTCCGCTCCCCTTCCTTACCTACTCAGGATGTCTTAGCAAATCTCAGTTCAGCCCTAATGGACAGGAAAAAAATTGCCCTCCTCCTTACCATGACTGATGTGCAGTTGTGTCCTTTGGACCCAAGGGTCTTCAGTCATTCAAAAAGAAATTATTCCCATAGAATAGCCATGTAATTAAGAATGCAGGGACACAAAGAACTGGTAGGAGGCTGCTTCTATGCCAAGATTTCAAGGTAATTTCTCACCTGGGTTATAATATAAAGTTCATATGAGACAATATTTATTCCTGTTCCGTGGGCAAGCTGTCCCTGTGAGTTATTTTCTAGACCATAGAGTTAGAGTCAGTTCCCTTCACCACTTTCATAATCCTCATCTTCATGGTTCTTCTTGTTCCTGGATCCAAAACTTTTGAAACCAGGGTGTCACTTATGACAACATTCTCAGGGATGTGACCCACATTTCTAAACTTCAAGATTCATCACTTATTTCCCTGCCTTTTTCCTAGCCTCTCTCCCTGGACGCTTTTATTTTTCAAACAGAAACTTCAAATCACAATTATTTCCATGCCCCCAGAAAACAACAACAAAAAGGACTGATCTTGAAATCCTTTCCAGCAATGCTTTCCGCCCCCCACCTCCACTGAAGGAAAACTACATTATTCTCTCCAATTAAAAGATTTGAAACAAAATAAAAATTTAATGTCAATTAGCCATGCTGTTGCATATGCCCAGATGAGAAAAATAACACAAGTAAATTTCAGACTAATAATTTCTAGGGCTGACATCATGTTACTTAAAATGGTTATGCCCAGTCTTCCTTAGCAATGTTCAACTCACTAGAGAAATGTCAGGGAATAAACCTTGTTCATTCTCTAGCTCGGATGTTAGACTTGAATGTAGGTGATAGTGTTACCAGAGTTCTTTTGTGGTTTTTAAATGAAATATTCAATAAAATGAAAGACTTAGGAAGAACTGGTCATTTTTCTGAGATAACATACATTGGTAACTCATGATGCGTGTGATGTTGGTGAAGAGCTCTATTTATTTTTAGAAATAAACTTTTGAACTGGAAATCTTTTTGCATTCAAGTGAAAATAGATGATCCCATAATTTGCAAGTTGTCTTGAGAGCACAAGTGCCAGAAAGGCAGAGGAGGAACAATGGAAAGGATTTCATGTGCTAAGTGAAATAGTCTATTGCTGCCTGTCATTCCATTCCTTCAAGTCATTCTTTATCTACATGCCCTTGTCCTGCCTTCTAGACTCACACTTGCCAAATGTCTTAGGGCTGTCAGGGAAGATTTACTGGAAATAAAACAACTGCAATAAAAGAAGGGAAGGAGGCCCAGCTTGGCAGTTCACTTACATGTGATGTTCAGATTTGGGCAAAGAGAATGTGAAATGGTTTATGACACTCCAATGTCCAATACTTCTGTCACTGTAAAAATAATCTTTTTCTTTGCCTAAGAATACAGAAAGTGTTAAAGGGAGAGAAATAAGCTTTTTAAAGTACTTGTTTGTATCAGACATTAACTAGCATATGTTTTTTCATATTTGCAAAGCATATATTTGATGAAGGACTTGTATTCAGAATATAAAGAATATATAAAGAATAGCTTAATAACAACCCATTGAAACATAGGTGTAATGTGTGAGTGGACACTTCACTGAATCAGTTATATGCACGGCCAATAAACACACATAACAACCTCAATATCATTAGTCATCAGGGAAATGCAAATTAGACCACCAAGAAATAGTACTACATACCTACTAGAATGATTGAAATTAAAAACTCGGACAACAAACGTCAGCAGAAATGTAGAGAAACCAGAACTTTCATACCTTGCTGGTGAGAATATGAAATGATACAATCCTTTTGCTAAACTGTTTGCCTTATTTATTTAGATTTTTAAAATTGATGTATTATAGCTGTATATGTTTTTGGAGTACATGTGACATTTTGATACATGTATGCAAAGTGTAATAATCAAATTGGGGTAATAGGTATGTCCATCACCCCAAACATTTCTCTTTCTCTTGTGTTGAGAACATTACAATTATTCTCTTATAGCTATTTGAAATATACAATAAATTATTTTTAACAAGGATACTTTACCTGTGTTTCTTCGCTTTACCCTCAAAGAAGTTAAATGCTACATACAACCTTACATCACTACGTAATTTTGTAACAGTTAACAAAGTGCTGCTGAAACATATTATTTCTCACAATAATGCCTTTCTGGGAGGCATTATTCCTATTATTTTAGTGAAGAAGAAACTGAGCCAATTTATTAACAAGGGTAATTTTGGATGATTTTGGACACTGATGCTAACATAGTCTTTCTTTTCTTCTTAATTCTTTTCTTCTTAATTCCACATCCTTACAGTAGTGGAGAAGAATAAATGAGATATTACAGGTGAACTATTTGTTTGTACAGTGGCTGCACATAGTATGCACTCAAGAAAAGTTCACCCTGATTTTTCAGTGAGGGTTAATGGTTTGCTCAATACCATAAAGCCAGAATGCAGTAGGATTTAGACTCAAAGCAATTCTTCCAACTCCAAGCTCTTTCTGCTATGCTCTGTCTCCTGAACAAAAAGACCAACGCATAGAAAAATTCCATTGTTCTAATCTTCCAGAGTGTGCACAGAGATGTACCCATGCACACATCACTACCTACCACCTCTTTCCTGGGCCATCATACTTTTCAGTCCTATTTTTTTCATGCACTTGTTTAGATACCTCTTACAGTAGGCAGAATAATAGACCCTAAAGTTGTCTACATCCTAATCCCTGTTACTTTACATGGCAAAAAGGACCTTATGATAAGATTAAGGATCCTGAGATTGGGGTTTTTTACTGGATTATCCAGAGGGACCAGAGGGATCTAATATAATTACAAGAGTCTTCATAAGAGGGAGGCAGGAGTGTCAACCTAGAGAGGAGAGATAACAAAGGAAATGAAGGTTGGATTGATGGGACCATGAACCAAGGAATGCAGACATCCTCTAGAAACTGATAAAGGGCAAAAAAGAAGATTCTTTCCTAGAGTTTTCAGAAGGAACACAGCCCTGCCAACACTGAATTTCAGCCCAGTAAAACCAATTTCAGGCTTTGAACCTCCAGGACTGTAATATAATACATTTGTATTGCTCTAAGCCACTAAGTTTGTGGTAATTTGTTACAGCAGAAAAGGAAAACTAATACATCTCCTTTCTTTTCTTTTTCCTCCTTTACCATGCTCCTCCATACTAATCTACTCAAATATCTTGGTGTTGAGGGTAAGGTAATTATTTTCATTTGTAATAGCAAATTTAATATTTAATCTTTACGTGGCAGTGACACAGATGCCAGCAGACTGGGTGTCCCTAGAATCTCAGACCTTCTGGAATTATCTTTTCTTCTAATATTTGAAATAAACTGCCTAGAGAATACAATCCTGGTCATTTGGGAAATAAAGCATTCCTTTTAATATTTTTGTGGATTATAGAGGGATTTTTTTATATTTATTACCTTTGATTTAAATACTTGTTTTTTGGTAAATTATTAGCTTTCTCTCTAAAATTTCATTTTCTGCAGCTACAGTTATTTTCTATTTGCACCATGTCAAACTAAGTGTGAGGCATAGACCTCCATTTATCCCCACTCACTATCTATTTAGTTTATGCAGAAAGTAAATTAGTAATAACATGAGGTACTGTACCTAGCAGAACTTTCCCCCAAAGTTGGAGTAAACAGAGTGGGTTGATGTTAGAAGCCAGTGATGCAGTAAATATTTAATATGATCTTGCTGATTTTAAATATCTTTGCTTGTTTCCAGCCTTGCGGATTTCTTATGGGTCTCTGCTTCCGTACTCCATGTTAATGAACCCTGTGTCTCTCCCTAGATTTCCTCCTCTTTTACCTACTCTCCAACTGTACATTAAAAATTGTGTTTCTCATCTAAAATTTGTTAAAGCTCTACAAGCCTCCAGGGAAACCAACCGGGTATAAAATTCACTAAGCAAAAAGAGTATCAGTTTGGAGAAGTATCTAAAAAGAGAATTAGGGAAGGGTTTTTATAGGGCTTTGAGGATTGAGATTTTAGTCATCAGGTAGCATCAGGCAAAAGTTAGGGAAAGAAGAAAGATCTTGTAAACTAGGAAATTTGCTGGAATAGCTAGTGGTCTTATTTTTTGGGACATACGTGTCTTTATAAAGTTACTTTTAAATCAGTTAGTCTTTGTTCTTATATTGGAATGCAAGGGTCTGAACTAGCTGGTATTAAAGCGTTTTAAGATTTTTTTTCTCTACTCCAAAGTATTTCAAGTTTTCAAAACATTTTGAAAATATACTCAATTTGTACATCCAAAAACTCTTTTAGGGGCTTTCCAAAACAGAGCATCCTTTGTTTCTCCACATTTTTTCAGCATAAAGTATTCCCAGAGGCATTACAATTATAACCTTTCCTTCAAAATAATTCAATTCTTAGAAATGGTTGCCTTCTCTAGGCTCTCTGGGACAAATAAAGTATGCCATTCTGGTAGAAGGCAGAATCAGAAGAGTAAGATTCTGAAAACCACATGCTTTTCTTCTTGGGATAAAGTGGGCTCTATTCTTTTTATTATTCTCAGTTTTCAGATGCATTAAATGATGACAGATGATAAGTAACTTGCCTAAGGTGCGGCATGGAGGTGTAATATGTCTAAGTTGTGCTGCTGCTACGATTCAATTTATTGAGAACTTCCTATGAAAAGGCACACAACGTAGGAGACACTATGCAGGCTCAATGTCCCAATGAGACATTGCCCTAAGATTTGGAACGTTTTACAGATGCTAAGATTTATGTCTATATGTTCATTGTCTTTCTCCGTAACTGCTTTCATTTCTATTCTTAGAAAAAAATTATTGTCTCTTCCTACTGTATACTATCTACATTCTGACATTATGTTTGTGTATATGTGTGTGTGTGAGAGAGGAGAGATACAGAGACAGAGAGACTTTAGTATCTGAGAGAGATATAATTTTTGTTTTGTCCATGTCTTCCTGATATGGTTAGGTTAGTGTCCCTGCCCAAATCTCATTTTGAATTGTAATCCCCACATGTCAAGGGAGGAAGCTGGAGGGAGGTGATTGGATCATGGGGGTGGTTTCCCCCATGCTGTTCTAGTGACAGTGAGGGAGTTCTCATGAGATCTGGTGGTTTCAAAAGTGGCAGTTTCCCCTGTGGGCACTCTCTCTCTCCTGCCACCATGTAAGACATGTCTTGTTTCCCTTCACCTTCTGCCATTCTTGTAAGTTTCCTGAGGCCTCCCCAGCCATACAGAACTTTGAGTCAATTAAACTTTTCATTATAAGTTACCCAGTCTCAGGTAGTATCTTTTCAGCATTGTGTAAATGAACTGATACAGAAAATTGGTACTGCAGAGAGTAGGACACTGCTATAAAGATACCTCAGAATGTGAAAGCAACTTTGGAACTGGGTAGCGTGCAGAAGTTGCAACAGTTTGGAAGACTCAGAAGAAGACAGGAAGATGTGGGAAAGTTTGGTACTTCCTAGAGATTTGTTAAATGCTTTTGACCAAAATGCTGATAGGAATATGGACAATGAAGTCCAGGTTGAGGTGGTCTCAGATGGAGATGAGGAACTTCTTGGGAACTGGAGCAAAAGCCACTCTTGCTATGCTTTAGCAAAGAGACTGGTGGCATTGTGCCCCTGCCATAGAGATATGTGGAACTTTGAAACTGAGAGAGATTATTTAGAGTATCTGGCAGAAGAAATTTCTAAGCAGCAAAGCATTCAAGAGGTGACTTGGCTTTTCCTGAAAGTATATAGTTATATGCACTCACAAAGAGATG
Source organism: Homo sapiens (assembly GCF_000001405.40). Lineage (NCBI taxonomy): Eukaryota > Metazoa > Chordata > Mammalia > Primates > Hominidae > Homo > Homo sapiens. The sequence goes on from NC_000008.11 coordinate 75,130,207, forward strand.
ATTTGAAATTGGAACTTATGTTCAAAAGGAAAGCAGAGCATAAAAGTTTGGAAAACTTGAAGCCTGATTATGTGGTAGAAAAGAAAAACCCATTTTCTGGGAGAAATTCAAACCTGCTGCAGAAATTTGCATAAGTAAGGAGGAGTCAAATGTTAATAGCCAATACAATGGGAAAAATGTCTCCAGGGCATGTGATATGATTTGGCTGTGTCCCCATCCAAATCTCATCTTGAATTCCCACATGGGAGGGACCCGGTGGGAGGTAATTGAATCATGGGGAAAGATCTTTCCCCATGTGGAAAGACCAGCCATGTGGAGCTGTAAGTCCATTAAACCTCTTTCTTTTGTAAATTGCCTGGTCTTGGGTATGTCTTTATCAGCAGCATGAAAAAGGACTAAGAAGGCATGTCAGAAATCTTCACTGCAGCCCCTCCCATCACAGGTCTGGAAGCCTGGGTGGGAAAAATAGTTTCGTGGGCCAGGCCCACACAGCCTCAGGACTTGATGCCCTGCATCTGAGCTGCTCCAACTCCAGCCATGGCTGAAAGGGGCCAAGGTACAGCTTGAGGCATGGCTTCAGAGGGTGCAAGCCCCAAGCCTTGGCTTCCACATGGCGTTGAGCCTGTGGGTGCTCAGAAGACAAGAGTTGAGCTTTGGGAGCCTCTGCCTAGATTTCAGAGGATGTATGGAAATGCCTGGATCTCCAGGCAGAAGTCTACTGAATTGAGACCCTCTACTAGGGCAGTTTAGAGGGGACATGTGGGGTTGGAGCCCCCACAGAGTCCCCACTGGGGCACCACCTAGTGGAACTGTGGGAAAGAGGGCCACTGTCCTCCAGACCCCAGAATGGTAGATCCACCAGCAGCTTGTACCATGCACCTGGAAGAGCCACAGGCACTCAATGTCAGCCCATGAAAGCAGTTGTATCCTGCAGAGCCACAGGGGCAGAGCTGCTTACAACCTTGGGAGCCAAACTCTTGCATCAGCATGCCTGGGATGTGAGACATGGTGTCAAAGGAGACTGTTTTGGAGCTTAAAGATTTATCATGACTGCCCTGCTGGGTGTTAGTTTAGCATGGGGCTTGTGGCCCCTTTGTTTTGACCAATTTCTCTCATTTGGAACAGGAACATTTACCCAATGCCTGTACCCCCATCTTGGAAGCAACTAACTTGTTTTGATTGTATAGGCTCATAGGTAAAAGAGACTTACCTTGTCTCAGATAAGACTTTGGATTTGGACTTTTGGGTTCATGCTGGAATGAGTTAAGACTCTGGGAGACTGTGGGAAGGCATGATTGGTTTTGAATTGTGAAAAGGACATGAGATTTGGGAGGGTTGGGGCAGAATTATATGGTGTGGCTCTGTGTCCTCACTCAAATCTCATCTCAAATTGTAATCTTTACATGTTGAGGGAGGTACCTGGTGGGAGATGATTGGATCATGGGTGCTGTTTCCCCCGGGCTGTTTTTGTGACAGTGAGGGAGTTCTCACGAGATCTGATGGTTTTAAAAGTTGCAGTTTCCCCTGTGCTCTCTCTTTCCCGTTGTCATGTAAGACGTGCCTTGCTTCCCTTAGCTTTCTGCCATGATTGTAAGTTTCCTGAGGCCTCCCCAGCCATGCAGAACTGTGCCAATTAAGCCTCTTTCCTTTATAGATTACCCAGCCTCAGGTATTCTTTACAGCAGTGTGAAAATGAACTAATCCACTTCCTAATGGAGGATCTTTTTAATATTAATCGCCACTCATAGAATCATTTCAGCCAACTTGGGATGAAGGTAGAAGTGAAGGGTACATAGCACAGGAATCCTGTCCTGCTAAAGTTACATAGTTAAATTTACCAATTAGAAACACTCTAAGAGGTGTGAATATTTAATAATCATTTTACAAATAAAGACACAGTTACAAGAGAACAATTAATTTATAGAGGTAGTACAGGTAGAAATTAAATTTTTAATGGTGTCCAGTTAGGCTACATGAACTGTCTCAAGTTAGTACACTGAGGTTGCCTTTTGAGTCAACTCAGATCAGCCTGAATTTGAAAACTTGGCTATGGTCATTATCCCCTGCCTTTTCTTTGTTTTTTAAGAGTTTATTTAATTCTTACCACTGGGCTTATTGGAATCCAAGAGTTTTAGAATCCCTTTTCTCTATAATGTTTAGTAATGACACACTAACCTAGCAATTATGTGAAAAAAAAGCATCAGAAACCCCATATTAGTGGAAGTAAACATTTAGAAAAATTTATATATGTCTTCTAGTTTTGTTTTAGGTCAAACTCTGTTCTCCTACCTACTTTGTTTCCTGGATTGGAATACCCGGTATTATCTGTTGTCATTCCTTCAATTTCTCTGGAAAGTCACATATGTCCAAATATTTGGGGAAGGTAATGAGAGTCCTGGAGTGTCCAAATCTATAGACCACAGAAAGAGGAGAAAGTGCTCTCATTTCACCAACAGCATGAATCAGTTCCTGGGTTATAGCAGATACTCAAATGCTTACTGAAACTTAAAATGAATCAGTATTTAAATCAATATATAAAATCCATCTTTATTTTAAAAGAATCTGTTAATACTTTTCAAATTGAATGAAAGCCTGCTGTGTTTACTTATGCTGCAAGGTGGCTTTGCTTGTTTGAAAACTCAGGAAGATAATATTGTTTCTGAAGTTAAAATTCAGTCACACATGGGATGGAATTTACCATGTAAATTATGTAGGCCATGTAAACATTGTTTCTGGCTTTCAGAAACTATTGAGCAGTTTACCATTTCCAAATGGAAATAAAGCCAAGCAAATGGAAACTAGGAAAGAGGATTATAAAAAACGCACTGTTCCCTTCAGTTGGCTTCTCTTTCTGCTTACTCATTACAGTCATTATATTTACAAAACAATTAAAGCACAGAAAACTATCATCAGGAAACTTCCTAGACACTCTTATAATTGTTCATTGAATCCAGGAGATGTTGATTATTACCATCGTTACCTAACAGGCAAGGCAACCTGAAGTTTACATACATTTTTAAAAAGAAGAGAATATTTTACTGAATAAATAAAAAATAAATTATTTTCTAGTAAACAGTTTAGCATGTCACTGGTAAGTGAACTAACATGTTCTACCTATTTTAAAACAATCAGTACACATAGCTTATTTCTATTGCCTTAGTCCTATGTTTTTCCATTTCATCATGAGAAATCACATATTAAAACAAGTTTCAGGACTCTACCCCTCAAGATTCTGATTCTGTAAATCTGGGTTTGGGTCCAAACATTTACATTCTGCTCTTCTAAAAATTTTCCCCTTGTGCTTCTGATGCTGCTGGTCTGTGGACCACATTTGCAGAACCACAGTCTCAAACTACCGAAAAAATTCAGGAAATAAATCATCATTTAAAAATAAATATTTAGTATTTGTTGGAGAAATACACTGCTTCAACATTTTCAAACAGATAATTTATTTCTCATGAAGAGTATGTATCCAGGCAAAACATGGGAGATTTTCTACACTTCCTCAAATTTATACCAAAAATTCTTCAGTATAAGAGGACTTTTTTATTATTATTATTATACTGTAAGTTTTAGGGTACATGTGCACAATATGCAGGTTAGTTACATATGTATACATGTGCCATGCTGGTGCGCTGCACCCACTAACTTGTCATCTAGCATTAGGTATATCTCCCAATGCTATCCCTCCCCCCTCCCCCCACCCCACAACAGTCCCCAGAGTGTGATGTTCCCCTTCCTGTGTCCATGCGTTCTCATTGTTCAATTCCCACCTATGAGTGAGAATATGCGGTGTTTGGTTTTTTGTTCTTGCGATAGTTTACTGAAAATGATGATTTCCAATTTCATTCATGTCCCTACAAAGGACATGAACTCATCATTTTTATGGCTGCATAGTATTCCATGGTGTATATGTGCCACATTTTCTTAATCCAGTCTATCATTGTTGGACATTTGGGTTGGTTCCAAGTCTTTGCTATTGTGAATAATGCCGCAATAAACATACGTGTGCATGTGTCTTTATAGCAGCATGATTTATAGTCCTTTGGGTATATACCCAGTAATGGGATGGCTGGGTCAAATGGTATTTCTAGTTCTAGATCCCTGAGGAATCGCCACACTGACTTCCACAATGGTTGAACTAGTTTACAGTCCCACCAACAGTGTAAAAGTGTTCCTATTTCTCCACATCCTCTCCAGCACCCCAGAGAAACAATTAAGGGAAATAAGGTCTTCAGATACATGTAGGATATCATATAGATTTTATACCATATAAATATCATATAGGTTTTATACCATACACTACTTATTTACATTGCACAAAAAGCCGCCTGAGTAAAGCAGTTTGTATGTATTAGGAGCATTCCTGAGATAAATTTTAGCAGCACATACGATGAACCAAACTTACGGCTGTCAATCCCATGATTATATTGTAAATAAAGATAAAGATCTCTAAATAGGGTGTTTACAATATAACACAAGTTCTAAAGGGAATCAGTTTTGTGTTGTTCCACAAGCAGAACTAAGATTAATAAACAGAAATTAAGAGAGTAGAATTTGGGCACCCATGAGGGTTTTTGAACTGGGTAACATTATGCAACAGGAGTTTCATGTCAATGGAAACATTCAGTTAACATCTGAATGGCTGGCCACCTTGCAGAAAAATTGTCAAGGGGATTCTTACAGTAGATTTCTTACTTTCAAATCTAAAAGTCTGTGATTTTTATAATGAATACAAAAATTTAAAAATATAGTTGAGGAGTTTAGAGACTAAAGAAATACAAATGAAGCATGAATACACTTACATTCCATTTATAAGAAATATTTAGACATCTAAATTTTGTATATGGTGGAGAGTATTGACCCCTCCTCAATCTGTTTCCTTCATTTTCCTGGGAAAATGGTTTCTTGGCAAAACTATATTTCTCAGCTTCCTTTGTAACTAGGCACAGTTAAGTGTGGCTGTGAGCCTCAGTTCTAACCAACAGAATATTTGAAAGTAATGTATACAGGGTCCACTTCATTTAATGAAAAGACCTTTGCAGAGTACTGGCTCTCTCTCTTTCCTTCCTAATGGCTGAAGAGTTTGACATATGAAATATCCATTGAAACTTTGTGTTTAAAGTGGCAGGGTTAACCCTTCCACTGGATTTTTTGGATTAATTTTTGGGGTCAGAACCCTCCTATCGTCCTTCCACTGAGAAATAAATGAACTAACTTTGAAAATTAACTTATGGATCTTTGTGTTACTGCAACACTTCCCTATGTCTAATGCACTGCAAATTAAGAATTTTCAGGAATCATTTTTGGTTTAAATACAGGGAAAAAAAAAACTGGTTAGCTGGCCTAACGACATAACAATTATTTGTAGAACTGTTTAAATAGAAAGGACACTAGTTATTTACGTTGCACAAAAAGCCGCCCGAGTAAAGCAGTTTGTATGTATTAGGAGCATTCCTGAGATAAATTTTAGCAGCACATAGGATGAACCAAACTTATGGCTGTCAATCCCGTGATTATATTGTAAATAAAGATAAAGTTCTCTAAATAGGGTGTTTACAATATGACGCAAGTTCTAAAAAGATGATACATTAGACTTCTTATTCATATATTGGGTGGTATAAAATAGGTCTACATTTTACCATTCTAAATATACAAGGTAATTATTCAGTAGAATTACTTATCATAAAACATAGCAATTAAATAATTTAATTATACAATTAATAATTTATAAAACATGTTTCAGTGGGTGTTAACACAGAATCACCTCACTATATCATCATTATCTCTAAAGATAATAGTTTTTTTTTTTTTTTTGAGACGGAGTCTCACACTCTGTCCCCCAGGCTGGAGTGCAGTGGCACAATCTCGGCTAACTGCAAGCTCTGCCTCCCAGGTTCATGCCATTCTCCTGCCTCAGCCTCCCGAGGAGCTGGGACTACAGGCGCCCACCATCATGCCCCGCTAATTTTTTGTATTTTCAGTAGAGACGGGGTTTCACCATGTTAGCCAGGATGGTCTCCATCTCCTGACCTCGTGATCCGCCCGCCTCGGCCTCCCAAAATGCTGGGATTACAGGCGTGAGCCACCGCGTCCGGCCGATAGTAGTTTTTATATCATTTTACATAAGAGGAATCTGAGACTCAGACTAGTGTCTCTGAAGCCACACAGTCAGTTAGTAATAAGGCCATAGATTTCACCTTCATGTGTGGATAATTCAGTTTTGTTTAGACCCCCACGAATCACGCCGCCCGAGTTAACTTAGTTGTTTTTGGTGCTCAATTATTATAGTGATGACGCCCAATGGATACCTGCACTTGTGAAGTCCCTGTCTCATCGATCTAAGCGAAGCTATATGTGACTTGCTTTGGCCAGTGGCCATTACCAGATGAGATGCCCGCGTACACAGGAAAAGCCCTTTTGAATTGGGGCTTGGACATTCTTGCTCTTGATAACACTGCTGCCATGTAGAAGCCTGGGTTAGCCCATCTGAGGACACGACCATGAAGAGCAGACATGAGCCTTCCTAGCTGAGGCCACAAGCTGACACACCAGCTGATTACAGCCACATGAGTGAACTCAGGCAAGTCAACAAGTGAACTGACAAGGCGGGCTTAGCTGGAATCATAGGCAAATAAATGATTGGTCTTTTAAATCACCAAGTTTTACGGTGGCTTAATTAACTGCAATAAATAGATACAGCTTGCAATCCAGGGCAATTACGGTATGTCTTCAAATGCATTTCTGTAATTGACCTAGTTTTCCAAGACTTCAGGATATAGTCATCTATAAATACAATTACAATCTCATTCTTTGTAGCACTCCCGTATTCCCTCCAAAGGTCTATTCAACACATTGTAAACTTCATGATTTGCTTTGCTCTTATTTTATTTTAACTGTTTCAGGAAACTATGTGTGAACTTAGTATAATAGCTACAAGAGAGTTCATACAGGCCTTAAAATTACTTAATTTATTGAGCTGTATATTTTTAATATGTATTCTTTTCTTCATGTATATTTTTACTTTATATTTAAAAAAAATGTTTACCTAGATGGTAGCCAGAACGACAAGAAAATTTAGAACAGCATTTTCTAAACCAGAGGTTGGCCACCTTTTAAGAGATATGTGTCATGGTTTTAGCAACCAAACTGCTTCTTGACTTTTAATGACAGAGGGTAAAGAATATATGACTATGTTGTGACCATCAATTCTCCTGACAGCAGGAGCTGCCACAGAAGGTATAAAGGAAATTGTGTAGGAGGTACGAAATATTACCCCCACACTCCCCTGGCATGCTGACTTTGGCACATACATCATAGGACCTTGGTTACTGCACGGAATCCTCAAATATAAGTGGAGTTGTGGGAAATTGTGTGTTGAAAAGCACAGGCCAGCATGGTTTTAATTTAATGTCTTTTTTTTAAAAGAAAATTACATGCTACATAACAGTCATGAAAAGGTTTAGTGGGGTATGGGGTTTGTTTTGGGAACCCAGATCCTGATAACTTTTACTTGGAATGCTCTTCTAGGCCTGCCCATGTATAGTAACAAGGTAGAGAGTTTGGATAGTATATTTTCCTTTAAAGTCAAAGAAGGTCAGTGTCTACTCATGTTCTATCTCTGCCATGGTGTGCATGCCCTAGTGATATCTGAGTCTATTCACAGAGTGTACTCACAATAGCATGTTATTTGATAAATCAATAAATGTAAGAATGAGTGAATAAATGAAATGTAGCAGGACCAAATTCTTTTTCTTTGATTTTCTTTCTCTGTAATTGTTTTCTATTTCATTCCAGTTTATAGTAGATGTGTGGTTTAAGTGAGCACTGACTTATAAAAACAGATCATGTTATTTGAGTGAAACTTTCCGCAAAATTATAGTAACTGGAATTTGAATAGTAAAATTTGCAGAGTGCAATGTTCAGTTGCATATATTGCAACAAACATATGCATTTGTGTTACTATTGTTATGAATAATAATTGTTATTATTATTATGTTTCTACAGATGAGGAAACAAATTCAGAAAGTTAAATGACTTGTCAAATTCTCATTGCTAGTAAGTGAAAGAAGTGATACTCAAATTCAGGCTTTCTGGTCCAAGAGTATAGCTGGGTTTTTTATGCTATCTTTGTGTGATGCATGTCTCAGTGAGCTGCCCAGTTCAATGCCTATCTCCTCCCAGAACTAAACCCTCATTTCCCCAGCTGCTGGGAGTGTTGATGGCTGACAGTTCTCAGCTGAGTCAGCAAGTCCTCTTTGGGATTTACCCTAGCCCAAAACGAGCCCAGCCCAGTCCACACTCGCACAATTTGAAAGGATGTCAGTACACCTCTAATTATTTGCTGATGCAAGGGCATAAGAGCCTGTCCACTCACTCCAATTTTGGACAACTCTAAAGGACTACCCTAGCTGTAGAGCTTCCCAGGTATGATCAGCTGATGCCTTGGTTGCAAATGCATCACAGTTCAACTTCACTCACTGCCTCATCCAGGTGTTGATTCCAAGAGCACCTGCCAATGAAGTAACTGTGTACATCTCTGTTTTAGAGTCTGCTTTCTGGGGTATCCAACATGTGAATCTTCACTGCAATGTTGTCTCCTTTATTAATGCATTTTATGCTTCTTTAGAACTGTATTCATTCAATCAACACAAATTGAGTTCTCATGTATCAGTCAAAAATAAATTGTAAGTAGCAAACCACTCTATTTTTAGCAAAAATGGATTTAATACAAAGAATTGGGTCCTTCTACATCTTTGGAATGGTTGGACTCCCATGACTGAGTGTCATTTTTGCCTAAGCAAGAAGATGGAGAGTGAAACAGACTTTCTTAAATTAATGACTGGTTATATTTCAGCACCTAAGCTGCAATTCTGGGGTCAGAAAGCAACTGCTAGAACCACTGGCTCCAGAGTCTCATCCTACCTACTAGATATGTACCAGTGAATTGGATGTCTTTTACCATCTTTGCTGTTTTCCTCATTTAACATTGTTACAAATTCAAATAGATACACACATATGATTCAAGAACATAAATCACCTCTGGAAAGTTACCTGGGAGGTGTTCTGGTAAAGGTTTTCTTAGCTTTCTGGTTTCTGCAGTATAGGAAGTTATCCCTCAAGAAAGTTGGAAGAAATAAACTATGCCAGTCTACTGTATCTACCACATGTTACAAACCAAAGAGTCTTTGCCTTCAGCAACTTACATTTTAGTCAAAATATAAGACAAAAAATAAACAGATAGGGCAGACAACTTGACAATACTCTTGGATAAAGCTATTAGAAAATCAACAAACTTTACAACTGAAAGATGTTTAGGTTGGCAACAGTCAATGCAACTTGTTTCTAGAGCTATTCATATAATAGTGCCACGGTGAGACAGTTAATTGGAAAATACTACTTGGTAATGGCTATATAAATCAAAATGTGCCTTCAAAGACAGTGTGGGAGTTTAGTTACGTGCTACTACTTATGAAATAATTCTATGGGAGTTGGCAAAACTGATTAGTTAAATTTGGAGAATTTATGCTATAGGAATTAAGCTTGATTGGTACTTGACTCATGTTTCTCTAGAGTTTAAATGTGAAAAGTTTAACTTTGAAGAGTTATGGGCTATAGATTATTCAATACAAGAAGTTAACATTTTGACCAAAAAACAAAAACAAAAACAAAAAAAGACAAAACAGTAGCTAGTTTTGCAGCGTGAGCCAGAGCAAATAACACAAAACTGAGTATAGAATATTGCTGCTTAAACTGTTCTTGGTGAAGGACTCCCTTGAGAATCTAGTAAAGAATATAAACTCATTATATTTTTGAATGCAGAAATATACACACGTACATGTATATGTACATACCAAATATTCACAAATATCAGCAGGCTCACAGATGCTTTGAACTTATGAAATCTCCTGAAGACCTTGGGTCTTCCTTAAGAAATTCTATACTAGAGTGCTGTGCTCTTTTACATTTCTGAGGTTACTGTGATGTTTTAGTTCTCAAAAAGTTGAAACCTGTACACATATAAGTATTTTTGTACCTATATGTGTGTGCATATACACATATACGTAAAATTAAATATATCCTACCAAATGTCATACTGGTGAAGAATTGTAGCCTCAATTGGTTATCTCAGAAATTGTTGCACCCCATCAATAAAATATTTTTGAGAATTTGCTGAGTATATATATAATATGTGTAAAAAGTATATATGCATGTATAGTCTATCTTTATAAATTATATAAATGTATTAGACCAAAATACTTAAAGTATGTATATAAAATTTGAAATGTATAAAAATAAGAATGAATTGTTTTAAAATTTTTTTCTGATTTTTTATTATTAATACAAAAATATTGTCCTCTTTTAGTACTTCCAAAATATTTTGGGGAATCCTTTTGTCAAATAGGAAAACCAACTTTTCCAGCATTTAGAAATACCATTTGACCCAGTGATCCTATTACTGGGTATATACCCAAAGGATTATAAATCATGCTACTGTAAAGACACATGCACATATATGTTTATTGCGGCACTATTCACAACAGCAAAGTGTTGCTATTGGGAACCAACCCAAATGTCCATCAATGATAGACTGGATTAAGAAAATGTGGCAAATATACACCATGGAATACTATGCAGCCATAAAAAAGGATGAGTTCATGTCCTTTGCAGGGATGTGGATGAAGCTGGAAACCATCATTCTCAGTAAACTATCACAAGGACAGAAAACCAAATACCGCATGTTCTCACTCATAAGTGGGAATTGAACAATGAAAACACATGGACACAGGGCAGGGAACATCATCACACACAGGGCCTGTCCGGGGGTTGGGGCTCGGGGAGGGATAGCATTAGGAGAAATACCTATTGTAAATGATGAGTTGATGGGTGGAGCAAGCCAAAATGGCACATGTATACCTATATAACAAACCTGCATGTTGTGCACATGTACCCTAGAACTTAAAGTATAATTAAAATAATGAGATGCTAAAACAGAAATTGGACATTAGGTAAAAGCTAAGGTGATATGAATAATGCACTATTTTTGCAACTTCCTATGAATTTCCAGTTATTTCAAAATGAAATGTTTTGAAACACTATGGGTTTAACTAATGTCTGACTCAAAGGTCAAAGCAATAACCTCTTTAACTTTTCAATTTCATAGATGATATAGGTCAAAATAAAGAGATAGGAAATAAAAAAAGAAAATTATTTCACTTGCTTCTGTTTTTCTTTATTACACATTAATAAAAGAGGCAAATTAGTTCATACCAATTGAATACTTCTGTGATCTAGGTTAAGTCATAGATTTTTTTAAGCCCCTATATCTTCATTTATATGGTTCTTTTAGAATATGATGTATATTCTGTTCAGTCCCAAAATTTTCTCTTAATTGGCTCCAAATTGATCAAATAATTTTCTTTTAATTACTAATTCACTTAATTGCTACTAAAAGGTGGAATTGGATGTATTGAGTTGTTTTTGATAGACTAGGCCAATATATGGATCAGAGAACGTTCTGCTATACGTTATGGTTCTACAATATGAAATACTAACCTGAATAAGGAGGGAGATTTCTTATCCTCTAGTTCTAATCCACAAAATGAATGAATGAATGAATCAATGAATGAATCAATCAATTCACTTATCTTTAGGAAAATATATAACCTTATAACCCATGAAATGAAACTATCATGGGACCCATGTTCTGAGCACTAGGGTGCTCAGGGCAGTACAGGTGGAGATAGTGCCCCCCCAGAACTAGATCTGTTTGTCTTTCATTCTAAATTTGGTGAAAGAGTGATGTAGGCAAGGTACTAAAATAGAATAACTGTGTCTAAATGTGCATAGGCATAGAATTATCTGGGGAGGGCCTCAAAGACACTGATTAGCCAGAAAACTATTAATAATCAGAGTGACCATAATAAAGTTAGCTAAGGACATGAGTAACAATCTGCAAAGCTAAAATGTATCTGTGCCTGCATCCAAGGAGTGAATTTAGAAAACTTGGTTTATTTTATGATTACTATGGGATAGAGTGCTTGAAATTAAAATGCTAGGTCACCAATCCAAGAGGAAGGTGCTGGAATTAGGAACAGTATGATATTTGATAACAGGGCAGGGTGTTTAAGTACGAGGCAGCCCTGGTGGCTTTATAATTTGCTGTTTCATTTCTGTGTGGCTCCTGCAGCCACTAGCTGGCATGAAAGGGTCCCTCTGGTATTTTGAACCAAAAAGGAAATAAAACTCACTCACACTTCACTACAGATAACCTGAATATTTTGAATTTGGTTCATGGCAAGAGAAATGTGTACTTTGGATTTATTTTAATAATAGTGGTGATATGTTGGCTGAGTTATCTCCTTTACGATTTGGAAACTTGTGAAGTAGTTGTCTGAGTTTAAGAAAAGCAATATATGCCTACGGGAAATAATTTTTATCTCATCTGAAAATAATTGGAATATATGAACAACACTTAAGGAGAAAATGTCTCTTGGCAAGTAATATAACTCAAATAGAGATTATTGATTTTTTATTGAAGAATTAAAAGTTTCCTCTTAGCGTCACCCTGATCTGCTTAGATTGGCTTTGTTACTTGAATTTAGAGACATTGTTATGCAATAGTGGAAAGAGACAAATGTTGCATGTTCTTTGCATTTGAAGTAATCTCTGATTTGTGTTTAATTTTCCTATTGATGTGTAATGCATAACAAATAAGTTGATATGTATGTAAAACTTCAAGTATTCAGCTCAATTACTCTTAGCTGTCCATACCACCTTTGGAAACACTACCTAGATGAAGAAATAGAATATTATCAGAAGCATACCTTGTATTTTCTTTGTTATCACTCCCCTAACCCCCTCCAGAGAACAACTATTTTGACTTCCATCACACAGACTGGTTTTGCCTTTTGGAAATTTTTATATAAATGTAATCATACAATATTTATTTTTGTGTATACTTTCTTTCACTCAGTAGTATGCCTGTGAAATTTATCCATGTTGTTGAGAGTAGCAGATTACTCATTTTCATTGCCATGTAATATTCCCTTGTATCAATATTCTAAAATTGTATTCCCTGTAGTGTTGATGGATATTTGAATTCTGTCCAATTTCTCACTATATCAAATGGTGATGCTGTCAACATTTTTGTACATGTCTTCAGTGTATATATGTACACATTTTCAATATCCAATGTAATTGCTATGCCATAGGTATTTGTATGCTTTGCTTTAGGAGATACTGCAAGATAAATAGTATTTTTTTTGTGTGTGGACACCTTTCCAAACAAATTGTACTAGCTGGCACTCTCATTGGCAGTGTTTACCCCTCAGCATTTCTGGCTTGTATATAGTGGTGTTATATTGTGGTTCTCATTCATATGTACCTGATGACTAAAGATATTGAACACTTTTACATGTGCTTATTAGCCATTTGGCTACTCTCCTTGTGAATGTCAGCTCAAATGTTTGCCTATTTTTTTCCATTGGGTTGTCTATCTTTATTGTCTTGATTTGTACACATTGTTTATATATTCTGTTTATATTCAATATGTAACATTATATATATATGTATATGTTTTCTTCTACTCTGCCTTTTAAACTATCTTCATGGAGTATTTTAATAAACAGGAGATCTTAATTTTTATGAAGTATAATTTATCAATTGTTATCTTTTGGCTAGAACTTTATGTGTTCTTTTATTAAGTACAACATCATTCTGATTGTAAAGCTATCCACATATATTATATTCTACAACTTATGTTACTTTGTAGCTCATATTGAGATCACCACTTCATCTGGAATTTATTTTGTGTTAAGGACATAAGGGTCCAGATTTGTTAACCTAACTTTTCCCCCATCACAATATAATGTCACCTTTATTATAAATAGGCTGTATATATGGCTATTTCTAGATTATTTCCGTGGTCAGTTTTTTACTCTTGCGTCAACAGCATAATGTCTCAGTTATTGTGACATTTTGATAAATCTTGGTATGCTAATGTTAGTACTCTTTTTTCTTGTTTTTGTTCACAATTGTCTTGCCTCATTTTTGTTAGAAAATTTTACACAATTTTATTAGACTTATATTTAAGAATCTGACGCACTTCATGCTCAATTTAATGCTTTCTTTTACATTTTTTATTATCTAATTCTAATACTAAGCAAATTCTAATACATATATCTGCAGATGCTTCTGTGTATTTTGTGTGCACAGTCAATGCTATTTGCATACAATGTTCATTTGTTTATTTATTTTCAAACTTTATAATTTACATTTATTTTTATAACAGTATTGCACAGGCTAGGGCATCCAGGACAAAGTTGAACAGAAGTGATAATATCAGAAGTCCTTACCTTATTCTCAATCTTGGTAAGAAATTTTTATATTTCATTATAAAATATAACGCTTACTATAGATATTTATAGATATTCTTTTTCAGCTTAAGAAGATTATCCTTTGTTTCTAGTTTGTTAAAAGCTTTTATCATGAAAGAATATCAAATTTCGTCAAAGGGTTTCTTGCATCTATTGAGATAACTTTATGCCATTTTCTCCTTTATTCTATCAACATGATTAATTAGATTAATTGCTTCTGAATGTTAAACTTGTCTTATAGGCCTAATATCAACCTTACTTAGTTTTGATGTATTATCTGTTTTATTATTTGATTTGCTCACATTTTGTTTAGAAATTTTCAACTATGTTTCTGAAAGAAACTTACTTGTATTTTACTTTTCTCATAATGCCCTTGTAACATTTTAGAGGAAAGGCTATGTTGACTCATAAAGTGAATTGGGAATTGTCCTTTTTTTCCTCTCCTCTGAAAGTGTTCAGTAGAATTATTACATTTTTTCCCAAATTTTTAAAAGAATTCAACAGTGAATCCATCTGAGCCAAAGTTTTTCTTTCATTAGAGTGAAGGTTTTAAATAGTATGTTCAATTGCATTTGTATGTATCTGCTTAGTCTGAATTTATATTTATTTTTCTGTTCGCTTTGGTATATTTTGTTATTTTTTTTCTCCAGAGGATATTTTTCATTCAAATTAAGAAAAATCTGACTTAGATTATATTTCTTTAAATAAAACAAAAGATTTTAAAACATTTTCACAAACTAAATCAAATATGTTAAATATTATATATTGATAGGATATTTTAGCAACAGGTCAACTTCTACATGTTACTTTGAACAAATGTCTTTATTTCCCAATATGATATTAGATTAACTAAAATAGGAATGTTTTTGTTAAATATTATTGATAACCCCCACACCTTCCACATTTCAAAAACTGTGAAATCTATGTAGTTCCACCAAAGCCTAGGTTTTTTGTTTGCTATTAGATGTTCTTAAGAGATTTTTGCACTATTTCCTGCATTATTACCCTTCTCTTGATCATACTATTTTTTACAGTTGAAATGCTAACACAGTGAAGTTTTCTTAATAATTGGAAGCTGAATTATTTGTAAAATTCATGACCTCACTGCTATCAATATTTAATAAATTATACTATGCAGTATCATATCTATTACCTATGCTCTGACTATTGTCCAGAATTTCAGATAGTATTTATTACATATGCATTCTTTTTTTCTCAAAAAATATTTAGATAAGAAAAATGCAAAAGTTATAAATTTTCTCTAGATATTTCAAGAGAATTAACACAGATTTTAGTCCCTCCAGAAATATCACCCCAGGTTGTAAAATCCCCTCAGTACTATTTATCTTTCTCTACTCAGAAATGAGTTCAGAGTAGAGCAAACCACAGGTAAACTCACAGGGTTTCAGTGTGATGGTGCCATAAGGTGAGGAATAGTAAGGGCAACGTTCAGGAACTAGGTCAAGAATATTAGTGAGGGCCCCACCAATTCAAATTTAGGGTAACTTGTATGAAGTCCAGAAGCAAGAACTACACAGGCTGCCTTTATGAGCAGTTTGGTTATACAAGGTCTGGGCCGGCGCCCATTCTTTGTGGCTATCCAGGCAAGCCATCTCACCTATTTAACGTAGCCGGGTGGACCAAGGAAAGCACTGACAACTGGGTGCTTTTCATTGCTAATCCTGGCCCTGACTCACCACTCCGTGACCTCTCTTGGTGTGTTTCCTCAGCTGGAAAGTGAAGATAATAATAATGACCTATTTAACAAGGGGTGTTGTGTGGATTGCCAGTTAATAACATGTTTCAAAACACAAGGCAGCATTGAGCTTGTAAATACTAATAGAAAGTTTCTCCACACTACAAAGTCAATGAGTGCTTCTCTTGAAGAAAACCCAACATGCCAGAACATGAACATACAAAGCAGTTGAATTAAGGTGAGTTTTTACTTAACAGAAGAAACTTCATTTTCTAAAAGGATACTCTAGAGTTTTCCTTTAGATGGTTAGCTCACCCTTGTGCATTTAAAAGCTTTTATAAAATTCATCTATACCTATTCCATTAGTTTAGTGTTTGTTTGGAATATATTTAGAATATATTTTTGGTATGTTTAAATACTTTTTTCCCCCAAAATCAACCGAAAGTAAATGTCATATAGCTTGTCACTGTATTATCGATATTATCATAAGTCTTCTGTAAAGTCAACTTGGAACATATAAAATAACAAATACACATGTTTTACTTTGGTTGCCTCATCATGGAGGGATTCTTGTTCTACTAGAGGAACTTATGTTAAACTAATGAATTTGAATTTATGCATAGTTTTCTAGGAACCTATAACATATCACATCCAGTAATATACTTCTAATAATTTAGCACTGAATAGCTGCTTGCAGGCAAAATTAAATATATCTGCCAAATTAATTCAATTTGCCAGCGCAAAAGTGCCTACCTGCATTTCTTATGTCTATTTATTTGTTTTTCACAAAGATGAAGAATAGTCAGAGAGACAAATGCAAAAGAAGTGTGATTTACTTTGTTATAATTTGTAGCTACCAAAAATACTTCTTGAATTCTGAGACTATTGTTGATATTAGCAAGGCAAGGTCAAATACAAAAGTAAAAAAGTATACTGGTAACAAAATCTGCAAATAAAAATTGAATCCCATGTTTAGTAAGAATTGTTAAGATAATTTGAAAACCATAAAAAGGAATGACCAGGTAGTGAGTTGAAATTTTGCTCAAGCTAAAACCGAAAGTCTTCTTACAGTGATATCGACAAATGCTATCTTTTTGTAAATTTATGTGTATTTTAATGGAAAGTAGAGATGATTTATATCATACACATTTTATTTGATCTTTATAAATAAACTACCTTCAAACTCATTTGTTCACTTATTCTTTATAAGTTTCTTGAATGCTATCAAGAGTACATATAACCCCTTATGTATGAGGAAATTAAGACTTGGGAGAGTTTGTTCAATTATTCATCTTTTTATTTTTTCAAAAACTATTTATGAACCCATACCAACAGTCACTCTGCTAGTTAAAAATTATACTACAATTGTCTTTAAAATTTTAGTAAGGTCCCCACCTACATGCCCTATTGCCTCTATTTTTTTTATCTTGATTATCTTTGTTTATTCTCCAATGCTTTTGTTCTACTTACAACTTCTTTCTACCACCTAATAGTAAAAGAAAACAAAAGTATTGCTTTATATTGAGGAAATAAGGAGTTAATTGCTTATTTTTTGTTGTCTGTTCATTAAAATATTTCACCTAGAATTGGTATCAATTTTTTAATAACATAAATAAGGACAAAACACAAAACTATGAGAAATCCAAGCTGCACTCACCATATACAGTGATTAGTCTTTACAAATAGAAAAGAGTCTTGGAATAAGATTTTTGCAGAAAAGTTTCTACCAGAACATAAATGATATAATTTTGAAATTAATTTCTGACATGAAGTAATTTTTAAACTTTGACTAAAAGTAGTTATTTCCATTAGACTGTAAGTGAAATAGAATAGAGCTTTGTTTTATTCACAGCTACCCTGCCCCACTATCTATATGTGTTCAATATTTTCAACAGTAATTTGGAATGGGCCTAGATAAAAATAAGAAGGCAATTATTTATGAGAGCCTTTTTCAAGGACCACCACACATATTTCATCACTCTGATCCTGGGCATGGGTAGCTGAAGACAATATTCACCCTACAATTAAAAGTACAGTCCTCTGCAGAAAAAGAATTATCTGGCTCACAGCTAAGAAACTCTGGTCTAGAGGGAAAGAGAACCAGTGCTTTTTTTTATTACTTAAAGTAACATTTAAAAATTAATAAATGCCCTTTCACAAGTGCAACATAATACTACATAACTTGATAAAGTTGTTGTTTGTATCAATTTCTTTTATAATTACAATAGTATGACATAGTAGTTGAAATATTTTCAGTTACAAGGTCACCTGTAGACAAATGTCATATTTCGTTATCTCTAATTCTTGGGCATTTTTATGCTTTAGTTTGATGATTGACAAGATTGAAATATTATAGAATTAGGTACTATGTAATCGAGCCCAGTGCCATCTCATGAAGATCGCACCTATCATAATGTCTTCCACACTTACTAGCAATGCAATGTTGCAACATAATCTGTTTAATTACAGACGTAAAATGAATATAACATCTCATTCATAGAATTCTTGTATTAAATGAGATAATAAAGGTAAAGAGCAAAGTACATTAATTTACATATAACGCGTTCAAAATATATTAGACATTATTATTACTATTATTATTCATTAATGCAAGTTTCATTTTCCTGTTATTAGAATTTTGCCTTTAATTTAACAAAGTTTCATCGGACGCTAATGGCGTTTTATTATGACACACAAAACAAAATCTCAGGGAAAACCGACAGGAATACAACAAGAACATAACAGTCCACCTGATCAAAATCGGAATAAACATCAGGTGATACTCTACCAGAAAACTCTATAAAATTAGAAAATTGTCCTGTTTTCTGTTATTTTGTATACTTTGTATCAGTAGCACATGCCCCTCCATCATGTACTGGGTTTCTAAGGGTCACGTGTCTGCAGTTTACTGAATTTGATCACTAGATGGCACTCTTGTATCCTTAATTAAATAAACACAATTTTCCTTGTTTTCAAACATTAGGGTGAATATTCAAACTTCTAATTAACTGAATTTCATAGGAATATCTGGCACACTCTAGCATTGTCTCCATGATATACTTACATAGGTCGTACTCAGGGCACACACAGCATGAAATTTACCAATGAAGTTCTCCAGTATGTTTTCATATTAAGAGTGTGCCATAAATGAGTTGTAATTTGACCACACCTCTAAAACCTTAGGTAATACACCCATCTGGAAGTGCCTTTTTTCTGCAAGTGAGGTTCAGGAAGAACTAGCTCCCTTGTGATTATGTTTTCCTGAGAAACTGATACCTAAGATTTTCATATCTTAAAACAAAACCCACACAAAGAAAGAAAAGACACCTACATTAAGTAATAAAGTAAATGCATTTATGACTATTTCTAAGGACTGTGCAAACTGTTTTTAAATATATATATGCTCATTTAATACATACAACTCTCATTTTATAGATGAAGAAACGGGCTCAGTGATGCTAAGAAACTTGCCCAATATTACACAGCTCATGAGTAACACAGCACATGATCTGAGCGCAGACATCTGACTGTAGAGCTGGGACATCCCTTAACTGCAAACAAAACAGTCTTCCATTGTTTTTATCTCACACTGTACTAGAGACCATGGCATAACTTTTCTGTCTAGTCAGAAATATCAACCATTAAAATATTGACTTTGGCATACAGAGAGCTTGTTTGGATACTGATATAATCGTGCCAACTGTAAATTAACATTTTTGAGACAACTGGAGACAATATTATTTTTTAAATAATTAATTTAAATTATTGTTAATTTTTAGATGTACTGTTGGCATTATGGTTGTGTTAAAAGACATGTATTATTTAGAGCTACATTATAAAGTATTTATATTACAATAGATAAAATTATGAATTGTTTGGGACATGCTTTAATGTATGTCAAAAATGGGATAGGATGGTAGATAAAATAAAATTAGTAAAATACTGAAAATTATGAATGTTAAATAATGGATACATTGTGTTATCTTTCAAATTTTATGCATATTTGAAAAGTTCATGGTAAAAATTCAAAGGAAAATATTTATAAAAGTTCAAAAGTTCAAAATTTGAGATCTTATGAAATCACTGTTTAAAAAATGAATGTGTCTTCCATTCACAATTGCTACAAAGAGAATAAAATACCTACGAATACAACTTATAAGGAATGTGAAGGACCTCTTCAAGAAGAACTACAAAACGCTGGTCAAGGAAATAAGAGAGGACACAAACAAATGGAAAAACATTCCGTGCTCATGGATAGGAAGAACCAATATCATGAAAATGGCCATACTGCTCAAAGTAATTTATAGATTCAATGCTATCCCTATCAAGCTACCTCAAGCTACCATTGACTTTATTCACAGAACTAGAAAAAAATACTTTAAATTTCATATGGAACCAAAAAGGGGCCCGTATAGCCAAGACAATCCTAAACAAAAAGAACAAAGCTGGAGGCATTATGCTACCTGACTTCAAACTATATTACAAGGCTACGGTAACCAAAACAGCATGGTACTGGTACAAAAACAGATATATAGACCAATGGAACAGAACAGAGAACTCAGAAATAATGCCACACTTCTATAACCATCTGATGTTTGATAAACCTGACAAAAACAAGCAATGGAGAAAGGATTCCTTATTTAATAAATGGTGTTGGGAAAACTGGCTAGCCATGTGCAAAAAACTGAAACTGGAGCCCTTCCTTACACCTTATACAAAAATTAACTCAAGATGGATTAAAGACTTAAATGTAAGACCTAAAACCATAAAAACCCTAGAAGAAAACCTAGGCAATACCATTCAGGACATGGGTATGAGGAAAACTTCATGACTAAAACACCAAAAGAAATGACAATAAAAGCCAAAATCGACAAATGGGATCTAATTAAACTAAAGAGCTTCTGCACAGCAAAAGTAACTATCATTAGTGTGAACAGGCAACCTACAGAATGGAAGAAAATTTTTGCAATCTATCCATATGACAAAGGGCTAATATCCAGAATCTACCAAGAACTCAAACAAATTTACAAGAAAAAAACAACCCCGTCAAAAAGTGGGCCTAGGATATGAACAGACATTTCTCAAAAGAAGACATTTATGCGGCCAACAAACATATGAAAAAAAGCCTATCATCACTGGTCATTAGAGAAATGCAAATCAAAACCACAATGAGATACCATCTCACACCAGTTAGAATGGTGATCATTAAAAAGTCAGGAAACAGCAGATGCTGGAGAGGATGTGGAGAAATAGGAACGCTTTTACATTGTTGGTGGGAGTGTAAATTAGTTCAACCATTGTAGAAAACAGTATGGTGATTCCTCAAGGATCTAGAACCAGAAATACCATTTGACCCAGCAATCCTATTACTGGGTATATACCCAAAGGATTATAAATCATTCTATTATAAAGATACATGCACAGGTACGTTTATTGGAGCACTATTCACAATAGCAAAGACTTGGAACCAACCCAAATGCCCATCAATGATAGACTGGATAAAGAAAATGTGGCACATATACATCACGGAATACTAGGCAGCCATAAAAAAGGATGAGTTTATGTCCTTTGGAGGGACATGGATGAAGCTGGAAACCGTCATTCTCAGCAAACTAACACAGGAACAGAAAACCAAACACTGCATGTTCTCACTCATAAGTGGGAGTTGAACAATGAGAACACATGGACACAGGGAGGGAAACATCACACACCGGGGCCTTTCAGGGGGTGGGGGGCTAGGGGAGGGATAACATTAGGAGAAATACCTAATGTAGATGATGGGTTGATGGGTGCAGCAAACCACCATGGCACGTGTATACCTTATGTAATAAACCTGCACACTCTGCACATGTATGCCAGAACTTAAAGTATAATAAAAACAAAACAAAAACATAAACAAAAATGAATGTGTCCACTTTAAAGAGTTTGTGGCATAGAGCTTTACTTTCCATCTTGAACTCATCCCATAGAATTGTTACACTGGGTCTGTTCGATTAAAAAGTTACCTTAAGAATTAGAGAGAAGTAGATCATTTCAAAACAGGTAAATTTTGATGAGAACAAGAGGTGTAAAGAAGGAAGTTCATCAGGCGATTTGCAGAGTGAAGATATCTGAGTGTAACCTCAAACAGGGCACCATGAAAATATCAGTATCCCATAGGGGCTGAATGTCCAAAAAAGAAGTATGGGAAATGTAGCAATTAATGCATATTGGAAAATTATAGGCATTTAGAATGATGTCTTTAGACAATATTTTCCCAGGTTCATTTCTAAGAAGGTACTTCAGAGTTTTCTTAAATAAATGATAAAATCAAACTGTATTCTTTTTATACCTATTACATCATTTTAAATTGGTAAAGAAAAACTATAGTTAAATGCACATACTAAATTATATTTAATAAAAATGTCCAAAGACATTATACCAAAAAGTGTTTACTTGCACAATTATGCTAACTCATTGTTTATTCAGTCTTTAAACAAATCTTTTTTTCTAAAATATATTTTTAAAAAACTAATATTAATTAAAAGTCTTCTTTTTACATGCAGGCCTACCCATAGCACATGTGCACCACACTTAGTAAAATGCCAGGCAGGGCTCAGATGTATCTGCTCTGAGCAGATACTTAACATAGCAATGACCAGGAGTACAATAAAAAGTAAATACAAATATAATAACATTGTCCCAAAGTGAGATATTAGTGTAAATATTGCAATTGCATATCAACAATATATATATGTTGATAGTTTCTGTTTGCTAAATAGCTGTCAAATATAGCAGCTTAGAAACAGTTTGAGGATTTTGTGGGCTTTTTCTTATGATTTATTTAATAACTGAACAGTTTTAATTTGCCACTCTAGGTTCTGTAACAGTGTTACTACCTCACAAGAAGAGATAAGTATTTACAAGAAAATGGAAAAACTGTATTAAAACTTTGAATATTTGAATATTTGACAAAGGTACCTCCTCTTCTCTGAAAAATTGCTGTAATTGTTGTAAATGATACTTCTGATTATCAAGAAAAATTTCATCAGAAATGAAAATTGAAACTGGATGACAAACATATTCAATGATTTTCACCATGTCTAATACATTAAAGAACATTAGATGTTATGAGTGATTCAAATTTGATGTCATTTTCTCTTTGCTCGGCTTGTGATCCCAAACAGTCTTCTCTTGGGTGGATCCATGTGGAGTATAAATATTATGGAGTGTGGTTGAAAAACGTGGACTCTGGAGCCAGATTTTCTGGGTTCAAATCCTGACTAAGCCTTTTAGTAGCTATGTAACCTTGGAGAAATGAGTAAACCTCAGCCCAGTTTCCTCATCTGTGAAACACATAATATATTACAGAAATCTAATGGTGATTAATGAATTAATATGAATAAAGTATATGGAGGCCGGGCATGGTGGCTCACGCCTGTAATCCCAGCACTTTGGGAAGCCAAGGCAGGTGGATCAGTTGAGGCCAGGAGTTCGAGACCAACCTGGCCAACATGGTGAAACCCTATCTCTACTAAAAATACAAAAAATTAGCCAGGTGTGGTGGTGCATGCCTGTAGTCCCAGCCACTTGGGAGGCTGAGGTAGCGGGGAGGAGGTTGCAGTGAGCCAATAGGGTACCATTGCACTCAAGCCTGGGCAACAGAGTGAGACTCCATCTCAAAAAATAATAATAAAGAAAAAATAAAATAAAAAGTATATGGAAGAGTGTCCCCACATAGTGCTATACAAGTGTTTGTCATTTAAGCAAAAATAAATTAATATAGAATCTTGAATGGGAGACTAAATTGCAGAGTAAGGTTGAGCACTTTCTCTTTGCAGTTACTTATTTTTACAAATCAGTGTATTCTAATGTATTCCTGAAGATTAAATCATTTTGAATGTTTGGATTTTAAAATGATAGTGCTATAAAGTTGAGTCCAGCACTATAGGCAAAAGTTATTTTACATTTGGGCCGAGTAAACATGCCACTTATTCTTATTTGTAGAATACTAAGATTGCACCATCTAAAAGAGATAGCTTCATAAAATTTATTTTCTAACGTTGTTAAACATCAAATAACACAGTCTCTTTAACTTTTCATTAAGTATACTATAGCAGTTCTTAACTGTTAAATGTGCTGTGCTGACACATGCATAAATTAAGGAACAATTTGCATAATTCTGGCACTTAGAACTTGGTCTTATCAAAGGTTTCAACACTGATTTGTACAACATAGAACTTTAAAATTTTTAAGTATGAAATATAACTTTTGAAAGCATAGAAGTGTAATTTGAGTATTAAGAAATTCTATCTGATTCTCTTGGGTTTGAATTGTATTTTTAAATTTAGTTTTTTGATTCTTTTACTCCATTTAGACTTAAAGTTTAAAATAACAGGATGTGCTTCAATATTCAGAAGCACATTATTATCTGTGCCTCTTTAAACAAGTTGGAGTGTTTTTCCCCTTCAGAATCTGAGCTGTCAATCATTCAACAGATCTTTTTTTCCTGTTCTTTTGCGCCAAAATCCACTACTTCTAAGTTGTTTGGCTCTCCATTAGCCCTCACAAGCTGAAGTTTTACACTGAATAAACTATCAATTTTATTTTATGTAGTTTCCTACTTTTATATCAGAAAGATGGACTCCAGTGGTGGAATGTAAACTCAGCAGTGATAATTAAATATCAAGAGCTCAAACCTACATAAGATGCATTTTTCTAAGTAGCACGCTCAATTGGCCTTGAACTCCTACGAGTTTCCAGATTCAATACTTCTGAACCTCTTTGTTCACGCAAATATCCAAGTAGTGCTGATCAATGACAGACCCATCAGTAACACTTTAGATGCCATGTGAGTTCTGAATGGGCTATACCAGAAAGCATCAGCTGCAACCCTGTATCTCATTCAGCCTAGAAGTTCATGTTCTGCAGCTCTCAGGAGCGTGTTATCCATATAAAGCAAAAATATGCAAACAAGCACACTTCAATGGGCTTTAATAGTTGATTTAGGGTTAGTTTTCCTTACTTCATCTTTCTAAAAAGGTACACGTTGAAACACCATGAAATGGAATGAATGTTTTGCTCAGTTTTGATTAAAAAGAGGTGGTTAACTTTAGGCAAGTGGCCCTAGCTAGTTCGTGGTTTGGAAGATGTGAAGTACGTTAACACCAGACTTGCCTGGGAGGTGAAACCTTAGCTTTTCAGTAAGAGTTATGTGTGTGTGTGCGTGCGTGCGTGTGTGTGTGTGTCTAAATCTGTTTTTGCCAGATTGAAGGTAACTGTGAATTTGCTATTGATTCAAATCATAATTTGGTTAATATACTTACATTTACTCCTCAGGCAAATTATTATTTCAAATTATCTTAAGTACCTTATAAATAAATTTTTCTAGAAATAATGAGGATGGTGTGTATATCATAATGAATATTGTCCCTAAATGGAACTAATGAACATATATTTTTCCTTATTTGCTGGTTTGATAACTTAGTATTTGGAGATACATCCTTTGCTATTTAATTAATGTTTTAGGTTTTATTTTATTTATAATTGACACACTAATTTTACATATTTATGTGTGATTTTTGATACAAATATACATTGTATAATGATGAAAACAGAATATTTAGCTTATCCATCATTTCAAACACTTATCACTTCATTGTGGTGAGAGCATTCACAATCTTCTCTCCTAGCTATTTTTAAATATACGATATTGTTAACTATAGTCACCACACTGTGCAAGAGAGCACCAGAATGTATTCCTCCTGTCTAACTATAACTTTATACCCATTGACCAGTCTCTTTCTATCCCTTCCCACCTTCCCAGGCTCTGGTTGCCACCGATTTACTATCTTCATGAGATCCAATTTTTTAGCTCCCACATATGAATGAAAACATGAGACATATGTTTTTCTATGCTTGTCTTATTTCATTTAGCATGTCTTCCAGGTCCATCCATGTTGCCACAAATTTATTTTTTGTGGCCAAATAGTATTCCATTGTGTATATATACCACATTTTCTTTATCCATTCATCCTTCAATGGGCACTTAGGCTGATTCCCTATCTTAGCTCTTGTGAATAATGCTGCAATAAACATCAGAGGGCAGATGACATGGTTTGGCTCTGTGTCCCCACCCAAATCTCACCTTGGATTGTAATAATCCCCACTTGTAGTGGGAGGGACCCGGGTAGAAGGTATTGAATCATGGGGGTGGGTTTTTCTCAGGTTGTTCTTGTGATAGTGAATAAGTCTTACAAAATCTGTTGGTTTTGTAAAGGGGAGTTCTCCTGTGCATGCGCTCTTGCCTGACACCATGTAAGCCATCCCTTTGCTCTTCCATAGTCTTCTGCCATGATTGTGAGGCCTCCCTAGCCATGTGGAACTGTGAGTCTATTAAACTCTTTCCTTTATAAATTATGCAGTCTCAAGTATGTCTTTATTAACAGCATGAGAACTGACGAATATAGCAGCTATCTCTTCAACATACTGATTTCATTTCCTTTGGATCTATACCCAGTAGTGGGATTGTTGGATCATATGGTAGTTCCAGTTTTAATCTTTTGAGAAACCTTTTATTGTTTTCCATAATGGTTATACTACTTTACATTTCCACCAATAATGTATAACAGTTCCCCTTTCTCCACATCCATGCCAGCATGTTAATTTTTGTCTTTTTGATAATAGTCATTCTAATCAGAGTGAGGTGATATATCATTCTGGTTTTCATTTACATCTGCCTGATGATCAGAGATACTGAACATTTTTTCATATACCTGCTGGTCATTTGTATTTCTTCTTTGGGGAAATGTCTATTCAAATCTTTTGTCCATTTTGATACATCAATATAAACATTACATTTTCCATTATACTTTATTTATACTATTACTGATTCCTCAGAAAATTCTCTCACCTTTTATATTAATAATACATTCTCTCTATATATATTTTTGAAATAAAATTTACCTTTATATTTTAATGGGAGTTAAGTTACCTAAAATTGCATGAATCACAAGACCTTTTTACACTGCAGACAGACTAGAATGAGGCCTCAGGAGTAGGGGAAATTTGATTCCTAATCTCAATTTGGTTGCAAAGTTCTTTGTTTCACAAGCAATTCACATACCAGATGATCATCACCACCATGCTTTTGTTTAGGTTCTCCTTCTGACTGAACTGTCCCTCAGATGTTACCACACAGGAAAAGTTGACCCATCTTTTATCTTTAAAAACCTACTTCTCCTTTTATACTTTCTCTAACTACTGAGTCAAACTAATCTTTCCTTTTTCCAAATTGATAAAATCATAACACGTTAATATATTAGAAATGTCTTACAAAATAACATAGGACTACATCCCAGTTAAAACAGTCACCAATCCAACAACATCCACAACAGATAATCAGACTACCTGAATGCTATCCTTGACAGGAAGGTCAGTCAGCCAGAAGAAATCCTATTCTAATCTTGGGAAACCTCAACTATTAAAAATGTCACCCTCAGACTGACGAAATTCTGTAGCAGAGTTGCAATAAAAGTCAACACATGGCATAAGTGGAAACATGCAAAAATTTGAGGCTGAATATATTATTATTTACGTTAACAAAATCACTTTTCTCTCCCCTAGAAAAGTCTACCTCTAGACCTCAAATACACCCCTTGTCTGAGAGTGTTGAATATATTTGGCTAGTAACCAAGTAGGATCTTTGCCCTGTAAGAAAGCATTTCCTCTATTTCAGTATGGGAGCAGTGAAGGAAGCCAGTCATCTACCCCATACACACACACACACACACACACACACACACGCACATGTGTGTGCATACATCCTTAAACATACTTCCCTGCTTTAACTCTGCAAAGCCAGGAAGAAGGATGTAGAATTTTTTAAATTAAATTTTCACTGATACATAATAGATGTACATATTTTGGTACTACATTGATAATTTAATACATTCATATAATTTCTAAAGATCAAGTCAGTGTAAATGGAATAATTTTCACCTTAAATATTTGTCTTTTCTTTATGCTAGATATTCAAATTATTCTCTTCTAGCTATTTTTGAAATATACAATAGATATTGTAAACTATAGTCACCCTACTGATATATCAAACAGTAAGTGTTATTTCTTCTATCAAATTGCATGTTTACACTCATTAATCAACTTCTCTTCATCCTCCCCTCTCCAGTCCCCTTCCCAGACTTTGGTAACAAACAATTTACTCTCTATCTTCATAAGATACACTTTTTTTTTAGCTCTCTCAAATGAGTGAGAACGTGTGATATTTGATATTTGTCTTTCTGTCTTTGTCTTATTTCACTTAACGTAATGGTCTCCAACTCCGTTAATGTTGCTGCAAGTGACAGGATTTCCTTCTTTTTATGGCTAAATAATATTCCACTACACACACACACACACACACACACACACACACACACACACACCACATTTTCTTTATCCATTAATTCATTGACATAGATTGATTTCATATTTTTGCTATTGTTGTGAATAATGCTGCAATAAACATGGAAGTGCAGATATCTCTTCAATATATTGATTTTTTCCCTTTGAATATATACTCAGTAGTGTAAATGATGGATCATATGATAGTTCCATTTTAAATTTTTTGAGAAACCTCCATACAGTTTTCCATAGTGACTGTACTAATTACATTCCCACCAACAGTGTACTAAGATTCCCCTTTCTCCACATCTTTGCCAGCACCTGTTATTTCATTTTTTATAAAAGCCATTATACCTGGGATGAGATGTTATTTCATTGTGTTTTAATTTGCATTTCTCTGATGATATGTGATGTTGAGCATTTTTAAAATGTACTTTTTCATCATTTATATGTCTTCTTTTGAGAAATGTCTATTCAGATCTTTTCCTCATTGTTTTATTGAATTATTTATTTTTTGCTATTGAGTTGTTTGAGCTCCTTAGATATTCTGCTTATGAATCCCTTGTCAGATGGATAGTTTGAAAATATTTTATCCCATTATATGGGTTGCCTTTTCACTTTGTTGACTGTTTCCTTTGCTGTGCAGAAGAATTTTAGCTTGATGTAATCCAATTGTATATTTTTTGCTTTGGTTGCCTATGCTTTTGAGATCTTACACACAAAATCTTTACCCAGACCAATGTCCTGGATGTTTTCTCCAATGTTTTCTTCTAGTAGTTTCATAGTTATAGGTCTTCAATTAAAATATTTAATCCATTTTGATTTGATTTTTGTATACGGTGAAAGATAAGGGTCTTTTCATTCTTCTGTATATGTTATTTTTCTGTTTCCCCACACCCTTTAATGAGGAGGCTGTCCTTTTTCCATTAAATATTCTTGGCACCTGTGTCAAAAACAAGTTGGCTGTAATGCATAGGTTTATATCTGAGCTCTCTATTCTATTCCATTGGTCTATATGTCGGTTTTCATGCCACTAACATGCTGATTTTGTTACTATAGCTTTGTATATATTTTGAAGTTAGTGTAATGCCTTCAGTTTTGTTGTATTTGCTCAGAATTGCTTTGGCTATTCAGGGTACTTTTATGATTCCACATAAATTTTAGAATTTTTTTCTATTTTTATGAAGAATGTTATTGGCATTTTTTGGAGATTGCATTGAATACGTAATTTGCTTTAGGTGGTATGGTCGTTTTAACAATATTGGTTCTTCCAATCCATGAGCATGGAATATCTTTCCTTTTGTTGTGTCGTCTTCCATTTCTATCATCAGTGTTATATAGTTTTTCTAGTATGGATCTTTCACCTCATTGATTGAATTTATTCCTAGGTATTTGATATTCTTTGTAGCTATTGTAAGTGGGGTTGCTTTCTTGATTTATTTTTCAGATTATTTGCTGTTGGCTTATATAAATGCTATTGATTTTTGTATGTTGATTTTGTATTCTGCAATCTGACTGAATTAGTTTATCAGTTCTAACAGTTTTTGGTTTTTTAACAGTTCTTTAAGTTTTTCTAAGTATAACATCATATTGTTTGCAAACAAGACTAATTTGATTTCTTTTCCTATTTGGATGCCCTTTATTTCTTTCTCTTCCCTAATTTTTCTGCCCAGGACTTCCAGTATTAAATTGAATAAAAGTCGTGAAAGTGGACATGCTTGTCTTGTTTCAAATCTTGAGAGGAAAGGCCTTCAGTTTTTCCCCACTCCTCATCATGATGTTAGCTGTGGGTTTGTCATATATGGCCTGCATTATTTTTAGATATATTGTGTCTATGCCTACCTTGTTAAGGGATTTCATCATAAACAATGTTGAATTTTATCAAATGCTTTTTTGACATCTATTGAAATAATCATAGGTTTATTGTTCTTGGTCCTGTTAATGTGAGGTATCCCATTTATTGACTTATGTATATTGAACCAGCCTTGCATCCCTGCCATGATTCCTACTTGGTCATGATGAATATTTTTAATGTGTTGTTAAATTCAGTTGGCTAGTATGTTGTTGAGAATTTTTCCAATATGTTCATCACTAATATTGTTCTGTAGTTTTTGGTTGTTGTTTTGTCTTTCTCTGGTTTTTGTATCAGGGTAATGCTGGCCTGGTAGAATAAATTTGGAAGCTTTCCCGCCTCTTTAATTTTTGTGAAGAATTTGAATAGAATCGATATTAGTTTTCTAAAGAATGTTTTGTGTAATTCAGCAGGAAACCATCAAGTTCTAGGTTTTTCTTTCATGGAAGACTCTTTATTACAGTTTCAATCTCATTACTCATTATTGGTTTGTTCAGATTTTCTATTTCTTCATTATTCAATCTTTGTAGGCTGTACGTGTAAAAGAATTTAGGTTGGGTGTTGTGGCTCATTTTTATAATCCCAGTACTTTGGGAGACTGAGGTAGGGAGATCTCTTGAGCCCAGGAGTTCAAGACCAGCCTGGGCAACATGGCAAAACCCCACCTCTACAAATAATAATAATAATAATAATAATAATAATAATAATAATAATAATAATAACAACAAAATACAAAACATAGCCAGGTGTGGTTGTATGCACCTATAGTCCCAGGTACTTGAGAGGCTGAGGTGGGAGAATTACTTGAGCCTGGGAGGAAGAGGTTGCAGTTAACTGAGATGATGCTACTGTACTCCAGCCTGGGCAACAGAGTGAGATTTCTCCTAGGTTTTCCAATTCTTTGCTGTATATTTGTTAGTAATAGTTTCTAATGATTCCTTTTATTTCTATGGTCTCATTTGTTATGTGTCCTGTTTAATTTCTGATTTTATTTATTTGTGTCTTCTCTCTTTTTTCTTAGTCTAGCAAAAGGTTTGTCAATTTTGTTTATCTTTTCAAAAAACCTAACTTTTTGTTTAATTGATTTGTTGGATTTTTTTAGTTTCAATTTCATTTATTTTTGCTCTCATTTTTATTGTTTCTTTCTACTAATTTTGCGTTTGGGTTGTTCTTGCTTTTCCAGCTCCTGGAAGTGTCATGTTAGGTTGTTTATTTAAAATCTTTCCACTTTTTCGATAGAGGTGCTTGTTGCTATAAATTGCCCTCTTAGTTTTAGTTTTACTGTATCCCATAGGTTTTAGTATGTTCTATTTCTATTTTCATTTATTTCAAAAAAATTTTTAAATTTCCTTCTTAATTTCTTCATTGACTCATTGGTCAGTCAGAAACACATTAATTTATGTGTTTGTATATAATTTTCCACAGTTCCTGTTATTGTTGATTTCTAGTTTTATTCCATCGTGGTTAGAAAAAATACTTAATATAGTTTATACTTTCTTGAATTTGTTGAGACTTGTGTTTTGGCTTAAGACATGGTCTATTCTGAAGAATGTTCCATGTGCTGATGAAAAGAATGTGTATCCTGCAGCAGTTGGATGAAATGTTCTGTAAATGTCTGTTAGGCTTATTTAGTCTAGTGTGTAGTTCAGCTTTGATCTTTCTTTGCTGATTTTCTGTCTAAATGATCTGTTCATTACTGAGAGTGGAGTGTTAAACTCCTCTGCTATTGTATTTCAGTGTATCTCTCCCTTTAAATCTATTAATGTTTACTTTATATATCTGGGAGCTCCAGCATTGGATGCATATTTATAATTGATTTATTCTTTTGCTAGATTGACTCCTTTCTCTATATAGTAATCTTTTAATCTCTTTTTAAAATCTTAGATTTGTGATGTATTTTATCAGATATGAATACAGCACATACTACTCTCTTTGGGTTTCTATTTGCATGAAATATCTTTTCCCACCTCTTCACTTTCAAACTATGTATATCTTTGAAGGCAAAATGGGTTTCCTGTAGGCAGCATATAGTGGGTCTTTTTTTTTTTTAATTCCATTCAAGCATTCTATGCCTTTTAATTGAAAAATTGAGTTTATTTGCATTCAGTGTTACTATTGATAAGTAAGGACTTAATTCTGTCATTTTGTTGCTTATTTTTTAGTTGTTTTGTAACTCTCCTCTTCCTTTCTTTCTCTTTCCTTCTTTTTTCTTACTGGCTTCCTTTGTGGTTAAGTGATTTTCTCCAGCAGCGTGTTTTAATTTGTGACTTTTTATTTTTAGTGAATAGATATAACTTTTTGCATTGTTGTTACTGTAAGGCTTACAAAATACCTCTTATAGATATAACAAGTTAAATTAAAGAGATGATAATTTATTTTAGATCACAAATAAAATAATAGAAACAACTAATAAATGAAAAAACTCGATTTTAATAACATCTCCCATATTTTAACTTCAAGTTTTCTCAATTTATATATGTTTATATAGCCTTTCTCTTAACAGATTTTTCTACCTATAATTATTTCTTAGGACTTTTTCTTTTGGGCTTCATACTAGACTTATGACTGGAATGCACACCATGATTATAGTATTAGAGCATTCTGAGTTTGTCCATGTGCTTAATTTTACAGTGGATTTTACACCTGCGAATGTTTTCTTTTTTTACACTAGTGTTTTATTGTTTCAGATTAAATAACTCCCTTTAGCATTTCTTGTAAGACTGATCTGGTGGTAATGAATTCTCACAGCTTTTTGTTTTCCCTCTCTTTCCTTCATATTTGAAGGATAGCTTTGCTGGATACCATATTATTGGATGGCAGTTTTTTCTTTTAGCACTTTCAAAATGTCATATCACTCCTTCCTGGCCTCTATGGTTTTTATTGAGAGGTCAGTTGCCAAAGAAATTAAAGCTTTTTAATATGTTATTTGTGTCTTTCCCCTTGCTGCTTTTGAAATTCTCTCTACCCCTTGCCCTTGTACAATTCCAAGTTGAACACCAATATTTCATAATTTAGTATTTTGAGTACATTTTTATATCTAGTAGGTAATATGTTCCTTTTCATTCTTTTTTCTCCTCTGACTGTGTATTGTCAAACAGCCTGTCTTTGAGATCTCTAATACTTTCCTCTGCTTGATTCATTCTGCTATTGAGATCCTCTCATAAATTTTTCAGTTCACCAAATGTATTTCTCAGTTCCAAGATTTCTGTTTGATATTTTAAATTTACTCTCTTGTTAAATTTTTGATAAATTTCTGAATTGCTTTTCTGTGTTATTTTAGAGATTAATGAGTTTCCTTGAAACTGCTGTTTTGAATTATTGGTCATAGATATCATATACTGCTGTCTCGTTAAGGTCAGTAACTGGTTCCTTCCTTTATCTATTTGGGCAAGTGATAGTTCTCTTTTTGCTTGTTGTTTCTTGTGACACAATGTCTGTGTCTTTTCATTGAAGGATCATTTATTTATTTCAGTCTTTTCTATCTGGACTGTTTCTATTTTTTTATTGGATATGTTTGCTTAGAGATTCTTTGTAATTTGCCTGTTGATTTTCTTTCTTTTTTTTCTGACTTGCTCCCTATCTCCTTTTCAGCACT
This sequence comes from Homo sapiens, assembly GCF_000001405.40. Lineage (NCBI taxonomy): Eukaryota > Metazoa > Chordata > Mammalia > Primates > Hominidae > Homo > Homo sapiens. Next base: position 75,164,109 of record NC_000008.11, read on the forward strand.
AGATGACAATGTAAGCCCAGGTTTGCCTTGATTTTAGTAAACAATCAGAGTGCTGCCCATCCCATCTCAAAGGTGATAGCTCAGTAGTGTGGAAAGGCTGGCTAGAAATTCATGCCCAGGGAAGTCTGTGAAACATACTTCCTTCAGCATGGTGCTGCCGAACAGTCACTCTGATTTGACATCTCGTCTGGCCAAGTTACAAGAGCAGAGTTTCCAGGGCCAGCAATGGCAGTCTCACCTCCTACCTTTGTCTCTGGAAGACCTCAAGAATATTTCTCCCTTCAAACACTGCTGATACTTCCTATGAATTGAGGCAGAGACAGGTGTCCCGCCAGGGAAAGGTATCCTTCCACGGAAATCAAGATGGTAGCAAAGCTGGTTGTCAACCTCAATCTCACCTTTTCCAGTGTAGAAACTGTAAGTTGGTGGAGGGCGGGGGGCAATTTGCTGGGTACTTAGTGCTGGGCAGATTGGGGTCAAGGGGATCCTGGTTATGGAAACCCAATTCTCTTACCATCTGCTCAAAGTTTTTCCAGTTCTCTGTGGCCCAGGGAGCTGTTTCCTCATATTTGAGTTCTGGCACATTACTGGTGATAACTTTGGCACTGTATATTTGCTTTTGGTTTTCTGTAGGGGAGAGTGAAGCCAGTTTACTTCTACACATCATTTTGGAACCAGAAGTCTTCCAGAATGTGGGAATTAATTTTGAAAAATGTTTATTTAGAAAATCATTTCATGAGGAAGAAGAAAAAAGATGGAAAATAAATCCTAATTGACTATAGTTTCCCAGTGATAAAGAATGCTCCTAACATCTTTTATTAGATAACTAAGCTCAATAAGTCATCTATTTCATAGAGTAGCTTATGTTTTTTTTTTTTTTTTTTTTTTTTTTTTTTTTTCAGAATCCAGCATAAATATGGGTGAAACTGAATTGTTATTTCCTCCCATCCTCCCAGTTCTTGGTCAAATAGAAAAAGTTGGATAGAATAAAAAGCCTTTACCTGAATAAATAAGAAAAAAACTCATGAAAATATTGGATAAAATATATAAATCTATATTTATATTTATGCATACACACACACACACACACACACACATCCAAGTAGGAGTCATTGTGAAAATTCTCTTTCAAATCTAATTAATGATAGTTTTTGATATAATCCTGTACTCTGTCCTATTGAAATCCTCAAAATATATTTCAGAACTGATGACTAAGATTTTTATTTGTCTAATTTTAGGAATTTTAATGAGGTTTTGTTCTCCCAAACTTCTGTAAAAATGCTTCTGATTCTGCCAATTTGTTCAGATTTTCCAGGAGAAAATCTGCCTTTAATTTTTATGATTTAGTATTTTTCCCAGAACTTTGAATAGAGACTCCAGTCATACAACAAATTAGTTTGTAAAGAAAAATGAACAAATTGGCAAATAAAATGATTACACAAACCTGCAATACTGAAAAAAAATTTAGCTTATATTTAAACGTGTTAGAAAGATTTGTCTTTGTGATGTGAAAAGAACTTTTTATGTCTAAAAATTACAGTAACAAGAAAAATGAAATTTGTCTTTGAGGATTCTTATTTTTAAAATCTATGCAGAAGGAAAAGTAATTTGCAATTACCTAGCACAAGAAAAAATGTACGTACTTTGCAACTTAGAATTTACATTTCCAGAAAATTCTCACACATGTGCACAAAAAGATATGTACAAGTGTTCATTTCTGTATTACTAGCAGAAACAAAAGAAAATGCTCATTAATAGAGGGTAGATAAGATATGTTATATTTATAAGATGTGATGTAGAATATCAGTTACAACAAAATAAATAAACTTAATGTATCAAAAAATAAAGCTCAAAACAAAATGATAAACAATTTATAAAATGATAAGACACTACAAAAACATATGGTACCATTTATGTATATTTATAACAAAACACGCAAAAATTCTAAATACTCTCCAAGAGTGCATATAATGTAGATTCAAATGTATTAAAAAATTATAAGTATACATATTAAGTTCATAATCATGTTTAATTCAAGGGAAAAGAAAGTGACTAGATTTGAGGGAAGTGCTTCAAATTTATCTATAGGTTGTGTTATTGCTTGTACAAAAACAGTTGAAACAAGTATAACCAAATTGTAATAACTTTTCATTCTGGTTGTTGGGTAAATGGTTATCCATTATATTGTTATTTGGCTATTTCTTCATTTTAGAATTTCTCAACAATAATCACACAAAAACCTACATAAATGTAATTAAATGTTAGTTATCTAAGTACAGATAATAATAATTTCTTTTATTGATTATTTGTTGTACTTAAACTCCAGCAGCCTTTGTGTAGCAACCAGCAGGATTTGTCTCTTAAGCCTATATGTATCTAGGATCGCAGGAGTCCCAAAACACTTTATTCAAGATTTCCAAGTCTGAATCCATTTATGAGGGCACTGAGTTTATTGATGAAGCCAGAAGTTGGTCCCAGGATTCTTTGAAATTTGGGGAAAAACAAGACAATATTTTGAATCTTTTCTTTCTACAATTAGACTACTTCTGTAATTTCAATATTTGTGTCATCCTAAAATTTATATTTTGAAACCTAGTCATCATGTTATGGTATTAAGAGGTAGAGTTGGGGAGGTGATTAGATCATGAGGGTGGAGCCCTCATAAATGAAATTAGTCCTCTTATGAAAGGGGCCTCAGAGAGCTGTCCCTTCCACCAAATAAGGACACAGAGGGAAGGGAAGGTGCCATTTGCCATCGAACTCCAAATTTGCCAGTGCCTTGATCTTGATGTTCCCAGCATTCAGAACTGTGAGAAATAAATGTCTGTTGTTCAAAAGCTGCCCACTTTATGGTATTTTGTTATGGCAAGCTGAATAGACTAACACAACTATGCTACATCTAGAATCTACTTATTACTTGAGGTAAAACTTAATTTTCAGAAATCATCAAAAATTACTCTTTTGAAATGCCAACAACACATAACCCTTTTATTTTCTATAAATTAAGATTTGGAATTTTTCCCAAAATTTTGGTTTGAAATTCGTTGAACTTAGAGAGTTTCCGTTTCATATCCCTAGACCCATAAGGAGAACTTATTAGGCATTTTAACAAACGTTAGGCCTCCCCATATCCAAGCTTCTCATCATAAAACTTGCCTTCCTACAGTACGTTCCCTGTGTGGAATTACTCATCAACCATGTGGCCTCCTGGTAAAAATGGTGACTTCCAGTGCTGGCTTCCACTATGGATCATAAAGACACTACATCCTTCTTCATCTTGTTAGTAGTTGTCCAAAGCTGCAGCACTAAGATATATCTGCCAGAAACTTGAAATATTGAACATGTGGTCTCCAGGAAGGGACAGTGGAAGTAAGACTATTATAGGAACTTCTGTGGTGCCAGAACAGTTTTGGCAGCAACAGGAGTATTGGTAAAGCCTATAGCTGCAGCAAATTGGCTGCATAATACTAGTATCAGCAGCCCCTAAAACTGTGCTTTCTGTTTCTGAGCCAAGTTCTTCAGCCTCAATTTTGTGAAATGAGTAATTTATTTGCTGAAATTTTCCAGAGTTGCTATCTATTGCTTGCAACCAAAAACCCACTACACATTCAGGATGAATAAAAATGTCCCCAAACAGCCCCAAACAAAAGCCTTTGGGAAACAGATTCTTGCATACATCTTTTGTCTATGCTTAAAAAGTGGGCATTATACTAACTTTCAAAATTTTTTTTTTTTTAAATTCTACATGCAAAGATGAAGCATCACTAAGAATGCAACTTTATTTTAAAAATTATTTCATTTTTCTCTGTGCTAAACAGTCTAAGTTTTCCATGCTAGATTGACAATATGGGAGGGATGTGAAGGTATATTAAGCTGTTCCTCCATTGCTATAAAGAAATACCTGAGACTATGTAATTTGTAAGAGACTGAATGGGCTCACAGTCCTGCAGACTGTACAGGAAGCATGGTGGCATCCACTTCTGGGGAAGCCTCAGGGAACTTACAGTAGAAGGCAAAGTGGAAGCAGGCCATCTTACATGGTGGGAGTAGGAGCAAGAGAGAGAGAGAGAATAAGGTGGGAGGTGCTACACACTTTTAAGCAACCAGTTCTCAAGGGAACTCACTATCATGAGGATAGTACAAAGGGGAAATGGTGCTGAAGCATTCATAAAAAATTCACCCTTATGATCCAATCACCTCCCACCAGGCCCCACCTCTAACACTGGAGATTACAATTTGACATGAGATTTGGTGGGGGCACAGATCCAAACCATGCACCCCAAATCTCACGTTCTTATATTGCAAAACACAATCATGACTTCCCAATAGTCTCCCAAAGTCTTAACTCATTCCAATATTAACTCAAAAGTCCAAAGTCTCATCTGAGAGAAGGCTGGTCCCTTCTGCTCTGAGCCTGGAAAATAAAAACCAAGTCAGTATTTTCCAAGATACAATGGAGGTATAGGCATTGGGTAAATACCCCTATCCCAAAAGAGATAAATCAGCCAATAAAAGAGTCCAGAGGCCCCATGCAAGTTCAAAACCCAGCAGGGCAGTCATTAAACATTAAAGCTCCAAAATAACCTTTTTTGACTCTATGTTCACATCCAGGACACACTGTGCCACATCCAGGGCACACTGGTATAGAGGTTGGCTCCCAAGGACTTGGGAAGCTCTGCCCCTGTGGCTTTATAAGGTTCAACCGCCATGGCTTTCCTTATGGGCTGACGTTGAGTGCCTGTGGCATTTCCAGACACAGGATGCAAACTGCTGGTGGATCTACCATTCTGGGGTCTGGAGGATGGTGACCCTCTTCTCACAACTCCACTAGGTGATGCCCTAGTGGGGACTCTGTGTGGGAGCTCCAATCCCACATATCCTCTCTGCATTGCCATAGTAGAGGTTATCCATGAGGGCTCTGCCTCTGCAGCAGAGCTGGGAAATCCAGGCTTTTCCATACATCCTCTGATATCTAAGTGGAGGCTCCCAAGCCTCAACTCTTGCCCTCTGTGTATTGGCAGGTTTAACACCACGTGGAAGCTGCCAAGGCTTATGGCTTGCACCCTCTGAAGCAGCAGCCCAAGCTGTGCCTGAGACCCTTTCAGCTATGGCTGGAGCCGGAGCTGGAGCAGCTGGAATGCAGGGAACAGTGTCCTAAGGCTGCACAGGGCAGTGGGGCTCTGAGCCTTGCTTATGAAACCATTCTTCCTTCCTAGGACTCTGGGCCTGTAATGGGAAGTGCTGTCATGAGGGTCTCTGAAATGTCTTCGAGGCCTTTGCCCATTGTCTTCCTATTAGCATTGGCTGCTTTTACTCATGAAAATTTCTGCAACCTGCTTCTACAATTCCTCCCCTGAAAATGGGTTTTTCTTTTCTACCACATGGCCAGACTGCAAATTTTGCAAACTGTTATGCTCTGCTTCCCCTTTAAATATAAGTTCAAACTTTAGGTCATTCATTTGCTTACATATATGAGAATACGTTTTTAGAAGCAACCAGGACACATCTTGAAAACTTTGCTGCTAAAAATTTCTTCCATCAGATACCCTAAATCATCATTCTCAAGTTCAGATTCTGCAGATCACTAGGCCATGGGCACAATGCAGCCAATTTCTTCTCTAAGGCATAACAAAAGTAACCTTTGCTCCAATTCCCAATAAATTCTCAGTTCTATCTGTGATCTCCTCAGCCTGGACTTCACTGTCCATATCACTATCAGTATTTTGGTCACAACAATTTAACCAGTCTCTAGGAACTTCTAAACTTTTCCTCAGCTTCCTATCTTCTTCTGAGCCTTCCACACTCTTCCAACTTCTGCCTGTTACCAATTCCAAAACTGATTCCATATTTTCAGGTGTCTTTATAGCAATGCCCCCACTTTTTGGTATCAATTTTCAGTATTAGGCTGTTCTCGCATTGCTATAAAGAAATACCTGAGAAGGGGTAATTTATAAGAAAAGAGGTTTAATTGGCTTATGGTTCTGTAGGCAGTACAAGAAGCATGCTGGCATCTGCTTCTGGGGAGCCCCCAGGAGTTTGTACTTACAGCAGAAGACAAAGTGGGAGCTGTCTTACATGGTGGGAGCAGGAGCAAGAGAGAGAGAGAACAAGGAAGGAGGAGATGAGACACACTTTTAAACAACCAGATCTCACAAGAACTCACTCACTAATGCGAGGATAGTACCAAGATAGTACCAAGAGAAGATGGTGCTAAACCGCTCATCAGAATTCCACCCCCATGATTTAATTACCTCTCACTAGGCCCCATCTACAATACTGTAGATTACAGTTCAACATGAGATTTGCTGGGGACACAGATCCAAACCATATCAGAAGGGAAAAGCATTGCACCAATCTCAGTGCCACATTGATGTCATTGCTAGGGTGGGAAGTTCACCAAATCAAAGTGGATAACAGAATCTTAAAAAATATAAACAAGAAAAGCTCAAATTAGTTTCTTAATATCAGAGGACTTGGCAATAATTGTTTCATAACTAAGAATATAATAGTTCTGGTAGAAACTAATATTCTTGCCTCAGAGTCATAGATAACATGTATAAGTTTGTAAACTTTTCAGTCTTAACATCACTTTGACTAAAACAACTAATCTCAGAGAAAGTAAAAGTCCTAGATAGGTTAATATTTTAAAGATAGCAGTGTTCCCAGTTATTTTGAGCTGAATTTTGTCTCCCTCAAATTCAGATGTTGAAGTTCTAGTCTCTAGGACCACACAATATGACTGTATTTTTATATAGGGCCTTTAAAGAGGTGATTATGTTAAAATGAGGCCACTGGGGTGGGTCCTGATTTAATCTGACCAGAGTCTTTTTAAGAAGAGAACATTTGGACACACAAAGAGACATCAGAGATGTGTGCGCGCAGAGAAAAGACCATATGTGGACACAGCTACAAGATGGTCATCTGTAAGCAAAGGAGCAAGCTTCAGGAGAAACCAGACCTGCTGTTGTCTTGATTTGGAATTTCTAGCTTCCATAATTGTGATACAATACATTTTTTTTGTTTAAGCCACCCAGTCTGTGGTGTTTTGTTATAGCTGCCCGGGTAACTGGTACAGTAGTATAGGTGGGTTTTTGATCACTAATAAATAAAATATTTTAACAAATGAGATTCAAATTATTCTTTGAATCTGGTGTAGAATAGAGAGCCTCAAATTGAAAGACGTATCAAGAAAGCAATTAAATGTGATATAATATGATAAAATAAAATATTGGGCTATGGTTTTATTGTTTTGTATTTATGTACATGTATCATAATTGCTTAAAAATTTAATTCTGGGATTTTTTTTTTTTTGAGAGTCTCACTTTGCACCCAGGCTGGAATGCAGTGGCACAATCTCAGCTCACTGCAAACTCTGCCTTGTGGGCTCAAGCAATTCTCATGCCTCAGCCTCCTGAGTAGCTGGGATTACAGGTGCTCCACCATGCCCAGCTAATTTTTGTATTTTTAGTAGAGTTGGGGTTTTGCCCTGTCAGCCAGGTAGTTCGCAAACTCTTGACCTCCAAGTGATCTTGACCTCCAAGTGATCTGCCTGCCTCCGCCTTCCAAAGTGCTGGGATTACAGGCACTTTGGAACCACCATGCCTGGCTGATTCTTGGATATTTTAATGTATGGTGGCCAATTCTTCTAGGGAAAGGATAGACTTCTGTTTAAAGAATTAAGCTCTTTCTACATTCTTTTTAACTTGTTCTTTCTTTTGCAATATGTTGATTGTAAATGGTAGAAATTTTTGTTCCTTCACTAATATTAACTTCCCTGACTTAATAAAATAACAAGTTTATAACCTTCTGTCAGAGTTGGTAGGAGAACTTTAACCCCCTAAGAAAAAACAACTAAAATAATTCTCTGTAGAGTTTAGCTTTAAAAAATAAATGGCAATGGGCCAGGTATGGTGGCTCATGGCTATAATCCCAATGCTGTGGGAGGCCAAGGCAGAGGATTGCTGGTGCCCAGGAGTTTGAGACAAGCATGGATAACATAGCAAGACACAGTCTCTACCAAAAAAAAAAAAAGAAAATTAGATGGGCACGGTGGTTTGGTGTGTAGTCCCAGTTACTCAGGAGGATGAGGTGGGAAGGTCGCTTGAGCCCAGAAGTTCAAGACTGTAGTGAACTATGATCACACCACTTTACTCCAGCCTGTGTGACAGAGTGAAACTCTGTTTCTAAAATAAAGTAAAATGTAAAATAAAATATTAGTGGATTCATGTGGGAGATAGTAAGTAAAAGCATAGTCATTTACTACTTAGCTCATTTATCAAGAATAAAAATGCAAAAAAAATCAGCAATAAAATGATAGTCAAATAGTTTGCAGGAATTAAAAAAATGATATAAAGTAGAATTCATCAGAATGTCTTTAATTCCTAGCTTATGAAATCTTCGTACTTTGACTTAGACATGTAGTAAGTCAACATGTTTGTTGTGCTGTCTATAACAGGCACTCAATAAATATTAGAGTCCTTTCTTTCTTCCCTTATGTAAACATTCAGGAATCATAGAATTTTAAGAAATCACTTAGTGAAAAGCAAAGACAATTTTTTTAAAGGAGAAAAATATTTAAAGTAACATTAACATAAACAAAATTATTTTTAAATATTTGGACATATCAAGCAGCAAAAAGCAGTAAGTAAAAGAGGATAGATGAGAGATATCATGGTTTATATGTCTGTGCAGATAAAGTCTATTTGAAATGTATATGAATAATTTGAATTTTATATGCAAATAAGTACCATTTTTGAAGGATTTGAAGATGGAAGTGATGTGGCCAAAGCAATGCATTTGCAAGATTATTTTGGCAGCAGTGTCTGGCAACATGTTGTAGAAATACAAACACATGTAGGAGGGGTGAGACTACATACGTGGAGGTTGGAGAGGTGAGATGAAATCAACCAGATGTGCAATATGCCACTGTGAAAACAGAGAAAAGAATGTTTGAAGGAAGAAACACTGAGTTTTTTCAGGTGGGTTCCAAAATAACACTAAGTGGTTGATTTTATGATGTGGAATCTTAAAAAAAAAAAAATAGATGGCAAAGTAAAGAACCAGAGAGCAAAAAGATAAAGATGTGAACATCTGGTAACATAAGTAAAATATTTGGAATGAAGTGAATAATTTATTTACATTGTGGAAGTCTTTAAAGTAATTAAACATGAGCAAAATATTTTTATTTCTAGTTTCTTAATGCAAGATTATTAATTTTTGCCATATATAATTCTAACTATACATATATATGTATGTGTGTGCATATATACATATATGTGTAGAGTTAGGTACACATATACCTACAGTGTTATATACAATCTCTATATATTTTAAGAATATATATTTTAATTAACTATGCCTCTCAAATATTTGCCACATCATTAAATATTCTACAACAGCATTTATCATACATTATCCTGGTAACCCTGTACCACGAGACCTTAAATTATCTATAAACATAGTTTTCCTATTTTTAGAAGGATTTCATTCAATATCTCTTGCATCCTTCTCTGTGGAGAAACACAAGGAATGTTAGACTATTACCTTATGTGATATTTATTGACACATAAATATATTATATAATTTGCTGGACTGAGATACTTATTTTTTTTCCATAGGATTCTTTCCAAAGATCAATGTTTCTGAATACATGCTTGGGAAATATTGTTATATTTTATGTCTATATTCTATTCCATTCTATATAGTATATTTAATTAATCCATTATTAATGGACTTTAAGGTTTTTTTATTTACTTAGCATTAAGGTGGATTATCCTTGTATCTGTAAGTTTTAATAATTAATTGATTATTCTCTTATGGTCCTTTTCTAGTCAAGAACTTAGAAAAACTTTACACAAATAATTATAGGTTTGAGGATGTATTGTTATATTACCCTTCAGAAAGTATATACTAATTTATATTCCTGTCAGCATTATTTGTATATCTGAAAATTTAATAGTCAACTTTGAACTGATTTTGAAAAACAAAGGACTTATCTAAACTATAAAGCTAGAGTTATGGCATAGATACAGATGTTTTAAATTTATTTTTGCTTTAATATTAATATTTCTTATTACTTTTTGTTGTAATAAGTAAAATTTTCAGGAAGATATAGTTACACTGAAAATCAGAGCTGGAAGAGATTTCCCCAAAGCCACACAGTTAGTAAGCAACAAAGATGGTTCTAGAACCAAGTCTCCTTGGCATCTATCTTGTTCTCTAAACCACTTAGCCATACTACTTCATAAGAGAGAATTTCCAAATCATGGAGTCAAACCTAGCCAATAACTGGCAAAGTGCTAAATTATAATCACCACATCACACAGTAAAGTCCAGAAATTTAGGCTGTATTTATAACTCTGCCATTCCCCACTTATGTGAACTTACACACCTAATTTACCAAGGTTTTAGTTTTTTTTGTATAAAATGCAATCAGTTCCCTATAGTTCAAACATCCTATAAATAATGAATGTGAGTAAAAATGTTATACCTACTTACATATAAATTTCTTTAAATTATTTATAATTGCATTAGTGTTTATACATTTCAATAACTTTCTTTTTAAAAATTTTGAATATCAGGGGAACCAGCCACCAATATTTCATCGTAGGTTCTTTTCTATTTTCCCTAAGTGTCGGCTGGTATGAGAAATAAGAGAAAGAGTACAAAGAGAAATTTTACAGCTGGGCCACTGGAGGTGACATCACATATCAGCAGGTTCCATGATGCCCACCTGAGCAGCAAAACCAGCTAGTTTTTATTAAGGATTCTAAAAGGGGAGGGGGTGTACGAACAGTGAGTAAGTCACAAAGATCACGTTTCAAAGGGCAATAAAATATCACAAGGCAAAGGCAAAATTAGAATTACTGATGAGGGCCTATGTCCTGCTGTGCATGCATTGTCTTGATAAACATCTTAACAGGAAACTGGGTTTGAGAGCAGACAACCATCTGACTAGAAATTACCAGGCTGGAGTTTCTCAATCCTAGTAAGCCTGAGGGCACTGCAGGAGACCAGGGCATATTTCAGTCCTTATCTCAACCACATAAGACAGACACCCCCAGAGCGGCCATCTATAGACCTACTGCCAGGAATGCATTCCTTCCCCAGGGTCTCAATTATTAATATTCCTTGCTGGGAAAAGAATTCAGTGCTATTTCTCCTACTCACACATCCATCTATAGGCTTTCTGCAAGAAGAAAAATATGGCTCTATTCTGTTTTACCCCGCAGGCAGTCAGACCTTATGGTTATCCTTCCTTGTTCCCTGAAAATTGCTGTTATTCTGTTCTTTTTCAGGGTGCACTGATTTCATATTGTTCAAACACACATGTTTTACAAACAATTTGTACAGTTAATAATACAATCATCACAGGGTCCTGAGGTGACATACATCCTCAGTTTACGAAGATGATGGGATTAAGAGATTAAAGTAAGACAAGTGTAAGAAATTATAAAAGTATTAATTTGGGGAACTAATAAATGTCCATGAAATCTTCAAAATTTATGTTCAGAGATTGCAGTAAAGACAGGTGTAAGAAATTATAAAAGTATTAATTTTGGGAACTGATAAATGTCCACGAAATCTTCACAATTTATGTTCTTCTGCTGTGGCTTCAGCTGGTCCCTCCATTCAGGGTCCCTGACTTCCCGCAACATTTGAATGTATTTTTTATCTTATTTATTATAAATAGTATTTACCATTGTATTGCAGACTACTAGTTGGTATCTCTTACTAAACAAAATAAAGAATGGAAGAATAAAATAGAAAAATTTTGAAGAAATGTTGATAATTGTTAATGAAAAAGGAACTATTATAGTTCTGATAAAATTAACATTTATATGCTAATTACACTTATCACTATTTATATTTTTTAAATAGTTTCTGGTTTACAGAAAACTTAAAAGAACAGTATATAGAATTCCTTGGTACTTTTCACCTAGATTCTCCAAACCTTATTATATTTGCTTTATCATTTTTCTAGATAGATAAATAGATAAGTAGAAAACTTTTCTCTGAACCATTCAAGAGCAATTTGCAGACATAATGTCCTTTTAGCATAAACACTTTAATCTTTATTTCCCACAAACATATCCACAGTACAATCATCAAAAAAATTAATATTGATGCAAGACTTTTTTGTGATTTCACCAATGTTCATTGATGAATTTTGAGCAAAAGAAAATCCAAAATCCTTTCTTATATTCAGTTGTCAAGACTTTGGTCCCCTTTAATGTTTAAGAATTTTTTTGGCCGGGCGCGGTGGCTCACGCTTGTAATCCCAGCACTTTGGGAGGCCGAGGCGGGCGGATCACGAGGTCAGGAGATCGAGACCATCCTGGCTAACACGGTGAAACCCCGTCTCTACTAAAAATACAAAAAAAAAAATTAGCCGGGCGTGATGGTGGGCGCCTGTAGTCCCAGCTACTCGGGAGGCTGAGGCAGGAGAATGGCGTGAACCCTGGAGGCGGAGCTTGCAGTGAGCCGAGATTGCGCCACTGCACTCCCGCCTGGGCCACAGAGCGAGACTCCGTCTCAAAAAAAAAAAAAAAAAAGAAAAAAGAAAAAAGAATTTTTTTTTTGGTATTTTATGACATTGACAGTTTCAAAGAATAGAAGACAGTTACATTTTTATAATGTTCTTCAATTTGAGAATATTTGTCTGATGTTTTCACATGATTAAATTGAAGTTATGCACTTTGAGAAGAAATATAGTTTTCAGCTGACCCATGTGTGCATAGGTTCTAAATTACCTAAGATTTGGAGGATCACTTGAGCCCGGAGGTTGGAGGCTGCAGTGAGCTATTATTGTGCCACTGACCTCCAGTAGAGGCAACAGAGTGAAACTTTGTCTCTATTTTTTTTTAAGTTGTTTCCCCAAGATGGTAGATTAGAGACTTTCAGCTTGCCTCAGCCACTTGGAAGTAGCAAGATAGTGCATAAAGATCAACTCTGCAAGCTTTAATTTACAAAGGAAAGTGGGAATCCACCAGAATCATGAAGGACATCTTAGATCCCAGGAAGGAGCGCAGAGGCTAACAGCCTCTGTGACAGCACCTAGCTAACAGAAGTGAGGGAAGCCCCAATACGTGAGAGGCAGAGAGCCTCCCTCTGTGATGCACCTTTCTCCTGGGGATCCAGGCAACCCCGGTTGAGACATAGCACGTTGTTTTGTTAGTTCCAAGCCCTGGAGCTAACTTGGGGAGAGGCCTGGGGATGTTGTGAGGAAGACACCAGGATAAGCTGCAGACATTTTCCCAGACCTGGAACTGAGAGTAGAATGCAATTTTTAAATAGGACACATAAAAAATCAGCCATTGTTTGGTGACCTGGCAACATGGCTGCATAGACATTACATTTTAGTCTTGGGTCAGAGATTGGTGCATATGGAGTGGTGCAGGGGCTTCTATAGCCTGAACTGTGGACAGTGCCTCTGCAGTAGGCATTGGAATTGTGCTCTCCCCCATTGCCAGCCTGAGGCAGGAGGAAACTGCTGCAGCTGCAGTTTTTTCTGGGTGGTGAGTTTTGCAACCAGCCAGCTTGGTAACTGGAAACTAATCTGTGTGTGCCACACTGAGTGCCCCATTCTGCTCCCCTGACAGCATGGTGCAGCAGGGCCCTCTCTGCTCCACTGGCAGGCAGAAATTCCAGCATTTGGAGCACTTGCTTCCCTGGACCAGCAGCCTGAGCCACCCCACCCTACATGGACATAGATCATGTGTCCGGAATTGGTGGGTTCTTGGTTTCACTGACTTCAAGAATGAAGCTGCGGAACCTCGTGGTGAGTGTTACAGTTCTTAAAGATGGTGTGTCCGGAGTTTGTTCCTTCAGATGTTCAGATGTGACTGGAGTTTCTTCCTTCTGGTGGGTTCATGACCTTGCTGACTTCAGGAATGAAGCTGCAGATCATCGTGGTGAGTGTTACAGCTCATAAAGGTGGCACAGACCCAAAGATTGAGCAGCAGCGAGATTTATTGCGAAGAGCGAAAGAATATAACTTCCACAGCATGGAAGGGGACCCAAGCAGGTTGCGGCTGCTGGCTCCGGTGGCCTGCTTTTATTCCCTTATCTGGCCCCACCCACATCCTGCTGATTGGTCCATTTTACAGAGAGCTGATTGGTCCGTTTTACAGAGAGCTGATTGGTCCATTTTGACAGAGTGCATTTACAATCCTTTAGCTAGACACAGAGTGCTGATTGGTGCATTTACAATCCTTTAGCTAGACACAAAAGTTCTCCAAGCCCCCACCAGATTAGCTAGACACAGAGTGCTGATTGGTGCGTTTACAGTCCTTTAGCTAGACACAAAATTTCTCCAAGTCCCCACCAGATTAGTTAGACACAGAGTGCTGATTGGTGCATTTACAAACCTTTAGCTAGACACAGAGTGCTGATTGGTGCATTTACAATCCTTTAGCTAGACAGAAAAGTTCTCCAAGTCCCCACCTGACCCAGAAGCCCAGCTGGCTTCACCTCTCAATGGCACTCACCGTGGGACTTTGTGGCACCTAGCCCTGGCACTCTGGCAGCCCACAGGGAGCTCATCCCTCGATCAAGACCAGCAGGCACCAGCTGGCCACACCGAGTGTGGGGCCCACCAAGCCCGCACCCACTCGGAACCCGTGCTGGCCTGTGAGTGCTGCACGCAGCCCCGGCTCCCGCTCATGCCTCTACCTCCACACCTCCCCATGAGCAGAGGGAGCTGGCTCTGGCCTCAGCCAGCCCCAGAGAGAGGCCCCCACAGCACAGCGGCAGGCTGAAGGGCTCCTTGAGTGTGGCCAGAGCAGATTCTGAGGCTGAGGAGGTGCTGAGAGTGAACGAGGGCTGCTACCACATTGTCACCTCTCAATCATAGTGCAGTGAGACTGTCTCTGCTCCATGCCCAGGCAGATTGCCAGGCATTCACAGCATCAATTTGTGAGTACCCATGCCTGATTCAGTAGCCTGAGCCACACTACTCTTCATGGGCATAGATTATGGTACAATGCAGCATTCTCTGTGACACACCCAGGCATTCAGAGTAGCCACTTGCCTGGTTCAACGGACTAGGTTGCCCCACTCCTCCTTTGCAGAGTTCCTGGTGCAGAGGACCCTCTCCATCCGTGCCCAGACAGATCTCCAAACATTCAAAACACCTGTTCACCTGGATCAGCAGCCTGACCTGCCCCACCCTTCCCATGCAGAGATCTTGGTGCAGGTATCCCCTCTGCTGCATGCCTTGGCAGCTCACCAGGCATCCGGAGCACTCACTCTCCTGGATTAGGAGTTTAAGCTATTATTTCCTATCCCTGTGCAGTGATTTGGGGCCGAAGAGGTTTCCCAGCTCCATGCATAGGCACATCTCTGGATGATTGATGGCTGCCCATTGGAGTCTACCTCAGCTGAGGTGCTTATGCTTGCCATCAGGGAATCTCTAGGTAGACCTGCCTCATCCAGCCCTGCCCTTCTTGGCCCCAGTCTCCCACACCACCAGGGCTGACCAAGGAGCTCAGAACACTTTGAATTACACAAATCAGCCCACTGCCTGAGGCAACAGAGAGCTTCTCCTAGTAAACAAGGATCAAGTATATACCCAGCCACATTGCCTGCAGTCAGCTCTCACCTATAGGTGCCATCTACTATTTGAAGATCAAACTGCACAGCCCAATATGAAGACTGCCAAATATAAAAGTTTTTCCAAAAGAAGTGTATAAAAGCAAAGCCAAAGACACTACCCAACACGGTCTATAGTAGCACACCCTAGAGAAGCAGGGAAAGGAAAATAAGAAAAAAAATAAGTATATTAAAGGGAAATAAAGAAAAAGAAAAAATCTTACAAGCATGAAAATAATTACAAAAAATTAGAAGTGCTAGTGTCTCCAGATGAGAAGGAACTGACATAAAAATTTTGGTACCATGAAAAATCTGAATGTAGTGGCACCAGCAAAGTATTGCAATAGCTTTTCAACAATGATTGCAAATAAAAATGAAACTCAGAAATGGCAGATAAAGAATTCAAAGCTTGGATTGGAAGGAAGTTCAATGAGATCCAAGACAAGGTTGAAAACTGACAAAAAGAAACTTGTAAAGCAATCCAGGAAATGAAGAAAAAGAGAAATATCTTAAAAAGAAATTAATCAGTGCTTTGGAATAGAAAAACTCACTTAAGAAATTTCAAAATACAACTGCTTTTATATACAATATACAAGCTTTATAAACAGACTATATACAATTTTTTGTATATGTATTATATGTATATTGTGTGTATATTATATATGTATATACATATTTATGTATGTTATATATTATATGTATATTGTATGTACATATGTATATTATATATTTATATATAATATACAATATACAAGCTTTATAAACAGACTAGATTGAGCAGAAAAAAGAATTGTATGTATATTATATATGTATACACATATATGTATGTATATTATATATAATATATCATATGTATATACGTATATTGTATAGCAAAGTCTTGAAGACTTTGCTCATTTTATTTAATTCTTTTGTTAAAAAAGTTGTCTGATTGGGTTAGTTTGAAAGGCCAGTCTTCAAGCTCTGTGATTCTTTTTTCTGCTCAATCTAGTCTGTTTATAAAGCTTGTATATTCTATATAAGATATATACAATATATATCTTGTATATATACACAAAATATATACCTTGTATACATATATACACATAATATATACCTTATATATATACACACAATATATATACCTTGTATATATATACACACAATATATGTATACTATATATATACACTATATATATTGTAAGATACATACAATATATAAGTATATAAGATATATACTATATATAGTATATAAATTGTATATAAGATATATACTTATATATTGTATATGATATATACAATATACAAACTTTATAAACAGACTAGATTGAGCAGAAAAAAGGAATCTCAGAGCTTGAAGACTGGTCTTTCAAACTGACTCAGTCAGACAATTTTTTAAAAAAAAGAATTAAATAAAGTGAGCAAAGTCTTCAAGAAATAAGGAATTACGTAAAGTGATAGATCTTAGGAATTATTTGCATGCCTGAGAAAGAAGGACAAAAGCAAACACTCTGTGAAATATATTTGAGGAAATAACTCAAGAAGACTTCCTTAATCTTGCTAAAAATTAAGACATCTAGATACAAGAAATCCAGAGAATGCCTGTGAGATGTTTTACAAAATGAACATTGCCAAGGCTTATATTCACCAGACTGCTCAAGGTCAAAGCTAAAAAAAAAGTCTTGGTTGAGCATGGTGGTTCACACCTGTAATCCTAGCACTTTGGGAGGCCGAGGCAGGTAGATCCCTTGAGGTGGGGAGTTTGAGACCAGTCTGGCCAAAATTATGAAACCCTGGTGGTGCATGCCTGTAATCCCAGCTACTTGGGAGGCTGGGACAGGAGTCACTTGAACCTGGGAGGTGGAGGTTGCAGTGAGCTGAGATCGCGCCACTGTCTTCCAGCCTGGGTGACAGGGTGAGACTCAGTCTCAAAACATAAAAAAGTAAAAATAAAAATAAAATAAAAAAGTCTTAAAGACAGCTACAGAAAATGGGCAAATCCCTTACAAAGGGAACCCAATCAGGCTAATAGCAGACTTCTCAGCAGAAATATTAAAAGCCAGGAGAGATTGGGGGCCTATTTTCAGCATTTATAAAGAAAAGAAAAGCCAACCAGGAATTATATATCCCCTCAAACTAAGCTTTATAATTGAAGGAGAAAAAAATCATTTCCAGATAAGCAACTTGTAAGGTAATTTGTTACCACTAGACCACCCTTATGGGAGATCCTTAAGGGAGTTCTAAACATGGAAATGAAAGAATAATACTTGCCAACACACACACACACACACACACACACACACACACACACACACACCACTTAAGTACATAGCCCACAGACCCTATAAAGCAATCAAACATTAGAAACTACAAAACAACCAGTCAACAACTTTATGCTAGAATCAAAACCTCAAATATCAATATGAACCTTGAATGTAAATGGTCTAGATGCCCCACTTAAAGGGCACAGAGTGGCAAGTTGGATAAAAAACAAGACCCATGCATTTGCTGTCTTCAAGAGGCCCATATCACATGTAACATCGCTGATAGGTTCAAAGTATAGGGCTGGAGAAAGATCTACCACGCAAATAGAAAGAAAAAAAAAGCAGATCTCGCTATGCTTATATCAGATAAAACAGACTTTAAACCAACATCAGTAAAAAGGAAAAAGAAGGGCATTACATAATGATAAAAGGTACAATTCAGCAAGAAGACTTAACTACCTTAAATACATATATGTATATATATATATATGTGTATATTATATATATACACACACACACACACACACATATATATATGCACCCAATGTTGGAATACTCAGATTCATAAAACAAGTACTTCTAGACATAAGAAGTATTTAAAAAGACTTAGACAGCCGGACAATAATAGTTAGGGACTGACGCCACTGACAGCATTAGCATTAGTGTCAACACCCCACTGACAGCATTAGACAGATCATATAGGCAGAAAACTAACAAAGAAATTCTGGACTGAAACTTGACATTTGACCACTTGGACCTAATAGACATCTACAGAATACTCCATGCATCAACCACAGAATATACATTTTTCTCATTTGCACATGGAATATACTCCAAGGTCAACCACATGCTAAGCCATAAAGTAAGCCTGAATAAATTCAAAACATCAAAATAATACCAACTATACTATTGGACTACAGTGGAACAAATACAGAAGTCAACACCAAGAAGATCTCTCAAAATGAAACAGTTACATTGTAATTAAATAATTTGTTTCTGAATGACTTTTGGATAAACAATAAAATTAAGGAGAAATTAAAAAAATCCTTGAAGTAAATGAAAACAGAGACACAACATACCAAAATTTCTGGAATGCAACAAAAGCAGTGTTAAGAGGAAAGCTTATAGCCCTAAACACCAACCTCAAAAAGTTAGAAATATCCCAAATTAACAATCTAACATCACACCTAGAGGAACTAGAATAACAAGAACAAACCAACTCCATGGCTAGCAGGAAAAAAATATAACTAAAATCAGAGTGGAACTGAACAAAATTGAGACCCAAAAATCCATACAAAGAATCAATGAAATGAAAAGTTGCTTTTTTTTGAAAGGAAAAACAAGATTTTTAGATGGCTAGCTAGATTAAGAAAAAAAGAGAGAGATCCAAATAAGCACAATTAGAAATGGCAAAGGTGACATTAAAACCAAACCCATGGAGATACAAAAGACCCTCAGAGACTATTACGGACACTTCCATGCACACAAACTAGAAAACCAAGAGGAAATAGATAAATTCCTGGAAACACACAATCTCTCAAGATTGAGTCAGGAAAAAAATTGAAACCCTGAAAGACCAAGATTAAGTTGAATCAGTAATAAAATTGAGTCAATAATAAAAAAACCTAGTAACCAAAAAGAACCCCACACAAGATGGACTCACAGCCAAATTCTACAAGTTGTACAAAAAGGAGCTAGTATCAATCCTACTGAAACTATTCCAAAAAATTGAGGAGAGGGAATCCTCCCTAACTCAGTCTACAAAGCCAGCATCACTGTTTACCAAAATCTGGTAAAGACACAACAACAACAACAGCAACAACAAAACCTACAGGCCAATATCCCTCCCCTATTAACATAAATGCAAAAATCCTCAACAAAATACTAGTAAACCAAATCCCAAATCACATCAAAAATTTAATTCACCATGATCACGTAGGTTCATTCTTGGAATGCAAGGTAGTCCAAAACAGCCAAATCAACAAATGTGATTCACTACATTTAATTCACAGAATTAAAAACAAAACCATATGATTATTTCAATAGATGCAGAAAAAGCTGCCAATAAAATCCAACAGGGCTACATGATAAAAGTCTCCAAGAAAGTAGGCACTGAAGAAACTTACCTCAAAATAATAAATGGCAAACTCACGGCTAACATCATACTAAATGGGCAAAAACTAAAAATATTCTCCTTGAGAACTTGAACAAGACAAGGATGTCCACTTTTGCCACTCCTATTCAACATAGTACTGGAAGTGCTAGCCAGAGCAATCAGGTGAGAGAAAGAAATAAAAGGCATCTAAATAGGGAAAGAAGTCAAACTATCTCTGTTCATAGATAATATGATTCTATACCTGGAAAACTCTAATGACTTTTCCAAAAGCTCCTGGAAGTGACAAACAAACTTTAGTAAAGTTTCAGGATACAAAGTCAGTAGCATTTCTATGCACCAACAATGTTCAAGTTGAGGGTCAACTCAAGAACACAATTATAATTACAACAGTTAAAAATATATATATAATACCTAGGAATACCTCAAATAAAGGAGGTGAAAGGTCTGCACAAGGAAAACTACAAAACGCTGCTGTGTGAAATAATAGAGACACATACAAATGAAAAAATATTTCATGCTCATGGATTGGAAGAATTAATCTCGCTAAAACGGGAATACTGCCCAAAGTAATCTACAGATTCAATGCTATTCCTTTCAAAGGGTCAACATCATTTTTCAGAGAAGTAGAAAAAAGTATTCTAAAATTTATATAGAACCAAAAAGTAGCCCAAGGAACCAAAGCAATGTAAGCCAAAAGAACAAAGGTGGAGGCATCACATTACCTGTCTTCAAACTATACTGTAAAGCTGTAGTAACCAAAATAGCATGATACCTGTACAAAGACAGACACATGGATCAATAGAACTGAATAGCAAATCCAGAAATAAAGTTGCACACCTACAGTCATCTGATATTCAACAGTCAACAAAAACAAGCAAAGTCAAAAGGACTCCCTATTTGAAAAATGTCCCTGGAATAGCTGGCTAGCAATATGCAGAAGAATAAAACTTGACCATTACTTTTCACCAATACAAAAATTAACTCAAAATGAATGAAAGACTTAAATATAAGGCCTCTAACTATAAGACTTTGAGAAGAAAACCTAGCAAACTCCATTCTGGAAATTGTCCTTGGGAAAGAATGTATGACTAAGTCCTCAAAAGCAATTGCAACAAAAACAAAAATTGACAAATGGGACCTAATGAAAGTAAAAGCCCTGCACAGCAAAAGAAACTATCAACAGAGTAAACAGACAACCTAAAGAATGGGAGAAAATATTCATCAAGTATGCATCCAACAAAGGTGTAGTATCCAGAATCTATAAGGAACTAAAACAATTAAACACTCAAAAGGAAATAACCCCATTTAAAAAAACTGCCAAAGACATGGACATTTCTCCAAAGGAGTCATATAATGAGCCAAAAAATCTATAAAAAATACTGTACATCACTAATCATTAGATAAGTGCAAATCAAAACCACAAGGAGATACCATCTCACATAAGTCAGAATGGCTATTATAAAAAGTAAAAAAAAAAAAAAAAGTAAGGCTGTGGAGGAAATGGAATACTTATACACTCTTGGTGGGAATGTAAATTAGTTCAGCCACTGTGGAAAGCAGTTTGGCAATTTTTCAAAGAACTTAGAACAGAATTACCATTTGACCTAGCAATCCCATCAGTGGGTATATATCCAAAAGAAAACAAATCCTTCTACCAAAAAGACACATGCACTTGCATGTTCACTGCAGCACTATTCACAATAGCAAAGACAGAGAATAAACCTACATGTCCATCAATGGTGGACTGGATAAAGAAAATGTAATATATATACACCATGGAATACTACATAGACCTAAAAAACAATAAAATTTTGTCCTCTGCAGCAACATGGATGCACTATGGAGGCTACTATCCTAAGTGAATTAATGCAGAAACTGAAAACCAAACACTGCATGTTCTCACTTATAAGTGGGAGCTAAACACTGGGTTACTCGTGGACATAAATATGGTGACAGTAGACACTAGGGACCACTAGAGGGAGGAGAGAGAAGGATAAAGATTTAAAAACTAACTATTGGGTACTATGCTCAGTTAACTTGGTGATGGGATAATTTGTACCCCCAACTTCATCATCATGCAATATACCCAGGTAATAAACATGAATATGTACCTTCTGAATCTCTAATAAAGGTTGAAAAAATATAGAATTTATGCTGTATTCTCAGTACAAGATAACTGGGGGCATTTGCTGTGGATTCTTCTCATTACTGGAAATGTTAATGTAATCATTTTGTTGAGGTGGTTTCTGTCAGATTTCTCCCTTGCAAAGTTATAGTTTACATTTTATAATGATTAATTTTCTTATGATGAGGCATGCTGAGATATTATAAATATCCTCTTACTTTTGGCTTACTCATTTTAAGCATCCATTACTAAATCTTGACTGAATCAATTATTATAATGGCAGTTGGTAAATGATGGTTTCAAATCCCATCATTATTGTACATTTTGTAGTAGCATGTTACTGAAAAGAAGTTGTTTCCATTATTACCTTTTAAGTATTTATTTTTGTTATTAGTCAACTCATGGAATCTTATTTTTATTGAATGAGTTATAACCTGTTACTATCCTTATTTATTTTGATATTCAATTTACAATGACTCTGGGTCCTTTTGAATTTTTACCTTCCTTCTTTGAGTATTTTCTTACATTTTGACTAAAAGTTATTTCAGGATTGTCTTGTAATTTCCCCACACTGGCTCTGGAATCAGCCATTTCTCCAAGAACTCCTGGTTCATTTAAGAGGACAGGAATTTAGAACAAAAATCCAGGTTGTATGAGTGCTCATTGCTACTGAGGTGCTATTGCTCATACGTACTTTTAGAGTACAGAAACAATTACCACACTGATGTTGCCAAAGCCAGTCCAAACCCACAGGGTTCACTCTCTCTTCTTAATTTCCATATTTATTTATTCCTTCTCTGATGGAGAAAGCTGTCTCCCATTTCAACAAAATTTTTACATATGTCTTCAGTCTTGGAATGTACACAAAGTGATTTTAGAACTACCTACTAGTGCTTTTGTACAAAAAGGAGAGTTTTCATTGTATTTTGTCCTATTTTTAGTGGTTTTAGAGGTTTTCTTTTTCAACTTTTTTTTTGTCTTTAGCTTGAGAACATATGGTCTAATTAGTGTGTTAAGAGTGACTTAGTTTTGATACTAACCGTCCTCTTTCAATGTGTAATGTTATTTGTTTGAGAGACCGTTCAGTTAATATGTTTCTGTTAGCATTCAGTTTTAGTATTTTGTGGATTTTATTGACTTTTTTTGAATATATGAAGCATTAACATGGTTCTGAAGGTAAGATATGTGAAAAAAGGTATGTTCAGAGAATTGCCCTTTCCCTTTCGAATTCCTCTACTTTTTACATTTCCACCCACTCCCTGAAGGCAACCCATCTCATTAGTATCCGGTGTATCCTTTCTGTGTCTCTTTGTTGCCAAACAGTAAATATATGTGTGTTTTATTTTCAATTCTTTTTTACACAATAAGTAATACACTAAAGATACTCTTCTGTACTTAACCTTTTTCACTTAACAATATACTATATATATGCTGGAAGTCACTTTATATCTGTTCTTAGAAATCTTCCTTATTCACTTTTACATCTGCATAGTGCTCTATCAGATAGATGTACTATAGCTTTATTCAATCACTTCTCTACATAGTGGCATTTGTGTTGTGTCCAGTATTTTGAAACAAATAACGTTGCAGTGAATATTCTTGAACATATTATTTGTATTTTAGTGTTACCGGAGGTGTATCTTTGGATTAAACTTTGAAAATGAGATTGCTGAACTGATAAGTAAACACATATGCATTTTTTTGTAAATGTTGCCAAATTTTCCTGCATAAGGTTATGCAAAATTTACCAAAAATGCATGTGTTTATTTATCAATTCAGTAATCTGATCTTTAAAGCTTTATCTAAATTTATGGCATAAATTTTGTACCATCTGAGAAAAGCCTATTTCCCACCATATGAAAGTGCCATTTTCCCAATCCTACTAATAGGTATGCTGTTTTACATTTTAAAATTATATTTTGCCAATTTGGTAGGTGAAAAGTGGTATATCAGTGACATTTTAAATTGTTTTAAATTGCTTTACTCTATGTGTAACATTAAACGCTTTCGTATGTTTAAGGACAGTATTTCCATCTTTTGTTTAAGAAATCTCTTTTTATCTATTATACTTACAGGCTTTTGCAATTTTCTCACAATTTTTTATAGTTCTTTATGTATTTGAATGACTCTAGACTTTGATATAAACTGCAAACATTATCTCTCAGCTTGTTGACTGTATCCTTATTTTGTTTATGGTGCTTTATGTTATGCCAATTTTTAAAGGCAAATTTATATAGTCAATCAATCTTTTTTATTGCCTCTGGATTTTATGTTAGAATGTCTTTCCCTATACCCAAGTTAAAGAGTGATTCATCTGTATTTTCTTTTGTACTTGTTAAATCTTCATTATTCATTTTAATCAGTGTAACCTTATTTTCACTAACATGCTTTTTTAAAATTTTAGCTATTACCTATTTGATATTTTATGAGTGGGGTGCAAGCTTCCCTTCTGTCCTCTCTGTCGTTTCACTGAAATGACTGACAATAGAGAGATTAATAGGAGAAAAAGGCATACAAATGTATTAATGTGCATAAGCATGGGAGCCTTATAAACTATGAGACTCAAAGAAGAGCCAGATGTTAAGTTTTATGGGATTATACATCTTTCTCACAAGTTGTAGGAAATTTGAGGGGTTGTAAATGATTCTTAGAGGGAATTGAAAAAGCCGAAAGAATACTGGTCTGGGACAAAGTTCCTCTGGCCTCTGGGGCAGCGAGGAGATGGTGGGAAGGTGAGGGGCTGAACTTCACTGTGAACCAGGGTTGTCTTATTGTGGAGAGACAGTCTCCTAGGTAATCTCTTGGAGCTACCCTCAGAAGAATATATGAAATGTATATCTGGGTATTCTGACAACTTTTAGTCTCTTCTCTTCTCTAGTGGTTTACCTTTTCTGGTTACTTCATGAAGCAGTTTTAAGACAATTGCATTTCTTCTGTAGGAACTTCCCTTAATCAGATAAGAAAACTTCAGAGAAAGTCCTTCCTGATGCTTTGGGGGTAAAAAAACAAAAAGGATCAGAGAGATATTAAGAAGAAAGAGAGTCAGAGAGAGACCTTCGTTCTAAGGCTTATTTCTGAGGTCTTTCAACTTCCTTTGATTCAAAGCATGCAGCTTGTCAAAGCACTATATTTTGGGGTCTTGTTCTCTGCACCCTAACAATATTTAAGTGTATAATTAATATGTCTCATCTTCTTTTTAGTAAATTTGATATTACTTTATTTATTATTGGGCAATAGTATGTTGTCCTTTTTGATAGACATGCCTATTATTAGGATTAATAATTCCTAGTTATAAAATATTAACATTAAAAAATTTAAGAAGTGTTTAGGGAACCAAATAGCACCATACTAAAAAGTAATAATTTTTATTTTATTATTTTATTTATATAAATGTACAGTGTACAAGTCTTGTTTTATTACATGGATAGATTGCTTGGTGGTGAAGTCATTTAGGACCTTGAAAAATATCCTGGATTTGTCCTGAGAGAAGTCAGGAATGTTTGTAGGCTTTTAATTACTGAAGTGACATTATCATTGTTTTAAGATTATGTGGCTGTAACGTGAATAATGGATTAGAAAATGTACAAGGCCTAAAGAAGGAAACAATTAAGGCATTAAAATATTATGGTAGCATGTTCAAAGGAAGTGATATTTGTGAGAGAAGTGCAGAGATTCAACACATATTTGGGAGGCAAAATTAACACAACTTAGCAGTAGATGAATGTGGGCATGATAGAGTAGTCCAGGTTGAAGGTCAGGGTTTTTGTTAAGGTGAATTTCAGGAATAGTTATAACAATCATGTCAGTGTCAAAAACAATAGAAGAAAAGTAAGACAGAAACTGAGAGAGATAGAAAAGGATGGTAAGTTCATTTTGTTTTTCTTTTAAAAAATTATTTATTTTCAAATTTTCGGAGATAGAGTCTCACTCTGTCACCCCACCTGAAGTGCTGTGATGTCTTGAACTCCTGGGCTCAAGCAATCCTCCTACCTCAGCCTCTTGAGGAGCTAGGCACTTGCACCATGTCCAGCTAACTTTTAAATTTTTTTGTAAAGATGCAGTCTTGTTACATTGCCCAATATAGTCTTGAACTCCTAACCTTCAGCAGTACTCCTGCTTCTGTCCCTCAAAGTGCTGGGATTACAGGCAAGAACTACCACACCTGGCAGGTAAGTTCAATTTTTGAAATATTGAGTTTTAAGTGACTATGGGATCAGAAAATGGAGGTTCAGTAAATTGTTGGATACACGGATCTGTTTCCCGGAATACTTTTCTTGGCTAAATTTAATGACTTATCTTTAACACAGAAGAGGATGGATTTTCTTCAGGTAATTATGAAAGTACATGTAATCATAGTTACTAAAAATACCATCATAGGAGGTCAAATAGATAAATATTGAAAGAAAAGTTTATTTCTTAATACTATGATACATACAGATACATTTGAATGATTCTATTCATTTCTTCAGAAACTCTGGGGTTGTTGGGGTTAGGAAGAAAGCTTCAGACAGTTTGTGGGTAAGTGTAGCTTGAGGCCAGATTTTCTGGTCAACAAACTAGGACAATTTTAGATGTGAAAGTCTCCTTTACTGATGACATTTTTTTTAAAGCAAGGCGAATGGGCCACAGGGTTTTCACTAAACAGAAACAATTCTTGACATGCTTTCCCTTGAATCCTTATAAAATAATAATAGATGATAGGAGAGGGGATAGGCTAGCATATCTAAACTCACGTGGGATAACTGTTGAGACTTAATTCAGGGATCTATGGCAAAACAAAGCTTCTGATCTATAGTGTTTTAAAATCCCAGGTTTACTGAACCCTCTTGAACTTCGAAAACATAATACAGTAATGTATTTGAAGGATTTAATGAGGGAAGTCAAGAGCAATGAAAGATCACAAGACAAGGAGGTTAGCCTAGCCAAATAAAATGGTGATAAATTGTAACCAGGTGTCTTTATTTCCTGATTCCTCAAGTACTGCACACTCAGCTTTCTCTGTGAGAAAGGATAGCTTGTGAAATTCCGTACAGTCTTTGTCAGCTTTAATACTTTCTTGCAAGATCTCAGAATTATTTGCTTAATCTTAACTACCTCAGAGGCAAATGAGATTAACTATTTAAAAATTACATATGGAGTAAAAGAAGATCTAATATTCCTTGTGATTTAGGAAATTCATAAGGATACTTTGCTGGTGTCCTAATATTTGTCTGCTATAACGATTCAGGACAAAGTAGGTTTTATTGTGGCATTGCATATCTGTGCAGTTCAAAAGCCATGTTGCAAAGCTCTTCTTAATTACATGCAACACACGCCCTCAAATTCTTATGAACGTATTTCACACATTACTTATGCCCTCTATGAGTTTCTTCACAAGACCAACTTCTCTTTAATTGTACACTGCACAATTTATAATATTCTTTGTATTTGTATTGATATTTATTTTAGATCATATTATTTCACTACATTATATGAACAGATAAAACCTTCAGAGAATTCTCTAATTCAAGGGAAGAGAATAAGGCAAAGCCTGAGATACAGAACAGAGAAAGCATATGAGAAGAGGCAGACAAAGGAGAAGAGAATTTTCTGGTGGTAGGCCTGGTGAGTAGACTGGCCAGGATAAGGCAGAACACAAGCCCTTGTCCCCCAGTGGGATACAAGGTGGGATTTCTATCTTCCATCCCTGGTCTGGGGAAATGGACAAAATGATAGAAAAATGCATCACCTCTAAGATATGAACACAGAATAAGAAAGAATGTTCCTTTCCATGTGAGCATTTTCATGGAGTTATTTATTAAAATACTACTAAGGTCTAAAGTTACTTTCCTCCAGGCATTTCATTCTCTATACATGGAGCATCAGGAAATATTCTAGGCATTCTGGCCAATGGATTAATAACCACTGATATTTTGAAAGTTACATATCTTTTGGAACGGATATGTAGCCTTCTGGTGTCTGACAATTCAGTGCTAATAAATGATTTGAGCCAGCAATGGATAATTGATTTATTTTTGTAAATGCTTAAATATAATTTCTTTGAATAAAAATTATGTATATGTGTCCCTTTTTTATTCCTTCTCTTTGAGAATACCAGACAATAAAAAACAGAATAAACCAGTTTTCAAAATTAGGCCCTTTTATTTCAAAAGGTTTGCACCCCACTCACGTTAAAGAATAAAATATTCAAGTTATTAAATATGAATAATCAAAAGAAACAATGAGCTATCAAGACGTGAAAAGATGGGGGAAACTTAAATACATATTTTTAAGTGAACGAAACTAATCTGAAAATGCTAAATACTGTATGATTCCAAATACCATACACAACGTTCTGGAAAAGGCAAAACTATGGAAACACTAAAAGGCTCAGTGGTTTCTAGGGTTTGTAGGGAGGGAGGGGTGGATAAGCAGAGCACAGAGGAGTTTTACGCCAGTGGAAGTATTCTATATCATACTATAGTGGCAGGTATATGTGATTATCATGTGTTAAAACTCATAGAATGTAGAACATCAGGAGTCAACCTTAATGTAAACTAGGAACTTTGGGTGATAATGAGGTATCATTGTGGGTTCCTCAGTTGTAACAACTGTATCACTCTGGTGTGGGATATTGATAGTGGGTGAGGATTGTGCATATGTGGGGTCAGGGGTACAGGGGAACTCTGTACTTCCTACTCAATTTTGCTGTAAACTTAAAACTGCTTTAAAATAAATTATTTTTTTAAAAAAGGACAAGAAAAAATTAACTGAAAGTCAACGTTCAGAGAAGCAATGTATTTTAATAAGATATCCAGAAGAAAAATCCTTGGCTTTGTCTTTACCTTAATGACAAGCAAATTGTCCATTTGAATAAAAGAAGAATTATCACCTAGACTTCTGGGTATCTTCTGATTGGTGGGTAGAATATTTTAGAGGAAAATTTCAAACAATGTATCATTACAGGCAATAATACAAGGTGTGTTGATTTGTTTGATGAGCCCTATCTCAAGAATAAAAACTGAGCCAGGAAAAATTATGTAGGAGCTTTAAGTTTGAACTTTAAAAAGAAATATTAATTATTTTCCAGACGTCAATAAACAGAAAATGTGTAAGTTTGGTAACTTGTTTGAATTTAATTTTGTGAAGTCTTTTTTCCTTATAGTGGTTAGCAATAAAATACATTACAATATGTATTCTTAGTGGTAACAAAGAAAAGAAAGAATGGAAGAGAAAGACAATATCCTTATTTCACTTCAAGTTTTAGGAAGGGAAAAATCACATAAAATAGAGTGGTTGGTTGTTAAAACTAATGCAGAAATAAAGAAAAATTAGTCCCTTTGGCAAAGTGAAGAAAAAAAAAGGGTGATGGTGGGTGCTGGAGTATGGGTTGAAGATCACTCCTGAGGCCACGCATGTGAAAGGCCTTTGTGCTTCTGCAGTAACAATAATGATGCAATTTCCAAATAATTAGCATATTATAGATATTTGGAAGAAAAGAGAACAATGCTTGTTTTTCTTGATGAAGATAGTAGAAAAAAAAGAGAGGTGCAACTGAGAACAAATTTTAAAATAGAAGGTTGTTTATTATTTAAATAAAGATTATTTCCAATAATCACCATAATTTGTCACTGGTAAGGTGAAATGCAGAATCTAATGTCTCACTACATTTTTTTTTCCAGTTGCATGGCAAATAGAATATATTGGTACTAAACTCATCTCATTAACTTCTTTGCCTCAGCTATTGACACGACAAGTTGTTTTTATCTTGAAACTGTGCTAAAATACACTTGGCTTTGCCAAGTCTCTAAAATGGCTCACTGTTTTCTTGCCAGGACCCAAGAAAGTAGCAATTTTAAAAATGGGGTAATAATTTATACTTTAATGACCTACACCTACCTCATTTTGGGTAATATAGTGCTGCTTCATTTAAATGTTTTAATGTATTGAAACTTAATTCATTACTAGCAGAAACTACCTGGTTGTCATTCTTAAGACTGAACTTCATCTGAAACTACATAACAGGTAGAGCAGGGGTATAATTTGGTAATATAAAATGCTCTCCTTCATTGCCTAGCACATCTACCTTGAGTTTGATGAAATAGAACTCTCCAACTTCAGGACTGGGCATTATTTTTTTTCAAGTTTTACTTTATTGGTTGCAGTGGATTAAACAATGCAAATTTTATTCTAGTTATCATAATGTGTGCATTTGATTACTGTAGCAAGTGATAAGATAACTTACTTGCTCGGTGCACATAATTCAGTCCAAATAATATGGATTAAGGGACATGGGCCAACTATAAAAATAAAAACTTAAAAGATAAGAAACTTTTAGGTAGCTGAAGAAAGTGATGACTGTCTGTACTGCATCTTTCAATATATTCCACCAAACAACTAGAAGCTATAAGGCAAAACAAAACAAAACAATACCATAAAACAACAACAGCAAAAAACTATACAAAAAATTGCTTTAAGCATGACTTGACAAGAAATGACCAAACTCCAGAATAGCTATAAATAAAAAAAAGAAAAACATCAAATTCCAGGGAACAATCTCTCACATGATTGCAACACTGCAAGCCTTTGCGGTAAGCAAAGACAGGCCAAGAAAAGCTTAGAGAAAAGAAAAGATAAAGGGATACTTGGGGCATGTAATAAAAGAGAAAACTAGGAAAGGAAAACATTTAGGGTCTTATCAGACAAAAGAGAACCAAACATTAGAGACAAAAAACCTCTTCTCAACAACCAAAAAAGAAATAATAAAACCCTCTACAGGATTATCTATTTTAAAGGGATTTGATCTATTGACAAAAGAGGGTGCCATTGCACTAGAAATTCTGTAAGACATCCAAAATATACAACAATGAACCAAAGAAAACTCAGTAAATCTATACAGAATTATTAGAAAAATAACAAAACAAAATTTAACACACTTTAACTGATAAAACTCTTTATCACCCACAAAAAGAAAAAAAAGAAAAACAGGTAGGAGAAAACACCTGTAAGATGACACTTCAAACTGAATTAAATGTACACAAGCAAACACTTAGAGATATGAAAACAAAGCAAAACAAAACCAAAAACCCTTGAATTATAAATTTAAAAACTAAGAGCAGAAAAAGACAGAAAAAGAGAGAGAGAGAGAAATAAAAGAGGATGGATTGAGTTCAATAAATAAATAAATAACACTGAAAAAATTATCTCAAAAATAAAAAACAAATACATTATGCCTTAGATATAATTAAATAAAATTGGAAATCTGCCAAGAAAGTAGATTTTATCTACTGTGTGCTTTTATCACACACACAAAAAGGTTAAGTAACTATGTGAAATGCTGGATATGTTAATGTGCTTAACTGTAGTAACTATTTCACTATGTATAGCAAAGCATAATTTTGCACACTTTAAATATATGCAATTTTTTAAAACTTTACAATAATAATTTAGGACAGCGAAGGTAACAACTGAGAACGCAGAAATTAAAGAATGAAAAGGGGCAGAAAGAACATGGTAGAAATAAAAGACAGACAAAGAAGGAATAATATTTGCATAATTGGAGCCCCTGAAAACTAAAACAACACATTGGTACGAACCTAATATTTATAATTATATTTAAAAATTTTTTCAGAAATAAAAGACATGAATCTATATATTGACAGGGCCCACTGGGAACCTGGGGAAATTATCTGAAATATTTAACCCTAAAAATTATACTGGTAAAACTATTAAATTTCAAAGACAATGAAAAAAAAAAGAAGAATCTTATGAATAAGATAAATTATAAGAAAAAAAGATAATTATACATGCAGCAGAATTTTCAAAACCATAATCCAAAGCCTTTCTCTCCTGTTCTATATAAGTGTTTTGTTTGCTTTTGAAAGTTTCCAGAAATACTTGGGAGATAAGTTAAACTTAGTGATCAGTAAGTGTGAATTATGAAATTGACTGAAGGACTAAATTTTTTGATAAAAATGAACACAATGGTAGTGAAATTAATGACAATAGGGGAAATGGTAGTGTAATTAATGACAATAGGGGGCAGCTCTCCTACCAGAAAGGGCGACATAAATTCTGTATCAGCAAACTTTGACTTGCTCTGTTTCCCATGTTTCTTCCTGGTCCTCCAACAAGTCCATTGCTCCTAAAATGCAATAACTGCCTCAGAGCTTTTAATTCTCATTGGATCAATTCCCAAATAGTTTTCCATTATTTCATAACCAGGACCATGTAGCTGAGGATACAGACAACAATAACTATGATGAATTGAAAATAATTCCTAATGTTACAAAAGAGTTTTAGGGTTTTTCGAATTTCCATTTTATGTAACTTAAGTAGTTATATAATCACCTCCTAATTATATTTTTCTTTTGTAGTCATTATCATCTAAATTACAGGGTCATCTCTAAGTTTGTGAATTACAGATCAGAAACAGGGAAGGAATTTGCTTCAGCAATTGGAAGAAAATGTTTCACGAATTTGTAGCGAGTTGCCTTTGGAATTTCTCAAAACATTTCCTTCTCGGAAGTATGATTATTTTTATTTTTTGAGGGTGAATTTTCTTCAGGGGTAAATAGATAAAGATTCTCACAGGTATAAGTATTATTATTTTTTACTATTAAAATGTTCTATTAGATATTAGCCTCTGTCTTTTAGCATCTCTTGTTCTTGTAAGTTGATTTTTCCCTAAGGAACTTTTTTTCAGACCCTTGAGTACATTAGTTCTAAAATAAAATATGTCAAGTATATTATATATATAAAACGTCTAGTTTTTGACAAACAATAAAAGACATAATTTTAAATACTCCTTCCTTTCCTCCTTCCTTTCTTTATTCCCTCCTTTCTTCATTTTGTCCATTTTTTTCTTTCCTCTTTGCTTCTTTCACTCTTTACTTTTTTTTTCCTTTCTTCTTGAATAAAGCAGTCCAAGATATATCTGGTAGGGCTGAGCAACACAAGTATTCTGAAAGGTTGAAGGAGGGGCCCAGTGCAGGATGTCAACATTCAAGCAAGTTAGGAAGGCTATCCATTCAAAAATGACCATGCTAAGGGCTGCCTAGGGTGGCGTGTCAAAGCCCAAGTGATAAAGAGGAGCACCTGCTTGAGGTGTGAATGCAGCAGTTATACTGCAAATCATATGAGAGATGAAGAGTGATGAAGTAAGCACCCAAAGTAGGTAGCAGTGGAGTGGACAGGAGATTGTTTACATGCAGAGGAGTTTAATCAAATAAAAAAATTAAAAATAATTGGAATCCGATTTTTTGGTTCCAGCTTAGGGTGCAGGAGACCCACACAGTGGTCCTCTGTACCAGCAAGGGCCACCCAGGGGCCCTAGCATCTCAATGACACCCATAGGTTTACTGTTAAAGCCAAGAATACCAAATATGTAAAGGGAGAAAACAAAAACGAACCCCGTGGATTAGAACTGAAGGTATCAGTGTAAACCCATGGTTTTTAATATTATAGATGAAAACATACAGCTATATAGGATCTATATTTATTTTATCTATATTACTGAAAACCATAAATTAATACTGATACCTCCCATGTTGATGTATGTATGCATGTGTATCTATCCAGATGTACATATATCCAATTATATATACATATATTCACTCATATATACATAAATGCATACATACATACATGTTCTGCACAGACAGAACCTGGGTGCAATCACTTTCTAAGGTTTTTTTAATTTTAATTTTTTAATCAAAACATAGTATTTATCCTTTTCATAGGGTACATCTGATATTTTGTCATGTGCATAGAATATATAATGATCAGGTCAGAGTATTTAGGGTATCCATTACCTTGAGTATTTGTCATTTTTATGTTTTGGGAACATATCAAATCCTTTCTTCCAACTATTTTGAAATATATAATACATAGTCAACTACAGTCACTCTACTGTGCTACAGAACATTAGAACTTATGTCTTCTATATAACTCTATGTCTGGAACCATTAAACAATCTCTGTTCATCTTCTCTTGCACCACACACGCACTTTCTCCAGATTCTGGTATCTCTCATACCACTCTCTACCCCCATAAGCTCAAAGATTTAGCTTTCACGGATGAGTGAAAGCATGCAATATTTGTCTATCTTTTCCTGGCTTATTTCACTTAAAATATTCCTACAAATAACATGGTTTTATTCTTTTTAAATGGCTGAATAGTATTTCATTGGTGTATGTATATCACACTTTCTTTATCTATTTATCCACTGATGGATATCTTGGCTATTGTGAATAGTGCTGCTATTGTGAATAGTGCTGCAATATACACAAGGGTGCAGATATTCCTCTGATGTACTGGTTTTCTTTTATTTGGATAAATACCCAGTAGTGGGACTGATGGATTGTATAGTAGTTTTATTTTTAGTTTTTTAAAAGAAATCTTTATACTGTTTTTCATAATAGCTGTACTAACTTAAATTTCTACCAAGAGTATATGAGTTCTTTTTTTATCTATATCCTCACCAGTATCTACTATTTTTTATCTTTTTAATAATAATCATTCTAACAAAATAAAATAATGCAGTGAGATGATAACTCATTGTGGTTCTGATTTGCATTTCCCTAATGATTAGTAATATTGAGCATTTTTTCCATATATCTGCTCGTCATTTGAACGTCTTTGGAGAAACGTCTATTCGGGTTATTTACTCTGTTTTTAATGGGATTATTTGTATTTTATTTTTGAGTCAACTGAGTTCCTTGTATACTCTGGATATTAGTTTATTGTTGGATGAATAGTTTGCAAATATTTTCTCCCATTCAACAGGTGTCTCTTTATTGTGTGGAGTGTTTCCTTCACTGTGCAGGCGATTTTTAGTTTAATATAGTCCCATTTTTATATTTTTGTTTTTGTTATTTGTGTTTTTGAGGTCTTAGCTATAAAATCTTTGCCCAGACCAATGAGCTGAAGTGTGTCTTCTATGTTTTTTTCTTTTAGTTTTATAGTGTTGGAACTTACATTTGAGTCTTTAACCCATCTTGAGTTGAAATTTGTATATTGTGGCAGATAGGGTTCCAGTTTGATTCATCTGCATATGAATATTCAATTTTCCCAGCACCATTTATTGAAGAAGGATTATTTCCCCAAATGTAAGTTGATTATTTCACCCAATGTATGTTTTTGACACATTTGTCAAAACTCAGTTGCCTGTAAATATGTGGATTTATTTCTGTGTTGTCCATTTCTTTCCATTAGTCTAGATGTCTTTTTTTCTTGTGCCAATACCATACTGTTTGGGTACTATAGTTTTGTAATATATTATGGAGTTCAGTTGTATGATGCCTTCAAGTCTGCTATTTTTGCTCAGGACTGTTTTGGGTATTCAGGCTCTTTTACCATTTCATACATATTTTAGAATGTTTTTTTTTTAAATTTCAATAAAATATGACATTGATATTTTGATGGAGATTGCATTGAATCAGTAGATTGCTCTGCATGGTATGGTTATTTTAACAATATTAATTCTCCTGATTCATGAACATGGGATGTCTTTCCATTCTTCTGTGCCCTCTTCAATTTCCTTCTTCAGTATTTTACAGTTTTCTTTGTAGAGGTCTTCCAAGTCTTTGGTTAAATGTATTCCTAGACTTTTTAATTGTTTTTGTAGCTATTGTAAATGAGATTGCCGTCTTGATTTCTTCTCAGCTAGCTTATTATTGGTGTGTAGAAATTCTACTGATTTTTGGTATTGATTTTGTATCCTGGAACTTTACTAAACTTATTTGTCAAACCTAAAAGATTTTGGTGAAGTGTTTAAGTTTTTCTAGCTATAAGATCACATCATCTGAAACAAAAATATTCAACTGCTTCTTTTCCAATTTAGATGCCTTTTATTTATTTCTCTTGCCTGAATGTTCTGGCCAGGACTCTCAGTAATATGTTGAACAGGAGGTGAAAGTTGGCATCCTCATTTTATTTCAGTTCTTTGAGAAAAGGCTTTCAGGTTTTTCTCATTCACTATGTTAATGGTGGGGTTTTCATAGATGGCCTTTATTATGTTGAAGAATATTCCTTCTATGCCTAGTTTGTTGAGAGTTTTTATCAAGAAGTGGTGTTGAAGTTTATCAAATGCTTTTTCTATGACTATTGAGATGATCATGTTTTTTGTTCTTCATTCTGTTGATGTGATGTACCGTGTTTGTTAATTTGTGTGTGTTGAACCATCCTTCCATATTTGGGATGAATCACACTTGATTATGGTGTATCATCTTTTTGATGGGCTCCTGGATCAAATTTGCTAGTATTTTGCTGAAGATTTTTGTGTCAATGTTTGTCAGAGATATTAATCTGTAGCTTTCTTTTTTGTTGCAACTTTGTCTGGTTTTGGTATCAGGGCAATGCTGGCCTCATAGAAAGCATTTGGGAGAATTCCTTCCTTTTCAATTTTTGCAATAGTTTGAGGAAAAATGATATTAGTTCTTTGTACATTTGGTAAAATTGAGCAGTGATGTCATCTGGTCCTGGGCACTTTTGTTGGTAGAATTTTTATTACTGATTCAATCTCATTGCTTGTTATTGGTACAGTCAGAATTTCAATTTCTCCCTGATTCAAGTTTGGTAGGTTGTGTGTGTCCAGAAATTTGTCCACTTTTTTTTCTTTCTAGTGTATTAGTATATAGTTATTCTTAATATCCTCTAGTGATCTGTTGTTTCTCTTTGATATCATTTGTAATGTCTCCTTTTTTGTTTCTAATCTTGTTTATTTGGGTCTTCTCTGTTTTATTCTTGGTTAGTCTAGCTAGTGATTTATCAATTTTGTTTATCTTTTCAAAAAACTTTTTATTTTGTTAATGCTTTGTATTTTTGTCTCTATTTTGCTTTTTTCTGCTCCAATCTTTTCTTTTTCTCTACTAATTTTGTGTTTGATTTTTTTCTTGCTTTTCTAGTCCCTTGAGGTGCATCATTAGAGTGTTTATTTAAGGCCTTTCCACTCTTCTGATGTAGGCATTTATTGCTATAAACTTCAATCTTAACACTGCTTTTACTGTATCGCAAATACTTTGGTATGTTATGTTATGATTTTCATTTGTTTTAAGAAATTTTACGATTTCCTTTTTAATTTTTTTCTTGACCCATATATTGTAATTTCCATATTTTTGTGTAGTTTCCAAAGTTTTTGTGGTCATTAATTTCTATTTTT
The DNA here is from genome assembly GCF_000001405.40 of Homo sapiens. Taxonomy (NCBI): domain Eukaryota; kingdom Metazoa; phylum Chordata; class Mammalia; order Primates; family Hominidae; genus Homo; species Homo sapiens. The sequence continues at coordinate 75,201,323 of NC_000008.11, forward strand.
ATTGCATTGTGGTCTGAGAGGATTTTTGATATAATTTTGATATTTAAAAACTTGTTGAGGCTTGTTATGTTTCAGTAGCTTATTTATGTTGAGAATTTCACTATTTTATGAGCCAAAATCTGTTCAAACTCACTCTTGAATAGTAAAACTCAAGCTCTAACCAAATAAATAAACAAATACATAAATGAATACATATCCAGGTGGCTTTTATGAAAATTCTCTTGCTCTAATTCGGTTGTAATTTTCACCATTACTTACATGTTTACGTAGTTTGCTTTAATACATTATATTTTTTTCTTAAATGTGTCATGCAGATTTCTAATTAAAATAGAACTTTATGAAGTTAGACTTTAAAAACAAATGATAATATTCTTAGATTTAATAATTCTAGTTTAATTATTTGAAATTGCGTTATTATTTGGGATAATTTTTAACTATCAAAATGATTTACTATGCTGAATTATTAGATCTAATGAATGAGAATTACCAAGAATAAAACAATTACAAAACTGTGTTTGCCACTACTTTTTTTCCTCTGGGATCCTCATAGTTGTTGAACCAATACTTATTTCTCACCTGCAATTACTCCCCTACACAGAAATAATTGCTGACATTTGTAGACATAGTAGTTTCAGCTGATTCTCAGAATTCAGATTCCAGATCTTAACAGATCACATCAGATTCTAAATCAAATACATTAAACTCTGTTAATGATGCTTTAATGAATAGTCTTTTGGCACAGTGATTATTTGATTAGTCTATTCTTGCATTGCTATAAAGAAATGCCTGAGACTAGGTAATTTGTAAAGAAAAGCATTTAATTGGCTCATGGTTGTGTAGGTTGTACAGGAAATATAGCAGCTTCTGCTTCTGAGGAGGCCTCAGGAAGCTTCCAATCATGGCAGAAGGCAAAGGAGGAGCAAGACATTTCACATGGTGGGAGTAGGAACAAGAGAGAGAGTGGGGGGATGCCATACACTTTTTAAAAATTATTATTATACATCAAGTTCCGGGATACATGTGCAGAACATACAGGTTTGTTACATAGGTATACATGTGCCATGGTGGTTCACTGCACCCATCAACCCAATATCTAGGTTTTAAGCCCCACATGAATTAGGTATTTCTCCTAATGCTCTCCCTCCCCTTGCCCCACACCCCACGACAGGCCCTGGTGTGTGATGTTCCCTCCCTGTGTCCATGTGTTCTCATTGTTCAACTCCCACTTTCTGAGTGAGAACATGCAGTGTTTGGTTTTTTGTTCCTGTGTTAGTTTGCTGAGAATGATGGTTTCAAGCTTCATCTGTGTCCCCCAGCAAAGGACATGAACTCATTCTTTTTTATGGCTGCATCGTATTCCATGGTGTATATGTGCCATATATTCTTTATCCAGGCTATCACTGATGGGTATTTGGGTTGGTTCCAAGTCTTTGCTATTTTGAATAGTGCTGCAATAAACATATGTGTGTATGTGTCTTTATGATAGAATGATTTATAATCCTTTGACTATATACCCAGTAATGGGATTGCTGGGTCAAATGGTATTTGACCCAGGTTCTAGATCCTTGAGGAACTGCCACACCGACTTCCACAATGGTTGAACTAGATTACAGTCCCACCAACAGTGTAAAAGTGTCCCTATTTCTCCACATCCTCTCCAGCATATGTTGTTTCCTGACTTTTAATGATCGCCATTCTAACTGGCATGAGATGGTACCTCATTATGGTTTTGATTTGCATTTCTCTAATGACTAGTAATGATGAGATTTTTTCATATGTTTGTTGACCACATAAATGTCTTCTTTTGAGAAGTGTCTGTTCATATCCTTCACCCACTTTTTGATAGGGTTGTTTGTTTCTTTGTAAATTTGTTTAAGTTCCTTGTAGATTCTGGATATTAGACCTTTGTCATATGGATATATTGCAAACATTTTCTCCTGCTTGGTAGGTGCCCTATTCACTCTGATGATAATTTCCTTTGCTGAGCAGAAATTCTTCAGTTTAATTAGATCCCATTTGTCTATTTTGGCTTTTGTTGCAATTGTTTTTGGTGTTTTAGTCATGAAGTCTTTGCCCATGCCTATGTCCTGAATGGTATTACCTAGGTTTTCTTCTAGAGTTTTTAGGGTTTTAGGTTTTATGTTTAAGTCTTTAATCCATCTTGAGTTAATTTTTGTATAATGTGTAAGGAAGGGGTCCAGTTTCAGTTTTCTGCATATAGCTAGCCAGTTTTCTCAACACCATTTATTAAATAGGGAATCGATTACCCATTGCTTGTTTTTGCCAGGTTTGTGGAAGATCAGATGGTTGTAGATGTGTGGCATTATTTCTGAGGCCTCTGTTCTCTTCCATTGGTCTGTATACTTGCTTTGGTACCAGTATCATGCTGTTTTCGTTACTGTAGCCATGTAGTATAGTTTGAAGTCAAGTAGCATGATGCCTCCAGCTTTGTTCTTTTTGCTTAGGATTGTCTTGGCTATATGGGCTCTTTTTGGTTCTGTATGAAATTTAAAGTAGTTTTTTTCTAGTTCTTTGAAGAAAGTCAATGGTAGCTTGATGGGAATAGCATTGAATCTATGAATTACTTTGGGCAGTATGGCCATTTTCACGATATTGATTCTTCCTATCCATGAGCATGGAATTTTTTTCCATTTGTTTGCATCCTCTCGTATTTCCTAGAACAGTGGTTTCTAATTCTCTTTGAAGAGGTCCTTCATATCCTTTGTAAGTTGTATTCCTAGGTATTTTATTTTCTTTGTAGTAATTGTGAACGGGAGTTTACTTATGATTTGGCTCTCTGTTTGTCTATTATTGGTATATAGGAATGCTTGTGATTTTTGCACATTGATTTTGTATACTGGGACTTTGCTAAAGTTGCTTATCAGCTTAAGGAATTTTGGGGCTGATACGACTGGCTTTTCTAAATATGCAATCATGTCATCTGCAAACAGAGACAATTTGACTTTCTCGTTTCCTATTTGAATACCCTTTATTTCTTTCTCTTGCCTAATTTCCCTGGCCAAAACTTTCCATACTATGTTGAATGGGAGTGGTGAGAGAGGGCGTATTTGTCTTGTGCCAGTTTTCAAAGGGAATGCTTCCAGCTTTTGCCCGTTCAGTATGATATTGGCTTTGGGTTTGTCATAAATACCTCTTATTATTTTGAGATACGTTCCATCAATGCTTAGTTTATTGAGTGTTTTTAGCATGAAGGGGTGTTGAATTTTACCAGAGGCCTTTTCTGCATCTATTGAGATAATCATGTGGTTTTTGTCACTGGTTCTGTTTATGTGATGAATTATGTTTATTGATTTGTGTATGTTGAATCAGCCTTGCATCCATGGATGAAGCCAAACTGATTGTGGTGGATAAGCTTTTTGATGTGCTGCTGGATTTGGTTTGCCAGTATTTTATTGAGGATTTTTACATCGGTGTTCATCAGGGATACTGGCCTGAAATTTTCTTTTTTTGATGTGTCTCTGCCAGGTTTTCATATCAGGATGATGCTGGCACTGTAAAATGAGTTAGGGACGAATCCCTTTTTTTCTATTGTTTGGAATAGTTTCAGAAGGAAAGGTATTAGCTCCCCTTTGTACCTCTGATAGAATTTGGCTATGAATCCGTCTGTTCCTTGACTTTTTTTGGTTAGTAGGCTAATAATTACTGTCTCAATTTCAGAGCTTGTTATTGGTCTATTCAGGGATTTGACTTCTTCCTGTTTTAGCCTTGGGAGGGTGTAGGAATTCATCCAGGAGTTCATCCATTTCTTCTAGATTTTCTAGTTTATTTGCTTAGAGGTGTTTATAGTATTCTCTGATGGTAGTTTGTATTTCTGTGGGATAAGTGGTGATCTCCCCTTTATCATCTTTTATTGTGTCTATTTGATTCTTCTCTCTTTTATTCTTTGTTCATCTGGCTAGCAGTCTATCCATTTTGTTAATCTTTTCAAAAAATCAATTCCTGGATTTTTTGACTTTTTGAAGGGTTTTTATGTCTCTAGCTCCTTCAACTCTGTTCTGATCTTAGTTATTTCTTGTCTTCTGCTAGCTTTTGAATTTGTTTGCTCTTGCTTCTCTAGTTCTTTTAATTGTGATGTTAGGGTGTCGACTTTAGATTTTCCCCCTGTTGGATGTGGCCATTTAGTGCTATAAATTCCCACTGCTTCAACTGTGTCCCAGAGATACTGGTACGCTATGTTTTTGTTCTCATTGGTTTCAAAGAACTTATTTATTTCTGCCTTAATTTCGTTATTTACCCAGTAGTCATTCAGGAGCAGGTTGTTCAGTTTCCATGTAGTTGTGCAGTTTTGAATGAGTTTCTTAATCTGAGTTCTAATTTGATGGCACTGTATAGTCTGAGAGACTGTTTGTTATGATTTGTGTTGTTTTGCCTTTGCTGAGGAGTGTTTTACTTCCAATTATGTGGTCGATTTTATAATAAGTGCTATGTGGTGCTGAGAAGAATGTGTATTCTGTTGATTTGGGGTGGACAGTTCTGTAGATGTCTGTTAGGTCCACTTGGTCCAGAGCTGAGTTCAAGTCCTGAATATCCTTGTTAATTTTTTGTCTCATTGATCTCTGTAATATTGACAGTGAGATGTTAAAGTATTCCACTATTATTGTGTGGGAGTCTAAGTCTTTTTGTAGGTCTCTAAGGATGTGTTTTATGAATCTGGGTGCTCCTGTATTGGGTGCATATATATTTAGGATAGTTAGCCCTTCTTGTTACATTGATCCCTTTAACATTATGTAATGCCCTTCTTTGTCTTTTGATCTTTGTTGGTTTAAAGTCTGTTTTATCAGAGACTAGGATTGCAACCATTTTTTTTTTTTTTTTTTGCTTTCCATTTGCTTGGTAAATATTCCTCTCCATCCCTTTATTTTGAGCCTATGTGTGTCTTTGCACGTGAGATGGGTCTTCTGAATACAGCACACTGATGGATCTTGACTCTTTATCCAATTTGCCAGTCTGTGTCTTTTAATTGGGGCATTTAACCCATTTACATTTAAAGTTAATATTGTTTTGTGTAAATTTCATTCTGTCATGATGCCAGCTGCTTATTTTGCACATTAGTTGATGCAGTTTCTTCATAGTGTTGTGGCTCATTATATTTTGGTATGTTCTTGCAGTGGCTAGTACCAGTTTTTCCTTTCCATATTTAGTGCTTCCTTCAGGAGCTCTTGTCAGGCAGGCCTGGTGGTGACAAAATCCCTCATCATTTACTTGTTTGTAAATGATTTTATTTCTCCTTCCCTTTTGAAGCTTAGTTTGAGTGGATATGAAATTCTGGATTGAAAATTCTTTTTGTTAAGACTGTTGAATATTGGCCCCCACTGTCTTCTGGCTTGTAGGGTTTCTGCAGAGACATCTACTGTTAGTCTGATGGGCTTCCCTTTGTAGGTAACCTGACCTTTCTCTCTGGCTGCCCTTAACATATTTTCCTTCGTTTCAACCTTTGGTGAATCTCACTATTATGTGTGTAGGGGTTGCTCTTCTCGAGCAGTATCTTTGTGGTGTTCTCTGTATTTCCTGAATTTGAATGTTGGCCTGTCTTGCTAGGTTGGGGAAGTTCTCCTGGATAATATCCTGAAGTGTGTTTTCCAACTTGGTTCCATTCTCCCCATCACTTTTGGGCACACCAATCAATTGTAGGTTTGGTCTTTTCCATAGTCCCATATTTCTTGGAGGCTTTGTTTGTTCCTCTTCATGCTTTTTTCTCTAATCTTGTCTTCACACTTTATTTCACTAAGTTGATCTTCAATCTCTGATATCTTTTCTTCCATTAGATCTATTCGGCTATTGATACTTGTGTATGGTTCATGAAGTTCTCGTGCTGTGTTTTTCAGCTACATCAGGTCATTTATGTTCTTCTCTAAACTGATTATTCTAATTAGCAGTACCTGTAACCTTTTATCAAGGTTCTTAACTTCCTTGCATTGGGTTAGAGCATGCTCCTTTAGCTCAGAGGAGTTTGTTATTATCCACCTTCTGAAGCCTACTTCTGTCAATTCATCAAACTTATTCCCCATCCAGTTTTGTGCCCTTGCTGGAGAGGAGCTACGATTATTTGGAGGAGAAGAGGCATTTTGGTTTTGAGAATTTTCAGCCTTTTTACAGTTTTTTCCTCATCTTCGTGGATTTTTCTACCTTTGATTTTTGATGCTAATGACCTTTGGATGGGGTTTTTGTGTGGGGGTTCTATTTGTTGATGTTGATGTTATTGTTTTCTGTTAGTTTTAATTGTAACAGTCAGGCCTCTCTTCTGCAGATCTGCTGGAGTTTGCTGGAGGTCCACTCCAGAGCCTGTTTGCCTGGGCATCACCAGCAGAGGCTGCAGAACAGCAAAGATTGCTACCTGCTCCTTCCTCTAGAAGCTTCATCCCAGAGGGACACCCATCTGATGCCAGCCGGAGCTCTCTTCTATGAGGTGTCTGTCAACCCCTGCTGGGAGGTATCTCCCAGTCAGGAGGCATGGGGGTCAGGGATCCACTTGAGGAGGCAGTCTGTCCCTTAGCAGAGCTTGAGCACTGTGCTGGGAGATCCGCTGCTGTCTTCAGAGCCAGAAGGGAGGAATATTTAAGCCTGCCAAAACTACGCCCACAGTCGCCCCTTCCCCTCAGTGCTCTGTCACAGGGAGATGGGAGTTTTATCTATAAGCCCCTGAATGGGGATGCTGCCCTTCTTTCAGAGATGCCCTGCCCAGTGAGGAGGAATCTAGAGAGGTAGTCTGGCCACAGCCGCTTTGCTGCACTGCAGTGAGTTCTGCACAGTCCAAACTTCCTGGTGGCTTCCTTAACACTGTGAGGGAAAACTGACTATTTAAGCTTCAGTAATGGTGGATGCCCTTCCCCCACCAAGCTCAATCATCCCAGGCTGACTTCAGACTGCTGTGCTGGCAGCAAGAATTTCAAGCCAGTGGTTCTTAGCTTGCTGGGCTCCGTGGGAGTGGGACCCACTGAGGGAGACCACTTGGCTCCCTGGCTTTAGCCCCCTTTCCAGGGAAGCGAATGGTTCTGTCTCGCTAGGGTTCCAGGTACCACTGGGGTAGGAAAAAAAGACTTCTGGAAAAAAAGACTTCTGCAGCTAGCTTAATGTCTGCCCAAACAGCTGCCTAGTTTTGTGCTTAAAACCCAGGACCCTGATGGTGTAGGCACACAAGGAAATCTTCTGGTCTGCGGGTTGCAAAAACCATGGGAAAAGTGTAGTATCTGGGCTAGATAGCACAGTTGCTCATGGCACACTTCCTCACAGCTTCCCTTGGCTAGAGGACGGATTTCCCCAACCCCTTGCACTTCCTGGGTGAGTCGATGCCCCATCCTGCTTCTGCTCACCTTCCGTGGGCTGCACCCACTGTCTAACCAGTCCCAGTGAGATGAACTGGGTACCTCAGTTGGAAATGCAGAAATCACCTGCCGTCTGTGTTGGTCTCACTGGGATCTGCAGACCGGAGCTATTCCTATTCGGCCATTTTGCCAGATGCTCCCAAAGCCATACACTTTTAAATGATCAGATCTCATGAGGACTCACTCACTATCATGAGAACAGCACCAAAGGGATGGTGTTAAACCATTCTTGAGAAAGCCACCCCATGATCCAATCATTTCTTACCAGACCCTATCTCCAACACTGGGGACTACAATTAGACATGAGTTTGGGTGGGCACACAGATCCAAACCATATCAATGATAAACAGAGCTTGTTAAGGGTAACTCATACTCATGTGCTTTAGCCTTCTTTCCCCCTGTTGATAACTTCTTGGACTCTGAGGTTTGATTCTTTGTCCTTTCTTCTGCAGACCCTACCTTACAACCTGTCAGTTGACTTAAAGACATTTTTTTGCATCCTGTTGTTCATCAATGCACATATTTTACTTGCTGTATAGACCATTTAGTCATCATCTCACATGCAGTACTGTGAACAGGAACATCTTTCTTCGATCTACTTTTAGGCAAATTCTTCTAGGGGCTGGAAAGAGGCTTCTTTGCAATGGAAAGAATTTCAAACAACCTATTTATCAGTTGTTAATGAAGTGTTCTAGGACAACAAAAAAGAGTTTTGAGCTGTAGTGGTGGCCCTATTTTATCAGTCTTCCTAGTATTGTAAATCAGATTTAATGCTAACATCCAGATCTATCTAAAGCCTTAAAATTCTATTTTCACAAGATCCTCTGGCTATATGGGTTACTATTCTTGCCCCTCAGGCAGGTACTGATTTTTTTTTTTTACATATTACTGTTGCTCGTAACCCATTGTCCACTAAATCCAATAAGTATAAAAAATTGTGAATGAGGCTGAAAAATAAAGACGTTATTCAAAATAATCTTGTGCCTAGATAATAATTTTATCAATTTGGAAAATGGGAAAACATATTTGTGGGAGGAATAGTACCCTGGGTTACACCATTTCAAAGTATTGTTTTCTAAGGTAGAATGCAACCAGAAGATGTTCTGAGAAAATCCTCCTAATTAAGTACTTCTCAGACTTGTAATGAGAAATCCTTTAGATAATCAGACTGACGACTTAAAGGAAATTTTGTTTTGATATTGTGTTTTTTTTTATAATGACATAAGATGGATTTGTATTTAGAATAAATGTTTTACTATGGTAAGGTGAAGGATAGTTAGGTCTATTATATAATAATATATAATATCATACTCTCAGAGGATTCAACTAGAAAGTCCAATGTTAGGCCAGGCGTGGTGGCTCACGCCTGTAATCCCAGCACTTTGGGAGGCCGAGGTGGGTGGATCACCTGAGGTCAGGAGTTTGAGATCATCCTGGCCAACATGGTGAAACCCTGTCTCTACTAAAAATACAAAAATTAGCCAGGCGTGGTGGCACGTGCCTGTAGTCCCAGCTATCCCGAAGGCTGAGGCAGGAGAATGGCTTGAACCCAGGAGGCAGAGGTTGCAGTGAGCTGAGATCACGCCACTGCCCTCCAGCCTGGAGACAGAGCGAGACTTTGTCAAAAAAAAAAAAAAAATCCAATGTTAGAATTTTATCTAAATCAAGTATGGATAAAACTCAAGGTACAATTCATCCTGAAGCAAAACCTAGATCCACAGCTGTGGCCCTGTGTATTCAAACAAGCTATCTCTTCAAAAATACAATGGCGGGACAGAAATAGAATAGACATTCCCATTTCAAAAGGGACGAACAGCAAATACGAAAGGAATAACAGGTTCCAAGTAAGTCTAAAACCCAAAAGAGCAAACAACACTAAACCCTTAGACTGAGAATAATCTCCTCTGACTCCATATCTCACCTCCTGAGTATGCTAATGTGGGTGTTGGGCCCCCAAGGCCTCAGGCATCTATGCCCCTGTGGCTTTGCTGAACTCATTCCACACAACAGCACTCATGGGTTGGAATATTGGGCCTGCAGCTCTCCTACAGTAGGATGGCATGCAGGTGGTTCTACAGTTCTGGGTGCTGGGAGCAGCCCTGCCTTCACAGCTCCATCAAGACTAGTGGAGGTTTTCTGCCCCTGCAGCAGTTCTCTGCAGCACTTCCACCTAAACCTAGGTGGAAGTAGTCATGTCTCCACAGCTGGTGCTTCCAAACCTAGGTGGAAATAGTCATGTCTCCACTCCATGTGTTTGCAGAATTAGTACCACGTGGATGACACTAAGGCTTGTACCTTCTGGAGATGTGGCTGGAGCCACATCTGGGTCTGCTTGAGCCACAGCTATGGCAGTGGAGAAGCGCTGTAGCAGAATATGCAAAGCAGACATTTGAGATGGCTCAGGAATGCAAATGCTTAGGTTCAATAAGCAACCTGGGCCCCTCTCTGGAAACTTTTCTGCCCTCAAGACTCTTGTATTCTTTGCCTATAATTGGAGAGGTAGCCTCAGACATCTCTGGAATGCCATTGGAGGTCATTCTTTCATTTTCTTGATAAATAGCACTTGGCTTTCTTCTATCCATCTAACTTCTTTATCAATTGGTTGCTTGGTCACACCCTTGGTTTTCTTTTCTAAACAAATAACTTTATTCTTTACATTGCCAGGCCTGGAAATTTCCAAATCTGTACATTCTGCTTCTCTTTTAATTGTAAATGCCATCTTTAAATCATTTTCTCTTCTCACATTTTATTATATGCAGGTTGGAGAAGCCACACAGCAGCCAGAATGCTTTGCTGCTGACAGATGTCCTAGTTCATTGCTCTTAAATTCTGCCTTCTACAAAGACTTAAGGCGTGGACACAATTCAGCAAAGTTCTTTGCCACTTTGTAACAAAGGTGGGCTTTTCTCTAGTTTTCAATATCTGTTTCTTATTTCTGTCTGAGACCTCATTAGACTTGCCTTTCCCATCCATTTTTCTACCAACATTTGGCAGCCCTCCTCTTCTGAGCCTTCACTGGAATCAGCCTTAAGGCTCCTTTTATAGCACTCTAGGCTTTTCTATCCTGCTTCTCCAAATTTTTTCACCCTCTACTCATTATTCAGTTCCAAAGCCACTTCCACATTTTTAGGTTCTTATAATAGCAGCATCCACTTCTCTGGGACTGGATCCTACCTCAGTTCATTCTGTTCTGCTATAACTGAATACTTGAGAGGCTGGGTAATGTATAATAAACAGACATTTATTTTCTAACAGTTTTAAAGACTGGGACATGCAAGATCAAGGCACCAGTATCTGGCAAGGGCCTTCTTGCTGTGTGGGCAAAGGGGGAAGGGGACCCAACTCCCCTTTTTATAACAGTATGAATTCTACTCATGAGGTTGGAGCCCTCATGGCCATGTAACCTCTTGAAAGTTTCACCTCTTAATGCTATTATAATGTCAATTAAATTTTAACATGAGTTTTGGAGGAGAGAAACATTCAAACCATAGCACCTTTCCACTGTTATTTTGAATAGTATCAAAATAGATCCAACGCTAGAGCAGTGCCTCCATCCAGGGACTCCCTCCCCACCTCCTTAGAATTCCTTTCTTTCTGGGTGAAGTGGTGATGAAAGGAAAAACAAAACAAAACAAAATATAATATTAAATGTATGTATTCAACCTAAATATTTCTTAAATACAATTAAAACTAAAGTAACTTGAGACATATTCACAGCATGTCCATGTTACTTTTAAAAGCCCTCAACCATCTCTAAAACACCAGAAATGTGAAGCTCCCAGGAACAGATCCAAATCCTGAACTCTCTAAAGCTAGTGATTTAAAATCAACTTATTTACTAATACTTATAAGGCACTGCTAAGATTATGATGGTCTAGGACACCGTGAATGTTCAATGACAATATGAAGAGAAATGCAAGTGTGTAAATTCCTAGTGGGGAGGATAGACAGTGTGATCTCTGAGTTCAGAGGAGAGAATATAGTCTCTATACAATGGACTGACCAGAAAAGACTTTATTGAAGAAATATTAGAGCCCTCAGTGCTTCTGATTCCAGAGCAAATAAGCTGCATGTGGGCTACTTTACTTCCCTGATTGCATTCAAGAAAATTTTCCAGAAGTAGTTTATTTCTGGATCATTCAGCTTAGGGTTAGCAAACTTCTGCTAGCCACCTGTTTTTGGATGGCCAGTAAGTTAAGAATGATTTATACAGTTTATGTTAGTCTTCTATGGCTACCATAACAAAATATCATGGACTGGGTGCTTAAACAACAGAAATTTATTTTCTCACAGTTCTGGAGTCTGGAAGTCTGAGATCAAGGTGCTTTCAGGGTTAATTTCTGATGAGGCCTCTCTTCCTGGCTTCTTGATTATCTACTTCTTGCTGTGTTCTTACTGGTCTTTTCTCTTGCACGGGCAGAGGGAGAGAGATCTCTGGGGTCTCTTTCTCTTCTTATAAGGACAACCAAGCCTATGAAATTAGGGTGTCATCCTTAAGAACTCTTGTAACTTTTACTATCGTAAGTCCTGTATCCAAATACAGTCATTTTGGGGATTAGAGCTTAAATAAAGGCATTTTGGGCAGACACAATTCAGTCCATAAAATGAACACTTAAAATAAAGTGGATGATAGGGAACACTGACTTTGAACCATAATTATGCAAAAATTTTATTTGCCTCCAAGAAAGGATTATATTCTTTTGATTGGCTGACTTGTATTTTTTAAAATTGTATTCAATTATTATTTTTATATTCTGAATTTTGTCAATACCAAGTTTGGGGAACTTGTTTGCACTTTTGTTAAACAGTACCTACATTATAGTCTTTATTTTGCCTCTTGGCCTACATAGCCTAAAATACTTAATAGCTGTTTCTTGACAGAAAATGTTTGTCCATCCTTGATATAGCCCAAGAAAAGCTGATGAATTACATTCTAGTTTTCAACTCTTTGTCCAAATTACAGGCATCTGCCCAGGAAAACAGTTGCTACTTCTGATCTCTAAGTTTTGCCAGAACTTTCTATTTTACTTTAGCTCTCTTCTCACAAAGTACCATCTCTTCCCATAAGCTTATTTTATAGACTCTCTCAAACTGTTTTGACAGGCATGACATTGCTTGTTTAAAACCCAGTTCTGTTTTAAATGTTTTAGGATTATAGAGGCACTACTAAAGAAAAAAACAAAGAAAAAAAAGAAAAAGAAAAAGAAAAATCCACTGACTCACTTTAGACAGGGAATTTTCTCACAGTTAGCTTGAGGGGCCCCCAGATTCCTACGTGCCATCAGCACTAGGAAAGTTTAATCCAGATCTGGGTGCCAGGCACATGTGGAGGGACCGGGGCAGGCTGTCCTTTTTCACCACGTTCACCTACATTTTTCTAGACTATTATAGGTTTGCCGCAATAGAAGGGACGGTGCTGGCTTTTGTACACAGATTTAATGTGCTGGTTAGTGTTGTGCTCTGACAAATATTTGAAAGATATTTTCAGAAAATCCTGCAAAGCACGGGCTCCTGATTCAATAGAGTTGTATATTGTTGCCTTACCAAATATACTTGAATGATAAAAACAGCAAAACAAAAATAGTAACTAAAATTTACCGAGCATATACCACATGGCAGAAATTGTCTTAACAGCATATTTATGATGTAGGTATATGATCCTCACTGGACCAATAAGAAATATCTTAGCAAATATATATAACTTGTCTAAGGTCACACACAGTTATCAATTAGGAAAACTGTCTCAAACTGAGGGCTGTTTTACCCCACTACACTCTACTTGATTGCTTCTCTGTGCATGTTTCCTATGGAAGCTGAGCAAGAATTAGAGAAATAGTCTTATTTTTCTTTCTATGCAGTAATATGACTGTGCTTTGGCATCAATGGTACAAATTAAAATTACCATATATAATTTCTGAACCTCTTTAATGATGAATATCAGCATAGTCACTCCTGTGGAAGAACCAGCAGGTTATGCATTATGTCTATTCAAACTATATTTCTTTTTTTTTTTTTTTTTTTTTTTTTTTTTGAGACGGAGTCTCGCTCTGTCGCCCAGGCTGGAGTGCAGTGGCGGGATCTCGGCTCACTGCAAGCTCCGCCTCCCGGGTTCACGCCATTCTCCTGCCTCAGCCTCCCAAGTAGCTGGGACTACAGGCGCCCGCCACTACGCCCGGCTAATTTTTTGTATTTTTAGTAGAGACGGGGTTTCACCGTTTTAGCCGGGATGGTCTCGATCTCCTGACCTCGTGATCCGCCCGCCTCGGCCTCCCAAAGTGCTGGGATTACAGGCGTGAGCCACCGCGCCCGGCCTCAAACTATATTTCAACATATTGGAGGAAGCACTCATGTTGCCTTTGTACCTGACCCCATCAATTTCTCACATGGCAAAAATATCAACCAGCTGTCTGGTCAGGATGAGTTCAGGTGTCTGTCAGACCCACCACTTAACAAGCAATATGCTAAAATATTATTGGCTGTGGTTTGTGGTGCATTTTCTCTCAGAAATCCATTGTTTCTCCTTTAAATTTAACGTTTCATTAGCCTTCTTTGTATATTCCTGAATATCAGTAATGGAAACGTCCAATTACTTTCTGACCAGAAAACATCCCACATCACATGTAAATCAGTTACAAAATAATACATGAAGGGAGAAGTTTGCCTCCCTCTTTTCACCTGCAGCATAATTCTGGCTCAGGCCTATCCAACACAGCCTGTTACATTAGTATAAAGGTATATCTCTATCCATATCTATCTATATGCATATTATCTGAGTGACACAGGGTCTCACTCTGTCATCTGGGCTGGAGTGCACTGGCACGTTCATAGCTCACTGTAATTTCAAACCATCGGGCTCATACCATCCTCTTGCTTTGGCCTCTCAAGTAGCTGGGAATACATGTGTACTCCACTATGCCTGGCTAATTTTTTTTTTTTTTTTTTTTTGAGAGAAGTCTTAGTGTGTTGCACCAGCTGGTCTTGAACTCCTGGCCTCAAGTGATCTTATCTCCTCAGCCTCCCAAATTACTGAGATTACAGATATCACCACCATGCCTGGCCTAGACCGATATTTTAATGTATGTCTAAACTATTATTGTGGACCCTAAAAAGGAAATTTAAGAGACAAGTAATAATTAGTAGCACTGATTAAGTGTAATTATTCATTCTAATTATTGGGGTTATAGAAATGCTCATTGTTATTTAAGTCTTTCTTGCTTAGAAACAAGTGAATATACTGCTGTTTAAGGCTGATAAATTGACCACATGCATTGTTCTATTCTTTTCCAAAATGTCGCTACAATGATAATAGAAGTATTTTTAAAGGCATTAACTCAAAAGAATAAATGTATGAGAAATGTAGAAGCTTGAAAACGCCAAATTGGCAACTACTTAGCAGACTCAAATAAACTGCCAGATAGGGGCACATAATCAAAGATCAGCAAACACTTAAGAAAAATCTCTTATAAGAGATGAAAATAACAACAACAACAAACTAGAAAGAAACAGAAAACATGCCTCAAAACAAGCATCAAAAACTAACTTTAAAAAAAATACCTGACAACATGCTCAGAGATATCAGAGGGAAAAAATGTAATGCATCTATAACAAAGGCCAAAAATGTTATTTAAATTTTAAAAAAGAACATATAGGGGAAACATGGCTCTTAACACAAAAGCAAACAAGGGAGAAAAAGCAGTGTTGAGAAACTTTCAAATAAAATCAAATAAATTGAAAAATGGGTAAAAATAGAAAATATAAGGACATTAAATAATCTAGAAGTTTTAACATCTAAGTGACTGAAGTCACATACAGAAATAATATGGAAAATTGAGGTAGGAAATTATCAAAACATTTAAGAAATATTTTTGGTACTGAAACAAATTTCCAAAAAGTAAGGGCTTACTATCTAACAAGAAAAATAGATAAGAACCTACAACTGGGACAAATTAATGTGAAAACCCAGTCGGTTGCACACAAGGAAAAAATCCTGTATTTTTCAGAAGAGAGAAAAAACCTTTTATACAAAGGACCAAGTATCAGAATGGTATTTGGTTTCTCACCAGCAACACTGAAAACTAGAAAACAATTTTCTTTCAAAAATATAAGCGATGTTCAACCAGACTTGTATACTGAGCAAAACTATTAGTCTAGTGTAAGAATATAGTAAATACATTTTTAGGCAGGAACTAGCATGCCCATTTACCTCATGTATATATTTTTTTTTGAGAAGAAAATTCCATTGAAATGAGGGAGTAGACCAAAAAAGAGGAAGACATGAGATCTAAAAATAGGAATACAATCAAAGTGAGAGATGAGTAACCAGTTTTGAGTAGCTTACTAAGCCAGAAAAAAAAAAAAAAAGAAAAGCACAGAAAAGGACAAATAATTATCATTTATAGCTTAGCTGTTTTCATGCACGTCCGTGTGAAGAGACCACCAAACAGGCTTTGTGTGAGCAATAAAGCTTTTAATCACCTGAGTGCAGGCAGGCTGAGTCCGAAAAGAGAGTCAGCGAAGGGAGATGGGGTGGGGCCGTTTTATAGGATTTGGGTAGGTAAAGGAAAAAGGGGGGCTGTTCGCTGGCGGGCAGGAGTTGGGGTCACAAGGTACTCAGTGGGGGAGCTTTTGAGCCAGGATGAGCCAGGAGAAGGAATTTCACAAGACAATCTCGTCGGTTAAGGCAGGAACAGGCCATTTTCACTTCTTTTGTGGTGAAATGTCATCAGTTAAGGCAGGAACCGGCCATCTGGATGTGTGCGTGCAGGTCACAGGGGATATGATGACTTAGCTTGGGCCCAGAGGCCTGACAGCTATGAAGTACATTTTGTGGCCATAATAATGTGAGCACTAGATATTAATTTAACCAAAATTATGATACAACTCTATTGGGATGGTATTAGGAGACACATAGTACTGTTTAAATAAGAGTCATATTTTCATAATTTTCCTTGTGTGGATTTCCTGAGGAAAAAGGTAGAAGGAGGAAGCAAGAAAACTTGAAAGGAAAGCTCAAGATAAACCATACGTGCATACTAAAGAGCCATAAGTGGTATTATTGAAAATTTTGAGAGAAAGGTATTAGCAGGGGGAATAATCATAAAATACGATGCTTTCTTATAATTTTTGCATTGTTCTTTTACTTGTTATATATATCAATGTGGTATCAAGAATAGAACCAAATCTGCTCTAGGAAAGCCAGCTGACTTGTGAGGTAAGAAAACTTTCCTAAGTTATCAAACATTAAAATTGGCTTCTTTTGCGAAAGTTAACTTTGGATAAGAAAATATTTAAGAAAAAAATCCATTTCTCTATTTCCACTCAAGTTAGAAGGCTTTTTATAACTCTAGAAGTTTATTTAGGATAGAAATTGAAGAGCCTGTTCTCAATCAGAGCATCTGTTTGGGTCTAGTGAGTTTTAAATGACATGTCTCCCATGCCATGCAGCCTGGGACAGGTATTCAAATACAACATAAGGATATATTACCCATATGGTGCAGCCAGGACAGGTATTGACATACAATGTATGTAGTTTAAATATGTCTGGTGAATTTTGTGTGTGAAACCTGTTACATCTTACTGATTAATTCAATGCTTCAAAAAGTTGTGTAAAATAAGAGAGAATATTTTTAAAGCACTTCTTGATGGACAATGACATTTTAAAGAACTTTCTCAACAGAGAAATAAAGAATGGAAAACATCAGAAATGCAGATGAGTGGAATAGAAATGTAATAGTAAAAACAGCCAAAAGCACTGTTAGAGAAGATTAGCCAAACTTTGCTTGTGAAACTGTGCCTCTGACGAAGTAAATGCAGCAGGCTGATCCAGGAAACTCTTAGAGCATACTTTAAACAGTCTAGTATACACTTTGGAAATGTGAAAAACTTTGTCACATTCAAAACAAAATTTGTCTGAGAGATTCTGGAATTTCTGATTTAAATTCCTGGCACTGGAGGAAAAATTGCTCCTGGAGATTGATACGTATTGTGATTTTGAATTAAATTCTGGACATCACTTAAGTGTATATTTTGTCATGAGGAGAAAAAAATAGAAAAAATGAGGGCAAGAGAATCTGAGAAAGAAGGAAGGGAGGAAGGATGGAAGGAAGGAAGGAAGGAGGGAAGGAGGGAAGGAGAGAGGGAAGGAGGGAAGGAGGGAAGGAGAGAGGGAAGGAAGGAAGGAGGGAAGGAGGGAGGGAGGGAAGGAAGGAGGGAGAGAGGAAAGGAAGGAAGGAGAGAGGGAGGGAAGGAAGGAAGGAGGGAGGGAGGGAGGGAAGGAAGGAAGGAAGGAAGGATGGAGGGAAGGAGGGAGGGAAGGAGAGAAGGGGGAAGGAGGGAAGGAGGGAAGGAAGGAAAGGTAGTTGGAAAGAAGGAAGGAAGGAAGGAGGGAGGGAGGGAAGGAAGGAAAGAAGGAAATGAGAAAGGAATGAAAAAAGAAAAGAGAAAGGACAAGGGATGATAGTGAAGCCTCAGATTAGCCTAAAGAACCAGAAACATCTGACATCCTAGACTATTCCCAAGCACCCATGCTGTGCCCCTCTTGCCTGACAAAGGAATTTCAATACAACTGTGTAATGGAAATGTTGCCTGGTATCAGGGAATACATTCCAGAGAAGATTAGCCTGGCCTTCCCATTTCAGTCTTTTGTTTATAATTTAGATACAGAGGCCAAAGCAAATGCCATGAAGCAAAACCCTAGAGGGAAAGGCAGTCTTGTTGCTAAGAGGGAAAGTGAATATTGAACTTAGATTTTAAAATAATGGTCTGCCACATTCCTGGTGTTGGTTACTAATTGATTCCCCAGACAAAATTGAGAGAGTGTCAACTATGATTTTAAAGGGCTACTGTTGGCTATTATTGTTCCTGATTTCAAAAGGGGTAGAGGAAGAAAGCCATATTTGTTCAAGTACTGAAGCAATTTCCAGGCTTTCCGTGCAAACCAGATTTGGGCTGCTCATTTTGTACAAGTCACAGTTGCAAAGACCTTATGTGAAGATGAGCTTTTATAATGGGCAGGACCTGCAACAAGCAGAATTGTTGCCAGAGAGGTCAGTCAATTCTGAGAAATGAATCCGTATTAGGCCTGTCCAGTGGGATGTGTTATATGTTAGGAAATGTTGACACTGCATATGGCTCTCCTCTTCATTTTTTCTAAAATAAGGATAATTTTTCCTTTAATTTAATCTTTAACATCGTTTTTATTTCAGGCATTCAGTGTAATTAAGAGTGATTACCATAGCCTTTTTATAAAACCGGTTTGTAGAGTTACAGCCATGTGTAGTAGCTGAAAGAAATAAAAATTAATAAATCCTGAGCTTGGAGCTATTAGGAAAAGCTAGGTGCAAATTTCAGTTGCTAGACTTTTTCCTCATAAATAAAGT
The DNA here is from genome assembly GCF_000001405.40 of Homo sapiens. Taxonomy (NCBI): domain Eukaryota; kingdom Metazoa; phylum Chordata; class Mammalia; order Primates; family Hominidae; genus Homo; species Homo sapiens. The sequence goes on from NC_000008.11 coordinate 75,220,044, forward strand.
CTGGATTTTGTACAATGCAGCAATCTGTCTAGGTAGAAAAATACTTTTTCAGGCTTTCTTTGTAGGTTTTATGACCCATGTGCTACAATTTGAGCCAATGAAATATAAGCTGAAATTTGATAGCTATTTCTATGAAAATTTTGCATTTCTGATATTGGCTTTACTCTCCCACTTTTTACTTTTCTTCTTCTTCTTAATAGCATTGTGTTTGTAAGGATAGAGATGTAAAAGCCAGTTTACTCATTAAAGAAATTCCATACAAACACATTTGTTTGTTAAAGATGGTAACGGGAAATATATAGGAACCTATGACACTGATGACACCATGAAGATACTCTATTAACACTAAGTTGTCTAACTCTGGATTCTTTATTGTAGAAAAGAAAACCCCACCATTATTTGGATAAAGCACTGTTAATAGATTTTGTTAATGCAGAGATCTTTTTGGAATTGTGAAAAGAGAAAAAAAGGAGGCAGGTTACAGTATATCCTACCTATAGTATAGGGGCTGTACTATAGCTATGTACCTACCATACCTTAGTATAGTATGTGGATTGTGTTCTGGAAAGCCAAAAATTGACTATAGAGAACAATTACCATTTATATATCTCAGGCTTCTCTCTTTTTGTTTGAAAAAATAGCCTCTTTTTAACTGTATTTGTTTAATATAACTAGACTGGCTGTTCAAAACCCTGAATTAGATAGAATTTCAAGCAGGAAAGGAAGAAAACATCAATTTTTACTCATCACAGCTAGTGTCTTCATTATAATTCATAGAAAATACAATTATTCTCAGCTATATTTGAGTTCTCTAATGAATTTAAATGTTAACTAGTTGGCTATACTTTCAATCACAAAACATTTTTAAATAATGGTTATACTTTACACATTTCTGTCGAAGGGTTAAAAAAATGAGTTAATGAAAAGGTATGTAATGCTAAAATTATAAATTATAAATGCTAGAAATTAGAAATTGGTCTGTGTTTTGAAACAGTCAGAAATAAAACTTTATGCCACTAGCTTATAGAGTCAAAATTTTTTGGACTGTACATGAAATATATCTAACTTGACCTAACTTACAGCCATAAGAAGAGCATAGAGAAATCGTTTGTGGACCCATACACAGCCATAATTCTCAATGTCTCTTATTCTTGGTTCTGCCACTAGGTCAAATTCAATATCCTCTCTGCAGAGAATTATAAAAGTCCCAAGTTCAAATTCTTAAACTTCTCACAAGTGAGGTTTGTGCCCAAGAACATTTCTCTTTTGAATAAAAGTTGAAGATAATTCTTAAAAATTATTTTACTTTTCTATTGTTGTTGTTAAAAAGTAGTGTCTTTTGATATCAGCAACAACAACAAAATACCTTTAAAAGTAAAACACCTTTGCACTCCTAGTGTTGGTTAGAATAATTTTGCTTGTAATATGATGTAAATAACATTAAAACTAGCTATGCATTAGTTGATTAACAAGTTTTGCACAATCGTACAATTAAAGTCTATAACTACAGAATTTATAACATTCAAAATAATTATGTTTGCATGTAAAAAATATGTTCTTTAATGAAACTATCTGTCAAGAATTGAAATATAATGAAATATAGGTTCTTTTATTTTCTCTATGAGTATACTGTACCTGTACCATGACTGACTCAGTTCTCTCACCATTGTTGTCTATCTGAAACATAAAAACTCTATTTATATAATGCATAAAATTATTTTTATTTAATTTAACCAAAAATTCTAATCTACATATTGTGCTCATCTCAATATGCTCATCTTTCTTGTCATTAGCCTAGTAATACACAATGCAAAATGGTGACATTCTCATAAGGTTAAAAATATATTAAGAAATTAGTTTGTTCATTAAAATTATAATCAATTATGAATTATACCTGAAAAAGTGTTCTTTCTTTATAATTGTAAAGAAAGCTTACAAAGGTGCTGTCTTAGTCCATTTGTGTTGCTGCAAAGGAAGACCTGAGGCTGAGTAGTTTATAAAAAGAGGTTTATTTGGCTCATGGTTGTGCAGGCTGTATAAAAAGCATGGCACCAGCATCTGCATCTGGTGAAGGCCTCAAGCTGCTTCCACTCATGGCAGAAGGTAAATGGGAGCCACCACATGGTGAAAGCAGAAAGGGTTGGCCGGGTGGGGGGGCGGTGCGGGGTGGGGTGGGGGGCGCGCAGGCAGAGAGAGAGAGAGAGAGAGAGAGAGAGAGAGGTGCCAAGCTCTTTAACGAGTAGCTCTTTTGGGAACTAATAGAGTGAGAGCTTACTTATTATCATGAGGACAGCATCCAGCTATTCATGAGAGATATGCCCCCATGACCCAGACTCTTTCCAACAGATCCTACATCCAACATTCGGGATCAAACTTCAGCATCATACTTGGCAGGGCCAAATATAGCAGATGGAAACACAGTTTTGGAGTAATTATTGTTATTTTGACTTCAGAACAATCTAAGGAAATTAAATATGAAAAATTTGGGGGATGATTATTCTGCACGTGTATTACAAACATAAATGAAAAGTGAGCAACAAAATCGTATGGGTCATAAGATGAGAGTGAATATCTTAAGTATGGTAAATACTGCAATGTGAGAGCATGCAAACTCCATTTCTGGCTATGGTGAGGTAATTGATGCTGGAATTAGCTATAAATATGTACAAATTTGAAAAAATACAGAATAAAACTGTTCTTAGACAAAGTACCAAAAGACAAACAAACAAACAAACCTAAACAAACAACAAAGCAGCACAAGAACATCTCTGATAGAAAGAAGCAACCAAAGCAAGCCCTATAATTTACCCAAACTTCTGACTAGAAGAACTTTCCATGTTGCAGCACATGAAGGAAGACCATCAAAAAATGGCAGTTTTATGACTCGGGGAAACAAAAGAACAAATCGGGGGAACTTATTGCCTGATTCCATGACTTACTATAAAGCTGCCGCAATCAGCTGTATGATAGTGGTGCAAGGATACATCAACAGATCATCGGAACCAAACACAGAGTTCAGAAATAGATCAAAACACATGGCTTCAATTAATTTTTAAAGAAGAACACTTCCATTAGCTATAGAATTTTTTAATCAACATTTATTTTATTTCAGCACTTTAAAGATCTCATTCCACTGTCTTCTGGGCTTAATGATCTCTGATGAGAAGTGTGCTAGTATTTAATGTATTGTTCCTCTCTGTGTAATAAGTGTGTCTTTTTTCTCTGACTGCTGTCAAGATCTTCAGCAGGTTGAAAATGATGTCGCTTGGCACAGTTCTCTTTGATTTTATTGTTTTTGGTTTACTAAACTTCTTGAGTTTGTAAATGTGTGTCTTTCATTATAGTGTTTAAGCTTTCAGATATTTTTTCAGAAATTTTTTTCTGCTCATCCTCTTCTTTTCTTTTCTTCTGGGACTTCAATTACTTACATGATTCACTTTTCAAAAAACATCCACAGGTCTCCAAGGATATACTTATTTATTTTATTGATCTCTTCTCTCTTCTTCAAATTGCCATATTTTCATACATTTTTCTCTGCATTACCATTTTTTCTATTGAGAATATCAGGTGAATTTATTTTTAGATATTGTGTTTTAATTCTAAAATTTATATTTGCTTATTTTTATAGTTTACATGACTGCTGAGATTACCTGTTTTCATTCATAGTGAGCATGTTTGCATTTACCTCACTAGGCAAAATTAAAATAGCTATTTTGAAGTCTTTGTCTTATAATTTTAGCATTTCTGTTAACTTGGGGTTGGCATCTGTTGATTATCTTTTCCCTATGCCAATTGACAATCTATTAATTTCTAATGAAGAAAAGTCCAGGAAATAGCTTTCTTTTTTATGTTTGTGACATATTAAAGTTGGAATCCAGTTGAAAGGTTCTTCTAACTTATGTTTAGAATGGAAGCAGCAAATGTGTCCATCTGCAAACTCTGGAAATTCTTCCTGATTCCTGAATTTAAAGGAAATGTGAAGACTGGTAATATGAGTCCCATGATCAGAAGAAGAGGGGCAAAATTGTGTATTAACTCTATATTGACCAAAATACATGCTTCCATTGCTTTGCTGCTGTCTGGGTCCCACCTGGTTTTCAATTTTGCTTGGGTCTTTCTCCTCCTCTCTCAAATCTACACTTTAATATTTCTTGATAGTGCCAATGACTCTCCAGCCAAACATAACCTGTTTCTTGCCAGGTGTTGTTCTGCTATCACAGGCTATGTTCCAGAAAAGCAAATTCTTTTCTCAACACCATGAATGTGGCTGACCAATCACTTTTCACATCTTTCCTCCTTTCTTCAAAATCACATTCTGGAGGAGAAGATAAAAATACACAGTGAAATTAAAATAAAATTTTTTAATTTCTTATTGAAAGATTTAAATTTTATATTAATTTCTAGAATTTCTAGTTTTTCTTTCTTTTTTTAAAAGAACAGTTTATATTATGAACCTGAAGAAATAAGCAGTGGGGAGTTTGAAAGTCGTTGTTAGGCTTCCTGCTGCGTTTTTCTCTTGGAAAGAGCCTTTTCCACAGAAAGTGCTTCATCAGAAAGTAGACCACATTCTTTCAGGGATATTTTAGATGAGATCTATGCCCTAATGTAAAGTTGGAGGTGAGGTTTCCAAGGTCACTTTCAGCTCTAAGGCACAATGATATACTCTGAACGATTATCACATCACACTGGAAAGGGCCTATTATTTTTATTTAACCATGTATTTTAGAAATAATAAGCCCTTTGTTTACATAGACACTATTTAGAGAATGATACACTTTTTCAGACTATTCTAAAAATCTCAAAATTAAAAGAGCCCAGGTTAATAAGGGGCTGATTTATTGCTTTACTACACAAGATGTTTGCCATTAACCTAACAGAGGCGCCACACAGAAAAATCATTGTGTAGGGGAAGAAGCCAGAAGGAAAATTAGTCCTGTGATGAAAGGGAACCCATTATGGCTGACTTGATGATATTAATGGCATTTTCCTTCCTCTACAGTATTGTAAAACCTAAATATTTTAATGGGACTCATTTCCTCCCCTGGAGGAGAAAGATTACATTGCTGTAAGCCTTTTGTAAATTTCAGGGCATATGTTATGTAGCAATCTTATTCTCTCAAACTTTACTGAGGGAGCTTCATTCCTATTCCTGTGATCAGAAGCTGTGAAGTGAGAGTCACTCCAAGCTCCAAATCCTGTCAGCCAACCACTGGCCTTCATGATAGTTCAGGCTGCCAAGTGGACAGAGACTGATTATTTTCTGGCTTCCAATTTCTGAGTCCTGCACTGTAGGTTAGACCGACTCATAAAGTTGACTTTGTGTATACAGTACCCTGAAATGGCATAATCAACATATTTTTCTTCCTGCACATGGCAGCAGAAGAAAAGAACATGCTTCCTTAATTGATCTGCTGAAACCTTGGTCAGCAGGGAAATAAATCTTTCAACCTTTGAGTTATAAGAACTGTAGTTTTCCTAGGGCAGTGAGGATATTTTAATTTGCTTTTCTGTATAAAGCCAAACCTTAGTTTTCAATACACCCATATATTCAGGAACACTAGAAATTATTCTTACACACCTAATATTTTAATAATTATTACTTTTTCTAATATTAGATTATCCCATGTTGCATGCCCAGGACCCATATCTCCAATAATGATATCATTCAGAAAAATAGTAAAAGTAGATAAAATTAAGGATATATATCAAGGTTTGATATAACCCAACATACATAACACTCAACCATTTCAATAATCCGAAGGGTAATTTAGAGTCAAATTATCAATAAAATTAAAAAGATGCCTGTGGCAGATTAAATTATTGCTTTAACACTTATTTCATCACAGTCTGTATTCATTCCCGTTGTTACATCATTTTGCAAGTTCCTCAACAATAACTGAGATACACTTTTCTCCCTCTTTAGAATTGGTCGTTTGATTTACTTCAGCCAATGAATGTGAGTGCATGCGACATGCCTGAAGGCAACAAAAGCATGGCATGAATGGACTTGTTCCCTTGTACTTTTGCCATCATCGAAAGAGCATGCAGCTAGCCCTGTTGTCTAACGAGATGAGATAGCCTGGAGTAGGACTACATGGCTGATGTGAAAACCTGCAGCTTGAGTATTATTTCGGCCTCAGTAGCTGATCCTCCACTGAAAGAGACTCATGAGCAAGCTTAGCTAACACCAGGAAAGTGGTCCAGCTAATTTTCAGTCAGAGATAGTGTAGCTAAGATTTATGGAAAAAAAAAAAAAAGACTTTATTTCTATGAGTTTGTGATATTTTGTTACAGAGAATATCTTATTGATACAGTATGTATTTGATTAAATTAATCATCATAAGTTCACATTAACTAAAGTGTATGCCTTTAACTCAGAGAGGGTACCTTTTTTTTTTTTTTTTTTTAGACGAAGTCTTGCTCTTTCACCTAGGTGGGAGTGTAGTGGTCTCATCTTGGCTCACTGCAACCTCCGCCTTCTGGGTTCAAGTGATTCTCCTGCCTCAGCCTCCCAAGTAGCTGGGATTACAGGGGCACACCCCACTGTGTCTGGCTAATTTTTGTATTTTTAATAGAGACGGGGTTTCATCATGTTGGCCAGGCTGGTCTGGAACTCCTGACCTGAGGTGATCCGCCCACCTCAGCCTCCCAAAGTGCTGGGATTATAGGTATGAGCAATCATGCCCAGCCCACAGTGGGTATTCTTAATGCCCTTTTCAGAAACTGAATTACCCTAATCGCCATAATTCTAAAAAGGCAGTCATAAAATAAAGATATAAATTTTTCAGTGCATGAAATTAAAGTCTCAGAAGCACTTATTTTTTTCTCCAGTTATAGATTAACAATCCAATATAAAATAATTAAAGCATTTGAGGAAAGTTGATTTAGTTAAAATCCTATAAAATCTTGATTAAAATGTAAGTAATAGTGATATATATTTATATAGAACACCTCATTTGAAAAAGAGTTCCACACGTAACATTTTATATCAGTTCTTACAAGATCTAGTGTGGCACTGGAAGGAAGGTATGCTTAATTGAGCTGATGGGGATCTCAAAGACATGTTAATTTAGATACACATTTTTTTAATGGACGGATTTTGCTGTTGACTATCAAATGAAAGTGTTTCAAATTTAAGGAGAAATTCCCCATGTTTATAGTTACAAAAAAGTAATTGTGGCTTACTGATTTTACATTTCAAGGATAAACTTTTTATTCCTACCTAACAACATCTACTTTACAAAGCCTAATTATCATCTATGTATTCTCATACGGAAGAATTGGAGTTTGAGGCTGAATACTATATTCTTAGTACCAAGAAAAGACCATGCTTGGATAGCGTTACTGAAATCAGTCTGCATCATAAAAGAAAGAATCACCAAAAATTAATAAATGCTCCTCAGTATGAAAGCAAGTTTGCAACAGTGTCAGAACAACTTTTTTCAAAATGTTCTGTTTGTTAACCTGGAGATAATTTTTTTTTCCCATCTGATCAAGTTTTATCTACTTGTGAATATTCTGCCTCACATAGATTGCTGTGATTATCTCCCCAACCGCATTCCATGTAATCATTGCTAAGCTCATTCATAATCACATGCTTTCTGTTTACGATATTCTCTCCTCTTCCTGGCTGTGAGCGATCATCTGTAGGCCATTTCCCTGGAATTGAGGGACACTTTGATAACTAAGCACGATTATTTTCTTCACATCTTTACACTGCCTTCTCTCACTACCACTGAATAACTTCTTCATTCTACGTGTATATCTACAAAGAATGGCTTGGGCAAATGTCTAAGAAGAAATATTCAGCAGGTAAAAGTTAAAAGAAAATGATATTTCTATCAACGAAGAAAAACAGATTTAAGTAGAAATGCCAAATGTTGTTTAAAGTAGGACTACTGATTCTGGTAGATGGCTCACACTGATGGAAACTCTTAACTAAACTTCTTTAAAAAATTGTAAAAAAAAATTTGATTCATTAATCTGATGTGCTAATGAGTAAATACATGTTTAGTGTTTGAGAATTTTTTTTAAATGAAAAAGGTCTCTACTTGTTATTCCTGAATAGATATATTCTTTAAACTAGGAATGTCAGTACTCTGAAATTCAGCCTTGTTATGATGTATATTAATTAAATCCTTCAAAATATATTTACTTGAAATTTTCCATGGGCTAGATATGACCATAGGTGGTAAGGGGATAGAGGTGAACATGTTTCTGTGTCCTCAGGGAGCTTACATTCTAGTGGAGGGCATAAATCATAAACAATAATGATATTAATGCTTAGTCACATCTGTGGGAAATGCTTTATAAAGAAAAATGCAAGGCTCAATGAAAGTATATAACAGAACCCTATTTGGTGAAGGAGGGCAGAGATAAAGTAACGTTTAGTTGAAATGAAACTTCAAAGATGGAGTTAACTAAGTGAAAAATTCTAGTGCACACTTTTCAAACAGAGAAAACAGCAGTAGTCCCCCTTCATCCTTGTTTTGCTTTCACAGTTTCAGTTACCTGCAATCAACCACAATCCAAAAATATTAAATGGAAAATTCCAGAAATAAGCAATTCATAAGTTTTAAATTGCTAGATGTGCTAAGCAGCATGATGAAATCTTGTGCCCATGTTTTCTGTCCCATCCAGGACGTGAAACATCCCTTTATCCAGTGGTCTCCATGCTGTATACATTACCCACTCGCTAGTCACTTACTAGCCCTCCTAGTTTTCGTGTTGAAAAAACATACTGTACATGTGGTTTGGTACCATCTGTGGTTTCAGGCGTCCGCTGGGAGGCTTGGAATGTATCCCCTGAGAATAAGGAGAGACTACCAAATAAGAATTCCCTGAGGCAATTAGAAAAATGATGAATATCAGTTTCCTAGAAACATGGTAGCAAAGTGCCACAAACTGTGTGGTGTCAAACAACAGAAACTTATTCTTTCACAGTTCTGGTGAGATAAATAGAGAAACAGGTTTAACTCTAGACTTGGTTAGGATGGCAAAAGAAATAGGGCACACAAACTAGAAATGTAAAATGTACAATAATAGAAGTAGAAAGTTGAAGTAAGACATTTAAGATAATTTTACCAATCTAACAGTTGTTAGTAAAGAAAAAGAAAACAAATATTAAGCATAGTAAATATAAAACCTTAATAATATGGTGGAAGTAAATCTAAATATATCATAAGCCACATGGATGTTATTCTTTCTTATTGAAAGACTGAAAATATCCAGATAATATTATTTTCAAAGGGTTCACACTGGCTAGTGTTACAGTAGTAAAATGTGTTATGGGATCTGAAGATGGGTTGGAAGAGAGAAAAAGTATAAAGGGCAAGAAAAATTAGGAGACCATTCAGTTATTGGTGGTAGGAAGAGAAATGGAGTAAAATATATATTTTAAGAGATACTTAAAAGTAGGTATAATAGTTTATTATATAATCCAAGGGTCAGAAGCTCATATATTTCTAAGTCTTCTGAAGTGGCCATCACCATTCAGCTTTCAAAATAACTAACTGTAAGTTCCATCCCCCAAACTGAGAAATCTAGTTCCCTTTTTCTGTTTGTGGTTATGTCCCAAGATTCTTATGGAACTATTAAGTGTTTTCATGATCTGATACTTATGTTCTGCCTCTTCTGAATTATTAGTGTTGATTTTATATTTCATGCCCTATGACTTTCTGTCTCACCTTAGCCCAAATGTGCCATAAATTTCATTTTTTATTTTTAGTAACCAATACTATCATGAAGAATTTTAAGTTGGGAGTCACAAAAGAGAGTCACAAAATAGCATGAAATTAAAAATGTTAGTCATCCTTTGTAAGATTTTCTTAGCTATAAAACAACTAGAAGATAACAGAGGAGAAAACCTTAATTACCTTCAGTATAATGAAAACTTTTTAGATACTACAACATCAAAGCCATGATCTATGACAGAAATAATTGTTAAGCTGGACTTCATTGAAATTAAACATTTCAGGCCAGGCATGATGGCTCATTCCTGTAATCCCAGCACTTTGGGAGGCTGAGGTGGGTGGATCACTTGAAGTCAGGAGTTCGAGACCAGCTTGGCCAGCGTGGCAAAACCTCATCTTTACTAAAAATACAAAAATTAGCTGGTCATCGTGGCATGTACCTGCAATTCCAGCTACTTGGGAGGCTGAGGCAGGAGAATTGCTTGAACCCAGGAGTTGGAGGTTGCAGTGAGCCGAGATTGCTCCACTGCACTCCAGCCTGGGCAATAGAGAGACTCTGTCTCGATTAAAAAAAAAATTAAAAATTTCTTCTCTAAAGACATTTATGCAGGCAACAGACACATGAAAAAATGTTCATCATCACTGGCCATCAGAGAAATGCAAATCAAAACCCCAGTGAGCTACCATCTCACACCAGTTAGAATGGCAATCATTAAAAAGTCAGGAAACAACAGGTGCTGGAGAGGATGTGGAGAAATAGGAACACTTTTACACTGTTGGTGGGACTGTAAACTAGTTCAACCATTGTGGAAGTCAGTGTGGCGATTCCTCAGGGATCTAGAACTAGAAATACCATTTGACCCAGCCATCCCATTACTGGGTATATACCCAAAGGATTATAAATCAGGTGCTATAAAGACACATGCACACGTATGTTTATTATGGCACTATTCACAATAGCAAAGACTTGGAACCAACCCAAATGTCCATCAATGATAGACTGGATTAAGAAAATGTGGCATATATACACCATGGAATACTCTGCAGCCATGAAAAAGGATGAGTTCATGTCCTTTGTAGGGACATGGATGAAGCTGGAAACCATCATTCTGAGCAAATTATCCCATGGACAGAAAACCAAACACCGCATGTTCTCATTCATAGGTTGGAATTTAACAATGAGAACACTTGGACACAGGGTGGGGAACATCATACACTGGGGCCTGTCGTAGGGTGGGGGGAGGGGGGAGGGATAGCATTAGGAGATATACCTAAAGTAAAGGACGAGTTAATGGGTGCAGCACACCAACATGGCATATATGTACATATGTAACAAACCTGCATGTTGTGCACATGTACCCTAGAACTTAAAGTATAATAAAAAAAATAAGAAAAAAAAATTTCTTCTCTAAGGCAATGTCAAGAGAATGAAAAGACAAGCAGCAGGTTTGGAGAAAATATTTGCAAGACTTATCTGATACAGGACTATTATCCAAATTATATAAAGACTATTAAAGTTCAATAATAAGAAAAGAAGCTACGTGATTTAAAAATGGGTAAAATACCTTAACAGACACCTGACATCATAAGAAGACATATAAATGGCAAATAAAATAGACCTTATATTAAAGAAGATATACAGATTGCAAATAAACATATTATAAGATGTCCACATCATATGTCATCAGGGAAATGCAAATTCAAACAACAACATAATCCCATTACATACCGGTTCAAATGACCCAAATCTGGAATGCTGATGCCAAATGTTGACCAAGATATGAAGCAACAGAAACTTTCAGTCATTGATGCTGGAAATGTGCAATTGTATAGTCACTTCGACAGACAGTTTTGCAATTCTTACGAAATTAAAAATTCTTACGATTCAATCCAGATATTGGCCATTTGATATTTACCCAAAAGAGATGAAAACTTATGTTCACACAAAAGGTTGCACCTGGATGTTTATAGTTTTTTTTCTTTTTTTTTTTCTTTGTAGAGAAGGAGTCTCGCTCTGTCGCCCAGGCTGGAGTGCAGTGGCGCGATCTCGGCTCACTGCAAGCTCCGCCTCCTGGGTTCACGCCTTTCTCCTGCCTCAGCCTCCTGAGCAGCTGGGACCACAGGCGCCCGCCACCACGTCCAGCTATTTTTTTTGTATTTTTAGTAGAGACGAGGTTTCGCCATGTTAGCCAGGATGGTCTCGATCTCCTGACTTCGTGATCTGCCCGCCTAGGCCTCCCACAGTACTGGGATTACAGGCGTGAGCCACTGCGCCCAGCCTATAGTAGTTTTATTTATAATTGTGAAAACTTGAAACCAATCAAGATGTTCTTCAGTATGTGAATGAATGAATAAACTGGTACATCCAATGAAATATAAATGAGCATTAAAAATAAGTGATCTAATAACCCATGAAAAGACATGGAAGAAGCTTAAGTTCATATTATTAAGTGAAAGTAGCCAATTTGAAAAGACTACATACTGTATGATTCCAACACTATGACATTCTAGAATAGATAAAACTATGAAGTCAGTAAAAGGATCAGTGATTGCCAAGAGTCGGGGTGTTGGAGGGATGAATAGGCAAAGCACAGAGCATTTTTAGGGCAGTGAAACTATACTTCATGATACTATAATGGTGGATTGATGTAGTTTGGCTCTTTGTTCCCACCCAAAACTAATGTTGGATTGTAATTTTACATGGTGTTGGATGTACAACGCCAAGAGTGAACCCTAATGTACACTATGGACTTTGGGTGATTAGGATGTGTCATTGTAGGTCCACCAATTGTGAGAAACATACCTCTCTGGTGGAAGATGTTGATAATGGGGGGGGCTGTGCATATGCAAGGGTGGGAGGTTTATGGGAAAACTCTGTATCTTCCTCTTAATTTTGCTGTAAACTAAAACTGCTCTAAAAAATAGTCTCATTTTTGTAAGAAAGGAGTGGGGAAGATGATAAAAATATAAAATCCTAAGTAGAAGGGGATAAAGAAGCCCTTGGCAGAAAGGGGCTGTAGAATGACCAAGCCTCGGTACTCATTTGGATAAGATCAAAAGAATTACACACCAGCAAAAGAATAGACCCAAAATATTGGATTCCTGTTACTAATTCAGCTAAATAAAGAAGCACAGATTAGATAAAAGATAAATTATCTTGGAAGAAATGTCAAACTTTGCATGTTTTACTTTTTTCACAGTAAAACACATTACAAGTTGGAAAATATAAGAAAATAATTCTCATTTCTGGTGTGTCCTTGAATAGAGTAACACATGTTTTTTCTTCTAAGTTGTCTTATGTTTCTATTTTAATACTTATATTTTTTTCATTTCACTGTTGTGCAAAATAAGCTCAAAAAGACTATTGTTTTTATTCAAAAGAACAAATATTGATTCAGAAATGTTTGCACATAATTTAAATAATGATGCAATGCTAAATTTCCTATAGTGTTTTTATCATGTCTCTATCAGCAACTTTAAAACTAATGACTAATCCTAGAAAGTGAAAAATCTGAAATATTACTTGACAATGAAAATCAATGGATGAATTACTTTTTGGAATGTTTCTGTAAAGAAGTCTTAGGATCCAGAAAACATTTTTTCCAGTACCAGTTTCAGACAATTTTATTGAGCCCTTACCACAACAAAGACATCATGTTAAGTATAGGGGAGTGTAGATGGACAACACATACCCTAACCCACCAGGCCCTCTGTAGTAGTTTCAGGAATGTTATTCAAGCATTTTATCTGCGTGGGAAAATGAAATGCCACTGAAACTATAACCAAGAGTTTGCAAATTGACATCACATTTTAGGAACTCCTGTCCAACAGAGTTTTCACCACCCCCCCCAACAACTATATATATATATATATATCTCCACAGACATATATATATACACACACACATATATATACATATATATACACACACATATATATACATATATATACACACACATATATATACATATACACACACATATATACATATATACACACATATATATACATATATACACGCATATATATACACATATATATACACACATATATATACATATATATGTATATATCTCTTAAAACTTTAAAAATTCCAACATTTATTTTCACTTAAGAAAGATATTATATGAAATACAGTCCACAGAGCATGGCATCATTTTTCATTTGCACTTCTCTCTCTTCCTTGATTTCCTCTCACATTCATATTCTTCAGATCTTTTCATTCCTCACATGTACAACGAACACCTTCCACCCCCATTTACCACCCCATATTTTCTCTGCCCTTACAGTGTCTACCCACAAACACAATCTCCATACATGGGTCTATGTTCATAACAGTCAATGTCCTTTCCTTGTTTTTCTGAGTATTTTTCCTTGCCAAAGATAGAGAAATCATGAGGAAAAGTAGGGTAGTTGCTTAAAGCTGTCTTTCCCCTTGACAGCCATTCTAACTTGAGATCATAGCTTGAGGCACAGAGCAAAATTACCTCGGACTTTTTGCTTCATCCTACTCCTAATTGTTTGGTGTATTGTTCAGATATATAGTCCAAAAGATAATGTATGTAAATATACATATGCTTATGTATATGCACACACACAATTGCTTTTTCCTTTGAACTATTTTATCTGTCTCATAATTTAGGCTTTCTGGTTTTAACTTTTAAATCACATCATCTTAAAATTACATATTATTCATATTCTCATTTTTTAGCACTTTGACTTGAATTAAATATTGTATTTTTATCACATACCTCTTTAACTTTCTAATGTCTTTGAATTATTATTTCTTTAGCTACTTGACCTATTTCTCTTATTTTTATTTACTTTTAGAGCTTCAAAAACTGAATTCCTTTTTATATTTATAAATGTTTATTTCCTTGTTTTAATATTCATTCTTTAGATTTATCTATTGTTGTCTGTTTTATTTCTAAAGCTCTTTAGAAGTTACTATTTTTTAAAACTACAATTTTATTTCTTATCTTACCTGTTTTATTTTAGTTCTCTTCATAGTCACAAGCTTAATAAATTTTTGCCTTCTTGATTTTATCATTATATCTTAACCTTGCTATAATTATGCATTTTCACATTGGTTTTAACTTTTTATAGTCTTTTCATTTAAAAATTTTAAGATCTAATTTTAGCGTTTCTTCTAACCTTAATCTTTGACTTTACCTTATAATTTTAACATTTTTAAGTTATGCTCATCTTTTAAGGTTTGTGTAAAATTCAACCACTTTATAGTTTCTGTCATAGATGTAGAAGCTCTGAAGACTGAGATATGTCCTCAGGTATAACAAAATACCACAATAGGGGTAGTGTTGATGAGGACGTGGCTAATTTTAGCTAATAGAGCATAGGTGGATGGCAGAAAAACTGTATTTCAAGGAGCAGAAAAGAGACTACTTCATTGAGGACTTTCTAGGTTTCCATAATGATGAAAGTACTTTGATAAATCACTTTATGTTCTGAATAACCAATTATATCCAATTTATGAATGACTTAACTGGAGTTCCATGAAGACTAACTTCTCCTGGATTGTATGCCTAGTAAAAATATACACCAAGTCCATCTGATTCTATTTGCTCAGTCCTTTACATTACATATGCTCATTGAAATTGCCACAGCAGGGAGCATCTTTGAACTTAATTATCATTATGTGAGCAGAACCAGGAACACCAATGTGCCAACTGTAGGAAAATGACATTCTTCATAAAATATATATTTGAAGTAATATGAAGTCTGTTCATTTTTTAAAGGCAGTTACAAAAGGTAGATGAGGGGCTTTAAATTGTATAATTTACTAGATACTTAAGATACTTTCACACTGAGAAGGAAAAATACAGAGAGGGACCTTCCAGCTACTCTCACCAAAGTTTGAATGTTTAAATCTCTTCCACTAACATTGATAGAAAATGTATTTCTACTTAGTGAAGTAATTGCTAATTGACATCTAATTATCTTGAAAATATATTCCTGGGAAACATAGCCCATTTCATGAAATCACTGGGCTTGTTATGAATTTTTGTTTTGAATTCTAAGCTAATACTATTATGCTCTTTAAGCTTTCCACTACTCTGTAAACACTAGTTGGTCACAGAGTATTTACACAGTATATGCCAAACTTAATACAACTAAGAGCCTGTATTTGTTTTTCAATGTTTTGAAAACTGCATAAATTTTGATGATTGACAGTCAGAGACTGAAAAATAAATATTTTTACTTTTGAATAACAAACACCCACAATTTAAACAGAGTAAAGGGGCTTTGGTTATTTGTTTTTCAAAGTGCATTCACTATTAGAAAGTAACCTAGAAAAAAACAACGTTTTATGTGCTCAGGA
This sequence comes from Homo sapiens, assembly GCF_000001405.40. NCBI lineage: Eukaryota > Metazoa > Chordata > Mammalia > Primates > Hominidae > Homo > Homo sapiens. Next base: position 75,236,076 of record NC_000008.11, read on the forward strand.
AGGAGAAACCTTAAAATACTAGTGACTTGTATTAATACTCTAATAGTGTTCTTTAATGTTATCGATGCTTTTCTTCCTGACCTAATAAATTCAGCAGGTTACCAGTGCAAGTTCAATGTTTTCCTGATATTACCATATGGGTTAACTTGTCAAGTAAACAATATATGCTCCTTAAGATATTCAGTTGTATGTTTTAGATCTTATTCATATGTGTATTTCTGCATGACTATCTAATCTTATCTCTATATTATATGATGCTTAATCAAATTTTTAAGTAATTTGATAATTACAAATAGCCTTTATCTTCAGCATATTGAGCTTATAAAACATTTCAAGTAATTTAGTAGCTTTCTTAATTAATTTTTTTCATTGGCAAGTAGATGACAAGATTTTTAGTAAGGCTTTAAAAATAATTCACACAAGGTAGATAGTGAAAACCACGTGCAGTTTAGGAAAAACACTAAGACTGCCAAAAAAAAAAAAAATGAAGAATATCAAATATTATGATAGCAAATCCTGAAAAGAATTATCTGCCTATGATAGTAATACTCAGGAAAAATAAACCGCATTTCATTACATTAAAAGGCACTCTAATAATTTTCATTTTAGTCATGAAGTTGACTATTTTGCTCAATCACAGTGTGTCCCCGTAATTTAGAGCTCTGGTCGTTGCCCCAGATACTCTCATTATATTACCTTTTTATTCTTTTTATTTTGCTGCTGCTTCCTCTTTTTTTATGTTGCTGCTAATGTATTCTCTGAGTTGGTTGTAGGAATTAGGGAAAAATTGCTTGTAGGAAATTACCATTACTTTTAGAATAGACAAATTAGGATTAGCCAAAATGAACATTATTAACCTACTCATTTTTTAAAAAATGGCCTAAAAAGGGCACTACATTAAAAGGAAAGCAGGGAAATAACAAGGGCCATCCTTCACTTACACAATCTTTTACTCTTGCTCCTGAATTAGAACAATCCCAGGATGGATATAACTCACAAGTAGATATACCATTTGTTACCCCTTTCAGATAATGATATGACTTCACTGGGTGAAGAAAAAGAATTTAAATTTAAGGCCAAAAAAATGGTGTTCATCTGAGTTTTTGACAATCCTACTCATCAAAATAAAGAAACAGTACTTGAAGTCTTTCGTGTTGATTTCATCAATACAATTTTAGTACTGAGAACTTAAGTAAAATTATGAAAAGCAACATATAAAATAAAAAAGTACAGTTTTAGAAATTCAGAACAATTGTTTCAGTGTACAAAAAATCTCTTGCTGTCACAAATAAAAATTAAATTAAATCATATTGTATAAAAAGATGAAAGCAAAAACAGTAGAGAAAAAAATTGAATTCCTATATAGGTACATTAGTGGAATATTCATGAATGTAGTGTTTTCTGGGAAATATTATGGTGAATGACAGAGAGCTTCATTTAATATCAATCTGAAAAGCCAACCCTTTTTTATGTTTTTCGGAAAATTGGTTGTTTTATATTTATAAATTTCTTTAATATTCTTGTATAATGGAGACATCTCATATTCTCTTGTTTTATTAATGGTCACCCTGAGGACAACAATCTAAAATGTTTTCTTATCAACATTAGCACTGACATAGTTTGAAGTTTTTTATGAACTGAATTGGCAAATAGTCATTTATTCATTTACAGAGTAAGAATAACAAACTCTAAACAGATAGTCTAAGAAATCTCAAATGGTCACTCTTTATTAACTTAATACTTCAGAATGATACTGGACTTTTTATTCCCATAATTTTATATTTTTATGGCTTGAGTGGGTAAGAGAATTCTGGCTTAAGTCTTTCTGAAATACATCTGGTTGTTAGTCTCAGCAAGGGTGGACAGGTGAGCTGCTTATGGTCTTGTTTTCTTTTTGTGTGTGTGCAAGCAATGGAAGACAAAGAATACAGTCTGCTTACTTGAAATCATAAGACTTCTTCTTTAATTTCATGCTTATAGGGCTGTGTTTTCTATTAAGTAGAGTGTCACACAAATAATAAAATCACTCCCTGTAGGTTTTCAGACCAATAGTAAATGAATGACAACTAGGACAGGAATTCTCACTGTAAGATGAAACAAGTAAAAATATAACATTAATAGATATTTACATGGTCTTAAAGTTTGTTAGACAAGAATCAATAAAGAGAGTGGAGATATTTAGTTATGTTCTATTTTAATCCATTATTTTAGGAAACAATATATCTGGACTTAATCTTTAAATATTAATACATGAAATTTTAATGGTTTAATGTAGTTTAATATGACTACATATTAATACTACATATTAAGAGGAATGGGTGGTATTTTTTATTATCTCATCTTTGAATACTTCTGAATAAGCCATGCTGAGATTCACCACTGGGTAACTTCTCGAGACTGCAATGATAATATGACATCTATTCAGAGACTATTTGAAGCAAGAGTATGTGCTTTCCAACCCTGAGCAATGTCAGTGGCAATGTCCCTTTATAATTTCTACTTCCTGGCCTTATGGGAGAGAATGTTTCTTGACAGATAGTGTAGAACACATAGTCCAAAGTTCAAACTGAGTGTAATTTCCCATATAGTGCTGCATATGTATTACTTTATTCAAACTTTGGGCATTTTATTTTATTTTGTGAGAGGGTCTCGCTCTGTCACCCAGGCTGGATTGCAGTGGCACAATCTCGGCTCACTGCAACCTCTGCCTCCCAGGTTCAAGCTATTCTCTTGCCTCACCCTCCCGAGTAGCTGGGACTACAGGGACTTGCCATCTGCCTGGCTGATTTTTGTGTTTTTGGTAGAGACAGTGTTTCATCATGTTGGCCAAGCTGGTCTTGAACTCCTGACCTCAAGTGATCCACCCGATTTGGCCTCCCAAAGTGCTAGGATTACAGGCATGAGCTACTGTGCCTGACCTGGGCATCTTATTTTCATTTATGGCCTATAAAACTATTTAGAGCATATATTTAATATATTATTGTGTAGTAAATAACACAGATGGTGACATTTGCCTTTTCTAGATAAGACTAAAAAGTTTTAGATGGAAACATTTGGAAATAAAGTCAACATGATTAGGCTATCAGTACTGACTGGTGATGGTATGAAAACAATGTAGAAGACATCACTTTAGAGTTATAAAATCTCAGGCCAACTAGGAAAAAGTCACAGATAAAGACTCTACAAGGGGATTAATGGATTTACCTTGTATTACACATACAAGGTTGAACTAGATTTAAGTAGTTATTTTTAATGGGTACCTTGCCTCATTATTCTCTTCTTTCTCTGATAACTCAGAAGAAGAAAACATTCTTTATGTCTGCAATAAGACTCTACATGTAAGATCATTTCTCCTGGCCCTAAGACCACTAGCAATAGGGTCTCGAAAGTAGAGTTTACATGCACCTAATCGCTAAGGCAATTCCACACCACTAAGATTCATACGAACCTGAGATAATGTATTGAAATTGCTGCTGGTGAATACAAACTGAACTACAAAGTCCTGAAGCTAGTACTATATCAGAGAGATATTCTCATTTTGAAAGAGGACCAAAAAAAGTTATAAAAGAAATAAAATAAATCATAAATATTTACTAGGGTTTAGAAATATTTCCATTTCTATATTCTTTTCAAACTTGGTTTGCACACTCTGAATTTATATATTATAGTAAAAACTTTAATTAGCATGACAGGTGATGACTATGTAAGCCAAATGTCAGGAGATCTGTGAGAACTAGACTCATAATTCAGGCAGCCCATGGGACCCTCAGTGTGTGTGTTCTGCTGTACTAACTTTCACAGTTATCACAGAATAACTTTAAAACTGTTAAGATTTTCACCTTCTATAAAATCTCTGTAAAAGGGTCTTAAAACCTGAGCCAATGTAAAATCATCACATTTGTATACATTAGTGTCGTTTTCCTTATTGTTTTCTTTCCCTTAATGTTGCTCAGCTAGTGAAGAAGAAAAATATAAATAATTCTCTATTTTTTAAACTTTACTTTTAGATTTAAAAAATATCAAATCTTGTAAGAAACTGTTAGCTAACTATGAGATAAAGGAAAAGTAAATTTAGATTTTGAAACAGCAGTTTAAAATCTAACATGTTAAGCACAACAAAAGTGTAATTAAGTTGCCTAATAGATACCTTTTTTTTTTTTTAACCCCAAGCCAGTATGCTATTTTTCATTTGCTCCTCAAGATCCATGCTCCTCTTTGCTTTATCTGCTGTGTTTCCTGGGAAACAATCTATGTGGAATAAACTAACACACTCTGACTCCTAGTTGGGGTCAATGAATGGGAAAGCCATGAGACATTAGAGGAAGAAATGTGAGTAAAGTTAAGCTCTTTATCCCCTCTGTCTCCCTGCAGAACCACTGCAGGCTGGCTATGGTCCTCAGCTGAAGGTCATAGCAAAGTCAGACAGTTCTCTCTTGCCCAGTGCACATAATCATCCCTATCCTAGTCCTTAAGTGGGATAATAATGGTTCCCAGTTCATTTAGCCTCTGAAGTACTAACCACACTAGTCCTTGCGTTTTCCATAAAGGCCATGTATACCTTAAAAACAGTCACTTTAAAAAAATCTTCTCTAATGTATGTGTGATATTTATTTCTTACAAAGTCCTTGCTGATATCCAAGTGACAGGTATCCAAGTATCTGGTGGCTGAAAAATCATTCTCATCACCAAATATAGAAATATTTAGTATATCTACTCAAAAGTTAGTCTATATGGCATATAATCTAAGATTCTTTATGCTAAAAAAATTATTCTTTAGGAAACCTCATACAGAGCTGGGTGCGGCAGCATGTAACTGTAATCCCAGCTACTCCAGAGGCTTAGAGGTAGGATCACTTTAGCCCAGGGGTTCAAGACCAGCCTGGGCAATATAACGAGGTCCTTCTCCCAACCCCCTTAAAAATAACCCATATAATATTGGGGAAAAGAAGTAAAAATCAAGAATAATCCTTTCTAGGATTCGAATGACCTATTATCTCCTCAGTTTCCAGAGACTGTCAAAATACTATTAGACTCTTCATGTTTACAAAACTTTTATTCAATGTCATAAATGAAGTTTAGCAAAAGGAAGTTCCATTATGTAGAATTTTGCATTTTCAAGTGAAAGTTTATTTTTATTCTTATCCAGTTAACTTTGCAAAGTCATAAAATACTTGGCCATTATCAGATTTCACTAAAACTTGAACTTTGCAAAATCATACAATTGCTCTAAACTTGTATTATTTCCTTTTTCACAGCTAGGGTTAAATGTAATTTTCACGTATCTTTCATCTTTATATTATTCATATCTTTAACTGCAAAATAAATGTTTCTTTTTTTAAATTTATGCTGGGTGTGGTGGTTCATGCCTGTAATCTCAAAGGAGGCTAAGGCAAGAGATCACTTAAGTCAAGAGTTGGAGACCAGCCTGGGAAGTATATGACACTCAGTATCTACCAAAAAAAAAAAAACCTAAAAAATAAGCTTGGTGTGATGACACTCACATGTAGTTTCAGATGCTTGGGAGGCTGAGGCGGGAGGATCACTTTAGCCCAGGAGTTCAAGGCTGCAGTGAGCTATGATTGTGCCACTGGACTCCTGTCTGGGCAACAGAGTGAGATTCTGTCTCGATAAATTAATAAAAATATTTTTTTCTGCAGATTGCTTTCCATTGATTGATGTCACTGTATTCCCATGACTTAAAAGTTGTTTATATAGTTTATGCCACATAACAATGTTTCAGTCAATGATGGACTGCATATATGATGATGATACCATAAGATTTTAATGGAACTGGAAAAGTCTTATTGCCTACTGATGTTGCCCTTGTAATGTCATAGCACAAAACATTACTCACGTGTTTGTGGTGATGCTGGTGTAAACAAACCTACCGTGATGCCAGTTGCATAAATGCACAGCACGTACAATTATATACAATACATAATACTGGATAATGGTCATAAATGACTGTTACTGGTTTATGTATTTACTATACATTACTTTTTATTTTTATTTTTGAGAGTATTCCTTCTACTTATTAAAAAAAAGTTAACTGTAAAACAGCCTCAGGGAGGCTGTCCAGGAGGTATTCCAGAAGAAGGCATTGTTATTGGAGATGACAGCTCTATGCATGTTACTGCTTCTGAGGACCTTCACTTAAGATGAGATGTGAAGAGGGAAGAGAGTGATATTGATGATCCCGACCCTGTGTAGGCCTAGACTAATGTGTGTGCTTCTGTCTTGGAAAAAAAATATAAAAATAAAAATTAAATGAATAAGTAAAAATAGTAAAAAATAAAAAAGCTTATAGAATAAGGATATAAAGAAAAAACATTTTTGTACAGCTATAGAATGTGTTTGTGTTTTAAGCTGTGTTATAAAGGAGTCTAAAGTTAAAAAAATTAAAAGGTTTATAAAGTAAAAGAAGTTACAGTAAGCTAAGGTTAATTTATTATTGGAAAAAGATTTTTTAAACTAAATTTAGAGTAGCTAAGTATATAATAATAAATATCCTAGGCCTCCACATTCACTCACCACTCACTCACTGATTCACCCAGAGCAACTTCCAGCCCTGCAAGCTCCATTCATGGTAAGTGCCCTATAGAGGTGTACCGCATTTTACCTTTTATACCATATTTTTACTGTACCTTTATATCTTTTATACCACATTTTTACTGTACCTTTATATCTTTTTGTGTATGTGTGTGTGAGACTGAGTCTTGCTCTGTTGCCCAGGCTGGAGTGCAATGGTGCTCCCATCTCTACAAATTATACAAAAATTAGCCAGGTGTGGTGGCGCACGCCTGTAATCCCAGCTACTAGGGAGGCTGAGGCAGGAGAATTGCTTGAACCCGGGAAGCGGAGGTTGCAGTGAGCCAAGATCGCGCCACTGCACTCCAGCCTAGGCAACAGCAAGACTCCGTCTCAAAAAAGAAAAAATTTTATCTGTCCCTGTAGAGCATGATGTTCTGAGATTGTTGGCCCGAACAGAGCTCTGAACATTCAAGTTGTCTGAGAGGAATAGGAATTTAAATAAGCTTTACTTGAGTACTACTATGAGCTAAGCATTAAAGTAGCATCTAGGCATTAAAGTAGTATACTAGGCATTCAAATAGCACCACAGCTAGCTTATTACTGCCTTTTTGCAATCTAGAGAAAGCCCTCCTTTTCCTGTAGTGGGCACAGGACTTCTCTAGGGCACATTTACTTTTAGCTCCTGATCACCAACTTGCCTAAGTGTCTTGAGCAGTGCACATACAACTCAACCATACTTGGTTAGTGCTATCCTGAGGATAAAACAGGTAAGTTAGACACTAGCTTGGCTTTCAAGGAATTCACAAATTAATTGTGGTGATGACAATGTATAAAAAATATGATATAAAAATACTAAGTGTATAATGAGGGTACGAAAAATATGTGCTGTGGAAACCCATCATATAAAGCTAATAACTGAAATGATTAACAAATTTCTACAACTCTTATTCAATAAAGAATTGTAAGTCTGTGGCCTAAATTGCTAGGTTTTTGAAATATTCAAGATCATCAATTGCATCATTCCTGAACTTGCTTACCCTTAGAGGATAGTTGTTTGTGAGAACTGAGAACAATTAACTAATCTTAGTACCCACTTAACATAAAACATCTCCTCCCTGACAGAAGAAATAATTACATAATCACACTTTGGGATAGACCTTCATTCTAACAAGAAAAAAAGCTGTCTTTTTTTCTCACCTGTTTTCTGGTGGCTGCACTCTAAAAACCTCAAGATAATACTTCTTTGTGATGTCAGCAAGGCTTTCACAGAGATGATGTACTTTATCTCAATATTTCAGAATTTCAGGTGAAGATATTTGTGCTTCATAATAGTGGAAAATGTGAGAGCAAAGTATTCGCTGTGGAAGAAGTGTTTTGTGCAAATGCTTTGAACTGCAGAAGCAAAAATGATGCAGTGTATTCAGCAAGGAGCTCTGACTGGCTACAACATATGGGTCTATATGTGCAAAGTCAAGGAAAAAGAAGATGTGCAAGGTAGGTGAGTAAACAAACAAACAAAGTCATGGAATTGTGAGGAATATATTTTTTTTTAATAAAAATCACCTGGGAACCAGGATAAGTCTTTAAAGGAATAGAAGGATATAGTCAGATTTGGTTTGTGGAAGATAACTTGGGCAGTAGTGTGGAGCAAAGGAGAGTGGGAAAAGACCAATGACTGCTGGAGGTGACTGCCATGGTATAGGCAAGTGGTTCTGAACCTGGAGTGATTTGGTGCCCAGAGAACATCTGCCAAGGCCTGGAGAAGGCTGGAGGCAGTGTTTGCTATTGGTATCGAGAAGCTAAGCACACTGCTGAACACCCTACATTTTATAACACAGCACCCAACAACAAATAATTATAGTGACAAAAATGTCAGTGCTGCCTAGATTGAGAAAACCTGCTTTCAATAGGGTGGTAATGCATGGTATCACATTAAAGGTTTCATTTGTGTTTCAATAATGACTAATGAGTATCTTTTCATGTGCACAATCAATAAAGAGTATTGAGCATCTTTTCAACTTTTCATTGCATCCCTATGTCTTCTTTGGTGAAGTGTCTGTTTAAATCATTTGTGCATTTTAAAAATTGGGTTATTTTCTTATCATTGCATTTGAGAGTTCTTTATGTAGTTGAAATACCAGACCTTTATCAGATATGTGTTTTGCAAATATTTTCTCCCAGTCTGGTTCTTGGGTTTTCATTCTCTTAACCAGGTCATTGGAAGAGCAGAAGTTTTTATTTTTGATGAAGTCTAATTTTATACCTTTTTCCTTTATGAACTGTATACTCTGTGTTATATCTAGAAAATCTGTGACTAATTCAAGGTTTAAAAGATCTTCTCCTAGGCTGTTTCATAGTTTTAGGGTTTACATTTAAATCACTGATACATTTTGAATTAATGTTTCTATATGGTGCAAGGTATGGATTGAAGTTCATTTTGTATGTAGATATCAATTGTTCAAGAAAAAAAGTTGAAAAGTGTACACTTTTTTCACAGAATGCCTGGGGAATTTTGTGAAAAAATCAATTGATCATATCTAAATGGGTTTATTTCTGGACCCTCCATTGTGTTGTTCATTTTATGCCAATAACACATTGTCTTGATCATATGGCATTATAAGACTTGAATTATTAACCACAATTACTTTTTCACCAACCTAATAGATAGTGAAACTTCTCCAACCTTATTCTTCTCCTGCAAGGTTATTTGGCTCTTCCAGGACCTTTGCATTTCCCTATAAATTTTAGAGCCAGCTTGTCAATTTTAATAAAAAGCTTGCCAAGATTTTGAATGGAATTGAATTGGTTTATAAATCAGTATTAGGTGAATTGTTATCTTTAAAATATTGAGTCTTCTGACCCAAGAGCCTAGTATATCTCTCCATTTATTAAGATCTTTAAATTCTTTCAACAAAGTTTTATAAATTTTAGTATACAGCTCTTTTCATTTTTTGTTAGATTTAGCTCTTTATACTTTTGGTGCTATTTTAATAGAGTTTTAAATATTGCAATTGTCAATTGTTCTTTGCTTTTATAATGAAATACAAGTTATTTTTGCCTCCTGCACTCCTGATAAACTCAGATACTAATTTTAGAAACTGTTTTGGAGATTTCTTAGGATGCTGGACACAATCATTCTATCTGCAAAAAAACACAGTGTTAGTACTTTTTTTTCCAATCTGGATGCTCTTCTTTTCTTGCCTCATTGCATTGGATTGAATGTATGAATTGTTATTTACTTTCCAAAACTAGGGAATTTTCCTTATATGTTTCTGTTACTCATGCTAGTTTGCATTCTGAAAACATCATAATTTGTATGATATTAATCATTTTATACTTGAGACTTGTTTTATGGTCCAGAATATGGACTATATTGTTAAATGTTTCATGTGCACTTGAAACTTTCTAAACTTAGTAATGTTTGGTAGACATATGCTATCATGGTGAAAGAAGCGTGATTATAATTGCTTATTTGTCTTTTATTCCTTACAATTCAATCAGCTTTTTCCTTATATACTTAGAAACTGTTATCAGTATATAAACACAGGATTATTATATTATTTTGAATAGCAGAACTATCATTATGAAATGACTTAGTTTATTTCTAATAATACTATTCTTTTCTCTGAAATCTGCATATTCTGATATTAATTTAGGCACCATAACTTTATTTTGATTATAGGTAGCATGATATATCATTTTCCATGCTTTTACTTGTGATCTATTTAAGTCTTTATATTTAAAGGGACTTTTTATATGCCATATATAATTGGGTCTTTCTTTTTTAATCAAACCTGACAACCTCTGACTTTTAAGTGGGATGTTTAGACCATTTATAATCAATGTTATTAATGTTATAGTTGGAATGAAATCTTCCATCTGCTTTTGGTTTTCTGTGTATCATATCTGTCCTTTGCTTTATGTTTCCTTTTCATTAATTCGAAATTTTCATTACTTTACTTCTTTGCTAGCTTAAGTATAACTTTCTTGTTGTTATTTTAGTATTTGCTGTAGAGTTTGAGGTATATCTGCTTAACTTTTACATTCTACCTTCATTTAATATTATACCACTTCACATAAAGTATTAAAAACAATTTATTTTTATTTCTAGGTACTCAAACTCAGTGCTGTTGTTGTCATACATTTTACTTTTATACATGTTATAAACATAACAATTCATTTTCATTATGTTTTCTTTGGACTGTTGACAATAATTTGAAAGATTTAAATGTAGTAAGAAAAAAAGTTTTGACTGCAGATGTAGTTACCATTTCTATTGCTCTTCATTTCTTTCAGTAGTTCCAGATTTTCATCTGGTATAATTTTTCTTCTGCCTGAAAGGTTTTCTTGGATTTCAATTCAGCTGGTGATAAAATCTTTCATCTTTTGTGTATCTAGGAAGGCTATTTCTCTTTTGTTTATAAAGATATTTTGACTGGTTAGAGAATTCCAGGTTGACAATACTATAAAAATGTTACTTTACAATATTCTCAGTTGCTTTGTTTCCATTAAGTATCCCCTGTCATCTTTATTGTTGTTGTAGTGTATATAACATGTCTTTTTCTTCTAGTTGCTTTTAACATTTTCTCTTCATTGGTCTTTTTAATTAATTCGATTACGATGTTCCTTGGTGTAGTTTTCTTTCTGTTTCTTGTGTTTTGGGTATTTTGGGAATTGCTTCTTCAAATATTTTGATTTGTTCCCTATTCATTTTTCTCCTTCAGGAACTCTAATTGCACACACATTTGATTGCATTTAGTTGCCCAAGTCTCTGTCCATTTATTCAGCCTTTGTTTCTTTCTGTGCTTTATTTTGGTTAGTTTCTATTGCTATATCTTTAAGTTCAACAATTTTTTCCCCTGAAATGTCTCATCCACCATTAAAGGTGTTTAGTGCATTTTTCATCTTAGACATTTTAATTTTTATCTCTAAAAGTTTGATTTGGGTTATTTTTATATCTAACATGTTTCTACTTATCATATTCCCTATTTCCTGTAACTTCTTGAAAATATGTAATACAATTACAATAACTGTTTTAAAGTCATTGTCTATGAATTCTATCACCTGTATTATTTCTAGGTAGTCTTGATTAATTAAATTTTCATGTCATTATGGACTCTATTTTTCAGCTTCCTTGATTGTCTAGTAACTTGTTACTGAATGCCAGATATTGATATTTTTACTTTGTTATGTTCTATGTTATATTTCCGTGAATTTCTTGTAATTTTTTCTGGAATTACACAAAGTGTGTGTGTGTGTATATATATATATATATGTGAGATGTTTATATGTGAGATATATATTTCTCACATATATGTATATATATATACATGAGAAAAGGTGATTGAGCCATTGTCTGCTTTCTCCACCATCACCCCAACCCTCTCTCCCAGAGCATCCCTGGAAAAGGGAGCAAATGGATCACAGGCAGGTGCCTAATTTGTTTCTCACTCACGTGTACTGGATAATAGAGAAGGTTGTGTTTTATTTCTATTTTAGGATCTGCTTCTCCAGTTGAACTCTGACAAACACAGATTTTGATAACTGCAAGTAGGGTACTGCTGTAACAAATACCTAAAAATATGGAAATGACTTTGGAATTGGGTAATGGGTAGAAGCTGGAAAAATTTTGAGATGTATGATTGGAAAGGCCTAGATTTCCTTTAATAGACCATTAGTAGAAATATGGATGTTAACAACTTTGCTAGTGAGGATTTAGAATAAAGGGAAGGGCAGGGTAAAGAAAACATGTATTTTCTTATTACCTAAATTGTCATAAAGAGGATGCTTATAGAATATTTATATTAAATGTGATGCCAGAGAAATAACATCATCTTAGAGAATACATAAATAATTATGAATATATTATTTAGAGAAATATAAATCTTAAAAGTGCTGCCAGTGAGGGCTCAGAAATAAGGAACATGCTATTGAAAATTGAATGAAAAGATATCCTTGCTATATAGTGGCAGAAAGCTAGCTGAATTGTGTCATTCAGTTATGTGAAAAGCAGAACTTGTGAATGATAGACTTAAGTAACAGGACATTTCCAAGCAAAGTGTTAAGGTGCAGCTGGTTTCTTCTTCTGGCTTATAGCAAAAAGCAAGAGGAAAGAGACAGTTTAACTTTAAACTGTTAAACAAAGTGGAACTAGGACTTGATGATTTTGGAAGCTTCAGTCTCTCCAGATTACAAAATATGCTATAATTAGGAGATTTGTTGTCAGAAAAGCATACTTTCAAGAGACAACCAAAGGTATGGCTAAACAAGTTTTGTCTAGTGCCTCAGAATGATTGAAAGATGCACTTGTACAGAGAACTCTTTGAAGAGATTAGGCGTGGGACACCCACAATGTTCTTGACAATGTTATACCAGCAGAAATACTGCCAGCTTGGACCTTGGATCAAAAAAGACAAAGAGAGTACTGGCTACAGCATCCTTAAACAGATTGATGAGACAAATAATCTGCAAACATGTACTCTCTTTCAAGAGAAAGAATAACTCCTAGGGCATAGTGAGGTGCCCAGAAGGTAAAGCCACAATCTCAGAGGATTATTTCCAGGACTTGAAACCGAATGAAGCTTATCCAGATGATATCAGAATTACTTGGATTAGCGACGCCTTTCTTTCTTTTTTTTTTTTCTTTCCTTCCCATTTTAAATGAAAGTGAATATATACTATTATCATTAGTCTGTCTACCATTTCATTTTGGGTGAACATAACTAATTTCTTGAATTTTAGTGGACCACAGCTAGAGATGAATTGTGACTCTGGATGGATTATATCAAAAGCCTCACCCACATCTGATTTAGATAAGGAGATTTGGGACTTTGGAGTTGATGATATTTTGATGAGCTATTAAACTTTGCTTTGATGCTACAATTAATTAAGACTTTGGGAATGTTAAAATGGGATGAATGTACCTGGAATGTAAGACAGACGTGAATATTTGGAGCCAAAAAGTAGACTGTTATAGGCAGAATAATGTCATTACCCAAAAAATGTTCGTGTCCTAATCCCCAGAAACTGTGAATAGGTTGTTACATAGCCAGAGAGAATTAAAGTGACAGATGAAATTAAGGTTGCTAGTCAGCTAACCTTACAAATAAAGAGATTGTCCTAGATTGTCTAAAATAATCTAATAATGTAATTACAAGGATCATTTATATGCTAAAAAGGGAAGTAGAAGAGTTAGTGTTAGAGTAATGCAATGCGAGAAAGACCTAACTGGTTAATGCTGGCTTTGAAGATAGACGGGAATCACTAATCAAGAAATATAGACAGCCTCTGTAAAGTGCAAATGGCAGAAAATTCATCTTTTTAGTCTCCAGAAACCAATGCACTCCTGCCAACACTTTGGTTTTGGTCCAGTGAAATCCATTTTAGATTTATGACCTGCAGAACCATAAGATAACTAATTTGTGTTGTTTTGAACCACTTAGTTCATTGTAATTTGTTACAGTAGCAATAGGAATATAATACAGGTTTGGGGGTACAATTTTTCTTATTATTTCTCTTTTCCAAGCTCTTTGCAATATTATCATTGCCATTGAACTATCTTTTTTTTTTTTTTCAAATTCAGAAAAGGTTAGAAATTTTCCCAATGTTCCACAGCTAGTAGCTGAAACTCAGACCTATGGCTTCAGTCTGACCTGACTAAATTGTGTATGCTTTCCACTCTACTACATTGACCTAAATATTACAGAACAGTAAAAAATTAACCTGGATGCCATTTTACAGATTTATACATTCAACCAACAATAATTGTGCTTTATCACAGCTGGCTTTATGGGAAACACTGAAAATAAAAGATAAGAGTGTGCCTGCTCTAGAGAAGCTAAAAGTTAAAATATATACAAAACTAGAAAGTTTAAAGTTACTATTTTGATGTGGAAGTTATCTTTTTATTATGACAGCAAAGACTGACTTGCAGGCCATTCCAAATCCATTTTGCATAAGTAATGATTTAATTATGCTACTCTCAAGCCAATACATCCCTAGTAATTTTTGCTAACATAATGTGAAAGCCTTCTGTCTGATATGTAAACTTTCATAGAATATGATCCCAATCAACACATCAGAACTCTTTTCTTTTGAATCTCTAACATGAATCCTTACCTAATACACCATACCTTTGTCTGTCTCTTGAAAGTATCTTTTCTGACAGCAAATCTCCTAATTGTAGCATCTTTTGTAATCTGGAGAGACTGAAATTTCTAAAATCACCAAGTCCTACTTCCACTTTGCTTAACAGTTAACAATGAAACTTTATACTTAAATGATATAGACTGGTTGAATAAATTTTTTAAAACACCCAACTATATGCTGCATATAAGAAACTCATCACACCTATAAAGACATCTATAGCAATTCTCTTGCCTCAGCCTGCCAAGCATCTGGGACTACTGGTGTGCACAGCCACATCTGGCTTATTTTTAAATTTTCTGTATAGTCTGAGTCTTGCTATGTTGCCCAGGCTGGTCTCAAATTCATGGGCTCAAGTGATCCACTTCCACTTCTAACTGGGATAAGATATCTCATTATGATTTGATTTGCATTTTCCTGGTGATTAGTGATGTTGACCATTTTTCATATACCTGTTGGCTATTTATATGTTCTTTTCAAACTATCCAAAACAATAGAAGAGGAAGAAATTCTGTCTAACTTCTTCTAAAATGCCATCATTACCCTTATACCAAAACAGACAAGAATGTAACAACAACAACAACAAAAAACTACAGGCAAATATCCCTGATGAAAGTTGATGTGAAAACCATCAACAAAATACTAGCAAACTGAATCCAATAGTGTATCAAAAAGATAACACACCATGATCAGGTAAGATTTATCCCAGGGATGCCAGGATGGTTCAACACAGGCAAATCAACAAAATATATATATATATATATATATATATATATATATATATATACACACACACACACACACACACACACACACATATATATACATATATATACACACGCATATATATACATATATATACACACATATATATAAATATATACACATATATACATATATACACATATATATACACACATATATATAATATATATACACACATATATATATGTCATTAACAGAATGAAGAGAAAAAAGTATGATCATCTCAATAGACATAGAAAAAACTTTGATAAAATTTAACATCTCTTCAGGATAAAAATGCTCAACATAAAAAGGCCCCATTTATTATGTCCTTCCATGCCTAGTTGGTTAAGCATTTTTATCCTGGAGGGATAAAAATGTTCAATATCTATTTGTCTTAAATGGACATAATAATGTTTATATATGGCCTCAACAAAGACCATATATGACAAACCCACAGCTAACATCATACTGAATGGAGAACAACTGAAGGCCTTTCCTCTAAGAACTAGAACAAGACAAGAATGTCCACTTGTACTGCTTCTATTCAACATAGTTCTGGAAGTCCTAACCAGAGCACTTAGCCAA
Organism: Homo sapiens; assembly: GCF_000001405.40. Taxonomy (NCBI): domain Eukaryota; kingdom Metazoa; phylum Chordata; class Mammalia; order Primates; family Hominidae; genus Homo; species Homo sapiens. Next base: position 75,252,084 of record NC_000008.11, read on the forward strand.
AAGAAAGACAAAAAGCCATCCAAATTGGAAACAAAAAGGTCAAACTGTCTCTATTAGTCTGTTTTCATGCAGCTGATAAAAAGGTACCTGAGACTGCGTAATTTATAAAGAAAAGAGGTTTAATGGACTCACAGTTCCATGTGGCTCAGGAGGCCTCACAATCATGGCAGAAGGTGAAAAGCATGTCTTACATGGCAGCAGGCAAGAAAGAATGAGAGCCAAGTGAAAGGGGAATCCCCTTATAAAACCATTAGATCTTGTGAGATTTATTCACTATCACAAGAACAGTATGGGGGAAACTGCCCCCATGATTCAATTATCTCCCACCAGGTCCCTTCCACAACACGTGGGAATTATGGGAACTAAAATTCAAGATGAGATTTGGGTGGGGCAGAGCCAAACCATATCATTCCACTTCTGGCTCTTCCCAAATCTCATGTCCTCACATTTCAAAACCCATTATGCCTTCCCAACAATCCCCCAAAGTCTTAACTCACTTCAGCATTAACCCAAAAGTCCATAGTCCAAAGTCCCATCTAAGAAAAGGCAAGTCCCTTCTCCCTATGAGCCTGTAAAATAAAAAGCAAGTTAATTACTTCCTAGACACAATGGGGTACATGCATTGGATAAATATACCCATTCCAAATGTGAGAAATTGGCCAAAACAAAGGGGCTACAGGCCCCATGCCAGTCTGAAATCCAGTGGAGCAGTCAAATCTTAAAGCTCCAAAATGACCTCCTTTCACTGATGACATCCAGGTCACGCTGAAACAAGAAGTGGGTTCCCATGATCTTGGGCAGCTCCACACCTATGGCTTTGCAGGATACAGCCCCTTCCTGGCTGTTTCACAGCTGGCATTGAGTGTCTGGCTTTTCCAGGTTCATGGTGTAAACTGTCGGTGGATCTACCATTCTAAGGTCCGAAGGATGGTGGCCCTCTTCTCACAGCTCCACTGGACAGTGCCCCAGTGGGGACTCTGTGTGGGGGCTTCCACACCACATTTCCCTTCTGCACTGCTCTAGCACACATGCTCCATGTGGGCCCCACCACTGCAGCAAACTTCTGCCTGGACACCCAGGCATTTCCATACCTCCTCTGAAATCTAGGCAGAGGTTCCCAAACCTCAATTCTTAACTTCTGTGCACCCACAGGTTCAACACCATGTTGAAGCCGCCAAGGCTTTGGACTTGCACCCTCTGTAGCCATGTCCTGAGCTGTACCTCGGCCCATTTTAACCACAGCTGGAGTGGCTAGGATGCAGAGTACCAAAGTCCCTAGGCTGCACAAAGCACAGAGACCCTGGGCCTGACCCACAAAACCATTTTTTCCTCCTAGGCCTTTAGGCCTGTGATGGGAGGGGCTGCTGCAAAGGTCTCTGACATGCCCTGATGACATTTTCCCCATTGTCTTGCTGACTAACATTTGGCTCCCATTACTTATGCAAATTTCTACAGCCCACTTGAATTTCTCCTCAGAAAACAGATTTTTCTGTTCTATCACATCATCCTGCTGCAAATTTTCCAAACTTTTATGCTGTTTCCCTTTTAAAACTGAATGCTTTTAACAGCATCCAAAGTCACCTCTTACATGCCTTGCTGCTTAGAAATTTCTTCCACCAGATACCCTAAATCATCTCCCTCAACTTCAATGTCCAATTTACTGTATTCATCTGTTTTCATGCTGCTGATAAAGACACACATGAAACTGGGTAATTTATAAAGAAATGAGGTTTAATAGACTCACAGTTCCACATAGGTGGGGAGGCCTCATAATCATGGTGGAAGGCAAAGACACATCTTTTTTTTTTTTTTTTTTTGAGACAGAGTCTTGCCCTGTCTCCCAGGCTGGAGTTCTGTGGCACGATCTTGGCTCTCTGCAAACTCTGCCTCCCAGGTTCACACCATTCTCCTGCCTCAGCCTCCCGAGTAGCTGGGACTACAGGTGCCTGTCACCGCGCCTGGCTAATTTTTTTAATATTTTTTAGTAGAGACAGGGTTTCACCATGTTAGCCAGGATGGTCTCAATCTCTTGACCTCGAGATCCGCCTGCCTCGGCCTCCCAAAGTGCTGGGATTACAGGTGTAAGCCACCATGCCCAGCCAGCAAAGACACATCTTACATGGTGGCCAGCAAGAGAGAAGGAGAGCCAAGCGAAAGGGGAAATACCTTATAAAACCATCAGCTCTTGTGAGACTTACTCACGATAATGAGAACAGTATGGGGGAACTACCCCATGATTCAATTATCTCCCATTGGGTTCCCCCTTCAACACGTGGGAATTATGGGAGCTACAATTCAAGTTGAGATTTGGGTGGGTACACAGCCAATCCATATCACCCTCTTTGGTGACAGTATAATCTTGTAATTAAAAAACCTAAAGACTCCAAAGAACTCTGAGATCTCATAAATAAATTTATTAAAGTTGCATGGTACAAAATTGATGTATGAAAAATCGATAGGATTCCCATTCAACAATAATGAACTAGCTGAGAAAAAAATCAGGAATGTAATCCAATTTACAATAGCAGCAAAAACCCTAAAATACCTAGGGATTACTGGGAACTGCCTAGGAATCTAGGAAGTGAAAGATCTCTGCAAGGAAAACTAGAAAATACTTATGAAAGAAATTAAAAAGGACACAAACAAATGGAAAAAAATTCTGTGTTTATAGATTAGAATAATTAATATTGTTAAAATGCCAAAGCAATCTAAAGATTCAATGCAATCCCTATCAAAATACCGATGCCATTTTTCACAAAAATAGAATAAACAATTCTAAAATTTTTATGAAACCAAAAAATAGCCAAAGCAATCCTAAGCAAAAAAACAAACCTGGAAACATCACACTACCTGACTTTATATTACAAGGCTTTAGTAACCAAAATAGCATGATACTTGTATAAAACCAGGCACATAGACCAATGGAACAGAATAGAGAGCTCAGAAATAAATCCATGTATTTACAAGCAACTGATTTTTTACAAAGGTGCCATTAACATACCTTGGGAAAAGGACACCCTTTTCAATAAATGGTAAGTGGCAAATTTGATATTCATATGCAGAAGAATATAACTGGGCTCCTATCTCTCACCAAATGTAAAAAAAAATCAATACAAAATGGATTAAAAATGTAAACATACAACCTGAAGCTATGAAACTGCTAAAGAAAAATAGGGGAAACACTTCAGGATATTGGTCTAGGCAAGGATTTTACAGCTAAAACCTACAAAGCATAGCCAATAAGAACAAAAATAGGCAAATGGGACTATATTAAACTAAAAGACTTCTGCACAGCAAAGGAAACGATCAACAGAGTGAGGAGACAAGCTGTTGAATGGGAGAAAATATTTGCAAAGTATTCATCTTACAGTGGACTAATATCCAGAATACACAAGAAACACAAATGACTCAACGTAAAAAACCACAAATAATCCCATTAAAAACTGGGTAAAAATATGAATAGACATTTCTCAAAAGAAGGCATACAAATGGCCAAACAGTATGTGAAAAACGGTCAACATTGCTAATCATCAGAAGAATGTAAATCAGATCACCATAAGATATTTTTTTTATCCCAGTTAGAATGACTATTGTTAAAAACAATCAAAAAGAGATGCTGGTGAGAACTGAAGAGAAAAGAGGACTCTTACACGCTGTTAGTGGGAATATAAATTAGTACAGCCACTATGAAAAAAGTATGAATATTTCTCAAAAAAATAAAACTAGAACTACTATATGATCCAGCAATCCCACTACTACATATTTATCCCAAAGAAAGGAAATCAGTATATCAAAGGGATATCTACATCCTTATGTTTATTGTAGCACTGTTGACAATAGCAGAAATATGGAATCAATCTAAACTTCCATCAACAGATGAATAAATAAAATGTGGTATATACACATAAGGGAATACTATAGTATTTGGCCATAAAAATGGTTGAAGTCATGTCATTTGCAGAAACATGGGTTGAACTAGAGGTCATTATGTTAAGTGGAATAAGCAAGGCACAGAAAGTCAAATATCGCAGTTCTTACTCATATGGGGGAGCTAAAAATGTTTATCTCATGGAGGTAGAGAGTGGAATGATAGATACTAGAAGTTGGGAAGGGTGGGAAGGGTGTATGGGTGGCAGGGGAGGTATGAAGAGAGATTGGTGAGTGCACACAAATACCTAGTTAGATAGAAGGAATAAGTTTTAATGTTTGATAATAGAGTGACTATGGTTAACAACAATATGTTTTATATTACAAAATAGCTAGAAGAGAGGACTGAAAATGTTCCCAGCACATAGAAATGATACGTACTTGAGGTGATGTATATCTTAAATACCCTGACTTGATTATTACACATTCTATGCATGTAACAAAATATCACAGGAACCCCATAAATATGTACAAATATTATGTGTCAACAAATAATTGATCTGGTAGCTTTATAGAAGGGAATTCAAAAAGAGAAACAGTGAGAGATGCCAATTAAGATGGTGGTATAGTAATTACCATGTAAAAAGGGAAATACATTGAATTCCTAGGGGTTTGAGAAAGAAACAGCATGGAGCCAACATGCCCATTGCTTGAAAGAAGAGGTGAATCTGAGGGTTCATCAGTAGAAGATTCCAAGTGAGTTCCCCAACAACTAACAAAAAGATAAAATCATTTTCCTTGACTGTCTTGTTGTGATACGCGAGTCTATCACCTGGCCCTGAATTCCTAGAGAATATGATTTGACTGATACTATCACTCCTTTGTATGTCTAGTAAAGTGATGCCTATGGAATTGCATTATAAACCTTTGCAAAGTACCTAATGTTAGTTCAATATAAATGTTTGAATTTTGTAACAACATACATCTACACTCTTAAAATGTGACAGTAAATATAGTGGGGTTCAAAAATGAAGTATGATTCTTATCTTTAATAAATTTAAAACCTAATTTTATTTATTATTCACTGACTTGGTCAAATGCATTCCCACAATTAAAAATATGGTATTGTATACAACTAAAAAAATAAAAACTAAAAATTTGGTCTTGGGAAATAATACCTAAATATTGAAAATGGGTTTAAAAAAATGACTTTAAGTGAATGTACTGATTTTAAATTGTTTATATGTATATTTCAATTATATTGATGTAATGAATTAATGATGTATTAACATGTAATTGTACATACTTCTATTATGATTGAAATATAAATGGAGCCCCATTTTCTTATTTAATGGTGTTGTATTAACAGCTACTTGTATATGTTTCAATTATAATGATTGAAATATAAATGGAGCTCCATTTTCTTATTTCTTAGACTGAACCATAACTACTTTCGTCTACAGGCAAAAGTCCTTGGTCTTGAAGAAAAATGTGGCAGATGTTGCATGCCCTCTAGTGGCCACATGGTATATCTTTACATCTTTCTATAAATTTCAGCAGTTTTGTCCAGGATGCGTTTTATGTCGGGCATATTAATTTAACTACCATTACTTCTTAAATACTTTATTAATTCTTACTTTATCTGAACTACAGTAGTTCAAAAGTAAATTTCAACCTCTTAGTATACAGAAAAATATATCCTGTATGGTTTTTAGAGAATATTTAGTTTCAAACCACAAACAATTTTGTAAAACTAATATGTAAGAGTCATATCCAAAAAACTCAAAAAAGAAAACATGCAAGTTGAATTATGCCCCAAATATTTATACAGTCTCATATTACCCACTATGCTGTGCTAATATAGACCTAAAAGAGGACAGAGAACATCTGGCTTACTAAGCTGCTATATTAGACAAGCCTTTCAGAAAAACAGAACCAGTAGAATACATATATAAATATAGATAGATTGATGACATATAAAGAGAGAGAGAGATTTATTTTAAGAAATTGGCTCACACAATTGTGGGGACTTGTGAATCTGAAGTCTACAGGGCAGGCCAGATGGCCAGGAACTTAGGGAAGATTTCTATGACAAAACCTTAAGTCAGAATTCCTTCTTGGGAAAACCTCATTCTTTGCTCTTAAGGTCTTTGATTGAATGAGACCCATCCCATCATGAAAGATAATCTGCTTTACCTAAAGTCTACTGATTTTAAATGTGAATTGCATCCCCATATATCTTCACAGCAACATCGAAATTACTGTTTTGCCAAACAACTAGGCACCACAGCCTAGTCAAGTTGACACAAAATAAATTATTGTAATTGCCAATATAAGTTTTAAGTGTTTTAAATATGCTAATTCATTCTTTTTTGTCCTCACCACAACTCAATAAGGCAGGTGTTCTTATTGACCCATTCAAAGGAAACTGAGGCACATACTTGTAAAATGACTTGTTCAAGTAACAAGTGTCATAGCTAGTATGTTGGGGAGTTGAAATTGAACCAGAGTTCCTGTCTCAACTGCTAACTATTGATATCTCAATAAATTGATAATTCATTTTTAATAAAATATTTCAGACATACACAAAAAGATAATAGAGTATAATGAGCAGCCTTTTTGTCAAATTTTACCATTTGATGTCATTTGCACATTCTTTTTCTGAATTTTTCAAAATGAAAAAATCATATGAAATACATTTGAGGTCACATATGTAGTTCTCCTTAATTGTATAACTCACTCTCTACCTTCCAGAAGTAGTCAATATTTCAAATTTGGCTTTTATCAATTTCATAAATTTTTTTAAAAGTTTCTGACACAGATTTGTATCAATAAAAATATTATATTATAAAAACAAGTTTCCCCAGAGGGCCAGTCTTAGCCACTCACCTTGAGGAAACAGTTTATGTAACCAAGTCTGAAAAAGTTCAACTAAGATATAAGGTTTATTGAAGAGCAGATGGTGGGAAAGAAAGAGGCTAGCTTAGGAGAGGAACCACAGACCCTCTGAAGGAAGCAGATTGCTCTTATAGGACCTAGGAGACATCCCAAATACTGTGAGTGCCCAAACTGCCAAAGTGGGAAAAGGGGATTGTCTGCCCCTGAACACATAGCCCCACTGGGGAAACTGAAGGTCTAGATTATGGGAGAAGATTCTGACCTTACCTGGAGCTGAGTCAATTTGGAAAGCCAAACGAAAAATAAAGGTAGAGGAAGCAGCGGGAAAGGCTCTGTGAGCTCGCTGGATCCCCAAGCAGGCCATTCCTGCCTGGCCTCACAGGTATCCTTCTGGAGGGGTGGCCAGAGGCACTGGGAAAAAGGCCACAGGGAGAAGGAAATCCTCAGCTAAACTTTGTAACAATTTGAACTGATCAAGAAGCCTCCTGGCCAGAACTTGGGGGAGGGTGTGAATCCGGTGTGCAGACTAGGGGAAGAAGGAAAGCTATATTTGCTTTCACAGCTGGGAGGTGGGTAGCCTGGGGTAAGTTCTCAGCCATGCATGCCCACTGCCTGGAAACAGACTTGGTGCTGTTGGAGGGAGGCACGGTGGGAGTGAGTCCGGCCCTTTGGACTGTGTGGGAGCAGGGTGAGGCCTGTGACTGCCGGCTTTCCCACACTTCCCTGACAACCTGAATGAAACAGCAGAGACAGCCACAATCCTCCTAGGATCATAATTCCATTGATCTGGGAACCTCATCCTCATTCCCCACAGCAGCTGCAGCAAGACCCACCCAAGGAGAGTCTGAGCTCAGATACGCCTAGTCCTGCCCCCACCCAGTGGTCCTTCACTACCCACCCTGGTAACTGAAGACAAAGGGCATATACTCTTGGGAGTTCTAGGGCCCCACCTACAGCCTGTTCCTCTCCATACTACCACAGCTGATGCTCTCTGGAAAGCACCACCTGCTGGCAGGAGGTCAACCAGTGCAAAAATACTGCATTAAGCCACCAAAGTTAAGACTCTCACAGAGTCCATTTCACCCCCCTGCCACCTCCACTGGAACAGGTGCTGGTATCTATGGCTGAGAGAACCACAGATGGTTGCCATCACAAGACTCTGTGCAGACAACCTCCAGTAGCAGCCCAGAGCCTGGTAGACTTGTTGGGTGGCTAGATCCAGAAGAGAGATAATAATCACTACAGCTCAGTTCTCAAGAAGCCACTGCTATAGAAAAAGTGTGGGAGGACTACATCAAGGAAACACCCCATAGGACAAAAGAATCTGAACAACAGCCTTCAGCCCTAGACCTTCCCTCTGACAGAGCCTACCCAAATGAGATGGAATCAGAAAACCAACTCTGATAATATGACAAAACAAGGCTCTTTAATACCTCCCAAAAATCACACTAGCTCACCAGCAATGGATCCAAACCAAGAAGAAATCCCTGATTTTCCTGAAAAAGAATTCAGAAGGTTAGTTATTAAGCTAATCAGGGAGGCACCAGAGAAAGGTGAAGCATAATGTAAGGAAATCAAGAAAATGATACAAAAAGTGAAGGGAGAAATATTCAATGAAATAGCATAGACAAAAAACAATCAAAACTTCAGAAAACAATGAACACACTTATAGAAATGCAAAATGCTCTGGAAAGTCTCAGCAATAGAATTGAACAAGTAGAAGAAAGAAATTCAGAGCTCGAAGACAAGGTCTTTGAATTAACCAAATCCAACAAAGACAAAGAAAAAAGTGTAAGAAAATACTAACAAAGCATCCAAGAAGTCTGAGATTATGTTAAACAACCAAACCTAGGAATAATAGGCATTCCTGAGGATAAAGAAAAATCTATACATTTGGAAAACATATTTAGGGGAGTAATCAAGGAAAACTACCCTGGCCTGGATAGAGACCTAGACATCCAAATACAAGAAGCACAAAGAACACCTTGGAAATTCATAACAAAAAGATCATAGCCTGGGCACATTGTCATCAAGTTATCTAAAGTTAAGAAGAAGGAAAAAAAACTTACGAGTTGTGAGGAAAAAGCACCAGGTAACTTATAAAGGGAAACCTATCAGATTAACAGCAGATTTCTCAGCACAGACCTTACAAGCTAGAAGGGATTATGGCCCTATCTTCAGCCTCCTCAAACAAAACAATTATCAGCCAGGAATTTTGTATCCAGCAAAACTATGCTTCATATATGAAGGGACAATACAGTCTTTTTCAGACAAACAGATGCTGAGACAATTCGCCACTACCAAGCCACCACTAAAAGAACTGCTAAAAGGAGGCCTAATCTTTAAACAAATCCTGGAAACACATCGAAACAGAATCTCTTTAAAGCATAAATCTCACAGGACCTACAAAAAAATACAATTTAAAAAATAAAACCATAAAACAAAAAATCAAGTTACACAGGCAACATGGAAGGGTACCTCACATCTCAATACTAACATTGAATGTAAATGGCCTAAATTCTCCACTTTAAAGATACAGGACTACAGAATGGATAAGAATTCACCAACGAACTATCTGCTACTTTCAAGAGACTCACCTATCACATAAGGACTCACACAAACTTAAGGTAAAGGGGTGGAAAAAGATATTTCATGCAAATAGACACCAAAAATGGGCAGGGGTAGCTGTTCTTATATGAGACAAAACAAACTTTAAAGCAACAGCAGTTAAAAAAGACAAAGAGGGACATTAGATAATGGTAAAGGCCTTGTCCAACAGGAAAATATCACAATCCTAAACATATATGCACCTAACACTGGAGCTCCCAAATTTATGAAACAAGTATTAATAAACCTAAGAAATGAGATAGACAGCATCAAAATAATAGTGGGGGACTTTAATACTCCACTAACATCACTAGACAGCTTATCAAGACAGAAAGTCAACAAAGAAACAATGGATTTAAATTATACCTTGGAACAAAGGGACTGAAGAGATATCTACAGAACATTCCATCAAAAAACTGCACGATATACATTATATTCAAAAGTACCTGGAACTTTCTCCAAGATAGGCCATATGATAGGCCACAAAACAAGCCTCAATGAATTTAAGAAAATTGAAATTGTATCAAGCACTCTCTCCAACCACAGTGGAATCAAACAGGAAATCAGCTCCAAAAGGAATCTTCAAAACCCTGCAAATACATGGAAATTAAATAACCTGATCCTGAATGATCACTGGGTCAAGGAACTAGAGAAACAAAAACAAACCAAACCCAAATCCTGCAGAAGAAAAATAATAACCAAGATCAGAGCAGAACTAAATGAAATTAAAACAAAAAGATAAAAACAATACAAAAGGTAAGTGAAACAAAAACTGACTCTTTGAAAAGATAAACAAAACCGATAGACCATTAGCAAAGTTAACCAAGAAAAGAAGAGAGAAAATCGAAATAAGCTCAATAAGAAATGTAATGAAAGATATTACCACTGACACTACAGAAATACAAGAGACCATTCAAGGCTACTATGAACACCATTACGTGGATAAATCAGAAAACCTAGAAGAGATTAATAAATTCCTGGAAATATACAATCCTCCTGGCTTAAATCATGAAGAATTGGATACCCCGAACAGGCCAATAACAAGCAGAGAGATTGAAATGGTAACTAAAAAATTACCAAAAACAAAAAAAATCCAGGACCAGATGGATTCACAGCAGAATTCTACCAGACATGCAAAGAATTGGTACTGACACTATTGACAATATTCCACAAGATAAAGAAAGAGGGAAGCCTCCCTAAATCATTCTATGAAGCCAGTATCACCCTAATATCAAAACCAAGAAAGGACAAAACTAAAAAAGAAAACTACAGACCAATATCCCTGATGAAAATAGATGCTAAAATCCTTAACAAAATACTAGCTAACCAAATCCAACAACATATCAAAAAGATAATCCACCATGATCAAGTGGGTTTCATACCAGGGATGCAGGGATGGTTTAACATATGCAAGTCAATAAATGTGATACACCACATAAGCAGAATTAAAAACAAAAATCACATGATATCTCAATAGATGCAGAAAATACATTTGACAAAAATCCAGCATCCCTTTATGATTTAAACTCTCAGCAAAATCAGCATACAAGGGACATACCTCAATGTAATAAAAGCCATCTATGACAAACCCACAGCTGACAAAATACTGGGTGGGGAAAGGTTGAAAGCTTTCCCTCTGACAACTGGAACAAGACAAGGATGCCCACTCTCACCAACATAGTACTGAAAGTCCTAGCCAGAGCAATGAAACAAGAGAAAGAAATAAAAGGCATTCAAATTGGTAAAGAGGGAGTCAAACTGTCGCTGTCTACTGATAATATGATTGTCTACCTTGTAAACCCTAAAATCTTTTCCAAAAAGCTCCTAAAACTGATAAAAGAATTCAGCAAAGTTTCCGGATACAAAATTAATGTACACCAATCAGTAGGTTTTCTATACACCAACAGCAACCAAGCACAGAATCAAATCAAGAACTCAACCCCTTTTACAATAGCTAGTATGATGGTTAATACTGAGTGTCAACTTGATTGGATTGAAGGACACAAAGTATTGATCCTGGATGTGTCTATGAGGGTGTTGCCAAAGGAGATTAACATTTGATTCAGTGGGCTGGGAAAGGCAGACCCACCCTTAATCTGGGTGGGCAGGAATATAAGCAGAAAGAAAAATGTGAGTAGAGAGACTGGCCTAGCCTCCCAGCCTATACCTTTTCCCCATGCTGGATGTTTCCTGACCTCAAACAACAGACTCCAAGTTCTTCAGTTTTGGGACTTGGACTGGTTCTCCTTACTCCTTAGCTTGCAGACAGCCTATTGTGGGACCTTGTGATCCTGTGAGTTAATACTGATTAAACTCCTATATATATATATATGTGTGTGTGTGTGTGTGTGTGTGTGTGTGTGTGCGCGCGAGCATGTGTATATATTAAACTCACACATATATATGTGTGTGTATATATATATGTGTGTGTATATATATTAAACTCCCATATATATGTGTGTGTGTGTATATATATATGTGTGTGTGTATATATATATGTGTGTGTGTGTGTGTGTGTATCCTGTTCTGTCCCTCTAGAGAACCCTGATTAATACAGCTGCAAAAATAAATAAATAAATAAACAGTCTGGGCACAGTGGCTTATGCCTGTAATCCCAGCACTTTGGGAGGCCAAGGTGACTCAGGTGTTGGCGACCAGCCTGGGCAACATGGTGAAACCCTGTCTCTACTAAAATACAAAAAATTAGCTGAGCATGGTGGCATGTGCCTGTAGTCCCAGCTACTCAGAAGGCTGAAGCAGAAGAATTGCCTGAACCCGGGAAGTGGAGGTTGCAGTGAGCCAAGATCATGCCACTGCACTCCAGCGTGGGCAACAGAGTGAGACTCTGTCTCTAAATAAATAAATAAATAAAATACTTAGGAATATACCTAACCAAGAAAGTGAAAGATCTCTACAAGGAAAACTGCAAAACACTGCTGAAAGAAATCATAGATGACACAAACAAATGGAAACACATCCCATGCTCATGGATGGGTAGAATCAACATTGTAAAAACGACCATACTGCCAAAAGCAATCTACAAATTCAATGCAACTCCCATCAAAATACCACCATCATTTTTCATAAAACTAAAAAACCAATTCTAAAATTCACATGGAACCAAAAAAAGAGCCCACATAGCCAAAGCAAGACTAAGCAACAAGAGCAAATCTGGAGGCATCACTGATTACCTGATTTCAGACTATACTGTAGGGCCATAGTCACCAAAACAGCATGGTAATGGTATAAAAATAGGCACATAGACCAATGGAAAGGAATAGAGAGCCCAGAAATAAACTCAAATACTTATAGCTTACTGATCTTTGACAAAGCAAACAAAAACCTAAAGTGGGGAATGGACACTCTTTCAACAACTGGTGCTGGGATAATTGGCTAGTCCAAGTAAGGAATAAAATTGGATCTTCGTCTCTCACCTTACACAAAAATCAACTTAGGGTGGATTAACTACTTAATCTGAAATTATAAAAATTCTAGAAGATAACATTGTAAAACCTTTCCAGGCAAGGATTTCATGACCAAGAACCCAAAAGCAAATGCAATAAAAACAAAGATACATAGCTGGGACTTAATTAAACTAAAGAGCTTTTGCACGGCAGAAGGAACAGTCAGCAGAGTAAACAGACAACCCACAGAGTGGGAGAAATTCTTCACAATCTATAAGTCAAACAAAGGACAAATATCCAGAAGCTACAATGAACTCAAGCAGATCAGCAAGAAGAAAACAAACAATCCCATTAAAAAGTGGGCTAAGGACATGAGTAGACAATTTTCAAAAGAAGATATACAAATGGCCAACAAACATATGAAAAAAAATGCTCAACATCACTAATGATCAGGGAAATGCAAATTAAAGCCACAATGCAATACCACCTTACTCTGACAAGAATGGCGATAATCAAAAAATCAAAAAAGAGTAGATGTTGGCATGGATGCGGTGATCAGGGAACACTTCTACACTGCTGGTGGGAATGTAAACTAGTACAACCACTATGTAAAGCTGTGTGGAGATTCTTTAAAGAACTAAAAATAAAACTACCATTTGATCCAGCAATTCCACTACTGGGTATCCACCCAGAGGAAAATAAGTCATTTTACAAAAACATACTTTCACACGCATGGTTATAGCAGCACAATTCACAATTGTAAAAATGCGGAACCAACCCAAATGCCCATCAATCAATGAGTGGATAAAGAACTGTGATATATATCTGATGGAATATTAGTCTGCCACAAAAAGGAATGAATTAATGGCATTCGAAGTCAGCAATATTGTGTCTCTCTGACCATCTTCATTTCTTATCTCTCTCTCTCTAAGCTACAGTTAGGAAACTTTCACACAAACGTGTGGACATCAGGAGAAAAGTCTGTGTGGCCCACTAGTAATTCCTCTTGTTAGTATACTCTGAGAAACTCTCATGCATGTGCACAGGAGACATACAGACATACGTATGCAGAGTATTAATTGCAGTATTATTTATAATACCAAAAACCTTGAAATAACCCAAATGCCTATTGGCTGAAGGATGGATTAACAAATTGTGGTACAGTCAAACAATGGAATATTAAGCAGTAGTTAAAATAATGAACTATATCCTCATGTATCAACATAGATAAATGTTAGAATCATGGTTGCTAAGTCAACAAAATATAAGTTATACATCATATTGTACCAATTTTTGAAAGCTAAAAATGTGATGCCTGGCTAATTTTATTTTTATTTTTATTCTTTTGTAGAGAGAGGGGTCTTGTTGTGTTGCCCAGGCTGATCTTGAACTCCTGCCCTCAAGCAATCCTCCTACCTCAGCCTCCCAGAGTGTTAGGATTACAGGTGTAAGCATTTGCTCATATGCTATTTGCCTTCTGTGTATCTTCTTTTGGTGTCTGTTAAGGTCTTTGGTTCATTTTTTTTAATTGGGTTATTTCCTCATTGCTAAGTTTTAAGAGTTCTTTCTACTTTTTAGATAATAGTCCTTTATCAGGTATGTCTTTTACAGATATTTTCTCCCAATCTGTGACATGTCTTCACATTCTCTTGGCAGTGTCTATCACAAAGCAGAAATTTTTAATATTAATGATGTTCAGTTTATCAATTACTTTTTCAATGATTACACCTTTTATTTTTTCATTTTTAAGTATTCTATGTCCTTATATTTTGAGAGTGTCTCTTATAATATCAAAGAGCTGAATTTTTGTGTAATTCAAACACCAACCTCTTTTTTAAAAGAGAAATAATCTTTTTATAGTTGTTGCATTTTCTAATATATTTGAATTATTTCTATAATATATTCTTGCTTCTTTTCTCCCAGTCTGCTATTGGATTAACAAAGCTTTTTATTATTGTTCATCATGTTCTCTTATTAAGTTCTATTTCCCTTTCCTATTTATTTCTTTATGACCTCTTTTCCTTCTCAGGGCCACAGGATAGTGTACAGTTCAGCACGCAGACTTTGGAACCATATTACCTAAGCTTAAATCACAGCACTGCCAACTAATCCTCAATATGTGATCTTGGTTAATCATAAAAAGAGATACCTTCCACATATATTTGCAGAGACAACTAATTATGTAAATAAGAAAATTAGCATAGAGATTGGCACTATATAAGTGTAACATATTATTTTCTTGTTCAATTTGGAAGTTATTTACCCTATCTTTCAGTTTCTATTCTTTGAATTTGACATGCGTACATGACTAAGCAAAATCTAAAGTTAATCGCTATTTCTACTTTCCTCCCAAACAATGCATTAACATAAATTACTCTTTCTACGTCACTAGTTTTTTTGCCACGATTTCAGTTCCATAATTTTATTATTTTCCAAGTTACACATTATTATTCTTGCAGTAAAGGCTGATTTAAATTTATCCATTTTGAGGAATCAGAATCTATTCCTATAATTTCTTCTTGCATATCATTTCCTCTGAATTAAATTTTCTTTTTCCCTAAAATATATCACATAGTATTGCTCTCTTAAAAGACCTTGTGTATAAACTATCTGAGTCCTAGTTTATCTGTAAAGGTCTTGATTTTGTCCTCAATATTATCAATAATTTAGAAATATATAGAATTCCCAATTGAAAATTATTTTATTTTATATATCATTTAAAAATCTATATAATATAATATATTTTAATGTAGTGTCTTATTGCCTTCTTTGTTACTTTTTAGAGGTAATCTTTCTCCTTTCATTTTGGGTTTAAGATCTTTTTTTTCCTATTGTGCAATTTTCTTGTTATGTTTTCTATTGTGCAATTTTCTTGTTATGTTTAAAATGTCATATTATTTTTATTTATATTGTTTAAGTTAATTTCACTTATTGAATATTATAATATATAGCTGTAAACTGTCATAGAAAGTTATTTCAAATATCCTTTTTGTATTACTGTCTCTATTGTAACTTTTATTAATTTTAAGAGCATATATTCCAAGTTTGTATCTTTCATGACTTTTAACTTCATTTTTCATTTTTCTTATGTTTCTACACTGATTTCTGAGTATTTTTCATATCTTTATTTTCCATTTCTCTATTTTTTCAGTAATTCCTAATCTGTAGTTTTTAATTACAAAGACTTCATCTATCACTCTACATATTGTATTTATTTTCAAATATGCTTGTGTTTTACTGTTCCTTTCTGCTGTTTTTATTCTTTGTTTTTTTTAATCATTGTCTAGTGATAGGGTTAATTTGTGCTGCTCTGTGATAGTTCTATTTTTGTCTCCAGGGATACTCTGATTCTGACCTTAAATCAAGATATAAAATAAATATATTAGCTAGTGATTTATAATATGTTGTTTAAAGTTCTACACTTGCCTGGAAGTATCTTGTACCAGTTTGTCTACTCTGTTTATTAAAAATGTATAGATTAATGGTTTGCATCCAGCTCACCTGGTTTCTCAGTCTCATTTTAATTCTATGACCAGTGGAATATAAAAGACCCATCCAGTAAACTTGAGCATTGGCTCTGTCAAATCATGATTTCTCACATATATCTTGGTGGTTCATGATCCACAGATGAAGCCTGTGCTATGTGACTGAGAAAAGAGTCTAGAATTGTGCCTAGAAATCTCCATTCTGTCTGTTGTTTGTGCTTTCTAGCTCCTCCTGTATTATATTCTTTTTCTTTATTAAAGGCTGATATAAGTAAACCTTGTGGAGTCTCAGGAGTATTTTCAGTGGTCTGACCTTTTATAATTGCTGCAGTTGGTACTCTGAGCAGGATACTTGCAGTGGCCCTTGGCTTTAAGATTAAATAATGGTTAAAGTTCTACTTGAAAGAAAGGAAAATGAAGAAATAGGGTATGAAGGACCTTTGATTCCCAAGCTAGCATACATTTGAATGATGCTGTGACCAGTGAAACAGGAAAAACATATCAACCTGGAGGTGGACAGAACTGGAACTGAGGGAAATAGCAAAATGGATTTAAAAAGAAACTCAGACAGAAGGGAAGTCAGCCAAGAATTCTGTGCTTTGGCTGCTTTTGGCTGCTTTGGCAAAAATGAGAGTAACTAAGAGAAGTATGAGGCTTCTGGTCTGCCAAGACAAGTAACCACCACAGATTCTGTCTATAATTCTAAGGGACATGATAAAAAGCAGGGGGTAGTACAGGTGTTTCTTTTGATCAGAATGTCACTCTGCCAAACTGATAATCACTGATAAGACTATGAAGGCTTTGAGTGTGTAGTGAAGGGAGTGAAGATCAAGAGATATCCGAAACCTGGAGCTTGGGAACATTCAAAGAGTTCAGAAAATGCACCTTTTGCAGAAATGTGGAAGTCTTAATCTGTTGAACTGGCTGAAGGCAGGGTTATGTAGAAATACCTTGAAATTGGGAGTAGTTCAACTCTACCCTTATTATGATAAATTGAATGCTTCTCAAGGTGTTGAAATGTTGAAATTGCAGGCACCTTCAGTTAGATTACATAATGATAAACTGTTCCAAATTTAGGCCTTTTACCCAAGGAATGATTGATGTGATAAATGGGGCTTAGCATGCTTGGGATTGTTGTGTGACTCTCCTGATAGAAGGGTGAAAGCATGTGAGGAAGGCTGTTGCAGATCGGGGCTCAACTCCTCCTAATGGGTTGAATGACGGAAAAAAGTTAGAAATATTCAGAAAAAAAAGAATGTTACGAATAAAAGGGATACAAAAATCATTGGAACAATTAAACAGGGTGAAATTGTTCAGATGGCTAATGAAAACATTATGAAACATTATGAAAAAAGAGATGATAGATGACATGACTACTAAATCTTAATAGATTGCTAAAGGGAATACATACTCCAGCTGCTCCACCAACTCATCAGACTATAAAAAGCCCAAGGCATATTTGTTCAATGTATCCTGGTTGTGATGAATTTTAACAGATTTTTGGATAATAACAAATGAACTAGAAGTATGGTTCAGAATTGGAACATAAGAGATACCTTAGTGCTACATTATAAATATTTTGTGAAGAAGAAAATTCCAAATGGGACAGGTTGAAGGCCATCAAAAACAAACAAACAAAACAACACCACCTTATACATTCATAAAAAAAAAACTGGAACCAGAAATTGAACATGCACATTTGGTCTTTGGAAGTGGTTTCTTGGTTACATGAGATGAGTAGTCATGGAGGCATTTAAGCAACATAATGAAGAACAATAAAACGTGAATCCCACTGTTCCCAGTCTGACTGAGAAAGAATCCTAGGAGGCCTTTGATATTTCACTGGGAAGCCTCAGATCTCTCTGATGTTTGCCTGTGCTTCTCTCCTACTGCTATACCAGCATATTTAGCTTTGTTTAAAGCCTTTCATGAGTATAATCTTTGGAGTCTCATGAATCTTATCAATCATCTAGCCCTGTGTAATTAATGTAATTATGTGAATCAAAGTTTAAAACATTCTCATTCTCAAACAATATGTTAATTTTTTAAGATTATAATTATCTAAATGTTGTAGTTTAGTTTTCTGAATCTTTTTTACAATAAATTTTTCTTCATGTGTTTATTTTAAATTGTGTGCTTATCTTCAGTGTGCTTTATGTGTAATAACACATAAATTGTGTGCTTTATGTGTAGTAACTTGGTGCAACTAAAGTGAAAGGTGCATTTTTCTAGAATAATTTGTATTTGTTTTTGCAAGTTGCCCAAGGGTTTTTATTTTAACAATTTAGAGATTTCCATATCTTATGAGCTTTGCAAATTTAAGTATAAAATATTTACCAAGGTAGGGTATAGAACATGGCAAGAGTAAGCAAAAATGACACAGTAGGGACAAACCAGGGGTTAGTCCGTTCCTAGAAACACTGAAAAATTGGCAAATCTGTCAGAATCAATCTTATAGGAACTCTGAAAGGTAGTCAAAGGTTTATAGCAAACAAGTGAATGTTTAACTTGAAGAAAGGACACTAACACAAAATAGAAAAGGATTTGGGCAATTAACTTATTTGTACTCCACCAAATTCCCCATGATGCCACAGTCTTTAAAATAGCAGCCCACATTCTTGATGCAGTTACCAGGTTTTAAAAGTCGCAGAGTGAAAGTTGTTCCCAAGGAATTGTGTTTGTCTGTTTTGGCTTACTTGTCTGTGGATTCCTGAAATATTGATGCAATGAAGGAACTTACATTTGTTTTACCGAACTCAAAACTGTCTCAGGGCAAAGAGGTGCCTAAAAACATGTTCTTCAAAAACACTGAAAGAAAAATGAATGACTTACTCTGTGTGGTGCATAAAATAACATTTGTGGCAAACAATGGTCATATTGAAAGCCTGGGAGGAAAGGCTTAGAAGTGTAGTGCTTTGGATGATCAGAGATAAGCAATGACTGGAGAAAATTTTCTTTTCTTTCCTTACCTCTCCTTCTTCTTCTGTGCTTGTTTTTTGTTTGCTTGTTTTCAGCTCTAGACACTAAAGAAATCTCTGTCAAATCAATGGCTGACAATGAAGGTAAAGGCGAAAGATATCAGAGACCATCTCAAAAAAAAAAAAAAAAAGATATCAGAGACCACACATCACAAAGAACGCAATATTTTCAGAAGTAGTTTACAAAATTCACTATAACCTCACAGCAAGCAAATGAAAAATCTTGAACATGGGAGAATCTGATTTAGAGTTACTATATCACAATATTTAAAACATCCAGTTTTTAACAAAACATTATGAGGCAAGCCAAGAAAAAAAAAGTATGACCCAGTCACGTGAAAAAAAAGAGAAATTAACAAAAGCTGTCTCTGAGGAAACACAGACACTGGACTTCCTAGACAAAGACTTAAATCAACTGTCTTAAATATGTTCAAACAGCTAAAGGCAACCATTGACAAAGAGCTAAAAGAAGGCAGTAGACTTAAATAGGCAGCAAAAAGATCCAGCAAATTTGAAGATATCAATTAAGCAATTCGGTCTGAAGTCTCAGAAGAAAAACAAATGAAGAAAAATAAACAGAGCCTAGGTGTGGAGCACCATAAAGCATACTAACATAGGTATAGTGAGAGTCCTTGAAGAAAATGAGAAAAAAAAAAAAAAGAAAATTTGAAGACATAATATCTGAAAACTTCTCAAATTTGATGAAAGACATAAATCTATACATCCAGGAAGCTCAACACATTCCAAATAGAAAAAACTCAGAGACATCTACATAGAGACACATTATAATCAAACTGTGAAAATACAAAGACAGTAAGAGAATCTTGAAAGCATCAGATGAAAAGCAAATCATCACATACAAGGGGATCCTCAAAATTAACAGTTCATTTATCATAAGAAAATATGGGCACCAGAAAACAGTAGAATGACATATTTACTATGCTGAAAGAAACAAAAAAGCTGTCAATCAAGAATTATGTTTCTGCTATAACTATCCTTCAAAATTAAGAAAAGAATTAAAACAATTCCAGAAAAAGAAGAACTAGAGGAGATTATTGCTAGTAGACCTGCCCTGCAAAAAAATGCTAAAGAGAATTCTTCAGGATAAATTAAAATATATTAGATAATAACTTGAAGCAAGGCATATGGAAAAATAACACAAGTAAACATAACAACTTATGTAAATATAAAAGTGAGTATTATTGTATTTTTACTTGTACTTCTTCCTCTTTTTATCTCATATGATTTAAAAGATAAATGCATCTTGGGGTTGCTCTTCTCAAGGAGTATCTTTGTGGTGTTCTCTGTATTTCCTGAATTTGAATGTTGGCCTGTCTTGCTAGGTTGGGGAAGCTCTCCTGGATAATATCCTGAAGAGTGTTTTCCATTTATGCACCCAACAAACATATGAAAAAATGCTCATCATCACTGGTCATTAGAGAAATGCAAATCAAAACCACAATCAGATATCATCTCATATCAGTTAGAATGGCGATCATTAAAAAGTCAGGAAACAACAGATGCTGGAGAGGATGTGGAGAAATAGGAATGATTTTACACCATTAGTGGGAGTGTAAATTAGTTCAACCATTGTGGAAGACAGTGTGGCAATTCCTCAAGGATCTAGAACTAGAAATACCATTTGACCCAGCAATCCCATTACTGGGCATATGCCCAAAGGATTATAAATCATTCTACTATAAAGACATATGCATACGTATGTTTATTGCAGCACTATTCACAATAGCAAAGACTTGGAACCAACCCAAATGTCCATTAGTGATAGACTGAATAAAGAAAATGTGGCACATATACACCATGGAATATTATGCAACCATAAAAAAGGATGAGTTCATGTCCTTTGCAGGGACATGGATGAAGCTGGAAACTATCATTCACAGCAAACTAACAGAAGAGAACAAAACCAAACACCACACATTCTCACTCATAAGTGGGAGTTGAACAGTGAGAACACATGGACACAGGGAGGGGAACATTGCACACCGGTGCCTGTCAGGAGGTGAGGGGCTGGAGGAGAGACAGCATTAGGCGAAATGCCCAATGTAGGTGATGGATTGATGAGTGCAGCAAACCACCAGGGCACGTGTATACCTGTATAACAAAACTGCACATTCTGCACGTGTACTCCAGAACTTAAAGTATAATAAAAAAAAGAAGACAAATGTGTAAAACAATAACTACAAACTTAATAGGCACACAAAATATAATGAGGCAATTTGAGAAAATAATAATGTAAGGAGGAGGAATGAAAATGTATAGAAGCAGAATTTTGTATGCCATTGAAGCAAAGTTAATATAATTTCAAAGTAGGTAGTTATAAGTTTAAGGTGCTAAAAGTAATCACGATGTTTACCAAATCTAACATAGAAAAAAATAGGAAAATGCGGAAGCTCTTATCAGTAATTTCTTGACCTATAAATAGGTTAAACGCTCCATTTAAAAGATAGAGATTGTAATAATGGATACAAATACAGGTCCATCCATGTGATGTCTACAATAGACTTAACTAATATACAAAGACACAAACAGGTTGAAAAGAATATATTGTAACATAAAAATATATTCCATGCAAATAGTAACCAAAAGAGAGCTGGTATGGCTATAGGCCCAAGTAGACTTTATGTAAAAGATTGTTAAAAGACCCAGAGGACATTATACATTGATAAAAGGACCAACCAATCAAGAATATGTAACAATTATATACACACACACACACTTATGTATGTAAAGAGCTCCAACATACATGGAACATAACTTGACAACTGAAAGGAGGAATAGAAGATTCTGAAAGAATAGAGATTTCAATGCCACACTTTCAATAATGGAAGAAACAAGTAGATTGAAGATTTGTTTTAATGACAGCTTAAACACTATACAACAATTACTTCTAACAGACATCATATACAGAACACTGCATTCAACAACGCAATACTCCTTCTTAACTGCACACGGAACAGTCTACAAGGTACACCAAATTTTAGGCCACAAAACAAGTCTCAATACTTTTTTTTTTTTTTTTTTTGAGACAGAGTCTTGCTCTGTCACCCAGGCTGGAGTGCAGTGGCGTGATTTCGGCTTGCTGCAAGCTCCGCCTCCTGGGTTCACGCCATTCTCCCACCTCAGCCTCCTGAGTAGCTAGGACTACAGGCGCCCGCCGCTATGCCCGGCTATTTTTTTTTTTTTTTGTATTTTTAGTAGAAACGGGGTTTCACCATGTTAGCCAGGATGGTCTCGATCTCCTGACCTCGTGATCTGCCCGCCTCGGCCTCCCAAAGTGCTGGGATTACAGGCATTAGCCACCGCGCCCGGCCAATACATTTTAAAAGATTAAAATCATCTGAAAAATCTCCAAACACAATGGCACGAAACTAGAAATAAGTAATAGAAAAAAATGAGAAATTCATAAATATGTAAATATTAAATAACACACTACGAAAAGGCCAATGGGTCAAAGAAGAAATTACAAGGTAAATTAGAAAATATTTAGAGTGGAATAAAAGCAAAAATACAATCTACTGAAACTTTTGGAATTCAGCAAAAGAAACCTACTCAGAGATTAATTTACAGTTGGAAATGCTCACATTAAAAAAGAACAGTGGGTAGGAGGCAGAGCAAGATGGTCAAATAGAAGCCTCCAGTGATTGTACCCTTGACAGGAACACCAAATTAAACAACTATCCACACATACAAAAATACCGCTTTATAAGAACCACAATTTAGGAGAGCAACCACAGTACCCAGTTTAAACACTTAGTTTTAACTAAGGAAAGAAGCATTGATGATGGTAGGAAAGACAGTCTTGAATTCTCTACACCACCCCTCTCCTATACCTTGGCAGCAGCCACATGATGTGAAGAGAGAATCTGTGCACCTGGGGGAGGGAGAGAGCAGTGATTGTGTGACTTTGCATTGAAACTTACTGCTGCCTTGTCACAGAAGAAAGCAACACTAGGCAGAACTCAGCTAGTGCCTGTAGAGGGAGCATTTAGACCAGCTCTAGCCAGAGGCAAGTTGTTCATCCCAGTGGTCGGAATCTGAGTTCCAGCAAGCCCTGTTACCATGGACTAAAATGTTCTAAGATCCTAAATAAACTTGAAAGGCAGTCTAGGCCACAAGGACTGCAATTCCTGGGAAAGTACTGGTACTCTGCTGGGCTGGAAGCCAGTGGACTCCAGGGTGGGAAGCAGAGTGCAACCTAGTGAGATATCAGCAGGGGTGGTCAAGAAAGTGCTTTTGTCACTCCTCTCCCCAATCCCAGACAGTACAGCCACAGCTCTGGGAGAGACTCTTTCCCTCTACTTGAGGAGAGGAGAGGAGAGGGAAGAGTAAAGAGGACTTTGTCTTGAAACATGGATACCAGTGCATCAACAGTAGAATAGGGCACCAGGCAAAGAGTCCTGAGGCTTCCAATCCAGGCCCTAGCTCCTGGACAACATCTCACAACACACCTTGGTCCAGAAGGGAAGCTGTTCCCTTGATAGGAAGGACCCAGTCGTAGAAAAATTCAACTGCTGACTAAAGAGCGCTGCGTAATCAGCAGTGATAATCATGCAGTACTTGCTGTGGGCCTTGGATGAGACTCAGAGCTGGGCTGAATTCAGGTGTGAACTAGCACATTCCTAGCTGCAGGAATGACTACTAGGAATTCAGAGACATCTATGAGAGAGATACTCTCTATTTGAGGAACTGAGAAAAAAGAGTAAAGGGGATGTTGCCTTGCGGCTTGGATACCAACTTAACCACAATAGGGTAGAGCATCAAGTTGGCTCCTGGGGTCCGCATTCCAGGCCTTGGCTTTTAGATGGCATTTCTGGACCTGCCCTGGGCCAGAGGGGAGCCTACTTCCATGAAGAAAGAGCTCAGAACTGGCAGCATTTACCACAAGCTGACTAAAAATATCCTTGGATCTTGAGTGAACAGCATCAATAGCCAAGTAATACTCTTCATGGGTCTTAGGCAACAGTGACCATAGGGAGAGACTCCTCTGCTTGAGGAAAGGGGAGGGAAGAGTGGGAAGGACTTTGTCTTGTGGCATGGAGGACAGCTCAGCCACAGTAGAATAAAGCACCAGGTGGATTTCTAGGGCTTTTAACTCAAGGCCCTGGCTTCCAGATGGCATCTCCAGACCTTTCCAGGGCCAGGGGAACTTCCTGCCCTGAAGGAAAGGGCATAAGTCTGGCTGGACTTGCCACTTGCTGATTGTAGAGCCCTTAGTCATTTCTTGAGTGAACATAGGTGGTAGCCTAGCAGTGGTCACTGGGGGCCTTGGGTAAGACCCAGTGCTATGCTGGCTTCAGGTCTGACCCAGAACAGTACCAGTGGTGGTGGTCATAAGGATGCTTGTGTCACCCACACTACAACTCCAGGCACATCAGCACAGGGCGAGAGAGACTCTCTTTGTTTGGGGTAAAGTACGGGTAATGCAAGGAATTTTCCTGGATCTTACCTAAGACCACCAAGGTGGTACCTCTAGAAGTCTGCCAGAGCCAGCATTACTGGTCTTGGAGTATCCCCTAAAGCCAATATGGCTGCAGTGACCAAAAACTCAGATCACAACACTCAAGCCCTTTCAAATACCTGAAAAGCCTTTGCAAGAATGACAGGTAAAAAATAAGCCCAGACTATGAAGACTACAATACATACCTAACTTCTCAATGCCCTGACATTGATGAACATCCACAAACACCAAGACCATCCAGGAAAACATGACCTCACCAAGAGAACTAGATAAGGCATCAGTGAGCAATCTGAAAGAGACAGAGATATGTGTCTCAGAGAACTCAGAGAATTCAGAATAGCTGTTTTGAGAAAACTCAACAAAATCCAAGATATCAAAGAGAAGGAATTCAAAATTCTATCAGATAAAGTTAAGAAAAAGATTGAAATAATTTAAAAGAATCAAGCAAAAATTATAGAGCTGCAAAATGCAGTTGACATACTGAAGAGTGCATCATAGTCTCTTAACAGCATAAATGATCAAGCAGGAGAAAGAATTAGTGAGCTTAAAGGCAGGCTATTTGAAAATGCACAGTGGAGACAAAAACCAAAAGCATGCCTACAAAATCTAGAAAATAGCCTCAAAAGGGCAATCCTAAGAGTTACTGGCCTTCAAGAGGAGGTAGAGACAGAGATCTGAATAGAAAGTTTATTCAAAGGGATAATAACAGAAAACTTTCCAAACTTAGAAAAAGATATCAATATTCAAGTACAAGAAAGTTATAGAAGCAGATTTAACCAAAATAGGACTACCTCAAAACTTTTAATGATCAATATCCCAAAGGTCAAGGATAAAGAAAGGATCCACAAAGCAGCAAGAGAAAAGGAACAAATAATATACAAAGGAGTTCCAATACATCTGGCAGCAGACTTCTCAGTGAAAACCCTACAAGCTGGGAGAGAGTGGCAAGACATATTTGAAGTTCAAAAGAAAAAAAAATAACTCTTCTTGTAGAATAGTATATCCAGGGAAAATATTCTTGAAACATGAATAAGAAATACAGACTTTCCCAGACAAACTAAAGCTGAAACGTTTCATCAACACCAGGCCTGTCCTACGAGAAACGCTAAAGTTCTTCAGTCTGAAAGAAAAGGACATTAATGAGCAATAAGAAATCATCTGAAGGTAAAAAAATCACTACTAGTAGTAAGTACACAGAAAAACACAAAATATTAAAACACTGTTATTGTGGTTTGTAAACTACTCACACCATTTATAGACAGACTAAAAAATAAACCTATGAAAAATAATAAGTACAACAACTTCTCAAGACATAAGCAGTACAATGAGATGTAAATAGAAACAACAAAAAGTTAAAATGTGGGATGATGAAGTTAAAGTGTAAAGTTTTTTTAGTTTTCTTTTTGCTTCTTTGTTAGTTTATGCAATCAGTGTTAAGTATTCATCAATTTGAAATAATGAGTTATGAGATATTATTTCAAGCCTCATGGTAACCTCAAATAAAAAAAATACAACAGGTAGCCACAAAATAAAAAACGGAGTAGTTAAAACATACCACTTTAAAGAGGGAGAGGAGCCAAGATGGCCGAATAGGAACAGCTCCGGTCTACAGCTCCCAGCCTGAGCGACACAGAAGACGGTGATTTCCGCATTTCCATCTGAGGTACCGGCTTCATCTCACTAGGGAGTGCCAGACAGTGGGCGCAGGTCAGTGGGTGCGCGCACCATGCGCGAGCCGAAGCAGGGCGAGGCATTGCCTCACTTGGGAAGTGCAAGGGGTCAGGGAGTTCCCTTTCCGAGTCAAAGAAAGGGGTGACAGACGGCACCTGGAAAATCGGGTCACTCCCACCCGAATACTGCGCTTTTCCGACGGGCTTAAAAAACAGCGCACCACGAGACTATATCCCACACCTGGCTCAGAGGGTCCTACGCCCACGGAATCTCGCTGATTGCTAGCACAGCAGTCTGAGATCAAACTGCAAGGCGGCAGCGAGGCTGGGGGAGGGGCGCCCGCCATTGCCCAGGCTTGATTAGGTAAACAAAGCAGCCAGGAAGCTCCAACTGGGTGGAGCCCACCACAGCTCAAGGAGGCCTGCCTGCCTCTGTAGGCTCCACTTCTGGGGGCAGGGCACAGACAAACAAAAAGACAGCAGTAACCTTTGCCGACTTAAATGTCCCTGTCTGACAGCTTTGAAGAGAGCAGTGGTTCTCCCAGCCCACAGCTGGAGATCTGAGAACGGGCAGACTGCCTCCTCAAGTGGGTCCCTGACCCCTGACCCCTGAGCAGCCTAACTGGGAGGCACCCCCCAGCAGGGGCACACTGACACCTCACACGGCAGGGTATTCCAACAGACCTGCAGCTGAGGGTCCTGTCTGTTAGAAGGAAAACTAACAAACAGAAAGGACATCCACACCAAAAACCCATCTGTACATCACCATCATCAAAGACCAAAAGTAGATAAAACCACAAAGATGGGGAAAAAACAGAACAGAAAAACTGGAAACTCTAAAAAGCAGAGTGCCTCTCCTCCTCCAAAGGAACGCAGTTCCTCACCAGCAACCGAACAAAGCTGGATGGAGAAAGACTTTGACGAGCTGAGAGAAGAAGGCTTCAGACGATCAAATTACTCTGAGCTACGGGAGGACATTCAAACCAAAGGCAAAGAAGTTGAAAACTTTGAAAAAAATTTAGAAGAATGTATAACTAGAATAACCAATATAGAGAAGTGCTTAAAGGAGCTGATGGAGCTGAAAACCAAGGCTCGAGAACTACGTGAAGAATGCAGAAGCCTCAGGAGCCGATGCGATCAACTGGAAGAAAGGGTATCAGCAATGGAAGATGAAATGAATGAAATGAAGCCAGAAGGGAAGTTTAGAGAAAAAAGAATAAAAAGAAATGAGCAAAGCCTCCAAGAAATATGGGACTATGTGAAAAGACCAAATCTACGTCTGATTGGTGTACCTGAAAGTGATGGAGAGAATGGAACCAAGTTGGAAAACACTCTGCAGGATATTATCCAGGAGAACTTCCCCAATCTAGCAAGGCAGGCCAACGTTCAGATTCAGGAAATACAGAGAACACCACAAAGATACTCCTCAAGAAGAGCAACTCCAAGACACATAATTGTCAGATTCACCAAAGTTGAAATGAAGGAAAAAATGTTAAGGGCAGCCAGAGAGAAAGGTCGGGTTACCCACAAAGGGAAGCCCATCAGACTAACAGCGGATCTCTCGGCAGAAACCCTACAAGCCAGAAGAGAGTGGGGGCCAATATTCAACATTCTTAAAGAAAAGAATTTTCAACCCAGAATTTCATATCCAGCCAAACTAAGCTTCATAAGCAAAGGAGAAATAAAATCCTTTACAGACAAGCAAATGCTGAGAGATTTTGTCACCACCAGGCCTGCCCTAAAAGAGCTCCTGAAGGAAGCGCTAAACATGGAAAGGAACTACCGGTACCAGCCACTGCAAAATCATGCCAAAATGTAAAGACCATAGAGACTAGGAAGAAACTGCATCAACTAACGAGCAAAATGACCAGCTGGCATCATAATGACAGGATCAAATTCACACATAACAATATTAACTTTAAATGTAAATGGACTAAATGCTCCAATTAAAAGACACAGACTGGCAAATTGGATAAAGAGTCAAGACCCATCAGTATGCTGTATTCAGGAAACCCATCTCACGTGCAGAGACACACATAGGCTCAAAATAAAAGGATGGAGGAAGATCTACCAAGCAAATGGAAAACAAAAAAAGGCAGGGGTTGCAATCCTAGTCTCTGATAAAACAGACTTTAAACCAACAAAGATCAAAAGAGACAAAGAAGGCCATTACATAATGGTAAAGGGATCAATTCAACAAGAAGAGCTAACTATCCTAAATATATATGCACCCAATACAGGAGCACCCAGATTCATAAAGCAAGTCCTGAGTGACCTACAAAGAGACTTAGACTCCCACACATTAATAATGGGAGACTTTAACACCCCACTGTCAACATTAGACAGATCAACGAGACAGAAAGTCAACAAGGATACCCAGGAATTGAACTCAGCTCTGCACCAAGTGGACCTAATAGACATCTACAGAACTCTCCACCCCAAATCAACAGAATATACATTTTTTTTCAGCACCACACCACACCTATTCCAAAACTGACCACATATTGGAAGTAAAGCTCTCCTCAGCAAATGTAAAAGAACAGAAATTATAACAAACTATCTCTCAGACCACAGTGCAATCAAACTAGAACTCAGGATTAAGAATCTCACTCAAAACCGCTCAACTACATGGAAACTGAACAACCTGCTCCTGAATGACTACTGGGTACATAACGAAATGAAGGCAGAAATAAAGATGTTCTTTGAAACCAATGAGAACAAAGACACAACATACCAGAATCTCTGGGATGCATTCAAAGCAGTGTGTAGAGGGAAATTTATAGCACTAAATGCCCACAAGAGAAAGCAGGAAAGATCCAAAATTGACACCCTAACATCACAATTAAAAGAACTAGAAAAGCAAGAGCAAACACATTCAAAAGCTAGCAGAAGGCAAGAAATAACTAAAACCAGAGCAGAACTGAAGGAAATAGAGACACAAAAAACCCTTCAAAAAATTAATGAATCCAGGAGCTGGTTTTTTGAAAGGATCAACAAAATTGATAGACCGCTAGCAAGACTAATAAAGAAAAAAAGGGAGAAGAATCAAATAGACGCAATAAAAAATGATAAAGGGGATACCACCAACAATCCCACAGAAACACAAACTACCATCAGAGAATACTACAAACACCTCTACGCAAATAAACTAGAAAATCTAGAAGAAATGGATAAATTCCTCGACACATACACTCTCCCAAGACTAAACCAGGAAGAAGTTGAATCTCTGAATAGACCAATAACAGGATCTGAAATTGTGGCAATAATCAATAGCTTACCAACCAAAAAGAGTCCAGGACCAGATGGATTCACAGCCGAATTCTACCAGAGGTACAAGGAGGAACTGGTACCATTCCTTCTGAAACTATTCCAATCAATAGAAAAAGAGGGAATCCTCCCTAACTCATTTTATGAGGCCAGCATCATTCTGATACCAAAGCCTGGCAGAGACACAACCAAAAAAGAGAATTTTAGACCAATATCCTTGATGAACACTGATGCAAAAATCCTCAATAAAATTCTGGCAAAACGAATCCAGCAGCACATCAAAAAGCTTATTCACCATAATCAAGTGGGCTTCATCCCTGGGATGCAAGGCTGGTTCAATATATGCAAATCAATAAATGTAATCCAGCATATAAACAGAGCCAAAGACAAAAACCACATGATTATCTCAATAGATGCAGAAAAATCCTTTGATAAAATTCAACAACCCTTCATGCTAAAAACTCTCAATAAATTAGGTATTGATGGGACGTATTTCAAAATAATAAGAGCTATCTATGACAAACCCACAGCCAATATCATACTGAATGGGCAAAAACTGGAAGCATTCCCTTTGAAAACTGGCACAAGACAGGGATGCCCTCTCTCACCACTCCTATTCAACATAGTGTTGGAAGTTCTGGCCAGGGCAATTAGGCAGGAGAAGGAAATAAAGGGTATTCAATTAGGAAAAGAGGAAGTCAAATTGTCCCTGTTTGCAGACGACATGATTGTATATCTAGAAAACCCCATTGTCTCAGCCCAAAATCTCCTTAAGCTGATAAGCAACTTCAGCAAAGTCTCAGGATACAAAATCAATGTACAAAAATCACAAGCATTCTTATACATCAACAACAGACAAACAGAGAGCCAAATCATGAGTGAACTCCCATTCACAATTGCTTCAAAGAGAATAAAATACCTAGGAATCCAACTTACAAGGGATGTGAAGGACCTCTTCAAGGAGAACTACAAACCACTGCTCAAGGAAATAAAAGAGGATACAAACAAATGGAAGAACATTCCATGCTCATGGGTAGGAAGAATCAATATCGTGAAAATGGCCATACTGCCCAAGGTAATTTATAGATTCAATGCCATCCCCATCAAGCTACCAATGACTTTCTTCACAGAATTGGAAAAAACTACTTT
Source organism: Homo sapiens (assembly GCF_000001405.40). Taxonomy (NCBI): domain Eukaryota; kingdom Metazoa; phylum Chordata; class Mammalia; order Primates; family Hominidae; genus Homo; species Homo sapiens. Next base: position 75,282,888 of record NC_000008.11, read on the forward strand.
AAAGTTCATATGGAACCAAAAAAGAGCCCGCATCACCAAGTCAATCCTAAGCCAAAAGAACAAAGCTGGAGGCATCACACTACCTGACTTCAAACTATACTACAAGGCTACAGTAACCAAAACAGCATGGTACTGGTACCAAAACAGAGATATAGATCAATGGAACAGAACAGAGCCCTCAGAAATAATGCCGCATATCTACAGCCATCTGATCTTTGGCAAACCTGAGAAAAACAAGCAATGGGGAAAGGATTCTCTATTTAATAAATGGTGCTGGGAAAACTGGCTAGCCATATGGAGAAAGCTGAAACTGGATACCTTCCTTACACCTTACACAAAAATTAATTTAAGATGGATTAAAGACTTAAATGTTAGACCTAAAACCAGAAAAACCCTAGAAGAAAACCTAGGCAATACCATTCAGGACATAGGCATGGGCAAGGACTTCATGTCTAAAACACCAAAAGCAATGGCAACAAAAGCCAAAACTGACAAATGGGATCTAATTAAACTAAAGAGCTTCTGCACAGCAAAAGAAACTACCATCAGAGTGAACAGGCAACCTACCGAATGGGAGAAAATTTTCACAACCTACTCATCTGACAAAGGGCTAATATTCAGAATCTACAATGAACTGAAACAAATTTACAAGAAAAAAACAAACAACCCCATCAACAAGTGGGCGAAGGATATGAACAGACACTTCTCAAAAGAAGACATTTATGCAGCCAGAAGACACATGAAAAAATGCTCATCATCACTGGCCATCAGAGAAATGCAAATGAAAACCACAATGAGATACCATCTCACACCAGTTAGAATGGCGATCATTAAAAAGTCAGGAAACAACAGGTGCTGGAGAGGATGTGGAGAAATATGAACACTTTTACACTGTTGGTGGGACTGTAAACTAGTTCAACCATTGTGGAAGTCAGTGTCGCGATTCCTCAGGGATGTAGAACTAAAAATACCCTTTGACCCAGCCATCCCATTACTGGGTATATACCCAAAGGATTACAAATCATGCTGCTATAAAGACACATGCACATGTATTTTTATTGCGGCACTATTCACAATAGCAAAGACTTGGAACCAACCCAAATGTCCAACAACGATAGACTGGATTAAGAAATTGTGGCGCATATACACCATGGAATACTATGCAGCCATAAAAAATGATGAGTTCGTGTCCTTTGTAGGGACATGGATGAAACTGGAAGCCATCATTCTCAGCAAACTATCGCAAGGACAAAAAACAAACACCGCATATTCTCACTCATAGGTGGGAATTGAACAATGAGAACACATGGACACAGGAAGGGGAACATCACACTCCGGGGACTGTTGTGGGGTGGGGGGAGGGGGGAGGGGGGAGGGATAGCATTAGGAGATATACTTAATGCTAAATGATGAGTTTATGGGTGCAGCACACCAACATGGCACATGTATACATATGTAAGAAACCTGCACATTGTGCACATGTACCCTAAAACTTAAAGTATAATAATAATAAAATAAAATAAAAAAATAGTGCCTAAAATCAAAAACAATCAAGGAACAAGATTATATGCACAATGTTGAGATGCATGTAAATGCCATCAGTCTGAAAGAGGTAAAATCATCTACAGAGTGGGAATTAGAGAGAGAAGGAGGACAGGAACTTATATTTTTCATGATAAGCCTTTTAAAATGATTGCTTTTTAAACTATTGTGTTTTGACACATTTTAAATGTGCACATTTAATTTTGATTTAAAAATTAATTTTAAAGAATACCATAAAATATATACTCAATGTATGATAATAAAAAAAGCTGTAGTGAATCACAATAAGCATATCATTACAGCTAAGGAAATAGTTTGCCCTGTCTTCTTGATTATTCCCATCATTCTTTGAAGGTAATAGATCAAATACATTTCTAAGAAAAAGAAAATTATCCCCCAGTAATTTCACTCTGCCTGTAATTTCATAGTGGGCACTATAAAACATAAAAGAAGAAAAGAAAAAATGAGAAATTAACAAGAAGAGCACTGGAGAAAGTTATTAACCAAAACAGCAAAAAATAGTATTTCAATAACTTTGTACTAATGTAGAACATGGCATGCTAGGAATAATAGCAGTAAATTGCCCTATGGTAACACCTAATGATCATAAAGAACTGTAAGAAAAGTTTGACTGTGGACATGGGCAGGAAGTCAACTTAAGTCAACCAGCTGTGTGGATGTTCTTACTCAATGAGTTTCTTAAAAAAAAAAAGCTCAGATATTCAGCAAATACACACATAAGTCATAGAAATTAAACACCAAGAATGGCACCTGTTTGGATAAATAAGGCTATGTTTTTGAAAGTAACCTTTCCACAAGTCAATAACAGAAGCTATGGTGAAATGTAAAAATTCACAATTCTACTTTGTTTCACTGAGTGCCCAATCAACGATTCATACAGTTGAGATGAATGTGACAAAACTCTTTATAGATAAATATATATGCCTAAGTTTATCTATATATATATGTCTTTGTGTGTATATACATACACAGATATATGCAAAGACATAAATAATCTTCCTTACAAAACATCAATAGATCATTTTCACAGGGAATAAGAGAGTACACACATAGCCTCCTATGTTGGCTCTGAGACATCTAAAAAGCAAGACAGAGAGCATTAATCTTCCATTCAAAAATATATCCCTATAGAAAACTTTTGCAGTATATTGTCTCTTGTTCAATATATAGCCTAGTCAAAACTTATTTATATTGCTATTAAATGGCAAGGTTTTTTGTTTTTTTTTCCCTCCCTACAAATCGAGTGACATTTATCAGCATATCAAAAGCTGTTTAAGGTTAATATTTGACTAAGCATTAAATTAAAAAAAGCAGCACAAACCCATGAGACTTAAGATTTTCAATGTATTAGCTCTTGATTAGCACATCAGATAGAGGACTGCTGGGCTCTGTTGCTGAAAAAGCATTGTCATCATCTCTTCTCCCGTTTCCATGACAATAATATTAGAGATATAAAATTATGAAAGAACTTCAAATGTCAGTTCTGTGCAGTTAACCGTGTTTCAATATCTGCCCCCAATTTTTCCAGTTAGGTTGCAAATACTACTCTCTCTGTTTCAGACCCAGCTGAAATTTAATCAGGTAGAACTGGAAAAATTGCTGAATATTCAGATGTGATTAGGCATATATTACAATTTATCTTTAAATAAAGGTTTAAAAGAAACTCATTAAATTTTATTTGTCTTTAGGTATCTCAATATACAGTAAATAGGACTAGATCATCATTGTGAAGCTAAGGTATTTTTTTTCTTGTTTTTCCTCTGAAACAAATCTTCTTTTATTATATTTGCTCTAACCATATAAAAAAAGATACGATGTGTTAGATAAAGACTTGTGTTGTGTATAGAGTTGTCTAAAATGCCTGGCTTCCTAAAAGCTCTTGACATATTTACTAGAACAATTAACATTTGAGAGAAGAGAATCTTTGTCACAAACGCTGCCACTGGAGAAGGCAAGACTGTTTAAGAACATGAGACTGTTGGCTTTCAAATACACGGTTCTTCAAAGAGGAAATATTTTGGAAATAAGTAAAGTTTATATTTTCAGCAGCGACTTTCAGGGTGTTGTTTTTTCCTCTTGAACTGAGAACAGCAAGGATAACTGAGTGCTGTAAGAAAAACCTCCGAATAAAGGTCTGTCTCATAACCAAACTTTCTTAGTTTTCGGATCTCACTTTGCCTAGTTCAATATTTCTCTATCCATCAAAGAATAGCTTTGAATAACTTGATTTATTAGCATTATGGAAAGATGTTTTTCCTTTTTCCCCTTTTAATTTACACTAAGAATAGTAAAAGAAATAGCAGCTAATCCTTTTCAAAAGAAATGTCATTATTTCTTTTCAAAATATTTTATATAGTTTATGACTCAGCCATAAATCATCATGCTCAATGAACAGAGAAACACTATTATGAAGAATCAGGAATAGTTGATGATCCAAAAGTTACAAATAAAAGTTTTATATTTAAGATCTATGTTACAGGGATCAAAGATAAGAGAGTATAACTGATTTTCACTTCTTCCTCAACAACTAAAAAATCCTATTCTAAGCCCCAGTCAAGAAACACCTTCTTTAAGATAGCCTTAAATTCCTGCAGTTAATTGTTCCCTCTGCTATGATTATGTCACAGTATTTTGTGGATTATTATCTACTATTTATATCTGATTTATTTTAACTCCTGTCTAGACCAGGAACTCCTTCACAGTCCTCGCCTTACTTTACTCATTTGTATATTCTTAGCACTTATTCATTGATTCCTTCATTCAAGAAATATTTATTGAGTATTTGTTACATGTCAGACACTGTGCTAGGCACTGAGATCAAAATAGTGTTAAAAATAAAATGGTCCCCTTTGGCTGGGCGTGGTGACTCACGCCTGTAATCCTAGCAGTTTGGGAGGCCGAGGCAGGAGGATCATGAGGTCAGGAGATCGAGACCATCCTGGCTAACAAGGTGAAACTCCATCTCTACTGAAAATACGAAAAATTAGTCAGGCTTGGTGGTGGTCGCCTGCAGTCCCAGCTACTTAGGAGGCTGAGGCTGGAGAATGGTGTGAACCCAGGAGGCAGAGCTTGCAGTGAGCAGAGATCCCGCCACTGCACTCCAGCCTGGGCGACAGAGCAAGACTTTGTCTCAAATAAATAAATAAATAAATAAATAAATAAATAAAAAAAAATAAAATAAAATAAATGGTCCCCTTCTTTCCAAAGCTTCAGTTTAGTGGAGAAGACAGACAGAATATTTATTTGCTTGATTCTTGATAAAAGCTAGTAACTGTTAGGACTCAGATACATGATGCTATGATGGTAATAAACAGGGAGGTATAAAACTAGCAAAAGAGTTGAAGATTCTGACATCTAAAACATGAGACTAAGTTAACTACTCAAAATGATCGCAAGGTGAGCTGGAGGAAAAGCTTTAGGAAGACAGAAAGTGCAGGGAGAGCTGTGTGGTGAGAGGTAAAGTCGCCAAATCCAAGGGGTTATTATCAGATTGGAACACAAAATAAGGGTTTGGGGATGAGGAGAAGCTGAGGAGATAGGGAAGGCCAAGGCTTTGGGGGTCTTGTTGCCCATCTTAACAATTTTATCCTTTACCTTCAGAACCATAAGAAGTGATGGAGGTGACTGAATGAGGCAATATTTCAATAACATCTGTCTTTACTCCACATTTAGCATGAACTGAGATTTGCAGTGTGGAAACCAGATTGGAGCAAAGTAAGAATAGATGACAGAAGGCAATGGATACTGATCTTAGCCCAGTACCTGATATGATCAATGAATTGTCAGGTCATCCCCCAATACACCTGAGTGGTTTACCCTTCCCAATGTTTGTAATCAAATGAGAACCATCTCAGTGGGGCCACCAGGCACAGTGGCTCACACCTGTAATCCCAGCACTTTGGGAGGCCAAGGTGGGTGGATTACTTGAGGTCAGAAGTTTGACACCAGCCTGGGCAACATAGTGAGACCCCATCTCTACAAAAAATTCAAAAATTAGCTGGGCATAATAGTGTGCACCTGCAGTCCTAGCTACTGGAGAGGCTGAGGTGGGAGGATCACTTGAGCCTAGGAGTTTGAGGTTTCAGTTAGCTATGATCATGCCATTGCACTTCAACCTGGGCAACTTATCTCCAAAAAAGATTATTATTTTCTTGTAATTTTTATCCTGTAAGTAATTCACTGGGATTCTGGAAGTCAAGGAGATTTGTAGAAGTGATGATAGTTGTTAGAAATGATTATTTAGAGAGGATTAATTTAATTTTATTAATAGGTATACAGATTTGTACTTCTTACTCATCCCTTAAAAGCTGCTCTGTGTGTTCATTTGTTATGTATATAGTGAGAGATTAAATATAGAAATGGACAATGACCAGAGCATATATAAAATAGGATTCTCACCCACAACCTGCAATAATTAGTCCAGGAAATCAATCCATTATCTACATTAACCAGCCCAGAAAGCTAGCCTGCTGTTTATAAGCTAAACCTATAGGAAGTTAGATTTTTATCTCTAACAACAATCCGAGAAGCTGAACAGTAACAATTGGATCAAAATGTCTAGAGCTTAGTTAATAACTGAAAGCTTCTCCAAGTTTTATTCCTGCTTTCAACTTATGCCCAACCACAAAAAACCAAATATGTGCTCCTAACAAATATAGACTTCTAGTTAGCCTGCTTACACCTACTCTCTGCTAAAAGCTCAATCAGTGCATATCTGAAACCTTCCCTTTTATCCTCTATGAAGCTTCCTTACTTGTCTGCCTACCTTTGAATCTGCTAAAATGCCAGTGATGGTAGCTAAGTCCCTTGCTATAGCAAGTGCTGAATAAGTAGTTTTTGCTTCTTATTTGGTTATTCTTCATTTCTTTCTACAATAGACTCTCTGTCGTCACAGGAGCCACAAAGAGCTAAATGTCCACTTACTACTTTTAGCTATATATCCATTTAATCAGGGTCTGAGATATTGAATAAATGAGCTACTATGCTTTTGAGTTAATACGTATGTGAATGTATGTGTGTGAGAGAGAGAAAGAGACAGACAGAAAAGAAAAAACACACAGAGAGAATGAGCTGAGTATTTAGGAGTAGGAGGTTGACACTGCATTCATCAACTCATTTGTATTGAGTACCCACAGTGTGTCAGGCACTATGTAAGGCCTTTTTGATGTATAGTAGATAAACCAAATATCCTCATCCTCATGGAGCTTACATTGTAGAAAGAAACAGATAATAAACAATGAACATAATAAACAGATGAATTCAATAGTACTTTAGGAGATGGCAAATACTATTTAAAAAGACAAAGGTAAAGTAAGGAGGCTGTCAGAAGCCTAGGTAGGGAGTAAATTAAATAGGTGGTCAGGGAAGGCCATGTTGTGTAAAGGTTATAGTTGAGCAGAAACTTCAAGAAGGGGAAGAAGAGTCAGATAAGCAAATACATCTGGAGGAAAGGTCTTTTTGGCCAAGAAGAGCTAAAACAAGGGTCTAAAAATGGAAGAGCACCTGGTGTGTGTGTGTGCAAGAAATAGCAAAGTGATGAGTATGGCTGGAGTTGAGTTGTTGAAGGGGAAGGGAATAGGAGATAAAGTCCAGAGGGAGTAGGGTGCATGTAGGGCAGAGGGAGAGAGAGCTCTTAGGCCATTTTAAAGAAGTTTGCTTTTTGTCTGGTGGAACCAGGCTTGTTGCAGAGTTCTGAAGAGACAAATGACATAAGTTTAAACTGACCCTCTGCAGCTGCACTGAGAATAGACTTTGGTGGGGAAAGAGTGGCTTTAGTTTTCTGTTTACATTTAAATATTTGTGTGTACAAGCATATAGACATTTGCATAGTGGCTAAGACTGTAACTAGACAATTCTGGAAACACAAATTCCAAATATACTAGAAACCTGGCTCTCTTACAGTTTTGTTTTCTTCTTCATCTTCTCCCTATTCTATCCAACTAGAGATCAGGCCAAGACGAGCTACCCTTCTCTCTAATTCCTGCTATTCTAGAAATCTAGTGAGCTTAAAAAAGAACGTATGGCCTCAAATACACTTATATTCAAATAAAACATTCCAATAATATCCCCTTAAATTCAAAGTCTGATTTATAGATCAAATGATGCCTGCATCCACTTTACACTTTTCAATCTATGTAATAATTATACCCAATATTAGCACACTGTAAAGAATTAAGCCAAATGTATTAGGAAAAAGTAAGAATTATTCAAGGAAATTGAATAATATACATTCTAATGCAACTGTGATAACTACTAACTTGTAAGCGGAAAAAGCTGGAAGAGAATTTTGATTTAAATCTTAACATCAATCTGGAGCTCAAAGAAACTTACTCATCAGACCCTTGCCCATGGTCTGTGCCGGAAAACTTTTGTTAGATGGTAAGGTGATGCTTAGAAGGAAGATATTGGACTGACACCAATAGCAAAATACATATGCACAGAAAGCTAACTAGTACTGTAAATGACAAACAGAAAAGTGTGGTTCAGGGGAAGGCATTCCCTGAAAATTCAATCTATTTTCTCTAATCCCTTGTGAAGACAAATTTTAAATGGAGGAATGCAAAATGTCTTACTATTTGGCACCAAGATGCCTCTTTGTATTTTCATTGAAAATAAAAATGTAGGAATCCAGAAAGAATCCATGTCCAGTTAACCTGGTTATGGCCCATTGACAAGGCATTCCTTTCCAACCATAAACATTTCCTGATGGTTGAGAGATATTCCAAGAGTATAGCCCATTTAGATATTCAAATTAAATAACAAAGAGCCATCTTTACTTCACTGCATTCTCTGACACCAGTTTAATGACATACTTGTAGACTACAAAATGGCCATTATTATTTTTGGTCTTTTTCACGTCCTCACTTTTAGCAGAACTAAATTTATTTATTTAAATTTTAAATACACATAAGTTTCAATGAGACATTGTATAGAAAGTTAAAATAGATATTGTGAATAACCCTCAGTTCATTAAACTCATGCAACATGCAGGTAACAACCTATTAAGCTCCAAGGGACTAAAAATAGCCTGGTTAAAATCATTGCCTAAAATAATTTAATTCTTAAATATAATTTGCAAATCTTATTTCCTTTCTTTGTTTTAAGATCTTTTAGTGGAAAAAGTATTAAACATACAAATGAGGACTCTGAAGGCAGCATTCAAAGAATCTAAAATTATCTCCCATTATGTAGCGAGACTGCATCTCTTTCTTCCTTCTTTTTCTATTAACTTATTACTGACCATGGCATGTGGTCCCTAGAGGAAGGCCATATTTCTAGTCCTGTCTTACAGTCAGGTGTGGCCATGTAACTAAGTTGTGGCCAGTGGAATGTGAGAACTGATGTGTGAAATTTCCACAAAGTGACATTAAAGGAAGGGAGTGTGTCTTCCCATTTATCCTTCTTCTCCATGCTAGCTAGAATGCAGAAGTTTTGGCAATCCATTTTGGACATGCAGTTAAGAGCAACACTCAAGAATGGAAGAGTGGTGAAACAACAAAAGAGAAATGAGGACCACTGACAGCTTTGTGAAGCAGAACTTTGATACCAGCTGGGACTTTTAGGTAAGGGAGAAAACAATTCCAGTCTTTTAAACCATTATATTGGGTGTCTGTCTCCTGGCAGAAATTATATCACCTATAACACATATTATGGACATATCCTGTGTAGCTGAGAGTAGAGATGTAAGAATCAATGTGTAGTGTAATGGAAAGCATATGAGATATAGTATCAGTATGTCTGAGCATAAGTCTCAGTTTATTCACTTTCAATAGCTGCTAATTTATGGCAAATAAGTTAACTTTTTTGTTCTCTCATCTATAAAGTGATGATAGTAAAAGTTATTTCATCATTTTGATGAGAGGAAAAATGTCTTATGAGATTAATCTATAGAAGTATTAGTTTCTATAGTGATATGCCTGTCTTTAATATATAAATAAACAGCTAAGTTAAAACATGAATTATCTTCATTTACATTAAGTTTAGACTAAAGGCATATATCTTATTAATGATCTAAAACTGATGATCTTCTCTGGGGTTGTTTTTTCTGGTATTTATTAATGGATCGGCAACACATAGATAGCAAGTATGATTTTCCAGAGCATTTTACAGCATGAATGCCAGGCAGTGTGAGAAACTTGATCGTGTTAAGTACTTGATAAGAGAAATTCTGTTGTGCTGTCTCATTTACTCTTGTTACCCACCTACCTGCAATCGTTGAACCATGCATTTCAATTTTGGTGTATACAACATTTCTGGAGACTATCAGATTAAAATAAGATTCATTTATCCAAGAATGAAGAATGCAATTAAAATCAAGGCAGCTTCTCTTAGTCCAGAGAGTCCTTAGTTGGGACACCCCATTACCGTTTGGTTTCTTATGGAACAAGATCTCACCACATCTGAGAAGGTCAGTACTTGCTACTGTACAGTTCTTTCAGACCTATGGGCTTATGCCACTATTGTGAAAGAATGCACATGATAAGTTGTATGCTTCTGTGTAGGAAAACATTTATTTTGGGCTCTTTTAATTTGTAAAAGAAGCACAGCATGACAAAGCTCCTTACTGGTGGGAAGGGTCTGGTCCTTACACAGAATCAGATTCGGTGGCCAGCATCTCTCCTTCCAGGTACCCAGCTCATTTTCCTCAGTATGTATGCGTATTCTTACATGCATGTTTGTGCAAACATTTGTTTCTATGTTTTTATTCGTTTCCTTAACGACCTGTCAATATATGTCATTATCATCTATAAGCATTAATGAAAATGTTTTCATCTAATATAATTTTCTTCTCATGTGCACACAGAATCCATTTCCATGAATTGTACTAGTTGACTTCAGGTTCCGTAAAACGTCTAATTTACCAGGTTAGACCACAAATACTAAGGGGTCCGTAAATATTCTCTCAATCATCTATGAAAGTGGAGGTGGATAATGACATGAAAATACAGAAGTGGCCGGGCGCGGTGGCTCACGCCTGTAATCCCAGCACTTTGGGAGGCCGAGGCGGGTGGATCATGAGGTCAGGAGATCGAGACCATCCTGGCTAACAAGGTGAAACCCCGTCTCTACTAAAAATACAAAAAATTAGCCGGGCGCGGTGGCGGGCGCCTGTAGTCCCAGCTACTCGGGAGGCTGAGGCAGGAGAATGGCGTGAACCCGGGAAGCGGAGCTTGCAGTGAGCCGAGATTGCGCCACTGCAGTCCGCAGTCCGGCCTGGGCGACAGAGCGAGACTCCGTCTCAAAAAAAAAAAAAAAAAAAAAAAAAAAAGAAAATACAGAAGTAACTTATGTTTATGTTTGAAATCCATTTTCTTAATGTGGAAATGAACATTTTTTTGAAATCTGAGATGTCATAGAATTTTATTTGAAACTTATTAACTAAAAGTAACCATGAAGATCTAATTCAGAAGAAGCTGGAGATTCATTTTACTAAATCTTTACTGGAGCTCAAGTGCCACACTCTGACACTGGGACATGAACAGTCCAGGCCTCCTGACAGTATTAAACATCATGTTGTGGGGAAGGATGTAGCAAAACACACATATTAAATTAGTGCAGGCATAGTCCTCACTATCCTGGCCTCATGAGGCAAACAGGGGAGCAGGCGCAGATGAGCAATAGGACATCAAGCAGGGAAAGAGATGGGTGGCAGTCACAAGACCTCTACCACTTTACATAGATAAATTATTTAGGGTTCTTGGGATGATCAACAAAGATGTTCTCCTAAAAGAAGTTTACCTGCTGATACAAGCAAGCAGACTAGAAAAATGGACTTGGATCAAGATGGAAAAACAGGAAGGATGTATCCATTATAATTATTTATAAGGGTATTTAAATATATATGCACGAATATATATAAAATATCCTCTTGTAAGCTTACTATATTTGAAGTTTCAACATTTGCAGGTTGACTGATGGGTGTCAACAGAGCTAATTAAACATTTCCAGAAAGCACAGAACTGAAAGGGACTTGGAGGACTCATCTGTTGACATTTAAATATCTACTGTGCAAAGTGGAAAGCAAGATTTGCATCCAACAATGCTACCTGGTTAATCCAACAGCTTTTATAACCCAGCAAATTGTTCTTGTTCAATAGTGCATTTTTATGAAATCAGGTGGATATTTTCAATGTTATAATCAACGTTTCTCTCATCTCCCCTGCATTGGAGTAGCTCCACTGTAACAGATGTTTCCCTCTTTACTGCTGAAGTAAAACTGCATGTATCTTGACACAGGCAGGCAGGACTTGGCTGTGGAACATTCAGCCTTCCATCAGGTTATTCCCTCAGTTTCAGTCATTGGCTTAAATAGGGCTGTTTCTTCCAAGCTCAACAACATAGTATCCAAACACTATTTCTCCATTAGTCACCCGGTCCCACACACCAAAATGCAATGCAGACTTGGAAACAAATGTGTATCCATGACCTTTAAGGTCTAACATGGTCTGGTGGAAAGCATATTGGAAGAATGGTAGTCTCACCAACTTGCTAGGTGACCTTTGGCAAATTAATTGACCCCAGTGTGCTTCATTTTCCTTTCTACACAGGAAACATAAAGGCAATAATACATAGCTCCCTGCCCTATCTTACAGGGATTTCATAAGGCTGAAATAACTGTTTACATTCTGTTTTGACATGTTCATGTTGAAATAGTCCCCTTTCTCTGCAGGTAGAATCATGTCACCAAATTTATAATAAAAACTGTTGGAAAAGGGCTTAGTGGAAACACAGTTTAATTTTACTATCTGGAACAAATTTATTTCATTCAATGATGATGCCTGGTATGTTTTAAAATGGTAGAAGCACAAGATTCAGAATTCAGACCCAGATTGGAGTTCTAATGCAGTTACTTTAAAAGTCTCTGCTCTATACATCGAGGTTCACTGATACTCTTCCACCTTATCCTTAGCCCAGTACAATATAAGAGACAATCGTGGCCAAGGCAGACAGCAAAAGCCAAGGGACAGATTCTATTTTTTTTTTTTTGAAACTGAGTCTCACTCTGTCACCCAGGCTGGAGTGCAGTGGAGCGATCTTGGCTCACTGCAACCTCCACCTCCTGGGTTTAAGCCATTCTCCTGCCTCAGCCTCCCGAGTAGCTGGAACTACAGGCACATGCCACCACACCCGGCTAATTTTTTGTATTTTTAGTAGATATGGGGTTTCACTGTGTTAGCCAGGATGGTCTTGATCTCCTGACCTCGCGATCAGCCTGCCTTGGCCTCCCAAAGTGCTGGGATTGCAAATGTGAGCCACCGCACCTAGCTGCCAAGGGCAGATTCTTACTCCCCAAATCCAGTAACTCATAGACATCTGTTGTACTCTCACACCGCTCGGCTTGTCTACCTTTGTGCAAATGAGATCCAGAAAACAGGATTACCAGTTAGAAAAGATAGGTGTGTGCACTTCAAGTCACAGCACCACCAACTCTGAACCCCTTTTGAATGTAGTACAGTTCTCATTCAGCTCCAGAGGTCTGATCAAAGTCCAGCTCTAGCAAAGTTTCTGGCATAAAGTAGAAAATCAACACTTGTGAATGTTAGTGCAACTTTCTACTCTGCTTTTATTTCTCCGCCCTCCTCCCTAAAACTGGCTCCTTATCCTCACAAATTGAAGTCTAAGTTCCTGACTTACAGAATGTATGCTTTAAATGACAGCTGTCCACTCTTCTGACAACTGTTTCTGAATTCCCTAAAATTATACTCCAAATTTCAAGTGAAAATACCTGGATCTCATCATTTAGAGAATCCTAATTTATACTTTCAGATCCTCTGGACACCAATGGCCTGATCACTGGAAGCTCTGAAGTAAAATTTTAAAGCCAGACCGATTCTCCAGTCCCTATTCCATTTTAATTTGTAAATCCCATACAGAGCAGAAACTCCTGGGCCATTCAAAAACATGTATTTATCACCCACTGTGTGTTATGCAGACAAATTATTGGTAGGATTTTAACTATTAGTGGGATTTTAACTATAGGTGGGATAATAATGATTAACATTTACTTAAAATTTGCTATGTTAGGTATTGTTCTTAGTGTTTTTTTCATGCTATCTAATGTCTTAGCTGTTTGGATATTATTATTATGTAATCAAGGGAAGATTAAAGTAGTGTAAGCAAATGAATGACATAGTACCACCCTAAGACATGGGCAAAAGGGACCACTGACTTGGAACTATGCATCTTACAAACATGTACACAAATTTTATTAAAAGACATGTGGACTCTCTGGTGCAATAATTTCACTTTGCCTGGAACTTCCCTGGCTTTCGCACTGAAAATCCTACATCCCAGGAATGCCTGTCCCTTAGTCCTAGGCAAATAAGGAAGGCTGTTCACCCTAACCTCTGTCCCTGGCTAGCTGGCTCTCAATGCTGGCACAGTGTGACCCATAATCCTAAACATATACTCTTGTGAATAAACACATTCAGGCTCCAGAGAAATGTTTCTGCACATATTTTCCATACATTCTTGAAACAAAATGTGGCTGAATCCAAAAGCCATAGAGGCTCATAAGGTTGTACCACTGGATATATTGTAGACTATATATTTGTAGACTATATATACTATTTTGCAGTATGTTCAGAATCTGACCTGCAGAAATACTTAAATGAGAGAAAAAGATGAATTTTTGCACCTTGTCAAATCTTTCCCCTTAGATATCTAAAATATAATAGATACTTGAAACCATTTTATTGCTTTCCAGTAGTGCCAAGCATCCATTTCTTGCTTCTCGTTGTATTTCAATTCAACATATGGAAGCACTCAAAAATAACATGGTATACACAATACTTACATATGGAAACTGAGGATTATTTTGCATTTTTCAATAATTTATAAGCTGGGTGTGGTGGCTCACCCCTGTAATCTCAACGCTTTGGGAGGCCAAAGCGGGAGGATCACTTGAAGCCAGGAGTTCAAGATCAGCCTGGGCAAATATATATGAAACAATTATAACTCATAAAATTATTTAAGAAGTAAACATGATACACCATAAAAAAGTGTAAGTGTGACACCAAGTCTTTAGCTTAATGTGTGCATTTAAATGTTACTTTAAGAGAAGGCAAAAAATGTGATGTGATTAATAGTGACTTTATATAATGAAATTAAAATGTTTTATAATATTTACTGCAATCATAATAATTTATTATGTGTGACCCTACTTCAAAGTTTAAATCTAAAATATTTATTTCTGATTTAAGTATTTATTTAAGAATTTTATTTACAATTGCAAGTGCTACTGCCTCAGCAGAGAAAGGTTTCTCCAAATTGCGATTAATAAAAAGCTATTCATGAGCTACAGCAATTCAAAGAAGGCTTGCTAATTTGGTATTGTTTTCAATAGAACATAGATTACAAGACAATATTGATATTAACAATATAACTTACAATTTTTTATAATGAAGTCTTAACAAAGTTTATTGAAAAAATACTGAATTATATATAGTAATATATAATTGAATGTATCTTGAATTATATAGAGTAAAATATATATTACTGAATATATATATGTTACTGAAGTAGATATATGCAAATATTATCATCCCAACATCTGAAAATCTAGACATGGGCAATAATAATTCATTCATTTATCTGTGATACTTTACCAAACATTAGTTACTTAAAATATAGCTTCGCAATATATTATGACTTTATTGGTATGAAAATATATTAAGGTAGGAGGAAATAATTGATTCTATATGACAGTTTGTTACATGTATTTATCATATCACTTTTAATTATTTAGATATATAATAGGTGAGTCCCCAAGTATACTCTTCTTCCAAGTCCCCACTGTTAGCAGTAGACATGGGCACAGGTGACTAAATGTACATTTGGAAAAATCACTCTGCCAATAGTTTGAATTCTGGGCTTGAGGAGAATTAGATTAGAGACAGGGAGAAGATTTTGCAGCAATCCCAAACTCATGGATCAGATTCTTGTCTTGGGTGATTGAGTGGATTGCAGTGTGATTTGGTGAGGTGCTAGAAAACTCTGGAGGACTAGAGGGTTGTGGATGAACACGATGAATAACACATTGGGCAATGTTGAGTTTGAGGTACCTGAAGAAAATATTTAGAGGAAAGATATGTGTGTGTGTGTACGTTCACACAAAACATGCAATTTATATGTATGCATATATTTAAATACATGCATAAATGTGTGCATTTGTGTTTACATATATGTGCACATATATATGCATGTTTGTATCTATGTATGTGACTAGAGCTTAGAAGAGAGAGATCTGGGCTGTATATGTGCAATTCTGTATCATAAGATGAGTAAGTGTTGATTTCACAAACAAGAATGTGTATAGTATAGAGTGTACCATGTCAGAAATGAAGGAAAGAGCTAGTTTTAAAAGAAAAGAGGGAGTTAACTATGTCAAATGCTATAATGTATCCCAAAAAGTTAAGAAATTATCAATGGAGGGCATCGAGCACAGAAAGAAAATTGAGGTGGCAAAGCATAAATAGAAGATAAAAAATTGGATTCTGATGTTAGACTGCTTTTCTTAGAAGTTTAGCAATGGATGGAGAAAGGGTTTTTTTAGTGTACTTGTGACGATTTGGCAACTCATGAGAGAAGGTTCCAAGAAAGATGTATTATTGTTTTCCAGGTGTCATCAGTGTGAGGATGTTTATATTCCAAGATGCAGGTGAGGCTGAAGACATGGGAGAGAGAACTGATGACCAATAGTATAAGGTGTCAAAGAAAGCAAGAAGGGAGGGTATTCAGAGCAAAACATGGAAGGACTCACCTATGGTAGAAGAGAGACCATTCCACAGAAATTGCAGGGAAGAAGGATAAATGGGTGTGAACACTTGCTTAAATAGAAGTTTTTTGGTTACATTTATGAGCAGCCCAGTTGAACCAGTTTATGCAAAAAGAGAGAATATAATGTTTAGAGGTGTCTCCTCAGACCTCAGAGCAGGAAACACACCTCACTAGGGACTAGAAGTAGGAGCCAGAAACTCTTCAAGATTCAAAATCCCACTCTCTAGGGCTATGGGTTTCTCATTTCTGCTTCCCTTGGTAGCTCTGCTTCAATGCCACATAGCCTGCTTTTTTATGTGCACATGGCTCCTGAGTCTTACATGGCAGTTCAAACAACCATCAGAGACCACCTAAAATCTCTAAAACTAAATTTCAAATTCTCAGAATAGATCATCTAATTAGCCCAGCTTGAGTTGGTGTGCTGATACACTCATCTATGATCAGAGAAACACTAAGAGTTGTGTGACAGAGTTTCAGCAACAAACATCCATCCCTTCAGGTAAATATTCAAAATCCCCATCCTTGTGTTAAATCATTTATTACAATGCAGATGAGTTTGTTAATGAGAGGGACAATGGTTGAAAATATTTCTTTTAGATAGCCTCCATTTGATTATTGGGCTGGAAGGCAAGGTTTTCTACTGAGTATGATTGTGGCACTGTATATTTTTAGAACTTGGGGATAAGTGGTCAAAAAGGGTATAGATATATATGTATGTGTATATGTGTGTGTGTGTGTGTGTGTGTGTGTGTGTGTGTGTGTGTGTGTTTTAATGAGAGGAATTAAGGTCCAAAGTGGCCATTTTGAGAAATGGAAGATGGAACTCTATGAGAATCTATGAAATTTCCATAAGACATCATTGAGTTTCCAGTTGAGACAAAAGACCATGATTTTATCATGGTGCCAATCCAAGCTGTATTTTGTATAAAAATTCTTGGCAGTTTGGCTGTAAGAGATACTGAATAAGTGGACTAATGAAAGGTTAGAATTTTGTCAGGTGTATTGTAAAATTTTATCAGATTTGTGTAGAACTAGTAGACAAGACAGTGAAACATTAACCACCTACTGGTTTAAGTAATGAAGATTTGAGACTGATGAGAGAGAAGAAAGAGTGAGAGAGTAAAAGAAAAGAAAATGAGAGAAGAGGGGAGGGGAGAGGAAGGAAAAAGAGGGAGAGGGAAGAAGAGAGGGAAGGAATGGGAGGGTAGGAGAGTGGAGGGAAGACAAGGGAGGACATGCGTGAACTAAATATCTCCTTGAGGTCAAAGTAAAAGATATAAAGAACACAGAGAGGTTAAGGAGCCTGATGGAAGTGAAGATGTGTTAGAGAGTGAAGCATTAGAGTTTATATTTAAGAATGTTGGGTAATTCTTGGTAATGACCAGTTTCAAGGTATGACTACGGGTGAGGTTGGCTGCAGTAGAGTTGAGGTGTGTTAATGCTAAGAAGGTCAACAAATCATGAGACAAGACTTTTGGAGAGATCAATCACAGGCATTGAAGTCATCCAAGATAATAGTGGGATTTGTAAGTGAGAGAACTGTGAGCCAGGGGCAATAACCAGTGATTGACCATGAAGCCGGCAGACACCAGCGTTGAGGCGGAGGGTGGAATAGCATATAGCATAAGCTTAAAGAAGAATTTTTATTTGAGTGGAGTAGAATAATGTTTTTGGAAGCAATGAAGTAGAATGTAAACATTCTTTCCTAACCTAAAAAGTATAGACTTGGCCGGGCGCGGTGGCTCACGCCTGTAATCCCAGCACTTTGGGAGGCTGAGGTGGGCAGATCACGAGGTCAGGAGATTGAGACCATCCTGGCTAACATGGTGCAACCCCATCTTTACTAAAATACAAAAAATTAAACGGGCGTGGTGGCAGGCGCCTGTAGTCCCAGCTACTCAGGAGGCTGAGGCAGGAGAATGGCGTGAACCCGGGAGGCGGAGCTTGCAGTGAGCCGAGATTGCTCCACTGCACTCCAGCCTGGGCAACAGAGTGAGACCCTGTCTCAAAAAAAAAAAAAAAAGAAAAAAAAAGTATAGACTTATGGACCGTAAGCTATATATCCACTTACAGATTAAACAGGAGAAACTGAATTCTTCAGAAATTCAGGTTTTAATGTTGAAACAGAGCGTTTAGAATAGTTGGGGATTTCTTTACTATAAAATTGAATTATATCTGGCTCAGATGGAATTGGACTGTTTTAGGAAATTGTTGGGAGGTAAAAGGAGGGTCAATAATAATAAAAATTAATATTTTAGATTCTTCCTATAATCTAGA
This sequence comes from Homo sapiens, assembly GCF_000001405.40. NCBI lineage: Eukaryota > Metazoa > Chordata > Mammalia > Primates > Hominidae > Homo > Homo sapiens. The sequence goes on from NC_000008.11 coordinate 75,301,506, forward strand.
CACTTCCAAGCATCTTACATGTGATGTTATCTCATTTTTAATCATCATAAGCTATATGCTATTATCTTGAGCTAATACTATTTTACCTATTTTACAGATAAGAGAACAGGGGCATCAAAGAATTAAATAACTTGCCCAAGTTTATGCAGGTAAGAAGTGTTAAAGCCAGAAAATCTGATACCTACCTAAGCATACTCTTAACCACTATGTATACAGAAAGATCGAGGTTAGGAAATAAAAAAATGACGTTGAGTTTGGCAACTTAATTATGGAAGTGAAAGGCAGACTGATAGTAGTAACATTTTTGCTAACAGCGCAAAATTACAATATCAAGCACAAAAGATTCATCAGGTCATTCTCTCACCAAACTCAAGTGCCAAAATAAGATGTGCAACAACTGTACCTTAAAATCCTTAGGCTGGAGACTTTCTCAGCATTTCACAGAATGTTTTGGTGAACAGGTGTTACATAAATTGGGGGTTAGGGGTAGGGTGAGGAATTTTAACCCTAGTTCAAGAACGTAATCAACAGAATCAGCTGTTTTAGAAAACTTCACCCTCTTTTAAAAAGAAAGGCTGTATTCTTCTCTTCTCCAATGATGAGTTTAAATATTCAAACACCTTTGAAGTAATTCTAGCCTAGCTGTGCATCTAACCAAATGAGTTGATACCTTCCCCAGCCTACTTTTCATAAACATCTCCCAATGATTTTTACATTCAATAATATAGTCCCAGGGATCAGAAGCTGTGTGAGGGGTTTG